>NC_000015.10:51401874-52026874 GCF_000001405.40 Homo sapiens | reverse complement strand
TTTCATCATGTTGGCCAGGCTAGTCTAGAACTCCTGACTTTGTGATCCGCCTGCCTCGGCCTCCCAAAGTGCTGAGATTACAGGCATGAGCCATCGCGCCCAGCCATGACAGGCATTTTCTAAATGACAAATTATTTCTCTCATCTCAAACTACAGTCTTGTAAATGTCATTTTACAAACAAGAGCACTGATGCTCTTTACACACACAGTAAATGCCAAGATTTGGACATAGGCCTGTGACTATAGGGTTAGAATCTTCCCACTGCATAAGGTGGGAGGTTAAGGCCAGGCACGGTGGCTCACGCCTGTAATCCCTGCACTTTGGGAGGCCGAGACGGGTGGATCACTTGAGGTCAGGAGTTCAAGACCAGCCTGGCCAACATGGTTGAAACCCCATCTCTACTAAAAACATAAAATTAGCTGGGCGTGGTGGTGCATGCCTGTAATCCCAGCTACTTGGGAGGCTGCAGCAGGAGAATCACTTGAACCCAGGAGGCGGAGGCTGCAGTGAGCGAAGATCACACCATTGCACTCCAACCTGAACAATAAGAGCAAAACTCCGTCTCAAAACAACGACAACAACAAAACAAAAAAAGGTAGGAGGTTAAGAACCACTGTTTCGGTACCTGGAATTAACATAAACAGCAGATCAATCTGGAAGTAATCAACAAGTGCCAACAAGCCTAGAGGGACTAGGCCAGAGGCAAAAACTATCCTGCCAATGCTTTCCACAGGATAACTAAGGAAAACTTAATAGCTACTTTTTAAAAATTCAAGTGAAAATACCTGTTAAGATGGAAAGAAACTGACTTGCTTACAACTTAGATTATCTACTTTATTGAACACAGATGTATCAATTAGAAAATCAGCACTGTTTTATAATACATACTGAAATAATATCTGGGCATATTAGAAAAACTAAGTCAACATACTCTCTCTCCAATTTGTACATTAAGAAAGGACAATTATTAAACTGAGTCTAACCAGTTATTAAATTACAGCTTAGATTTTAGAGTGGGCAAAGATCATCTAGATCTGTGCTGTCCATGTAACCACCAGCTACATCCAACTATTTTTATTTTTTTTTGAGACGTAGTCTTGCTCTGTCACCCAGACTGGAGTGCAGTGGCGCTCACTGCAAGCTCCGCCTCCTGGGTTCATGCCATTCTCCTGCCTCAGCCTCCCAAGCAGCTGGGACTACAGGCGCCCGCCACCCGGCTAATTTTTTGTATTTTTAGTAGAGACAGGGTTTCACCATGTTAGCTAGGATGGTCTCGATCTCCTGACCTCGTGATCCGCCCGCCTCAGCCTCCCAAAGTGCTGGCATTACAGGCGTGAGCCACGGCGCCCAGCCCCAACTATTTAAAGGAATTAAAATTAAATAAAAAATTCAATTCCTCAAGTGCACTACTTGCTCGTCAAGTATTCAACAGTCACACATGGCCAATGGCTACCTCACTGGATAGCACAGAACACTTCTATCATCATAGAAAGTTCAACTGGGCAGTGATTAGCTTCCAAATTTTCCATTTGACTTTTTTCAGAAGGGCCAGTGGAAAGAGCAACTCAGAAGACTAACGAGCTGAGCAACCATGTATGCATCATTTTAATTTTTATTTATTTACGTATTTTTTGAGACAGGGTCTCTTGCTGTTGCCCAGGCTGGAACGCTGCGGTGCGATCACGGCTCACTGCAGCCTCAACCTCCTGGGCTCAAGCAATCCTCTCATCTCAGCCTCATAAGTAGCTGGGACTAAAGGTGTGCACCACTACAACAGGCTAATTTTATTTTATTTTGTAGAGACAGGGTCTCACTATGTTGCCCAGGTGTATGCATCGTTTAGCAGTGCTTCTCAAACTGAATGCGCACTGAATGACTTGAAAATCTTGTTAAAATGCAGGTTCTTCCCAGCACGTTAGGAGGCCAGGAGTTTGAGACGAGCATGGGCAACACAGTGAGACTCCAATTCTTAAAAAAAAAAAAAAAAAAAAAAAAGGCAGTGTATGATGGCACATGCCTGTAGTCCCAGCTACTGAGGTGAGAGGATTACTTGAGTCCAGGAGTTCCAGGTGGCAGTGCGTTATGATCACACCACTACACTCCAATCCAAACTGGGCAACAGGGCAAGATTGTGCCTCTTATTTACAAAAAAAGAAGGCCGGGCGCGGTGGCTCATACCTGTAATCCCAGCACTTTGGGAGTGCTGGGCGGGCGGGCGGATCCGAGGCGGGCGGATCACAAGGTCAGGAAATCGAGACCATCCTGGCTAACACGGTGAAACCCCGTCTCTACTAAAAACACAAAAAATTAGCCAGGCGCGGTGGCAGCAGCTGTAGTCCCAGCTACTCAGGAGGCTGAGGCAAGAGAATGGCGTGAACCCAGGAGGCGGAGCTTGCAGTGAGCCAAGATCGTGCCACTGCACTCTAGCCTGGGTGACAGAGTGAGACTCCGTCTCCAAAAAAAAAAAAAAAGAAAAAGAAAAAGTAGATTCTAAGATTCTAATTCAGTAGGACCGTAGGACTGAGATGAAGTCAAGATTCTAACGTCTATCAAGTTCCCAGGTGATGCTAATACTGTTGGTCCAGAAATCACACTTTCAGTACCAAGATCTTAGATCTCTTCAGGCCTTGGTTTCCTTAGCTGTCAAACGATGTACATGAATGAAGCAAGATAATGCCCATGACCCCTCCAAAACACTAATATTTTAAAGTTTTATGATTGTACAGAATTAAATGCATACAGATTTGCACTTTCTGCAGAGGCAGACTTTTCTGAGGTAAATGCTAGGATTCTAAAAAACAAGTTTTATGATACCATTTTTTTCTGTGAAAAAAATACCAAATTTAACGAAAATCAATGGGAAATTGTATTTGCTATACAAACATTCAATCTCTGAACAATTTTTTAGAAATGGACTTAGAAGACTGACATGTATAAAAGACAAAACTTTTAGAACTCTATTGGCTGGGCGCGGTGGCTCATGCCCGTAATCCCAGCACTTTGGGAGGCCCAGGCAGGCGGATCACAAGGTCAGGAGATGAGACCATCCTGGCCAACATAATGAAACCCTGTCTGTACTAAAAAAAATACAAAAATTAGCTGGTCATGGTGGTGCGCACCTGTAGTCCCAGCTACTCGGGAGGCTGAAGCTGAAGAATCGCTTGAACCTAGGAGGTGGAGGTTGCAGTGAGCCGAGATGGCGCGACTGCGCTCCAGCCTGGCAACAGAGGGAGACAGCGTCTCAAAAACAAAAAACAAACAAACAAAAAAACTCTTAGAGAGACACACATTATTTTCCAAATACGCAGTTCATGGAGGTGAAAAAACCAATCAATGCTGGACTAGGCCCAAATCACTGTCACCTTAAAAGCATCAGCTTCACATGAAAGCAACCCCTGGAAAATGCCATTAACTACAGTAACATTGGAGTTGTTTTTGTGAAGTCTCAGTCAAGGCTCTCAGCAATAAAAATGAGCAAAATTCCCACACCACTGGCAGGTTGTAGTGTAATGTTCAACAGCCCACAAAACAGGCTGAAGGAACTAATGAAGGCAGCCAACAATGCCACACAGAATTTACTTCTGAGGCATCTTCTTTCCATTTTAACAGGGGACCTAGAGTAACACAAGGTTCAAATGTAACAAAGAACTGGATAGCAGTGGTAAGAAGGCTCAGCATTTCATAAAGCAGTACCTTGGAGACAGGAAGCAGGCTAAGATATCCAGTTATTTTGTTTGTTTTTCGGTTTTTTTTTTTTTTTTTTTTTTGAGACGGAGTCTCGCTCTGTCACCCAGGCTGGAGTGCACTGGCACAATCTCGGCTCACTGCAACCTCTGCCTCCCGGGTTCAAGCGATTCTCCTGCCTCAGCCTCCTGAGTAGCTGGGATTACAGGCACGTGCCACCACACCCAGCTAATTTTTGTATTTTATTAGAGACGGGGTTTCACCATGTTGGCCAGGATGGTCTCGATTTCCTGACCTCGTGATCTGCCTCCTCAGCCTCCCAAAGTGCTGGGATTACAAGCGTTAGCCACTGCCCCCGGCCTCAGTTTGTTTTTAAACTCTGAATTATGCACTACAGCTAATTACCTATATTTGAAAACAATGCCGAAAATACGTTAAACCTCTAAGTAATGTGATGCTCTGAAAATTTTCAATACTTTTATATTTGTATTTTTATGTTTCCTCTAGTAGGAAATTTTTTTTAAGTTTGAATTAAACTTTGTAAAAAAAAAACCTCTAGGTATAAATCATGCAATACTCTTCCAAAATAGTTCCAAAAATTTAATTCACATTAACAATACATTTTATGGGCTGGGAGCAGGGGCTCACACCTGTAATCCCAACACTCTGGAAGGCTGAGGCAGGCAGATTGCTTGAGCCCAGGAGTTCAAGAACAGCCTGGGCAACACTGTGAACATTCATCTCTACAAAAAATACGAAAAACTAGCCAGGCATGGTCGCACACAGCTGTAGTCCCAGCTCCTCCGGAGGCTGAGGCAGGAAGATCACCTGAGCCCGGGAAGTAGAGGTTGCAGTGAACAGTGATCGCACCACTACACTCCAGCCAGGGTGACAGAGCAAGACCCTGTCTCACAAAAACAACAAACACTTTACTGTCCACAAACTCCTCAAATCCCTTTGGAAAAATAAACAGTATACACAGAAAAACCAGAGGATGGGGTGGGAAATTTTTTTTCTTTTATTTTAAAAATTGAGACAGGGTCTCGTTATGTTGCCCAGACTGGTCTTGAACTCCTGGCCTCAAGCGATCCTTCCACCTCAGGCTCCCAAAGTGCCGGGATTACAGGTGTGAGCCAACGCACCCAGCCCCACTCTTAAACTGCCATTCTCAATCTTTTTCCCCCTCTCAATCTTATTTTAAGCCACCTTGCTAAACGTTGGCTGTTTTAAAATCAGTCAAAAGATTTATCTTATTACCAAGTTTCAACTTAGAACTGTACATTCAGCTTATCTTTAAAAAAAAACCATGAAAAATAGTGACTAATACCTATTTCAAATTGTCTTTATTAAAACAGAAAATTCACATAAATCACAAAGCACAATATATAATTATGTTTTAATAATTCTGAGTGAAACTTTCATATTCAGAGCCATATCTGATTAAATATTAAATATAAAGATAACTTTCACATAACCAATAAAAACATAAGGTCAATTTCTACCGACACCATAAAAGTACTATCTGTCCTTTATAAACAACCTGTAACAAATCTCTCTCAGCAGTAGCCAAAAAACTGCTAGTATCAAACATTTAATTTCAGCACCTGACCAGAAATTGGTTTTACCTTTCCTCTCAGCAAATGTTACACAATTCCACCTGTAGGGTATATGATATCCTTTTAAAATGCAATTTAAGAAGCCATTACTTTTTTAGAGAAACTGCTGTTCCTCTTCAGAAAAAATGAGAGAGAATTTCAATGTGGACAGGAACATTTTAGCCTATCATTTAGAAAAAAATACAGTGTATTTAAAAAAAAAAAAAAAAAAAGCCACGTAGCAGTCCGTGGGCAGCATGAGTCATCATCCAACTCAAAACTTGCAGCAGCACTTGTAAGCTTCCTCCTACCCGACCCCCATCCCCTTCAGCAAAGTACCCTGAGTCAGCAAACCTTACTATTTTGTCAGTTATGATTCTCACGATGCTTTAAATGAATTTATGTAAAGCACTGCAACACTTTTAGTGCTAACATTAGTCTTTAGAATGTGTGCATTTTTTTATTACAAAATTAACTGACTTCAAATCACTCTTCTCTGGATTTTTTAATAACAGAAAGTAGCCAACGACTACTTCTAATCCTCTTTTGCAAATAAATGAATTCCAGAATATCCTCATATACGAAGTTTTTTCTAAAATAGTCTCCATTTTCCAGTGTTTTCTTCTCAACAGTAATACCTAGGTGATCAAATATGTTCTGCTCAAATCTGGCATATTTTCTAGATTAACTGCAATTACTGAATTCAGGACATCAATGAATAATTTTACAAGCTTAAGGCAATTCTTAATAAATGATGTAACATATGTGAAATGACTTTACAATCCCTGGCACATAGCAAACACTTCATAAACATGTTTGAACAACTACTATCTAAAGACAAAGTTCCTTTCACCCAATTCAAAATTATTTTTTAAACATTAAAATCTGATATTTCTATGAAGAAATTCCTGATTTCAGGGCCAGGCCCTGTTTGGACCCTACATTCTTCTGGTCAGATCATTCTTTCCATCTCAGTTTTCCAGCGTTAAAGAGGGAGGACATGTGCAATTGGAACTGTAAGAGACAGGCTAGAAGAATCAGCCATCAGAAAATTACTCTGAAGCTGCTTGCTCTTCATTGTATGGCGTGTTAATTTTTCCCCTTGACAAATCATCTGTATCCGTTAAAAAAAAAAAAGTCATTACTGAGACTGCATCTTTAGCAATGAACACGAATTCTGCCGTTAATACAAGTAGGCTTCTAATTCCAACTCACCAGTCCCTTTCACTGGACCTTTTCCAATGAACAAGCAAAAGAAAAAATAAAACAGGAAAGGAATCAAGAAGCTCCCGCTGCACAGAGATCCCCCTAACACCTAAACCGGTTGGGTCCTACACTCGCCAAGAAACAAAAGGATGCCAAAACACCTTTACTTTTCGACACAACTCACAAGGCGGACTAAAATGCACAGCAAAGTGACAAGGCCCTTTTTGGTGAACCGACAAAACAAGCTTTCATTTGGGCACTTTTACAGACCACCACTTAAGGTCCCGAAAGAAGCTAAGGAAAGACTGTAGGGCCGAGGGAGGAAATTAGGAATTTCGTCTCCGAGTTTTCAGTACCTCATTCATGGCAAGACTCAAAACTTGGGCGGACTTCAGGGCTCTGAGACGAGCCGGGTGAGCGCTGCGCGCTACGCCACTGGAGACTTTGCCCGGCCGGAGTCAGCTGAGGCCGAGTCACCGGGTGGGATGGGGGAGGAGACGCGGGAGCATTTCGAAAGGCAGCGTGCCAGTAAGGCGAGACTCCACGCCACCTCATGTTCCCCGGGCCGCCGCCCCTCGCTCGCCCGCCCTCCGGTCCGGTCCGGCTGGGTTTCGAACCCGCGGAGCCAGGCGCAGGCGGCGGGACGGCAGCAGGCGTGCGGGGCCAGGGAGCGGGCGCGGCCTGGCAGGGCGACCGGCGAGGGGCGTGCCGGGTGGGAGGGGCGCGCTGGCCGCCTGGCCGGCCCCACGCGGGGACCCCAGCCCGCCGCCCGCCCGCCCGCGCGGGGACGCGCCGGCCAGGCCCGAGCGGGCGGGCAGGCGGGCGAGCAGGGGGCGGGCGGCAGACCGAACAAAAACGCCTTTGTTGAGCGGCAGCCGCCGGAGGGTCACACACAATGGAGGAGGGAGCCGGCTCCGCCGTCGCCGCCGCCGCCGCCGCCGCCGGGCCCGCCGCGGCGCCCTCCCGAGCCGCCCCGCCGGCGCACCCCGCACACGTACACACACACACTCACGGGACTTCTCCGACTCATCGAGAGAGTGCGGGGCTCGCGGACTGCCCCCAGTGTCGGCTCAGGTCTCCGGCTGTGCTGGCGGCAGCGGCGTCTCCGAGGCTCTCGCTTTGCCGCAGTCGCCGCCATGTAACCCCGACCCGCGAGAGAGGGCGAGGAAGAGGGGGCGGGGCTTCGCGGTGCCACGCCCCCTCACGTCACAGGCTCACTCCACGGGTTCTCCCGCCCCCGCCCTGCCCAGCGCACCCGCACGCGCCGGAATTTCCAGCGCCCGTGACTGGGCTGCGCGCGCCGCGGAGGCGGTGGGAAAGGCACGCGGCTCGTCCGGCGTCTCCTGGGGGCTTTGCCTGCGGGCGGGCAGGGAGGAAGACAGCTGGGGCCGTTTGCTCTACTACCTGCCCTGGCATTAAGGGAACAAAGTGACCAAACCCAGTGCCAGCGTTTACTAAGCACCTACTACGTGCAAGGCACTGGGCAATCCGAGAGGAAGAGGCCTCAGTCTCCAGGAAGGGTGGACCTTAAGATGGATTGGCTGGAAGGCGACAGCCCGAGCACAAGACAGACGCGTTAGAGGCCAATACTAAGGTCATTCATTCTGCCAGAGTATGGAGGAAGGCTTTCAGGAGTGGTCGCCAAGGTGGCCTTTCAGCTGGATCCCGGAGGAGCGGATATAACCAGGAGGTGGGGAGGGTGTTTCTGTGAGCAAAGACTGGGAGGCCAGAGTACCTGGCTTGTTGCAGGAACTGGGATAGGACAATTTGAATTTGGGAAGGGATGCACTATGAAACGTAGAAAGGTGGATGGGTGCCTTCTTGGGCCCACTTGGCTAAAAGCAAACTTACATTACTTATCATGGCTTATTGAGTCCAAGGAGCCTTTTCAGTGTTTATGTGAAATTTAAGTATTTATGAAATTAGAGACGCAGGTCAGCATATTTTTTCAATGACTTCATCACCATCTTGCTGAGAACCAGACATAGAATAGCCCTTCTAGTCATTATTATGGGCATCTTCAAGAAAGAGGCAAAGACCACTTCAAAAAGATCACAAAGGGCCAGGCGTGGTGGTTCACGCCTGTAATCCTAGCACTTTGGGAGGCCGAGACGGGCAGATCACCTGAGGCCAGGAGTTCGAGACCAGCATGGCCAACATGGTGAAAGCCCCGTCTCCACTAAAAATACAAAAAGTAGCCGGGTGTGGTGGCTCACACCTGTAATCCCAGCTACTCGGGAGGCTGAGGCAGGAGAATAGCTTGAACCCCGCGGGGGGTTGCAGTGAGCCGAGATCGCGCCAGGACACTCCAGCCTGGGCGAAAGGGCGAAACTCTGTCTCAAAAAAAAAAATCACAGAGTAATGAAGTTAAGTGGTTGGGGTGAGCTTGAATGCTTTATATTTTTTAATATTTAAAACAACGTCAGCTGAGTACCAGGTGTGAAGAAGAGGTAATGAGTGAAAAAAACCAAGAGAAAGGGGAGACTTGTTCCAACCGCAGAATTTCCAGCTTCTGCAACGAGAGCTCGTACCTTCAGCCCCACTGCCTCTGCTCTAGGCTCTCCTCTGATCCTCAGGACATTTTTCCTCTCACTCTTTGAGAACTCGTTTACCTTCCTTTTCCATCAATGTCTGATCACCCAGAGAAGGTGGGAGAATAAATACCAAGCACTGTGCCTTCCCTCAAGGAGCATTTAATCCAGTGTCACTGCTGACTTCCTGTGGATAATGCAAAGTTGGCTTACAATAGTAAGGGAGACCACTAAATTGACAGAATCTTTGTAGCATTTCAAAAGGGTGTCAGGCCTCTGAGCCCAAGCTAAGCCATCGTATCCCCAGTGACCTGCACATATACATCCAGATGACCTGAAGCAACTGAAGATCCACAAAAAAAATGAAAATAGCCTTAACTGATGACATTCCATCATTGTGATTTATTTCTGCCCCAACCTAACTGATCAGTGTACTTTGTAATCTCCCCCACCCTTAAGAAGGTTCTTTATAATCTCCCCCATCCTTAAGAAGATTCCTTGTAACTCTCCCCACCCTTGAGAATGTACTTTGTGAGATCCACCCCCTGCCCCCAAACCATTGCTCTTAACTCCACTGCCTATCCCAAAACCTGTAAGAACTAATGATAATCCACCACCCTTTGCTGACTCCTTTTTCAGACTCAGCCCGCCTGCACCCAGGTGAAATAAACAGCCTTGTTTTTCACACAAAGCCTGTTTGGTGGTCTCTTCACACGGACACGTGAGACAAAGGGGAGGTCAAGGATGGAATAATTACAAGATTTGGGGGATCTGGTTTTTGTTTGTTTGTTTGTTTGTTTGTTTTTGAGACAGAGCCTCGGTCTGTCGCCAGGCTGGAGTGCAGAGTGGTGCAATCTTGGCTCACTGCAACCTCTGCTCACTGCAACCTCTGCTCAAGCGATTCCCCCGCCTCAGCCTCCCGAGTAGCTGGGACTACAGGTGCGCGCCAGCACACCCAGCTGATTTTTGTATTTTTAGTAGAGACGAGGTTTTACCATGTTGACCAGGATGGTCTCGATCTCCTGACCTGGTGATCCACCAGCCTTGCC
The DNA here is from genome assembly GCF_000001405.40 of Homo sapiens. Lineage (NCBI taxonomy): Eukaryota > Metazoa > Chordata > Mammalia > Primates > Hominidae > Homo > Homo sapiens. The sequence goes on along the minus strand of NC_000015.10, from coordinate 52,016,808 downwards.
CTCCGAAAGTGCTGGGATTACAGGCATGAGCCACCACACCTGGCCCAGGGATCTGGTTTAAGACTGGTTTTTCAGTGAGGGGTCCTGATTGGGTTTGGGACAAATTTGTGTTATAATAGTTTAAGGTGGGTGGGCAGAGGAGGGGGAGAGTTTTGAAGAGAGCCTAAAGGGATAAATAGTTGTTAAACTCAGTAGAACAGAGGGCTGTTTACCCTGATGAAGGCAAATTCTGTGAGTAACTTAATGAGATAAATGGATTTTAGGAAGTTCCTGAAACCACAATCAAGTTATTTGCAACTCCACCTTTTTAGGCAAGAGTTTCTTGGAATTCAAGTTATATTTATTGCAGATAGTTGAATTGTAAAGTCATGTCAATGTAGTTGGTTTTAGTTTTTTTGGTGTTTTTTTTTTCTTTTTTTGAGATGGAGTTTTGCTCTTGTCATCCAGGCTGGAGTGTAGTGGCACGATCTAGGCTCACTGCAACCTCCGCCTCCCGGGTTCAAGCAATTCTCCTGTGTCAGCCTCCTGAGTAGCTGGGATTACAGGTGTGCACCACATGCCCAGCTAATTTTAGTATTTTTAGTAGAGACGGGGTTTCACCATGTTGGGCAGGCTGGTCTCAAACTCCTGACCACCCGCCTTGGCCTCCCAAAGTGCTGGGATTACAGGAGTGAGCCACCATGCCCGGCCAGTTTTAGTTTGTGTGTGTGTGTGTGTGTGTGTGTGTGTGTGTGTGTGCGCGCGCGCGCGCGCGCGATGGAGTTTGGCTCTGTGGCCCAGGCTGGAGTGCAGTGGCAGGATCTCAGCTCACTGCAAGCTCTGCCTCCCAGGTTCAAGGTATTCTCCTGTCTCAGCCTTCCAGTAGCTGGGATTACAGGGCGCGCCACCACGCCCAACTAATTTTTGCATTTTTAGTAGAGAGGGGGTTTCACCATGTTGGCCAGGCTGGTCTTGAACTCCTGACCTCAAGTGATCTGCCCACCTCAGCCTCCCAAAGTGCTGGGATTACAGGTGTGAGCCACCACGCCCAGCCCGGTTTCAGTTCTTAATGCCATTCTGGGCTGGGCGCGGACTCACGCCTGTAATCCCAGCACTTTGGGAGGCTAAGGTGGGCGGATCACCTGACCAACAGGGTAAAACCCCATCTCTACTAAAAAATACAAAAAAAATTAGCCGGGCGTGGTGGCGTGCGCCACCCAGCTACTTAGGAGGTTGAGGCAGGAGAATTGCTTGAACCCGGGAGGCGGAGGCTGCAGTGAGCCGAGATCATGCCACTGCACTCCAGTCTGGGTGACAGAGCGAGACTCCCTCTCAAAAAAAAAAAAAAAATCCCATTCTGTGGCTATAAAAATTTCAGTGCTTGGCCAGATGCGGTGGCTCAGGCCTGTAATCCCAGTACTCTGGGAGGCCGAGGCAGGTGGATCACCTGAGGTCAGTAGTTCAGGACCAGCCTGACCAACATGGTGAAACCCCGTCTCTACTAAAAATACAAAAATTAGTCAGGTGTAGGCTGGGTGCGGTGGCTCATACCTGTAATCCCAGCACTTTGGGAAGCTGAGGCGGGTAGATCACATGAGGTTAGGAGTTTGAGACCAGCCTGACCAACATGGTGAAACCCCATCTCTACTAAAAATACAAAAATTAGCCGGGCCTGGTGGTGCATGCCTGTAATCCCAGCTACTCAGGAGGCTGAGGCAGGAGAATTGCTTGAACCCGGGAGGCGGAGGTTGCAGTGAGCCGAGATCACACCATTGCACTCCAGCCTGGGCAACAAGAGTGAAACTCCATCTCAACAAAACAAAAAAAGTTTCAATTCTCAGCATTTTTTCAAACTGCAGATTATGATCCATTAGTGAGTAGTGAAATCATTTTAGTGGATTACAATTTGCATTTTGTCTTAATAGAGCAAAAAACTAAATAAGAGAGCATTGCCCAGAAGAAAGGGCAAACATTGTTTTCTGCAACTTTTGTCTTGGTTATGTAACATATTTCAACAGATCTAAAAATGTCATTCATTATGAAACATGCCATTATTTTATGTACTATTAAGAAAGTGAAAACTCTATCAAAATACCTCATTGCTACATCCTTTTTTTTTTTTTTTTAGAAAATCTCACTTTGTTGCCCAGGCTGGAGTGCAGTGGTGGGATCATGGCTCACTGTAGCCTCAATCTCTCGGGCTCAAGCAATCTTCTTGCCTCAGATCCCTGAGTAGCTAGGACTACAGGCATGCACCACCACACCTGGCTAATTATTTTTTGTAAAGATGAGGTCTCACTATGTTGCCCAGGCTGGTCTCCAACTCCTAAGCTCAAGTGATCCTCCTGCCTCAGGCCTCCCAAAGTGCTGGGATTACAGGGATGAGCCACCGCACCTGGGCTAAATCCTGATTTCAGGCATTAAAATGGAGGAAATACTTAAAATTGATGACATATATAGTTTATATGAATGTGTCTATTGGGTCATAATGTAAAATGTATTTATATTTATTGCTAATTATTGTTGTGAGCTATGCTATTGCTAAAAGTTTGAAAGTCACTGCCATAGTGGAGGAATGCAGGAGAGAAAAAATAAGTACAGCGAGAGATAGATGAGTGCTTCCTGAGCAGAGATGCAAATTATTTGCGGTTGTTGGACTATAATGGAAGGAACAATTGATAAGAACCGGGGACATCAGGGAGAGAGAGTATTTGAGCTGGGCTTGATTCCATCGGGTAGTATCTGGAAAAAAAAAAAAAATCCCAGATGAAAGAATGTACAAAGACATGAGCATGCAGGGCACACTTTGGAAAATGGGAGAAGTCTGACAGGCCTGGGAGAATGAAGACAAGTTAGCACCAGATTGAGAAGGCCTTGATTACAAGGCCAAAACTTTTGGATTTTACACTAAAGAGAGTAGGAGAGGAACATAAAGGATACAACTAGTATTTTAGAATATAACACTGGCATTAATAGGAAGGGTAGATTGAGCAAGAGATTGGAGACCTGGAGCAGGTAGAAGAATCTATTGTTTTTTCTGCCCTGTATCCAATGTACGGTCTTCTGGTAACAATACTCCCACGTCCTCTAAGGAGCCTCCCCTTCCTGTGTAAGTAAAAATTGTTTCTGTTGCAAGTAACAGAGAAGCCAAACCAAACTGTATCTCATGAGAGAGACAGAATATATTCAGATGGTTATTGTACCTTTACTAGGTGAGGAAGGAGATGATAATACAAGAAAGATTATTGGGTAAAGTGGACTTGGTGAATGCTTAGATGAGTCAGAGATGTGTCTTAAGTCACCCAGTTGCTCCCACATTACCTCTTTAAGTTCCCTCTTTAGGCTTCTTGTTTTATCTTTTTCCAGTTAAGTTACCCTATGAAGACAAACTACCAAATACCTTGATTTTAAAAATGGATGGAAAATAGAGTTTCGCAATACAAACTACTACATTTGATGGTAAACCCTGGAAAATGTCTGATATAAATCATTAAAGACAGTATGTTAGGGAAGATGTAAGAGGTCATCATGACTTCTCTTCAAGTGAGTCATTACAAAGAAACACCACTTCCTTTCTTGATAGGATTATTACATTACTTAACCAAGAGGTTGGTCATTTCAGGAAGGCAAGACATCTTTGTGGATAAGATGGAGTGATGTGGGTTTAGATTATAGCAGAGAAAGGTTGATTCAAAGAGTGCATGACAGGGAATCTTGAGAGAGTTCTCTAGAAAAGCAATACAGATTTTCCCCTCTTTAGTCTTGTGTAATATATATATATATATATATATATATATATATATATATATTTTTTTTTTTTTTTTTTTTTTTTTTTTTTTTTTCCAGGCGGAGTCTCACTCTGTCGCCCAGGCTGGAGTATAGTGGCACAATCTTGTCTCACTGCAACCTCCGCCTCCCGGGTTCAAGGCATTCTCATGCCTCATCCTCCCGAGTAGCTGGGACTACAGGCACCCACCACCACGCCCGGCTAATTTTTGTATTTTTAGTAAAGACGAGGTTTCACCATATTGGCCAGGCTGGTCTCGAACTCCTGACCTTGTGATCCGCCCACCTCGGCCTCCCAAAGTGCTGGGATTACAGGTGTAAGCCATCGTGCCTGGCTGAGTAATATTTTTATCAATGTTTTGAGTTAAGGTACTTATTAAACTTAAGGGAGCTATAAAACATACAGTGTGATGGATTACAGGATGATTACTCAAAATCATTTCCATAGGTTGCAAAGAATCTTTTTAAAAAGATGACATTTGACTGCAATAAAGTACAATATCTTTGTTCAGAAAAATCATTTGAAAAGGACCAGGATTTGGGAGACTTGGCTTAACCTGGTAATGTGACAATAAGGGTAAAATGCAGTGTGAGCAGATGCCAAAAAAACGTAACAAAATAGAACAAAATGTGTGAATAGGAAACAGTGTCCACGTCCCAGGGGGTACCACACCTATGCTATTCAGCTCAAGATTTCTCAACTTATGTGTTCAAATACAGACACCACATTTACAAAAGCTACCACACATAGCAAATTAGAGTAATTCATTAGGAGACATTCAGGCAGGGTGTGGAAATCATGTTCTCTGAAAAAAAGATGTGAGAATTGGGTCTGATTAACCTGCAGAAGAGATTTGCTAAAGGGTTGTTGTGTGCAGAGGAGAGAATGGTTGCTCTGGATTTCAGATCTAAAACCACTGAGAGGGCTATTACGAGAGGCATTGGCTCAGCATAAGAAAGGATTGTTTTGGATATTGGAACTGAGCCACAGTGGACAGGACTTCCCTGGTGAAGTGAATGCTACATCACTGGAAGCATTCAATCAGAAAACAATGGCCACCTGTCAAGGAGGGTCTAAAAGGAACTGCAGAGGAGAGGAGGGGCCTACAGCCAGCTGATAACTTCCATGGTCTCCAACTTGAAGCTTCTGTGTGTCTGTTTATACTCTTAATTTAAAATGACTGCTCTCCTAGACACGGTTTATAGAAGAACACGTTGTAATTTGATTTGTAAATAAACAAAACAGCCTTCCACTGAAGAAATTCATTGCCAAGTACAGTTCATTCTCACAGTGGATTCTCATTATTTGTGGTACTTATGTTCTGTAAAGTGATCATGAACAGTAAATTAGTGAAAACTGAACCCTGCTCCTAGGGGAAATACAAGGCTAGGTTCCTGCAAACCTCTGGCACAACATTCTCATCAGCCAGTGAATATATAATCTTGTTTTATGTGTATTTCTGTTTCAAGACACCTTTTTAAATACTTATTGTTGATTCATTAGCACTGAACTCGCTGCCAAAAGCACTGTAACTCATGCCTGAATAAAGCTTATCTAACATGTATTTTCTCTGTAGGGCACTTCACAGCCTTCTGTGCTTAGGAACTCTATACAGCACTTCAGCAATAGATTTGGGGGCCACTTTAAACAGCAAAATCACCAACGGAAAGCAAAACATGTGATGGCTCGGCACAGTGGCATGTGCCTATAGTCCCAGCTACTCAGGAGGCTGAGACAGGAGGGTCACTTGAGCCCAGGAGTTTGAGTCCAGCCTGGTCAACATAGAGAGATCCTGTTTCTAAAAACAAAAAAATCATGGCACCAAATAGACCATGGAAAGGACACTCGTTTACAGTACGAGAGTTGAAACAAGAAGGCAGAATCTTGTCTTGTTTGGCCTCAGCTGGCAACGTTCCCGTAGGGTGACTCAAGTATCTCGTTACTGTGCATGTTCAAAAGTGACTACAAAGGTGCTATGACTACTTCGAGGTTACAAATAAGTTTCAGCAATAGGCAAATTTGCAAACAGAATCTGTGAATAATGAGGACTGACTATAGTTAAAGATTATGGAGAGAATGTTTTCAGTCAAAACCCATCAAACCTGTACATAAAGTTTGATGAGAGGCAGATCACACGAATGATTTTTGGAAATGCAAGACTACCACCTGCAAACAAAACTAGGATCCCACATTTAATTGGATGGGGCAACAAGAGTATCCCCTCCGCCAGGCGCGGTGGCTCACGCCCATAATCCCAGCACTTTGGGAGGCCAAGGTGAGTGGATCACTTGAGGTCAGGAGTTTGAGACCAGCCTAGCCAACATGGTAAAATCCCATCTCTACTAAAAATACAAAAATTAGCCTGGCCTGGTGATGTGTGCCTGTAGTCCCAGCTACTCAGGAGGCTGAGGCAGGAGAATCGCTTGAACCCAAGAGATGGAGGTTGTAGTGAGCCAAGATCGTGCCACTACACTCCAGCCTGGGCAACAGAGTGAAACTCTGTCTCAAAAAAAAAAAAAAAAAAAAAAGGCTGGGTGCAATGGCTCATGCCTGTAATCCCAGCACTTTGGAAGGCCGAGTTGGGTGGATCAGCTGAGGTCAGGCGTTCAAGACCAGCCTGACCAACATGGAGAAACCCTGTCTCTACTAAAAATACAAAAATTAGCTGGGTGTGGTGGCACCTGTAATCTCAGCTACTCGAGAGGCTGAGGCAGGAGAATCGCTTGAACCCAGGAGGCAGAGGTTGCAGTGAGCCAAGATCATGCCATTGCATTCCAGCCTGGGCAACAAAAACAAAACTCTGTCTCAAAAAAACAAAAAAACAACTTATCCTTCAGGAGAATGGTAATAGCAATCATTTATCAAGTTCCTACCAAGTAGCCCGTTTCAGGTAAACACTTTACAAACGTTCTATCATTTTCTCAGACTATGACAAATGGGATTTCATTGAAAAGCTGTAAGAAATTACTTAAGGCCAGGCACGGTGACTCACGCCTGTAATCCCAGCACTTTGGGAGGCTGAGGCAGGTGGATCACAAGGTCAGGAGTTTGAGACCAGCCTGGCCAAGATGGTGAAACTGTGTCTCTACTAAAAATATAAAAAGTAGCCGGGCATGGTGGCGGGCACCTGTAATTCCAGCTACTCAGGAGGCTAAAGCAGGAGAATCACTTGAACCCAGGAGGCAGTGGTTGCAGTGAGCCAAGATAGCACCACTGCACTCTAGCCTGGGCGACAGAGCAAGACTCTGTCTCAAAAAAAGAAAAAAAAAATTGCTTAAATATTTTAGACAAAACCTGGCTTTCCTTGTAATAAAATCAATTTCTGAGACAAAAACTATACATTTACTTTTTAAATAATGGTTATATAATTAAACATTTAAAAGTACTGGGAAATATCTATTGGAATAATTTTATAAAACCAAATAAATAATCCAAAGAGCCCCTCTAATTTTTCTGCTTTGGAAGTCAGAATTTTCTGGAAGCAAGGCAAATTTGTAGAAATGGTAGAATTAAACTAGTAATACAAAACTTACAGCCTCTCCCAACACACACATTTTAAGAGAAGCATAGAGAGAGTGACACTTTCTGGCTTCAGGGAAATTTAGTCCAAAGGTTTTCTTATTTGCATTCTGTCCTTCCTTCTATCTTGAGAGGCCCAATACCTTGAAGAGAACAGATACTCCTAATTTCTGGAGACAGTGTCCAACTTGAACCTCTTGAGACCACAAAGCCTTCTATAACTAGTCTCAGATTTTGAGAACAACCTGGGTCTCTGCCACATGACCAGAGTAAATAAAAGGAAAGAATAGACCGGATGTTTGTCAGCCCATGTGCAGGGAATGATAAATATTTTGAGTTGTGGAGACAAAGCAGCTTTCAACTCACAAGGTCATGCTCCTCCCCTTTGCACTTCAGTAGTCAAGCTATCCTGTCCTTTGAGGAAGAAGGTAATCACTTCCTCTAACTAATCCTGTACCCAACATTTGCTTTCACTGGTCATTCTGAGTGCTCCATTTATCAATTAGTATATCATATGGTAGGCTTAGTAGGTCTGCCTTCCACAATCCTGCCTCTCACCTCCCATTTACCACTTGATAATTACTACCACTGGAACTCCCTTCCCAGAAGATGTCATCATCCCCAGAAACTGATAACCACCTCTGGAGTCTTTATCTGCATTCATCATTGCCTCTGGCAATCCCCTAGGTCTGGTGTCCTGGAAGAAAAATGGCCAGGGGCTCAAGAGGCCTAAGATTCATCTGCCCATCCTGGCCTCACTCTAAACCTATGAGTGCCCATCCCATTCCCTCCCACAACCAGGGCATTACACAGGGCCCTGCGTGCAAAAGGACCCCATGCTTGGTTTAATGCTCTGCTATGACCATCTTGACATTCCTGATGATTTTATCTTTGAACTCGTGTTGTGTAGTGAAGTCAGATGTGGCAGTGGAGCACGCAGGTGAGCAGAGGAGATAGATGCAATAAGTATGTTCACTATTTCCTGCCACCCTGTTCATGTATAGTGTTCTCCATGACCCATGTGCACAGGATTCTGGTGAGCCCGCGGTGCATCAGAATTCAGCAAGACAAAGCAAATAAGTATTAATACAAGGTAAGCCTGTTTTGTCTACGGCTGAGTAAGTGGGGGTCCTGATAGTTCTGAGAAGTCATGTTTTCCACTGGAACCAGAACTTCAAACCGAAAGAAGGCAATGGCATTCTAAGACATAAAAGACCACGGTACCCTATCATATCTTTTCTTTCTTGTGTCACTTCCCTGTGTTAGCTGACTGCTTGTGCTGAGGACATTTCCTTTGCCTTTCAGTACTTTCTTACTCCTCAGTAAGTCAAAGGTGGAGTGTTAGTACAATGTGTGTGCATCAGGAAGTGAAATAAGGGCTGGGCACAGTGGCTCACGTCTGTAATCCCAGCACTTTGGGAGGCTGAGGCGGGTGGATCACCTGAGGTCAGGAGTTTGAGACCAGCTTGCCCAAAATGGTGAAACCCCGTCTCTACTGAAAATACAAAAATTAGCCGGGCGTGGTGGCAGGTGCCTGTAATCCCAGCTACTTTGGAGGCTGAGGCAGGAGAATCACTTAAACCTGGGAGGTGGAGGTTGCAGTGAGCCAAGATCACACCATTGCACTCCAGCCTGGGTGACGGAGTGGAACTCCGTCTCAAAAAAAAAAAAAAAAAGAGGTGAAATATCAGTTGAGGTAGTTTTGTGTAGTTTTTATACTATTCTGGTAATAACCAACTATATATATATGTAAGAGCTAAAAAATAGAAATTATGTCATTTTGGTGAGTCCACAAAGGAATTAATTTTTTTTTTTTTTTTGAGATAGAGCTCTAGCTCTATTGCCCAGGCTGGAGTACATTGGTGCAAACACAGCTCACTACAGCCTTGGCCTCCTGGGCTCAAGCAAATCCTCCTGCCTCAGGAATTAAATGATCTTATATTTGTATTTAAAACTGGCTTTGCACAGTATAAAAATGAATTATAACATTCATGCTAGTAATTTAAATTTTTCTTTTTTCTTACGTAGAATAACATTAAATCACATATTTAAAACACTGTAACAAGTCAAGAGAGAGAGAGCAGGAGGAAAAAAAGTTGTCTTCTTAACTAGCTTAGCAGCATTTTTATTTTTCTGCCTTTTGAACCAAAGGGCCCCAGAAATTATGTAGCCAGTCTTGCTAGAACCCCACCCCCCAGAAGATAGCCCTGAAGAAGGTGGGTCAGGGACAGACTCCCCACCTGCTCCCACTCCCCTCCCTGCCAGAGCTGGGACAGGAGAAGTGAGAATATCTCTGCCCTTGGGGGTAAGTGTCCAAGGCTGCCTCAAAGCCCAGCCGCCCACACTTGGGAGCAGCACTTCCTATAATAAACACACAGGCTTCATTACACAGGGAGGTAGGAAGTGGGGTAGGAAGGAAGACCTTGTTCCTTCTGGGGCACATTTTCCCATAGAAACAATGTCGTAGGTCACAGTTCTATAGTCTCAAAGTCAAGCTGCATATGGGCTAAATGGCCTTCTAAGAGTTGGCCTGAGAACAGAACCAGTATTTCTAACATTGATTCTCTGGGGAAAATACATTTTCAGTTTCAAACAACCAAGTTAGAAATCAACTTTTGGGAACATAACTCAGTCACAAGCAGGGACTGTCTGTACCTTCCTAGCTTAGAAGTGCTGAGACCACAGAGAAGGATGGTATTTGTTAGACCCAGGTAAACAACTAAATGTTAATGACGCTATTAATAAGTCATAATTTCACTTTATGCTCTGGTAGATATGAAGGGTCCAGTTCTTCAGATTTGCTGCTTGAAGAACTTGATTGCAGGTTTACCAGGGTTGATTGGCCCCTGGCAACCAACACATACCAACCAAGTTCAAGAGATTGTACCCTAGACCAGCTGCCAATCCACTAAGCACACAAGAATAGCTGTGCTGAGTTGTACTCATGATTCATCCCGGCTGATATTCTCACACAATGATTGTGAACTTCTGTGTTTTAGTCATTGTAAACTCTAGTGTTGAGCACAGTGTCTGAATGTAGTGGTTTCTCAAAAAAATGTTAGTTGAAAACGAAAGGTGAATAGGGGTTTCCTTCAAATTTCCCCTTATTTAATTCTACTTTTAAAGCAACTTTCTTCTTAGGAAATCTATTTGGTCATTTTAGTTACCTCTTTCTATGACCTGGTATATCTATTAAATACTAGACTCTTTTTTACGGTTTCCAGGGAGAATTAAATGCATGATTCCAGGTATAACTTCATTACCATTTTGTCAAATGTAAGACAAAATAATGCTTTCAGTTCTGTTTTCCACGTTCTTAGCAAACAGGCCTAGCATATTGTTATATGACTTTAGGAAACAGTCAACAATAACTCATGGGTCTCTTTCTTAGAATAAAGCACAGCTCCCAACTCATCTTCTTTTAAGTGACTTTAGACTAACAATACTAAATGCATTATTCCAATTCAGTACAGAATGAAACTCATTTGCCATATTTTTGTCCACTCACATAAGCTGTGTGAAGCTTATCTTTTCAATTTAGATCCATCTGCTTGGTAGTTACTACTCTGGAGAGCTTAAGGCCATTTCCTACATGGGCCTGCTTCCACACAGTCTATCACAGTTTTAAGTAAGACAAGTCCCCCAGCAGTAATCCTTGGGGGCTCCACTGTGAAACCAGAAGAATCTCTCTGATGTCTTGGCACCAACGGTAGTCAGCAGACCTAGGTGTAAGCCCCAGTTCTGCCACTTAGTTGTTTGATTCCAGGCAAGTCATTTAATCTCAACTTTAAAATGGTATAAATAGCACCTACCTCCCCTCCCTCGAAGGGTGGGGTCTGTCCAAGGAATACATGAGATAATGTGTGTGGAAGCACCCCTAAAATGCTAACCTACTCTAAATAAGGGGTGCTGTTAGTATCTTCAGCCAGAAGCTTGCCTGTTTAAACTATCATTCACCTAAGTTAAGCCAGATCTCTCTCTCTCTTTTTTTTTTTTGAGATGGAATGTCACTCTTGTTGCCCAGGCTGGAGTGCAGTGGTGCGATCTTGGCTCACTGCAACCTCCACCTCCCAAGTTCAAGCAATTCTCCTGCCTCAGCCTCCTGAGTAGCTGGGATTACAGGCACCCGCCACCATGCCTGGCTAAGTTTTGTACTTTTTTAGTAGCGACAGGGTTTTGCCATGTTGGTCAGGATAGTCTTGAACTCCTGACCTCAGGTGATCTGCCCTCCTCAGCCTCCCAAAGTGCTGGGATTACAGGCATGAGCCACCGCACCTGGCCCAGATCTCTCTTCATTCATTCAAGTCATTCAACAGATAGCCTTTGAGTGCCTATTTTATCCAAGATAGAACTTTCTCCCACCTTTTGGGGTAACTTATTTGGGGGGTTTTGTTTGTTCTTCTTTGTTTCCTCAGTGTTTAATGTGTAAATTGGTAAAGATATTTTTTAAAGTGTAGCGTTCACATGCTTATTTACCCCTCAAAGAAATGTCGTCCAACAGTGAAACATGAGGCATGCTCAAGCATGTTGCTGCAAAGGAAGAAGGTCAAACACAGTCTCTGCCTGCATCTCTCCACAGAAAGCAGGAGTCCCTTCCACGCTCAGCCTCAGAGCGACAGAAGGGAAAATCCAGAGTGGGGTTGCTATGGTTTGAACGTGTTCCCCAAAAAGCGTATGTTGGCAACTTAATCCCCAATGCAGCAGTGTTGGGAGGTGGGGCCTAATTGGAGGTGTTTAGGTCATGGGGGCTCCACTCTCATGAATTGAATCATGCTGATTATAATAAAGCTGGAAGCTTCAAGTTCAATGTCTTGCCCTCTGGAGATCGTTCTTGCCCTCTTGAGATCACTCTTGCCCTTCTGCCTTCTACCATGAGATGATGCAGCAAGAAGGACCTCATTAGATACTGTCCCCTCTTAGACTTCCCAGCCTCCACAACTGTGAGCCAAATAAATTTTTTTCCTTTATAAATTATTCAATCTCAGGTATTCTGTTATAAAAAGCACAAAACAGACTAAGACATGGGTGTAGCTGAGAGGGCCAGTGAGAAAGGGAAACAGGGGCAACTATATAACCCCTCAGATACCAACAACCGCTATAATAATAAATGGATCTACTTACATGAAAGCAGCTTATAGCAATCTCCTTTAATTAGCCCGTGGTCCTTTCTAACAAAGAAAAATCCCTTCCACTTTTAGAAGCTTCTGATGAAGGCTTATGGATACTGCTTCCAAAGGAAAGATAAAAGGCAAAGCATTCCTAGGGAAAAGGAGGAAAGACGTATTTGTAAAATGATTTAGCTGTACAGCAGGTTATGAAGGAGTGAAAAGGAAAAGATTAAAATGGTTCTTTCCCTCCTCCCTCTGTGACTCAGATTAATCCTAAAAATAATCTTCATCCCAGTATGAGACGCTTAGTAAAGACTCACATCTCCACAGACCAATTTTCATGATGGTCGTGGGGAGGAAAGGAACAAAAGGAAAAGGGAGATAGGGAACAGGAGCTACTAAAGGTAGTCTAGAAGAGACTTCACCTACTCAGAAGAGGTGAGGTGAAATTAAAGGCCAGTGTAAATGTGAGGCAATAAGCATTTTGCATTCTTGCCCTATTCTGAAGTCTTGGAATTATATTGCATCAGCAAAGATGAAACTTCAATTTACTGTTTCACTCTTATCTCTCACTAATTCTTCTGGCCATCCCTATTTTACTCATTCAAATGAATTTTCATCTCTTCAACATCATGCTCCTTTCTTTGCATCAGCAACAGGAGGCTCTTGACATTTTTTCAGTCACATTTAATTTGTGTAAGTCTGTCCATTTGTTTTAAAAGCATTTTATTTTTAAAGTTTTTCAAACTAACAGAAAAGTTGCGCACATAGCATAATGAATTTTTACCTGAACAATTTGAGAGTCAATTGCTGACATGATACCTGTGGTGGATGTTGAGATGCTTTGACCAGATCCCCCTCCAAGGAAAGACTTGCTGCCCTGCTGTGGGGACTGTGCTCAGCACACAGCTGTCAGCTACCATTTCCTTCCGGGTTTGCCTCATGTGCAGAGAGCTACCTTGCCCAAGAAGATGTGCCTTTTCTGGGTTGCCCAAATCTGATGACTGATCAAGGCAGAAGTAGAAAGGTGATATGGTTTGGCTCTGTGTCCCCACCCAAATCTCATCTCAAATTGTAATCCCCATAATCACCATGTGTCGAGGGAGGGAGCTGGTGGGAGGTGATTGGATGATGGAGGCGGGTTTCCCCCATGCTGTTCTCGTGATAGTGAATGAGTTCTCACGAGATCTGATCGTGTTTTTTTTGTTTGTTTTTTGGTTTTTTTTTTAAGACGGAGTTTCCCTCTTGTTGCCCAGGCTGGAGTGCAATGGTGCAATCTCAGCTCACTGCAACCTCTGCCTCCTGAGTTCAAGCAATTCTCCTGCCTCAGCCTCCTGAGTAGCTGGGATTACAGGCATGCACCACCATACCCTGCTAATTATTATATTTTTAGTAGAGACGGGGTTTCACCATGTTGGTCAGGTTGGTCTCAAACTCCTGACCTTGTGATCTGCCCACCTCAGCCTCCCAAAGTGCTGGGATTACAGGTATGAGCCACCGCGCCCGGTGATCTGATGGTTTTATAAGTGTTTGACAGTTCCTCCTTCACATACACTCTCTCTCTCTGTCTCACCTGCTGCCACCTAAGATGTGCTTGCTTCCTCTTCCGCCATGATTGTAAGTCTCCTGAGGCCTCCCCAGCCATGCGGAACTGTTGAGTCAGTTAAACCTCTTTTCTTTATACATTACCCAGTCTCAGGTATTTCTTTATAGCAGTGTGAAAACACTAATACAAAAGGCCTAGCTATTTTGCCCTGTCAGAACAACTCTGATGATCCACTTCCTCTGGAGAGATTCCTGTGTGGGGTTAACTGAGGCTATCAGCCTGCATCTCAGATCAACTTCACCCTCTGCCCAATCTTATTTCCTTTCCCTGCCATTCACAGATGTCGATCCCAAGGGCCCTCCCTAATAAATATCCTGTACACTGAAGTCCGTCTCAGGATCTGCTTCCTGGAAAACCCAAACTACCACAGTCAGAGCCAGGAGAGGTCTGAGAAAGCACAGATAAGATGGAGTTTTGGAACTGGGTCACTCATCCACCTAGCTGGTAGGGAGGACCTGTTACTGGTAATAGATGGAACCCAGATAACCCCTGGCAGAAGGTGGCGGCCAGGTACTAAAACTTTCACTAGTGGTGAACTGGGATTGTATACCAATGGAAGAGAATGTATTAGCTCAAGCAATATATGGCAGAAATAGTAATTCTAAGGACAATGGGATTATATGGTTATTGCTCACCTCTGTTGAAGCTCTAGGAAAAGAAACCAAAAGGCCGAGAGAGTAAACACCAGGCAACTAGAGCCAAATGAAAGCTTTCGCCAGAGGGTCTCTGGTAGCATGTAAAGAGACTTTCGTGACCTAAGGTGGGAAGGCAGAGAATGCTGAGGACAAGACCCAGACTAAATCATCAGTGTAGCCAAACTCCAAAGAAGATTAAACTACCAACCAAATTAGGTCAGGGTTCTGGTTGGGAAAGAGTGAGACTCTGACACATGGGACAGGGACATCTGGGTTGATGCCCCCCAAAATCTTGAATTCCCAGATTCCTCTTGACCCTCTGAGCCTACAGAATTGAGTCATTCTTCCCTATTAAGGGCTACATGCGGCCAGGAGTGGCGGATCACGCCTATAATCCCACCACTTTGGGAGGCTGAGGTGGGCAGATCATTTAAGGCCAGGAGTTTGAGACCAGCCTGGCCAACATGGTGAAACCCTGTCTCTACTAAAAATACAAAAATTAGCCAGGTGTGGTGACTCGTGCCTGTAGTCCTAGCTACTCAGGAGGCTGAGGCAGGAGAATCGCTTGAACCCAGCAGGAGGAGGTTGCAGTGAGCCGAGATTGTACCACTGCACCCCAGACTGGGTGACAGAGTGGGACTCCATCTGAAAAAAAAAAAAAAAAAGAAAGGAAAAGGACAAAGGTATACCATTCAATTCCCAGTTTTGAAACTTACTACAAAACTATGGTAATGAAAAGTGTGGTAC
Organism: Homo sapiens; assembly: GCF_000001405.40. Classification (NCBI taxonomy): domain Eukaryota; kingdom Metazoa; phylum Chordata; class Mammalia; order Primates; family Hominidae; genus Homo; species Homo sapiens. Next base: position 52,001,427 of record NC_000015.10, on the reverse strand, counting down.
TAGCAAAAGGATAGACCTACAGACCAATAGAGTAGAATTGAGAGTCTAGAAATAAACATGTATATCTATGGGTGTCTTAATTTGCTTGTGTGCTATAACAAAATACTTGAGACTGGGTAATTTATAAAGAACAGAAACTTTTTTTCTTGCAGTTCTGGAGGCTGAGAAGTCCAAGCTCAAGGTGCTGGTAGGTTTGGCTGTTTGGTGAGGGCTGCATCCTCTGGAGAGGAGGAATGCTATGTCTTCACATGACAGAAAGTGGAAGGCAAGAGGCTGAACACTGCATGAAATGTTTTTCATAAGGGCCGTAACCCCATTCACGAGAAAGGACCCCCTCATAGCCTCAGTCACCTCTTACAGTCCCCACCTCTTAATGCTATCACATTGGCAACACCTGAATTTTGGAGAAGACACATTCAAGTCATAGCAATGGGCAATGGATTTTCAACAAGAGTGCCAAAACAGGGAGGGTGGTAGGGGGGTGAGGGATAAAAGATCACCCATTGGGGACAATGTATGCTACTAGTGTGATAGGTACACTAAAAGCCCAAACTTCACCACTATACAATTCATCCATATAACCAAAAAACAACTGTACCCCTAAAGCTATTGAATTTTTTTTTTTTTTGAAATGGAGTCTCTCTCTGTCGCCCAAGCTGGAGTGCAGTGGCGTGATCTCGGCTCACTGCAACCTCCGCCTTCTGGGAGATTCCCCTTCCTCAGCCTCCCCAGTGGCTGGGACTACAGGTGTGTGGCACCATGCCCGGCTAATTTTTGTATTTTCAGTAGAGACGGAGTTTCACCATATTGGCCAGGCTGGTCTCAAACTCCTGAAGTTGCGATCTGCCTGCCTCAGCCTCCCAAAGTGCTGGGATTACAGGCGTGAACCACTGTGCCCAGCTATTGAAAAGTTTTTTAAAATGCCAGAACAATTATATGAGAAAAGAATAGCCACATGCAAAAAAATGAAATTGGACCTTATCTCATACAGTACACTAAAATTTAACACAAAATGGGTCAATGCAAGAGCTAATACTACAAAACTCCTAGAAGAAAACTTAAATTAGGCAATGGGTTCTTAGATACGACACCAACAGCACAGGCAACCAAAGAAAAATAGGTAACTTGGACTTCATATAAATGAAAAACTTTTGTGCTTCAGAAGACCCCATCAAGAAAGTGAAAACGAGGCCAGGTACAGTGGCTCACGCCTGTAGTGCCAATACTTTGGGAGGCTGAGGCAGGAGGACAGCTTGAGCCCAAGAGCTTGAGACAACCCTGGGCAACACAGAGAGACCCAATCTCTTAAAAAAAAAAACAAAATTAGCCAGGTACGGTGGCACACCCTTGTGGTCTCAGCTACAGGGGAGGTGAAAGCAGGAGGATCACTTGAGCTGGGAAGTCCGGGCTGCAGTAAGCTGTGATTGCAGCACTGCACTCCAGCCTGGCAACAGGGTGAGATCCCATCTCAATAAATAAATATAGGTCAGGCATGGTGGCTCACGCCTGTAATCCCAGCACTTTAGGAGGCCAAGACAGGCAGATTACCTGAGCTCAGGAGTTCAAAACCAGCCTAGGCAACATGGTGAAACCCTGTCTCTACAGAAAATACAAAAATTAGCCAGGCATGGTGGCATGCACCTGTAGTCCCAGCTATTCACGAGGCTGAGATGGAAGGCTGGCTTAAGCCCAGGAGGTGGAGGTTGAAGTGAGCTGTGTTCGCACCACTGCATTCCAGCCTGGATGACAGAGCCAGATCCTGTCTCAAAAATAAAATAAATACATAAATAAATAAAAAGAGGGAAACTAAAATAAAAAGGAAACCTTAAAAAAAGGAAAGTTAAAAAACAACCCAAAGCGTGGGAGAAAATATTTGCAAATAATATATCTGATAAGAGTCTACTAGCCAGAATATATAAAAAACTCTTCACTCAATAATAATAAAATAAATAACTCATTTTTACAATAGGCAAAGGATTTGATAGACATTTCTCCAAAGAAGATATACAAATGGAAAATAAGCACATGAAAAGATGATCACCATGATTGGTCATTAAGGAAATGTAAATCAAACCTACAATGAGATACCACTTTATACCCACTTAAATGGTTATAATGTTAAAAATGGAGGCTGGGCGCGGTGGCTCACACCTATAATCCCAGCACTTTGGGAGGCTGAGGGCAGGTGGACCACTTGAGGTCAGGTGCTCAAGACCAGCCCGGCCAACATGGTGAAACTCTGTCTCTACTAAAAACACAAAAAAATTAGCCAGGGGTGGTGGGGCCCACCTGTATTCTCAGCTACTCTGGAGGCTGAGGCAGGAGAATCGCTTGAACTCGGGAGGTGGAGGCGGCAGTGAGCCGAGGTGGTGCCTGGTGCCACTGCACTCCAGCCTGGGCGACAGAGTGAGACTCCATCTTAAAAAACAAAAAAAAAAGGCCGGGCGCGGTGGCTCCTGCCTGTAATCCCAGCACTCTGGGAGGCTGAGGCGGGCAGATCATGAGGTCAGGAGATCAAGACCATCCTGACTAACACAGTGAAACCCCGTCTCTACTAAAAATACAAAAAATTAGCCAGGCGTGGTGGCAGGTGCCTGTAGTCCCAGCTACTCCGGCGGCTGAGGCAGGAGAATGGCGTGAACCCAGGAGGCGGAGCTTGCAGTGGGCCGAGATTGCGCCACTGCACTCCAGCCTGGGCGGCAGAGCGAGACTCCGTCTCAAAAAAAAAAAAAAAAAAAAATTAACCAGGCATGGTGGCGCACGCCTGTAATTCCAGCTTCTTGGGAGGCCGAGGCAGGAGAATCTCTTGAACCTGGAGGCAGAGGTTGCAGTGAGCTGAGATCACACCACTACATTCCAGCCTGGGCAATAGAGTGAGACTCTGCCTCAAAAAAAAGAGAGAGGGGAGAAAAAAAAAAAAAAAGGCCAGGTGCGGTGGCTCATGCCTGTAATCCCAGCACTTTATGAGGCTGAGGCCGGTGGATCACCTGAGGTCAGGAATTCAAGACCAGCCTGGCCAACATGATGAAAATCCGTCTCTACTAAAAATACAAAAATTAGCCAGCTGTGGTGGTGGGCGCCTGTAATCCCAGCTACTTGGGAGGCTGAGGCACAAAAATCACTTGAACTCGGGAGGTGGGGGTTGCAGTGAGCCGAGATTGTGCTACCACTAAGAAAATAACTTTAGGCTGGGTGCAGTTGCTCAAGCCTGTAATCTCAGCACCTTGGGAGTCCAAGGCGGGTGGATTACGAGGTCAGGCGATCGCGACCATCCTGGCCAACATGGTGAAACCCCGTCTCTACTAAAAATACAAAAATTAGCTGGGCGTGGTGGCATGTGCCCGTAGTCCCAGCTACTCGGGAGGCTGAGGCGGGAGAATTGCTTGAACACGGGAGGTAGAGGTTGCAGTGAGCTGAGATCATGCCACTGCACTCCAGCCTGGTGACAGAGCGAGACTTTGTCTCAAAAAGAAAAAAAGAAAGAAAGAAAGAAAGAAAGAAAGAGAAAGAAAGAAAAGAAAGAAAATAACTTTAAAGGCCGGGCGTGGTGACTCACACCTGTAATCCCAGCACTTTGGGAGGCTGACGTGGGTGGATCGCCAGAGGTCAGGAGTTTGAGACCAGCCTAGGCAACATGGCGAAACCCTGTCTCTACTAAAAATACAAAAAATTAGCTGGGTGTGGTGGCGGGCACCTGTAATACCAGCTACTCAAGAGGCTGAGGCAGGAGAATCGCTTGAACCCGGGAGGCAGAGTTTGCAGTGAGCCGAGATCACGCCATTGCATTCCAGCCTGGGCAACAAGAGCGAAACTCCATCTCAAAAAAAAAAAAAAAAAGAAAGAAAGAAAATAACTTTAAAAATTTGCCTGGGCCGGGCAAGGTGGTTCATGCCTACAATTCTAGCACTCTGGGAGGCCAAGGCGGGTAGATCACTTGAGGTCAGGAATTCGAGACCAGCCTGGCCAATGTGGTGAAACCCTGTCTACTAAAAATATGCAAATTAGCTGGGTGTCGTGGCACATGTCTACTTAGGAGGCTGAGGCAGGAGAATCATTTGAACCCGGGAGGCAGAGGTCGCAGTGAGCCAAGATTATGCCACTGCACTCCATCCTAGGTGACAAAGCAAGACTCTGTTTCAAAAAAAAAAAATTGCTAGGCACAGTGGCTCACTGTAATCCCAGCACTTTGGGAGGCCAAGGTGGGTGAATCACGAGGTCAAGAGTTCAAGACCAGCCTGGCCAACATGGTGAAACCCAGTCTCTACTAAAAATACAAGAAAACTAGCTGGGTGTAGTGGCGGGCGCCTGTAATCCCAGCTACTCAGGAGGCTGAGGCAGGAGAATTGCTTGAACCTGGGAGGCAGACGTTGCAGTGAGCTGAGATTGTGCCACTGCACTCCAGCTTGGGCGACAGAGTGAGACTTCGTCTCAAAAAAAAAAAAAATTTCCTGGCATGGTCATTCACACCTGTAATCCCAGCACTCTGGGAGGCTAAGGCAGGAGGATCACTTGAGGTTAGGAGTTCCAGACCATAGGGAGACTATGTCACTATAAGAAACTAAAAAAACTTAGTTGGGTGCAGTGGCACATACCTATAGTCCTAGCTACTTGGGAGGCTGAGGCAGGAGGATCATTTGAGCCCAGGAGTTGCAGGCTGCAGTGATCTATGGTCATGCCACTGCACTCCAGCCTGGGAAATAGAATGACACTTTGTCAAGAAGAAGGAGGAGGAGGACGGGCGCCGTGGCTCATGCTTGTAGTCTTAGTGCTTTGGGAGGCCCAGACAGGTGGATCGCTTGAGGCCAGGAGTTCGAGACTATCCTGGCCAATATGGCGAAACCTCGTTTCTACTAAAAATACAAAAATTAGCTGGGCATGGTGGCACATGCCTGTAATTCCAGCTATTCGGGAGGCTGAGGCAGGAGAATCACTTGAATCCAAGAGGTGGAGGTTGCAGTGAGCCAAGATTGCACCACTGCACTCCAGCCTGGGTGACAGAGCAAGACTCTGTCTCAAAAAAATAATAAATACATAAATAAATAAAAGGGGAATATTTCCACCAGGGGACACAGCCAAAGTCTCTGAATTACTAGCAAAAGCTGCCATCTGGGCATTGAAGACTCCTAGAATCCAGAGACAAGCAGGCTAGAAGTAGACCAACAATCTTGGCGGGGGTATTGACCCTGGTCATTAGAAGAGGTTAGGTCTTCTTCTGTTATACGATAAGGGGAAGGAAAAATGTTTCAGTGCTCTGAGGATCTGCTTGAATGCCTCTTGTTGTTATTCCCTTGCCTTGTTGTGAAGGTAAATGGATAATACAGCAACTCTGTCCTTAGAAAGGCCTGGTGACCAGAAACTCAGACCTCTCTGAGATGGGAATCTAAATCGCCTCCCCAGGTAAGTTACCAAGGCTGAAAGCGGTGGTAGCTGAGGATGAGAGGAATTTAGAAAGCCTGTAAGTTGTTTTTTTCCTTCTTTCTTTCCTTCTTTCTTTTTTTTTGAAACGGAATCTCACTCTGTAGCCCAGGCTGGAGTGTAGTGCTGTGATCTCAGCTCACTGCCACCTCTGCCTCCCGGGTTTAAGCGATTCTCCTGCCTCAGCCTCCTGAGTAGCTGGGACTATAGGCATGCGCCACCATGCCTGGCTAATTTTTGTATTTTTAGTAGAGACAGGGTTTCACCATGTTGGGCAGGATATTCTCAAATTCTTGACCTCAAGTGACCCACTCACCTCGGCCTCCCACAGTGCTGGGATTACAGGCATGAGCCACTGCGCCTGGCCTAGAAAGCCTGTAAGTTTTGATTGTGGCCCCAGGAACAACTATAGCGGAGGCAGCTATAGTTTGTCCTATAAGTCTTCCTTTTCAAAGTTTCCCCAGGGAGAGAGGCCTATCATAAATCTTGCAGGAGTTACTACTCAAACGTATATGAAGAAGTGGATGTGAAAGCAGCACAAGAATGAACACAGAGATGAAGCCACTGAGCTTCCCTTTATGGAAGGACTTCTTGTCCCTTCTACTTGGAGTACTGTCAGCAGACAGCAATCAGTCATCAACTCCTACAGCTGCAGAAAGCAACCTCACCCAAGCTCATGCCCTTTTGGGAACAGTCTGCATCCAGCAGCTGATCAAGGTATAATTTGGAAGTCTAGCCCTTTCAGGCTGGTTTGGGACAATGCCCAAGGGTCGCTGTAGCTCCAGAGCTCCTCATGAGGTCAGCTGAGGCTGCTGGGCCTTCCTTACATACAGTTTACTTTTCCTTCTGTCTAAGCCTGCTTCCTCCTCTGCCCTGGCACAGGTGTCGATCCCAAAGACACTCCCTAGCAAACATCCTGGACACTAAACTCTGACTCAGAGACTTCTTGCAAAGCTTAAACTGTGAAAATGCCCCATCATGCCCAAATACTTTAGTATTTCTTGCTAATAAGCATATTCCTCCAGCACAATCATCACAATCAGCAATGTTCAGAAATGATGGTTGTATTTAGTTATTATAGGTCTTCCGTCTTCTTCAATCTTGAATGGTTCCTTAGACTCTTTTACTTCTATGACTTTGATACTTTTCTAGATTACAGGCCATTTATTTTTATAGAATGTCTTTCCATGTAGGCTTGTCTGAGGTTTTATCATGATTAGATTCATGCACCTTTGGCAGAACAATCAGAGAATCAACGCTGTGTTCTTCCAATAGCATGATGTCAATTTGTCCCATCACTGATGTGGCTGATTTTGATCACTTGAATAACATGGTGTCTTCCAGACTTTTCCACTGTAAAGTTACTCTTTTTCTCTTTGTACTTAAGTATTTTGTGAGGAATACCTTGAAGCTATGTAAATATTCCATTCCTCATCAAACTTCCAGTTTTAAAAAAAATCTTTTTTTTAGATACTGGGTCTTGCTCTGTTGCCCAGGCTGGAGTACAGTGGCACGATCATTGCTTACCACAGTGATAATCATGATGAAACCTCAGACGAACCTAAATTAAAAGACATTCTATAAAAATAAATGGCCTGTAATCTAGTCTGAAATTCCTGGGTTCAAGCAATCCTCTGTCTCAGCCTCTGGTATGAGCCACCATGCCCAGCATCTGCCTCAGCCCGGGAATCAGCCATTCTCCAAGGGGCCCTGGTTCCTTTTGGTGGAGAATGGTATTTAGAAACCAAGAGCTGGCCAGGCGCGGTGGCTCACACCTGTAATCCCAGCACTTTAGGAGGGTGAGGTGGGCAGATCACCTGAGGCTGGGAGTTCGAGACCAGCCTGACCAACATAGAGAAACCCCGTCTCTACTAAAAATACAAAATTAGCCAGGCATGTTGGCGAATGCCTGTAATCCCAGCTATTCGGGAGGCTGAGGCAGGAGAATCGCTTGAACCCAGGAGGTGGAGGTTTCAGTGAGCCAAGATCGTGCCATTGCACTCCAGCCTGGGTGACAAGAGCAAAACTCTGTCTCAAAAAAAGTATAAATAAATAAATAAATAAAAAGAAACCGAGAGCTAAGCTGGGCATGGTGGTGTGTTCCGGTAATCCCAGCTACTTGGGAAAGAGAGGCAGAGGATTCTTCAGTCCAGGAGTTTGAGACTAGCCTGAGCAACATAGTGAGACCTCATGTCAAAAAAAAAAAAAAAGAAAGAAAAAAGAAAAGAAAGAAAAGAGAAACCAAGATCTGGGCATTATGTGTACGCATTGCTATTAGGTGTCACTGTTCTCAGGCCCTTTTTGTGGACAGAGCTAGGGAATATATGAAATATATGTATGTGTGTACATATATGTGAGCATTTATATATATAAACTTTTACATATACACACATTTACATCTATATTTATTTCTACATCCATCTATCTATATTTAAAATTATGAATTTACACTAATACCTTTCTAATCCAACACCAAATAATTCTTCTAGTTTTTTCACTTTCCACATATGTAACTCCATTTCTGCCAGTGAGAAACTTGATTCCTGCTATCCTTAACATGATGACTTATTTAATCAATCCTTCCATTTGTAAACAATCTCCTGGGTCTGTCTGTGACATCGTAAGGTATATATTTTGATCTTCATTTGCAGTTCCTGATGTAGCGCTCCTAAAAACCCTTCTAATTTCCTGAGCAATAGTGGTGCTAGGAGGATCTTTTGTTCTAATATTTGGTCTTTGACCTTGGTTCCTGACTCAGAGCTCCCAAGACTTGTGTAATTTCCTGAGTGACAGGTGCATATGATACAGAGCTCCTAAAGATCCTTGGAAATTCCTCTGATTGGTGCATCTTTTTCTAATGAGGTAACTTTTGGTACACTCCTGAATAGCCTCAGAATGGGAGCTGGTTGCCAGGGGAACCAACTATGTGATTGGAGGGTTAGAAATTTTACCCCCCCACCAACCATAGACCTCCAGGGAGGGGAGAGAGGTTGAAGGTTGAGCTGACCAGCAAAGACTGATGATCTCATCAGTCATGCCTACATAATGAAGCCCCCATAAAAACCCAAAGGGACAGGATTTGGAGAGCTTCCAGATAAGTGAACACGTGGAGGTTCCTGGAGGGAGGTGCTCCCAGAGGCGGCATGGAAGTCCTACACCCCTTCTTCCATACCTTGCCCTATGCATCTCCTCCATCCGACTGTTCATCCATCCGTATCCTTTGTGATATTCTTTAGGCGATAAATTGGTAAACATAAGTAAAAAGCATTTCCCTGAGTCTTTGAGCCACTCTAGCAAACTAATTGAACCCAAGGAGAGAGTCATGGAAACCCCACTTTATAGCTGATGGGTCAGAAGTACAGGTCAGAACCTGGGACTTGTGATTGGCATCTAAAATGGGGGACGGCTTGGCTGTGCGTGGTGGCTCACGCTTGTAATCCCAGCTCTTTGGGAGGCCGAGGTGGGTGGATCGCAAGGTCAGAAGATCGAGACCATCCTGGCTAACATGGTGAAACCCCGTCTCTACTAAAAAAAATGCAAAAAATTAGCCAGATGTGGTGGCGTGCACCTGTAGTTCCAGCTACCCGGGAGGCTGAGGCAGGAGAATGGTGTGAACCTGGGAGGCAGAGCTTGCAGTGAGCCGAGATCGCACCACTGCACTCCAGCCTGGGCTAGAGTGCGAGACTCTGTCTCAAAAAAAAAAAAAATATATATATATATAGATAGATAGATAGATAGATAGATAAATGAGGGACAGCCGGGTGCGGTGGCTCATGCCTGTAAGCCCACCACTTTGGGAGGCTGAGATAGGCAGATCACTTGAGACCAGGAGTTCAAGACCAGCCTGTGCAACATGGCAAAACCCTGTCTCTACAAAAAATACAAACAACGAGCCAAGCGTGGTGGTGTGCGCTTATAGCCCCAGCTACTCAGGAGTCTGAGGTGGGAGGATCACTGGAGCCTGGGATGTCGAGGCTGCAGTGAACTGTGATCAAGCCACTGCACTCCAGCCTGGGTGACAGAGCGAGACCCAGTCTCCAAAAAATAATAGATAAATAAATACTTAGTTGCCTCGAATTTTCTCCTAGACTTTTTCCTATACAAAGATACTTCAAATGTCCTAAAGCTATATAAACCCAGATCTCAGTAAGAATGGATTATTCACTTATCCTCAAATGTGCTCCAAGCTGTTCTCCAAGCTCTGTGCCGGATTCTTCTACCTGGCCCATCCTCCCACTGCATCTCCACAGGTCCTTTGACCTACATATCGTTCAAGTCACACTTCAGACACTATGTCCTACCTAAAGCCTTTGCCGATGTCGGCAACCCTAGACCCTCAGAGAACTGTGTATGTATCTATGACATAGCCTTTTCTGATTTATATTCTAATTACCATTCTTAGGAAACTAGAAACTAGTTCCCTGGAGACTGGTACCATTTCTTTTTCATGTCTTCACTCCCTGGAGGCCTTGCACACAGTAGAGGCTCTAAATACATTTGTCGCGTTATGTAATAAAAGTTTATATACTTTGTATTAATTTCTCGTTATGTGATACACTTTCCAGAACAATTCAACTTCCTAGTAGTCCTTTCTGGCATGAGACCTAAATTTTCTATCTCATAGAAGAGAAAGGTGTTTACTTTTCTCATCTAAAGGACAGCAAAGTGAAGGTGTTTGTCTTTTTGCCAACATGATGCCTCGGGTTATATTAGTACCAAGAGATAAAATCTAGTCTCAACATAAATTCATATTTGCCTATGTAAGCCTATATATACACACATATATACACATATATATACATATGTACATATATACATATACATATATATATGTGTGTGTGTGTGTGTGTGTGTGTGTGTGTGTATATATATATATTTCTTTTTGAGATGGAATTTCGCTCTTGTTGCCCAGGCTGGAGTGCAGTGGTGCAATGCCGGGTCACAGCAACCTCCTCTTCCTGGGTTCAAGTGATTCTCCTACCTCAGCCTCCTGAGTAGCTAGGATTACAGGCATGTGCCCTCACACCCGACTAATTTTGTTTGTTTGTTTGTTTGTTTTGAGACAGAGTCTTGCTCTGTCGCCCAGGCTGCAGTGGAGTGGCCAGATCTCGGCTCACTGCAAGTTCCGCCTCCCGAGTTCATGCCATTCTCCCGCCTCAGCCTCCCGAGTAGCCGGGACTACAGGCGCCCGCCACCATGCCTGGCTAATTTTGTTTTCGTACTTTTAGTAGAGACAGGATTTCACTGTGTTAGCCAGAATGGTCTCGATCTCCCGACCTCGTGATCCGCCTGCCTTGGCCTCCCAAAATGCTGGGATTACAGGCGTGAGCCACTGCGCCTGGCCTAATTTTGTATTTTTAGTAGAGACACGGTTTCTCCATGTTGGTCAGGCTGGTCTCGAACTCCCAACCTCAGGTGATCCGCCTGCCTCGGCCTCCGAAAGCACTGGGATTACAGGCATGAGCCACTGCGCCCAGCCATAAGCCCATATTTTTATCCTGCCCAAATCATATACCATTCTAACTTTTAAAGTTATGAAATATTGACATTTTCTCTTTTTCGCTACAATATATGCACTACTTTGCATATTGAATGCAATCATATTTTTATCTGCAGAGAGATGGCCCCAATTTCTCACTGCCCATAGCAATTATGTAACTACAGCAGGAGATCAACCTGCTTCTTTTGTGTTGGCCTTAGCATGGATTTGCATAATCTGTTCCAAAGTTGGGCATTATCGAAAATCTAGGCTACTTTGTTGTATTTTTTTCCCTATTAACTCTTTAGTGCAACCTTTTGCACTAAATCATTAGACAGTAAACACTTTGACTCAGAGGTGTCTTCTAACTTCTTTGTATCCTTCTCACAAGCCTTAGGATAACAGCACACCACAGATGTGCAATGAATGATTTCACCAAATTAGTTTTAGAGTGCTTCACTTGTTCAGGCTGTTCCTATTAATCTTGCTGTGTTTAGTAGCCAAAACAATGGACTTTTGGTGTTCTTTTCCTCATGCTTGGTTCTACTGCTTTTAGACTTGTATTTGTCTCTAGTAGCCTGCTAGACATTGCTAGACAAATTATTCAAGTTGGCAGTTTAAATAATTTTAAACTGGGTGTGATGGCTCATGCCTGTAATCCCACCAATTCAGGAAGCTGAGGTGGGAGGATCGCTTGAGGCCAAGCATTCGAGACCAGCCTGGGCAACACAGAGAGACCCTTTCTCTACAAAAATAAAAAATAAAAATTAGCCAGGTATGGTGGCACATGCCTGTAGTCCTAGCTAGTTGGGAGACTGAGGCAGGAGGACTGCTTGAGCCCAGGGCGTTGAGGTTACAGTGAGTAGTGATTGCCCCATTGCACTCCAGCCTGGGCAACAGAGTGAGATCCTGTCTCTAAAAAAATAAAAAATAATAAATATTTTAAGCTTCTGTTCATATAAGGGGACTTGAAATAGAAAGAACTGAGTGAAGAAAGAAGGGTTGGGGACCATGAAGAAGCTCTCCTGTGTATTAACAGAAACTCTTACTGGCAATTGCCTATGGTAGACTATTTATATCCCCCCAAAAGCTATCCATGTCTTAATCCCTGGAATCTGTGACTGTTACCATATATGGCAAAAATGGATGTTACATTGTGGATTTTGAGGCCGGGTGCCTGTAATCTCGGCACTTTGGGAGGCTGAGGCGGGCGGATCAACTGATGTCAGGAGTTCAAGACCAGCCTGGCTAACATGTTGAAATCCGGTCTCTACAAAAATACAAAAATTAGCAGGGCATGATGACGGGTGCCTATAATCCCAGCTACTTGGGAGGCTGAGGTGGGAGAATTGCTTGAACCCGGAAAGCAGAGGTTACAGTGAGCCAAGATCATGCCATTGTACTCCAGCCTAGGCAACAGAGTGAGACTCCATCTCAAAAAAAAAAAAAAAAAATTATGGATTTTGAGATGGAGTGATTATCCTGTATTATTTGGTGGGCCCTAACTGGAATTACATATGTCCTTAGAAGACGGAGGCAAAGGGAAATTTGATAGACAAGGAGAAGGCAATGTGACCACAGATGCAGGGATTCGAGCACTCCACAAGCCAAGGAGTGCTCAACAGCCACCAGAGGCTGAAGGAGGCAATTAACTTATTCCAGAGCCTCTGGAGGGATCACAGCCCTGCTGACACCTTTATTTGACCCAGTGATACTGATGAACTAACTTCTGGTCTCTAGAACTGCAAAGGAATACATTTCTGGTTTTGTGTGTGTGTGTGTGTGTGTGTGTATTTTTTTTTTGCCCAGAGTCTCACTCTGTTGCCCAAGCTGGAGTGCAATGGTGTGGCCTTGGCTCATTGCAACCTCTGCCTCCCGGGTTCAAGCAATTCCCCTGCCTCAGCCTCCCGAGTAGCTGGGACTACAGGTGCTTGCCACCACACCCGGCTAATTTTTGTATTTTTAGTAGAGACAGGGTTTCATAATGTTGGCCAGGCTGGTCTTGAACTCCTGCCCTTGTGACCCACCCGCCGTGGCCTCCCAAAGTGCTGGGATTACAAGCTTGAGCCACCACTCCTGGCTCATTTCTGTTGCTCTAAAGCCACCGAGTTTGCAGTAATTTGTTATGGTGGCTTATATAACAAATACAGGAAACTAATACAGTATCTCATTTCTCAAATGTTTCTATCTTTTCTTTTTCTCCTCTCCTTTTTTAGCCTATATATGTATTAAAACTCCCATTTTATTCTTTCTTTTTTTCCTAATAGGTTTTCTCTGTGGGTATCTCTAAGAAAATAACCTTTCATATTCTTTTCAGTTTCCTTAGATGTTGGATTTCAAACCAATTTAATAAACATTTAGTGGCCATCAGCTATGGGTCTGAAATTGTTTAGGTACCTTGGAGAAACATAAAAAATAAACATAAACTTCATCCTTACACATCTGTAAATTATTTGGGAAACAGTTTACATAGTACTATGAGCCACACGCCTGTAATCCTAGCACTTTGGGAGGCCAAGGCGGGCAGACTACCTGAGGTCAGGAGTTCAAGAACAGCCTGGCCAACATGAGGAAACTCTGTCTCTACTAAAAATACAAAAATTAGCCAGGTGTGGTGGCGTGCGCCTGTAATCCCAGCTATTCCAGAAGCTGAGGCAGGAGAATCACTTGAACCCGGGAGGAGGAGGTTGCAGTGAGCCAAGATCGCACCATTGCACTCCAGCCTGGGTGGTAAGAGTGAAACTCCATCTCAAAAAAAAAAAAAAAAAAAAGTACTATGAGCCATTGTGTGATCAAATCTACGAGTAAGTGCCAAAGTCAAAAAGAGCAGTAAAAATTCAGGAAAGTGGATAATCTGTGAGGGGACTGGAGGGTACTGGGTTGGTTTTACTGAGTATGTAGATTTTATTTTTTTTGAGGCAGAGTCTCACTCTATCACCCAGGCTGGAGTGCAGTGGTGCAGTCTCAGCTCACTGTAACCTCTGCTCCCCACCGACCCCACACTAGGTTCAAGCAATTCTCCCACCTCAGCCTCCCAAGTAGCTGGAACTACAGGTGCACGCCACCATGCCCGGTTAATTTTTGTATTTTTAGTAGAGACGACGTTTCACCATGTTGGCCAGGCTGGTCTTGAACTCCTGACCTCAAGTGATCTGCCGCCTTGGCCTCCCAAAGTGCTGGGATTACAGGTGGGAGCCACAGTGCCCAGCCTGAATAGGTGGATTTTAAAGGTAGGCATCTGAACAAAAGGAGAGGACTTCAGATTTTATTCTTGGGGCAGTGGAAATTTGGTTAAGAATTCCCTCCTCAGTTCGATTTCTTTTTGCATTATAAAAGTAATCTAGACTTTTCTTAAAACATTTCAGAAACATAAAAATTAGAATGCAAAATTCTCCCATAATCTCCAGTACTCCCAGAGAAAAGCTTTGCTAACAAGTTGAAATAGTCCAGATTTTTTTCTGTGCATATGGTAATACGTTTTTATAAATATTACAGCAGTGGAATCATGCTGTAAATACTTTTTTTGCAAACTGCCATTAAAGACTTTGAGCAAAATTAAATAGAAGCCATATTTTAAGATGATTATCTTTTGGCAACATGCACATAGATGTCCCTAATCCTTTCTAATTCATTTTGAGCTGTACTGAGGGGAGAAATGGCAACAGAGGGAGTAAAGGGCTGTCATAATAGTCTGGGCAAAAATATGGGTAGGGACTATGGCAGCAGCTGATGGAATTGGGGATTGAGAACTTTTTTCTATTATTTCAAGATCTTGGGCCACATAAATGAAAACAGAATTCGCTCTTTCACCTTTGAGAGGGGAAAATATAAAAGAGTGAATTCATCCATATTTTAAGATAGTCATATGCTCTAATTATGGTACTAGTGGCTGAAAAGGGAAGAAATTGCTTCCTAAGCAGTGACAGTGAGGCTAAAATGGTATTTTGAATACAACGATGTCTTTTTTGATTACAAAAGCATTACATAATTATAAAAGCATTTGTAGAAAACATGGAAAATATTGAAAAGTCAAACAAAAAATAAAAATCACCCAAAATTCTGTCACTCAGCTGCAAACTCCATGTACATTTTGGCTTATGTCCTTTCAGACATTTTCTTGTGCAACTGTATGAACATACATATACTTAAAAAAAAAACGAAATTGGGATAATCCAAAATACTGCTTTGTGACTGATATGGTTTGGTTCTGTGTCCCCACCCAAATCTCATGTTGAATTGTAATCCCCAATGTTGGCGGGGACCTGATAGGAGGTGATTGGATCATGGGAGTGGATTTTCTTCTTGCTGTTCTCATGACAATTAGTAAGTTCTCATGAAATCTGGTTGTTTAAAAGTATGTAGCACTTCCCCCTTCACTTTTTCGGCTTCTCCATCATGATTGTAAGTTTCCTGAGGCCTCCCAGCCATGCTTCCTGTACAGCCTGCAGAACTGTGAGTCAATTAAACCTCTTTTCTTCATAAATTACCCAGTCTTGGGTAGTTCTTTATAATAGTGTGAGAACAGACTAATACAGTGACATACAATTTTTTTGTCGTTGTTTTTTGTTTTTTTTTTGAGACGGAGTCTCACTCTGTCGCCCAGGCTGGAGTGCAGTGGAGCGATCTCGGCTCACTGCAAGCTCCGCCTCCTGGGTTCACGCTATTCGCCTGCCTCAG
Source organism: Homo sapiens (assembly GCF_000001405.40). Lineage (NCBI taxonomy): Eukaryota > Metazoa > Chordata > Mammalia > Primates > Hominidae > Homo > Homo sapiens. The sequence goes on along the minus strand of NC_000015.10, from coordinate 51,985,856 downwards.
CCTCCCGAGTAGCTGGGAGTACAGGCGCCCACCACCATGCCGGGCTAATTTTTTGTATTTTTAGTAAAGACGGGGTTTCACCGTGTTAGCCAGGATGGTCTTGATGTCCTGACCTTGTGATCTGCCCGCCTCGGCCTCCCAAAGTGTTAGGATTACAGGCGTGAGCCACTGCGCCTGGCCGGGTTTTTTGTTTTTTGTTTTTTTGAGACAGTGTCGCTCTGTCACCCAGGTTGGAGTGCAATGGTGCAATCTCAGCTCACTGCAACCTCCATCTCCCAGGTTCAAGAAATTCTCCTGCCTCAGCCTCCTGAGTAGCTGGGATTACAAGCATGCGCCACCACACCCAGCTAATTTTTGTATTTTTAGTAGATATGGGGTTTCGCCATGTTGGTCAGGCTGGTCTCAAACTTCTGACCTCAAGTGATCTGCCCACCTCGGCCTCCCAAAGTGTTGGGATTGTAGATGTGAGCCACCGTGCCTGACCATGATATACAATATTTTATTTTATTTATTAAAGATGGGGTCTCACTCTGTCACCCAGGCTGGAGTGCAGTTGTGTGATTGTGGCTCATGGTAGCCTGGAACTCCTGGACTAAAGCACTCCTCCTGCCTCAGCCTCCTGAGTAGTTGGGACTACAGGTGCATGCCACCACACCCAGCTAATTAAAAAAATTTTATATAGAGATTGGGTCTCACTATGTTCCCCAGCGTGGTCTACAACTCCTGGGCTCAAGTGATCCTCCCACCTCATCCTTCCAAAGTTGTAAGCCACCACACTCAGTCAACAATTTTTGCCTGGCAATATGTTATAAGCATCTTCCCATGACTTTGAACAGTCTTTTAAAAATCTTTGGTTTTTAAGTTAATATTTTTATTCTTCTTGTTGATTATAGTAGTGATACAATTTCATTGCAAAAGTGCGAAACAAAAAACAAAACAAACTCACAGAAGTATATAAAGTGGAACATGACAGTCTTCCCATAATCTCACTTCCCAGAGATATAGAGCTGTGCTGCATCCTGCCTGCACTAGCCCATTTAAGCTGATTGTGTAGATCTCTTCCCAAGTGTGTACAATAACTATACATTGACAGCTTGAAATCAGCCATGGCAGGAATATTTGCACCATGAAATTAGCAAACACCACATATCAGGGCTTTTCTTCCCCCCCGGAGAACTGGTTGTTAAGCTTTTACTAGCGCATCACTGTACACATCCTCCTAGACATTTACTGCATATTTAAATATTTGTTTCTGGCCGGGCACGGTGGCTCATGCCTGTAATCCCAGCACTTTGGGAGGCTGAGGCGGGCGGATCACGAGGTCAGGAGATCAAGACCATCCTGGCTAACACGGTGAAACCCTGTCTGTACTAAAAATACAAAAAAAAAAAAAAAAAAAAAAAAAAAAATTAGCCGGCGTGTTGGCAGGCGCCTGTAGTCCCAGCTACTCGGGCGGCTGAGGCAGGAGAATGGCGTGAACCCGGAAGGCGGAGCTTGCAGTGAGCCGAGATTGTGTCACTGTACTCCAGCCTGGGCGACAGAGCGAAACTCCATCTCAGAAAAAAAATTTGTTTCTGAAAACATAGAAAACATCCAGTTTCCTAACTGGCTTTAGTGATTCAACAATATATGATGCTCCTTTCTTCAATACACATTCATCAACCTAATCCTTTTTATTTGCTACTTAGTATTCCACTGTGTAACTGCATCATTATAATTTATTTGAACAATTCTCTATTGATGGGTGTTTTGATGGGTTCCAATTTCTGGCTATTATAAACAAAGTTTTGGTGATTTTTTTTCATCTATTTGCACATCTGTCAAATTACTTTCTTAACATCAATTTCTAGACTGGATTTTTTTTTTTTAATGAGACAGTATCTTGCTCTTTCACCCAGACTAGAGTGAAGTGGCATAATCATAGTTCACTGCAGCCTTGAACTTAGACATGGAAATATTTAATCAAAGAGTATAGCCATTTACAGTTTAGATAGATAATACCAAATTGCCCTTTCAAAAGGCTGTCTTATTATTATTTTAGTAATAATTATTATTAAAATCTTGCTCTGTCACCTAGGCTGGAGTGCAGTGGCATGATCATGGCTCACTGCATCCTCAACCTCCCAGGCTCAAGTGATCCTCCCACCTCAACCTCCAAAGTAGCTGGGACTACAGGCATGTGCCATGCCAGCTAATTTTTAAATTTTTTTATAGAGACAGTGTCTTGGTATGTTGCCCAGGCTGGTCTCCAACTGCTGGGCTCAAGCAATCCACCCACCTAGGCCTCCCAAAGTGCTGGGATTCCAAGCAAGAGCCACCACATCAGCCCTGTTGTCCTGTTTTTTTTTGTTGTTGTCGTTTTTTGTTTGCTTGTTTTGAGACGGAGTTTCGCTGTTGTTGCCCAGGCTGGAGTGCAATGGCGTGATCTCTGCTCACTGCATCCTCCGCCTCCTGGGTCCAAGTGATTCTCCTGCCTCAGCCTCTGAGTAGCTGGGATTACAGGCCACCACTTCCAGCTAATTTTGTATTTTTAGTACATACGGGGTTTCTCCATGTTGGTCAGGCTGGTCTCGAACTCCCGACCTCAGGTGATCTGCCCACCTTGGCCTCCCAAAGTGCTGGGATTACAGGCATGAGGCACCACGCCCAACCTAAAAAAAAATTCTAAAGGTTAATATTGTTTTTGCAAATAGAAATTTATGACCCTGGGATATTTTTTGGCTGTTTTCCTATTAGTTACTTCTTTCTGACATTTTAGGCCCAGGATTCTAACCCATTTTCCTACCCAAATTTTGATTTTGTGTTAAGTAGCAGATAAAAAGTGTGTACATGTGTGTTTGCACATCTGAAAGTTAAACTTATCCATACATCACTATGAATCATGATTAACCTAAAATGTCACACCCATTTAAAGAAAGGAATTAATCCTGCCTGTCATTTCCTCATTGAGTAAGGAAATAAACTGCAGTCAAGGAAGTAAAATCTTCACTGGATTCTTTAGGGAAATTTCATCTTATGGAGCCCAAGAAAAAATTTAAAAATTTCCTTAAAAGGTAACAGTTACTTTATATAAATGATTACTTTATCAGCAGATGCATACAAATCAGAGTGCCTATAGTTGAAAAATATTTTCTTAGTGTTTTCTAGTCTGAAAAATACCTTTTTTATTTTTTTTTACTTGGGAAAAACACGAAAAAACACTGCCTCATTTTATCATAAGAAGTGTTTTGATTGCTATCTAAAGGCAGTATTCTTCAAGTCTCCTCTTATCTAAGACCTCCTTCACCACCACCAACACAGGACATTTTCTTTCTAAAGAAAAATTAGTAAGTGTATAGTGTATGTGTGAGTGTGTATGTGTGTGTACCTCATTTTACATATGATTGAGATCTCTTTAGGGTATACCATCACCATCTTGTGGCCTTTTGCCATATTACTGTTAAGGATGTTAATACTGCAATGCTTTTTTGCCATTGCAAGCATGAAATTCAGCATTATCTCCTCTTGGTAGTCCTCTGTGGGTGAGATGAAATATACTGAGGGCCAGATGCAGCCTGCGTGCCAGCAGTCCCCACCCGCCGACGAGATAGTATCTCTGCAGTTATGCTGTGTTCTCACACGATTCTAAATCAGCCAGTTGGATAAGGAAATCCAGTGAAAGATCTAATCAGAGCAGTTTTGCTGTAAAGTGAAATTTTCAGTTTTGCTTTGTGTTTGAGCCGGATCTGTTTTAGTGGTTCCTTTCTATTTGTAAAATTTTGGTTGGCAGGGAAGTCTACATTTCCTGATGTTTCTCTCTGTCTCTGTGTTTGTGCTGTTGGGATGTTTTCACATTTTTGTTTCAATATTTCCCCACCTCAGTACTATTTTATTATGTGCCTTAAAAAATTATTTTTCCATCCCCTTCTGTCACTCCTTTCCCTTTGTATTCTTAATCTATTTTTTTCCGTCCTTTCTTTCCTTCCTTATACTTCTCATTTTCAGTTTCTTTGATATCTTTTCTGCATATCGTTTTTCTTATTCAGCTTCCTCCACTAACACCCACAGCACCCTCCGTACCCCATCCTCCTTTCTTTGTTCCTTCTGATTCTTTCCTCCAGTAGTTGTTCCTGCTCTGGTGTTGAGTACGCTGACCTCATCCTGCCTGCTGCAAAGGTCTTTTTAGGACATAGCTCTCTGGTAACCCTCAAGCTTCAGGAAGGAGTCTAAAGTCTATCTATTCCAGGAAGCGGGTTCCTAAACCCAACCCTATATTTAAAAGGTTCCAAAAGGACAAACTTTGCTTCTGTCCTAAGAAATAATTTCTGACTCATTACCTTTATTCTGTTCTTTTTTTCTTCACATAAGTCTGAATTTTCTTTTTTTTCTTTTTCTTTTTTTTTTTTGAGACGGAGTCTCGCTCTGTCACCCAGGCTGGACTGCAGTGGCACGATCTCGGCTCACTGCAAGCTTCGGCCTCCCATTCATGCCATTCTCCTGCCTCAGCCTCCGGAGTAGCTGGGACTACAGGCGCCCGCCACCACACGCGGCTAATTTTTTGTATTTTTAGTAGAGACGGGGTTTCACCGTGTTAGCCAGGATGGTCTTGATCTCCTGACCTCATGTTCCGCTGGCCTCGGCCTCCCAAAGTGCTGGGATTACAGGCATGAGCCACCGCACCCGGCCGATAAGTCTGAATTTTCATAGGAAGCATATTGGAACCTTTTCCAAGCTTATATTTGCATGTCCAAACTCTCATTTGTATAGGGAGTAATTTATATACTAGTGCTTTGGAGATGACACTTGAATCTTATAAAAAGCAAGTTAGATTAATGGTGGTGGAGGAAAGAGGTTCAGGAAAGGGGTTTGCTATCATTTTAGAAAACAGCTTACATTTAATTATGGGAAGTATGTTTTCTGTCTTTTTCTGGATACCCTGCAAATGCTTCCATGAGGTAATCAGCTCTACGTTGAAATAGCTTTTGTGGCTGGGTGCGGTGGCTCATGCCTGTAATCCCAACACTCTGGGAGGCTGAGGTGGGCGGACCACCTGAGGTCAGGAGTTCAAGGCTAACCTGGCCAACATGGTGAAACCCCATCTCTACTAAAAAATATAAAATTTAGCTGGGCGTGGTGGTATGCGCCTGTAGTCCCAGCTACTGGGGAGGCTGAGGCAGGAGAGTCGCTTGAACCCAGGAGGTGGAGGTTGCAGTGAGCCAAGATTCTGCCACTGCACTCCAGTCTGGGCAACAGAGCAAGACTCTGTCTAAAAAAAATAGCTTCTGTAATTCCAACTGGTAAATAGCTCCAAACACACAAAAAAATACTTGAGGCAACTAATGTGATGCCCAGTTTATGATGTATTATGCATCCTAGATACCAAACTGGTAGGAAAATTGTAGTTCAACAAAGGATATGCTACCTAAACAAAGGTTTTTTCCTGCTTATTCTAAAACAAATACATGTTCATTGTGGAAACCCTAGAAAATATTAAAATGAACAAAAAAATAAAATCTCAGCATCCAGAGTTAACTAAACACTACTGACATTTTGGTATCCACATTTTTTTTTCTTTTTTTTTTTTAAGACAGTTTTGTTCTTGTCACCCAGGCTGGAGTGCAATGGAGTGGTCTCGGCTCACCACAACATCTGCCTCCCAGGTTCAAGTGATTCTCCTGCCTCAGCCTCCCAAGTAGCTGGGATTACAGGTGCCCGCCACCACGCCCGGCTAATTTTTGTATTTTTAGTAGAGATGGGGTTTCACCATGTTGGCCAGGTTAGCCTTGAATTCCTGACCTCAGGTGATCTGCCCACCTTGGCCTCCCAAATCACTGGGATTACAGGTGTGAGCCACCGCGCCCGGCCCTTCTACTTCTAATTTTAATTTTGAATATGCTCATTTGGTACAAAATTCAAAAGGTACAGAGTGTAAAGTAATGTTTCTCTTCTCTCCTCCAGTTTTCTAGCTCCTTCTCTTGGAGGCAAGCACTGGGTCCAGCTTCTGATGCAGTCTTCCAGCAACAGTCTCTCTGTTTACATGCTAGACACACACACATATTCACATTTTTTTACTTTTATTTTTTGGAGACAGGGTCTCACTTTGTCACCCAGGCTGGAGTGCAGTGGCGCAATCTCTGCCTTATTATACTCTCGACCTCCCAGGCTCAAGTGATCCTCCCATCTCAGTCTTCCAAGTAGCTGGGACTACAGGCACATGTCACCACATCCAGTTAATTTTAGTATTTTTCGTAGTGATGGGGTTTCGCCTTATTTCCCAAGTTGGTCTCAAACTCCTAAGCTCAAGTAATCCGCCCACCTTGGCCTCCCAAAGTGCTAGGATTACAGGCATGAGCCACCATGCCCAGCCTATATTTAAATTTTAATGGTAGCTTTATATAAATATTATTCAGAATGTTTTTTCCTCCTCCTTACCATGTATCTTGGAAATAAAATATTCTTTACTAAAATTATTAGTGTGTGGTGTTAAGTTTTAAAAGTCAAATAATCCTACTAAACTGAAAATATGTTTATGTTATTATGTCTGAGCAAGTCTTCTTAGCTGTGTAGCTTAGGGCAAAGTTTCTTAGCTTCTCTGTTCTTCCTTCTCCCTTTCTTTCTTTCTCTTTCTTTCCTTCCTTCCTTCCTTTTCTTTCTCTTTTTTTCTTTCTTCTTTCCTTCTTTCTCTTTTCCCTCCTTCCTTCCTTCCTTTCCTTCCTTCTCTTCCTTCCCTCCCTCCCTCCCTTCCTTCCTTTCTTTCTCTCTTTTTTTTTTCAAGGTCTCACTCTGTCACCCCGGCTGGGGTGCAGTGGCATGATCATGGCTCACTGCAGCCTTGACTTCCCAGCCTCAAATGATCCTCATGCCTCAGCCTCCCAAGTAGCTGGGACTACAGGGGTGAGCCACTATTCCTGGCTAATTTTTTTGTGACCAGGTCTCACTATGTTGCCCAGGCTGGTCTTGAACTCCTGGACTCAAACGATCTGCCCACCTTGGCCTCCCAAAGTGTTGGGGTTATCGGTGTGAACCACCATGCTTGGCCCCTTCAAATTCTTGACATGTAAAATGGGAGGAATGTAATGTAATCTATGTTATAGGGTTGTTGTGAAAATGGAATAAGTTAGTTCTAGTCCACAATCCCTTTTTCAAAATTCTGAAATCCAAAAATCTCTGAAATTGTTTTCTTTTAAAAGTTTTTTTCTTGTTTTGTTTTTTTAATGGGGTTATAAGGTAATCCCCCCAAAAAATCTCTGAAATTGAGCGTACTTTCATAACTCATTTTGGTGGCAAATGCTGACCCAAACTGATCTAAACCTATTTAAACTTTATCACTCTTAGTTTGAATTTTCATACATTTTACTATAGAAATTTAATTTTGATTATAGGATGCTGGTCAGCCCCTGCTGGGTGTGGTAATAGAGTTTAGATACCGTATTACCTTTTTGAAATCTGGGCATGGTGGCTCACGCCTGGAATCCCAGCATACTGGGAGGCCAAGGCCGGTGGATCACCTGAGGTCAGGAGTTTGAGACCAGCCTGGCCAACATCCCAAAACCCTGTCTCTACTAAAAATACAAAAAATTAGCTGGGTATGGTGGTGTGTGCCTCTAAGCCCAGCTAGTCGGGAGGCTGAGGCAGGAGAATCACTTGAACCCAGGAGACGGAGGCTGCAGTGAGCTGAGATTACACCACTGTACTCCAGCTTGGGCGACAGAGCAGGACTCTGTTACAAAAAAAAAAAAATTAAACTGTCATCAGTAATTCCTTTTGCTTCTTTCCATTGTTGGTTTTCCTATCTCAACAGCTTTTCTCTTCCTTGGTTTAGTGGACCACCTCATTTTGGTGGACAATTCATAGACTGTAAAATATTTGAGCAACCTTACCAGTTGCTAAGGCTGCATAACAAAATACCTCAAAACTTAGTGTACTATGCCACAGCACCCATTTATGGTCTCCTGGTTACTCTGAGACAATTGAGGAAAGGCTCAGCTGGGCACTTGTGGCCTGGGCTCCTTCACTGAGGTGGCATCCAAATGGTGGCTGGGGCCAGGTATGGTGTCTTGTTCCTATAATCCCAGTACTTTAGGAGGCCAAGGTGGGAGGATCGCTTGAGGCCAGGAGTTCGAAGTCATTCTGAGCAACATAGTGAGACCCTGTCTCTACAAAAAAATAAAAAGTTAGCCAGGTACAGTGGCACATGCCTGTAATCCCGGCTACTCAGGAGGCCGAGGTGGGAGGATCAGTTGAGCCCAGGAGTTCAAGGCTGCAGTGAGCTGTAATCACACCACTTGACCTCCAGCCTGGGTGACAGAGGGAGACTTTGTCTCAAACAAAACAAAACAACAACAACAAAATAAATGGAGGCTGGAGTAGGAACTGTAGGAGGGCGATAACAGATGGGGGTTGGCCTGGCATCTCTCTTCATTTGGTCTCCCTGTGTGGCCTCCTTTGGGCTTTTTCACAGCATGGAGCCTCAGGGTAGTTGCACTGCATACATAGAGGCTAGTTTCCTTCGGATACCATTACTCTTTCCTTTATTTAATGATAGTTTGGTGAGTACAGAATTCTAAGATGGATCGGCCGGGCGCAGTGGCTCACGTCTGTAATCCTAGCACTTAGTGAGGCCAAGGTGGATGGATTGCCTGAGCTCAGGAGCTCGAGACCAGCCTGGACAATATGGTGAAATCCCGTCTCTACCAAAATACAAAAAATTAGCCGGGCGTGGTGGTGTGCACCTGTAATCCCAGCTACTCGGGAGGCTGAGGCAGGAGAATTGTAGAACCTGGGAGGCAGAGGTTGCAGTGAGCCAAGATCGTACCACTGCACTCCAGCCTGGGCAACAGAGAGAGACTCCATCCCCCTTCCCCCAAAAATAATAATAATAATTCTAGGATGGATAATTTTCCTTCAGAATTTTATTTTATTAATTTATTTTTTTGAGACAGAGTCTTGCTCTATCTCCCAGGCTGGAGAGCAGTGGCTTAATCTAGGCTCCTGCATCCTCCGCCTCCCGGGTTGAAGCGATTCTCCTGCTTCAGCTTCCTGAGTAGCTGAGATTACAGGAGTGCGACCGCCAAGCCCGGCTAATTTTTGTATTTTTAGTAGAGATGGGGTTTCACCATTTTGGTCAGGCTGGTCTTGAACTCCTGACTTCATGATCCGCCTGCCTCGGCCTCCCAACGTGCTGAGATTATAGGTGTGAGCCACCACACCCGGCCTCCTTCAGGATTTTAAAGACAATTCCACATAGTTCTAACTCTCAGAATTGTTTAGAAATCTGACAACATTTTAATTCCAGATTCTTCATATGCCAGCAGATTTTTCTCTCTAGAAACTTTTAGAATTTTTTTTTTAATCCCCAGTGTTCTGAAATTTTATAGTGAATCAGGGAATGAATTTGATAAGCTGGTCAATGTTCTTGTTTGAGTTTTACGTTCTGCTCAATTTTATGTCTCAATAACTGCGTTCCCTCTGGTCACTTCATTAATATAGTTTGAATCTTCCTAAGAAACCTTTCCTGACTAACCCCCATCTTCACTGATCATTTTCTGGCTTTCAATTTTTAGTACCTCTACATAGTTTATAATTAACTTCTTTTTTTTTTTTTTTTTTTTGAGATGGGAGTCTCGCTTTGTCACCCAGGCTGGAGTGCAGTGGCACGATCTCAGCTCACTGCAACCTCTGCCTCCCGGGTTCAAGCGATTCTTCTGCCTCAGCCTCCCGAGTAGCTGGGACTACAGGCATGTGCCACCACGCCCGGCAAATTTTTTATATTTTTAGTACAGATGGGGTTTCACCGTGTTAGCCAGGATGGTCTTGCTTTCCTGACCTCGTGATCCGCCCGCCTCGGCCTCCCAAAGTGCTGGGATTACAGGCGTGAGCCACCGTGTCCAGCCCCCCAAACTCTTTTATATGAAGAAATATGTTTGTCATTATTTTTATATCCCTATAGCACCCATTGTGGGACCCTAATTCAGTAATTCAGTAAGGAATCCAGTAAAGGCAGACTGTTAGTGAATATCATGTGTCTTCCAAGAAATCAGCTGAGTATTTACTTACTGCTATAGAGAGAAACTACAAGGTTCCTCTCTTGCTCTCTTTAATTCAGATCAGCCTGTTCCCTTCTAAAGGCCAACTCCTTCCACAAAGTGCTCAGAAAAGCCACATGATCCTCCTGTGGAGTGGCAGTTTACCATAAATGGAGTGAATTTTCAGTGAATATATTCTGTTTAATCAATCTGTTATTTTTCCTCTAAGTCGTTAAGGTGTTACACAAATTTAAAAACATATATTCCTTTTTGTGTGATTTGGTGTAAGTATATATTTTATACTTTTTTTTTTTAGACGGAGTCTTGCTCTGTCTCCAGGCTTGAGTGCAGTGGCGCGATCTTGGCTCACTGCAACCTCCGCCTCCCGGATTCAAGCGATTCTCCTGCCTCAGCCTCCTGAGTAGCTGGGACTACAGGTGCATGCCACCCCACCCAGCTAATTTTTGTATTCTTAGTAGAGACGAGGTTTCACCATGTTGGCCAGGATGGTCTTGATCTCTTGACCTCGTGATCCACCTGCCTTGGCCTCCCAAAGTGCTGGGATTACAGGCGTGAGCCACCGCGCCCGGCCTGTTGAGTATTTTTTTGATTACCTTGTAAAAATGTTTGTGATGATACATTAATTGTATTGTGTTATGTACTCAACCTCATTGAATCTTTGTTCTTCGGGTTCTATGGTATCTAAAAAGATATTATTCTGAGGATCTAGCTTCACCTTATGAAAGCAGAACGTTCTTTCAAAAACTGAAAGAACGAAGATAAAGCCACTCTGAAGTTGTTTTATTTAATCACACACCTAATAGATGAAATTCTCAGGCCTGGTGCGGTGGCTGACGCCAGTAATCCCAGCATTTGGGAGGTTGAGGTGGATGGATCACCTGAGGTCAGGAATTCAAGACCAGCCTGGCCAACATGGTGAAACCCTGTCTTTACTAAAAATACAAAAATTAGCTGGGCATGGTGGTGCATGCCTATAGTCCCAGCTACTTGGGAGGCTGAGACAGGAGAATCACTTGAAGCCGGGAGGCGGAGGTTGCAGTGAGCCAAGGTCATGCCACGGCACTCCAGCCTGGGTGACAGAGCAAGACTCTGTCTTGCGGGGGGGGAAAAAAGAAATTCTCCATTCCTAGGAACAAATGTCAAGATCATCTTTTTTTTTTTTTTTTTTTTTTTGAGACGGAGTCTCGCTCTGTCTCCCAGGCTCGGGTGCAGTGGCGTGATCTCAGCTCACTGCAAGCTCCGCCTCCTGGGTTCATGCCATTCTCCTGCCTCAGCCTCCCCAGTAGCTGGGACTACAGGTGCCCGTCACCATGCCCTGCTAACTTTTTTTTAAATATTTTTAGTAGAGACGGGGTCACTGTGTTAGCCAGGATGGTCTCGATCTCCTGACCTTGTGATCCACCTGCCTCGGCCTCCCAAAGTGCTGGGATTACAGGGGTGAGCCACCGTGCCCGGCCTGTCAAGATCATCTTAACATTCAAAGTTAAATTAGTTGAACACAAACCAAATAGGATTAAATTCTCCATCTCTGGGGGTAAATGAAGTTATTTAGCACTGTAAACTTTAATCAAACTGGGTGTAGTGGCTTACACCTGTAATTCCAACACTTTTGGAGGCCAAGACACGAGGATCACTTGAGGCCAGGAATTCAAGACCAGTCTAGGCAACATAGTGAGACCTTGTTTCTATATATTTTTTTAAGTTTTTAAAAAAGTATTAAAAATAAAATAAACTTCAATCAAAGTGATAACCTCAGGTAAGAAATACTGCAAAATGATTGTGATTGATTTACCTTAAGTCCAATCTCATGTATTATATCCTTTATGAAGAAAGATAATGAGTAGAAGAGCAATGGTCAGCATAAAGTGTAACCAAAACAAGGCTGGGCACGGTGGCTCAGGCCTGTAATTCCATCACTTTGGGAGGCCAAGGCGGGTGGATCACCTGAGGTCAGGAGTTTGAGACCAGCCTGACTAACATGATGAAATCCCATCTCTACTAAAAATACAAAATTAACCGGATATGGTGGCGCATGCCTGTAATCCCAGCTACTCAGAAGGCTGAGGCAGGAGAATCACTCGAACCCGGGAGGTGGAGGTTGCAGTGAGCTGAGATCACGCCATTGTACTCCAGCCTGGGCAACAAGAGCGAAACTCTGTTTAAAAAAAAAAAGTGTAGCCAAAACATAAACAAAAAAATCTGTCCAAGAGTCAGAAGTGATTTGTTTTATACTATTCATATGGGAAAAACACGTTTATTCTGATAGCCAGGAATATGGACATGGTGACTCACCAGACCAAACTGTAATTCAATTTATTAAGATTTAGCCAGGCACTGTGGCCCATACTTGTAATCCCAACGTGTTAGGAGGCCGAGGCAGGAGGACCTCTTGAGGCCAGGAGTTTGAGGCTGCAGTGAGCTATGATGGCGCCACTGCGCTCCAGCCTAGGCAACAGAGACACTGTATCAAAAGAAAATAAATTTAATCAAAGTACTTTTCAGGGACAGTACTCTAAATGAAAATGAAACTGAATCACTGTCAAATGGAATACTTGTTTTTCCAGTATTCCAGATAGTTTTCAGGTTATCTATGTATCTTCTCTTGCAACATCCGCTTCATACACAAAAGCTCTAGGATTGATGATTACATACCCAGTCCCACCCATTTGGACCCTGTTAAGCACTGAAGTTTACTACAAAAATATATATCATATAATCTCCAAACTAAATATTCATTGTTGCTTGTCCAAGACCAAAACTCTCATAATGGCCTAATTAGGTAATGTAACACAGGATGTACTCTTTTCTCACTTTTTCTTCTAAGAAACAGAGCCTTACTCTGTCACTCAGGCTAGAGTGAAGTGGCGTGATCATAGCTCACTGCAGCCTCCAACTCCTGGGCTCAAGTGATCCTCCATTCTCAGTTTCCTGAGTAGCTAGGGCTACAAATGCATGCCATCATGCCTGGCTAATGTTTTTATTTTTAATTATTTTATTTTATTATTATTATTTTTTTGAGATGGAGTCTCGTGCCCAGGCTGGAGTGCAGTGGCGCGATCTCGGCTCACTGCAAGCTCCGCCTCCTGGGTTCACGCCATTCTCCTGCCTCATCCTCCCTAGTAGCTGGGACGACAGGCGCCCACAACCACGCCCGGCTAATTTTTTTTATTTTAGTAGAGACGGGGTTTCACCGTGTTAGCCAGGATGGTCTCGATCTCCTGACCTCGTGATCCACCCGCCTCGGCCTCCCAAAGTGCTGGGATTACAGGCGTGAGCGACCGCGCCCGGCCAAAAAAATGGTCATTTAAAGCTTAAAAAAGCTGTTTGTTAACATGTATATTATTTTTAAATGAATTAGTAACTTAAAAATTTATTACCGTATTAGTAAGAATACAGTAAATATCAATACCCGTACCTGTAATCCCAGCACTTTGGGAGGCCGAGGCGGGCGGATTGCCTGAGCTCCTGAGTTTGCGACCAGCCTGGGCAACACGGTGAAACCCCGTGTCTACTAAAATACAAAAAATTAGCCGGGTGTGGTGGCGGGCGCCTGTCGTCCCAGCTACTCGGGAGGCTGAGGAATTAGAATTGCTTGAACCCGGACAGTGGAGGTTGCTGTGAGCCGAGATCGCGCCACTGCACTCCAGCCTGGGCGACTGAGCGAGACTCCGTCTCAACAATTTTTAAGAGGGTAAAGGGGTTTGGGATGAAATAACTGGAGAACAGCTGCTCAGTAAGAAACAAAGGGCTTCAATCCTGACTCGCGATAGGTTTAATCCAGCCAGAGGCCCTTCCCCAGAGAGCGCCAGTCACCGCCCACCCCATCCACACCCGCAACCGAACGCAGGACCCCCCCGCCCCCTGGTAAGAATCCTGGCAAATAACAGATATTGACGAAATGGCCGGGCTTATATACCATGCATACCCAGGCGAGAACAGGTTCACTGGGCGAGCGAAAACTAGGTCACGTAAGGAAAGGAGTGTCTTCGGCGAATCTTTGCGACACTGTCGTGTTTCAGTGGTTCCGTGCCGTAAAGAGAGGCCGGGAGCTGCCCCTAACCGAGGCAGCAGCGGACGTGAGCGATAATGGCGGATATGGAGGATCTCTTCGGGAGCGACGCCGACAGCGAAGCTGAGCGTAAAGGTGGGTTCGCTGGTCTTCGGAGGATGGGTGCGTGGCAGGCCTTCCGCTGTGGGAGCCGGACAACCGTGGAGGCTCCAGCGCCGCGGGCAAGAGGTGGCGTTTCCTCCACTCCTGCCTCAGCGCCCCCTGCACTCCCGGAGGTGCCATCCTCCTCCGGCGGGCAGGATGGAGAGTCAGACAGTCTGCGCCTCGAGGCTCTGGGTGTCGGTGGAGCAGACGGTTCCTGGGAGCTTGTGGAGCGAAAGGGGCGCGGGGCATGGGTGGAAGTGCAGGCGAGCCTGCGCAGCGCGGGTAGGAACGTTGGAGTCCTGTTCCGCCTTGCCTTGCACAGGCCAGCGTAGAGTAAGGGCTGTTTTTGAATGAATGGAAATGAATGCAGGAATATGGGATGGGGTGGGCGAATTTACAGAGGGCCTCAGAATGCCGTCTTGAATGAAACCAGAGCATGGTGTGATAGGGAGCTTGAGATGTCTGGATGACGAGTCTGGGACGGATAATGGGATGGGGTTACAGATAGATGTTTCACATAGGAGAGAATGTGTTCTCTAAGAGCTTGTGCAGAAACTCCAGAATTTCCGGAGTCTGTGATGTTAGATTGGGGAGTGCATGGGGTCTGTGTACAGAGAGGAGGAATGAAGGATTTGTTGATGAAATGAATGAATTAGTGTATGTGCATGCTGCTTGGAAGTTATTTCTGGCACAGGATTGTGGGTGTTTTTTTAAAGTTTACTTTTTTAGAGACAGGGTCTCACTGTGTTGCTCAGGTTGGCCTTGAACTTCTGGGCTCAAGCCATCCTTCTGCCTCAGCCTCCAAGTAGTTGAGACTACGGGCACTTGAAATATGAATAGGAGCTATTTGAAGTGAGAACCCAAGACCAAGTTCAGAATTCTTGCAACCCTCTAGGCTCCAAGTAAAGTGAGTCTCTTGTAGACAACATATATCTAGTTGTTATTTTCATCACCCCCAAATAAAACACTGTTCATAAAGCACTTACTCCTCATATGCTCCTTCCTCCAACCCCTGTCTGCTATTGTTTCTGTACTTATCTGTTCTGGGAATTTCATATAAATTGAATCATGCATTGTGGTCTTTTGTGTCTGGTTTCTTTTACTTAGCATAATGTCTTCAAGGCATTGTAGCACATATCAGTACTTTATTCATTTTTAATGATTTAATAATATTCCATTGAATGTGCACACCCTAAATTTGTTAATCCATTTATCTGTTGATGGACATTGGGTTGTTTGAATAGTGCTACTGTAAACATTCCTGGTTCCGGCAGGCGGATTTGCCTGAGCTCAGGAGTTGAAGACCAGCCTGGGCAACATGGTGAAACCCTGTCTCTACTAAAAATACAAACTGTTAGCCAGGTGTGGTCGTGCGTGCCTGTAGTCCCAGGTACTCAGAAGGCTGAGGCATGAGAATCACTTGAACCCAGGAGACAGAGGTTGGCAGTGAGCTGAGATTGCATCACTTCACTTCAACCTGGGTGATAAAGTGAGACTCTGTCTCCAAAAAAATAAATAAATTCATGTACATGTTTGGGTGCCTGTTTTTAATTTTGGGAGGAGGGTATTATGTAGGAGTGCAGAGTCATATGGTAATTCTTTAATATTTTGAGGAGCAGCCAAACTGTTTTCCATAGTGGTTGAGCCATTTTACATTACCACCAGCAATGCACCAGGGTTCCCTTTCCCCACATCTTTGCCAACAGTTATTTTAAGTTTTTATTTGTTTCTAAAGTAGCCATCCTTGATGTTATCAAGTGGTGTCTCATTGTGGTTTCAGTTTACACTTTCCCAAAGGCTAATGATGCTGAACATCTTTTTTTTTTTTTTTTTTTTTTTTAACGGAGTCTCAGTCTGTCTCCCAGGCTGCAGTGCAGTGGTACAATCTTGGCTCACTGCAACCTCCGCCTCCGGGTTCAAGCAATTCTCCTGCCTTAACCTCCCGAGTAGCTGTGATTACAGGCACCTGCCACCATACCCTACTAATTTTTGTATTTTAAGTAGAGATGAGGTTTTGTCATGTTGGCCAGGCTGGTTCCAAACTCCTGACCTCAGGTGATCCACCTGCCTCGGCCTCTCAAAGTGCTAGGTTCAAGCGATTCTCCTGCCTTTGCCTCCTGGGTTCAAGTGATTCTCCTCCCTTATCCTCCCGAATAGCTGGGATTACAGGCGCCTGCCACCACACCCTGCTAATTTTTGTATTTTTAGTAGACATGAGGTTTTGCCATTTTGGCCAGGCTGGTCTCAAACTCCTGACCTCAGGTGATCTGCCTGCCTCGGCCTCTCACAGTGCTGGGATTACAGGTGTGAGCCACTGCGCCCAGCCGTTGAACATCTTTTCATGTATTTATTGGCCATTTGTGTAACTTTGTTTGGAGAAATGTCTATTCAAGTCCTCTGTTTTAAAAAAATTGGTTTTAGGCCAGGCACAGTGGCTCACGCCTGTAATCCCAGCACTTTAGGGGGCTGAGGTGGGTGGATCACCTGAGGTCAGGAGTTCGAGACCAGCCTGGCCAACATGGTGAAACCCTATCTCTACTAAAAATACAAAAAAATTAGCCAGGTGTGGTGGCGTGCGCCCATAAACTTGGGAGGCTGAGGTAGGAGAATCGCTTGAGGGAGGCAGAGGTTGCAGTGAGCCAAGATTGCACCACTGTACTCCAGCCTGAAGGATAGAGCGAGACTCTGTCTCCAAGAAAACAAACGAACAAAAAACACAAAGAAATTGGTTTTATTGTTGAGTTATAAATGTTCTTTGTATATTTTGGATAAAGACACTTATCAGATACATGGTTTGCAAATATTTTCTTCCATTCTGTAGGTTGTTTTTTCACTTTCCTTTTTTTTTTTGAGACGGAGTCTTGCTCTGTCGCCCAGGCTGGAGTGCAGTGGCGCAATCTCGGCTTACAGCAACCTCCGCCTTCTGGGTTCAAGTGATTATTCTGCTTCAGCCTCCCAAGTAGCTGGGACTACAGGCATGCACCACCACGCCTGGCTAATTTTTGTATTTTTAGTAGAGATGGGGTTTCACCATATTGGCCAGGCTGTTCTCAAACTCCTGACCTCGTGATCCACCCACCTCAGCCTCCCAAAGTGCTGGGATTACAGGCGTGAGCCACTGCGCCTGGCCTTCACTTACTTTTTTTTTTTGGAGACAGAGTCTCCCCTTTCATGCAGTGGCACGATCTCGGCTCACTGCAACCTCCGCTTCCTAGGTTTAAGGGATTCTTATGCCTCATTATTCCCAGTAGCTGGGATTACAGGCGTGTGCCCCCATGCCCAGCTAATTTTTGTATTTTTAGTAGACAGGGTTTCACCATGTTGGTCAGGCTGGTCTGGAACTCCTGACCTCAGGTGATCTTCCCACCTTGGGCTCCTAGAGTGCTGAGATTACAGGCATGAGCCACCGCACCCAGCCAAAAGATTTTATTGTCCTCTAAGACATTAACCAGTTTTGAACTTAACTTAGCAATATTATGTATTTATTTATTTATTTGAGATGGAGTCTTGGTCTGTTGCCCAGGCTGGAGTGCAGTGCTATGATCTTGGCTCACTGCAACCTCCATCTCCTGGGTTCAAGCGATTGTCCTGCCTCAGCCTCCCAAGTAGTGGGCTCACAGGCGTAAGCCACCATGCCTGGCTAATTTTTGTATTTTTAGTAGAGATGGGGTTTCACCATGTTGGCCAGGCTGATCTCAAACTCCTGACCTCAGGTGATCCAGCCACCTTGGCTTCCCAAAGTGTTGGGATTACAGGCATGAGCCACTGCGCCGGGCCTACTTTCTTAATAACGTCCTTTGCTGCACAAAAGTTTTTCATTTTGTGGAAGTCCAATTTATGTTTTCTTTTGTCTTCCATATCGTCTTAGTTTTTGAAGCATAATTTTACTGAATATAAAATTCTTGGTTGACAGTCTTTCTTTTTAGCACTTTGAATGTGTCCTCTTATGGATGGCTCTGGGATTCCTTGGTTTCTGATGAAAAATCAGCTGTTACTCTTATTGAGCGTTCCTCATATGGGATGAACTGCTTCTCTTTTGCCCGCTTTTGGAATTGTTTCTTTGTCTTTGACAGTCTGATAACAATGTTTCTAGGTGTAAACCTCTGTAAGTTTATCCTACTTGTCATTTGTTGAACTTGTTGGATGTGTAGATCTATATTTTTCATAAATTTGGGAGTTCTTCAGCTATCATTTATTTATTCTTTTGAGACAGAGTCTCGCTTTGTCACTCAGGCTAGAGTGCAATGGTGTGGTCTCGGCTCACTGCAACCTCCACCTCCTGGATCCAAGCGATTTTCCTGTTTCAGCCTCTCAAGTAGCTGGGATTACAGGCTTGCGCCACCATACCTGGCTAACTTTTGTATTTTTAGTAGAGATGGGGTTTTGCCATGTTGGCCAGCCTGGTCTCGAACTCCTGACCTCAAGTGATCTGCCCGCCTTGGCCTCCCAAAGTGCTGGGATTACAGGTGTGAACCACCATGCCTGGCCTCAGCTATTATTTAAGAATCTTTTTCTGCTCATTTCTCTTCTTCTGAGACTCCATTATGCATACATTGGTATAACTTAAGGTGTCCCATAAATCTTCTAGACTCCGTTCCTTTCTCTTTATTCTTTTTTCTTTCTGTTTCTCAGATTGGACAGTCGAACTGAGGTATCTTCAAGTTTACTGATTCTTTCTTTTTCCTGCTCAAATCTTTGGTTGAGCCCCTCTAGTGACTCTTTGATTTTAGTAAATATATTTTTCTTTTTCTTTTTCTTTTTTTTCTTTGAGACAAAGTCTCACTCTGTCGCCCAGGCTGGAGTGCAGTGGCTTGATCTCCGCTCACTGCAACTTCTGCCTCCCGGGTTCAAGTGATTCTCCTGTCTCAGCCTCCTGAGTAGCTGGGATTACAGGCATGTGCAACCATGCCTGGCTAAATTTTGTATTTTTAGTAGAGACAGGGTTTCGCTATGTTTGTCAGGCTGGTCTCGAACTCCTGACCTCAGGTGATCTGCCTGCCTCGGCTTCCCAAAGTGCTGGGATTACAGGCGTGAGCCACTGCACCCGGCCTTAGAATGTTAATTCTAACAGTTTTTGCCAGTTTCTTCATTGCTTTTATGTTGGGATGGACTTTGGGACTGCCTTACTCTGCCTTTTTTTGCTTATGTTATCCTATGTTTATATGACCCCATAGATTCTGATTCTGGATCTGACTCAGATTCTGATCAAGAGAATGCTGCCTCTGGCAGTAATGCCTCTGGAAGTGAAAGTGATCAGGATGAAAGAGGTGATTCAGGACAACCAAGTAATAAGGAACTGTTTGGAGATGACAGTGAGGACGAGGGAGCTTCACATCATAGTGGTAGTGATAATCACTCTGAAAGATCAGACAATAGATCAGAAGCTTCTGAGCGTTCTGACCATGAGGACAATGACCCCTCAGATGTAGATCAGCACAGTGGATCAGAAGCCCCTAATGATGATGAAGACGAAGGTCATAGATCGGATGGAGGGAGCCATCATTCAGAAGCAGAAGGTTCTGAAAAAGCACATTCAGATGATGAAAAATGGGGCAGAGAAGATAAAAGTGACCAGTCAGATGATGAAAAGATACAAAATTCTGATGATGAGGAGAGGGCACAAGGATCTGATGAAGATAAGCTGCAGAATTCTGACGATGATGAGAAAATGCAGAACACAGATGATGAGGAGAGGCCTCAGCTTTCCGATGATGAGAGACAACAGCTATCTGAGGAGGAAAAGGCTAATTCTGATGATGAACGGCCGGTAGCTTCTGATAATGATGATGAGAAACAGAATTCTGATGATGAAGAACAACCACAGCTGTCTGATGAAGAGAAAATGCAAAATTCTGATGATGAAAGGCCACAGGCCTCAGATGAAGAACACAGGCATTCAGATGATGAAGAGGAACAGGATCATAAATCAGGTAATACATTTATGAGAACCAGAATGGCTCAGAAAGAAGCATTCAGATACAGCAGGGACCCATTTAGTCTTTATTCCCATCTTTATTACCCTGTTTTTTCTCTTCTGTCCCCTCCCTTTCAAACTTTTCTAACTCTAGAATACATTTTGCTTCTTTTAAATCTTTCTAATCCACTTATTCTTTCTTACTCCTTTCCCTTCCATTTGTTAATGGATAGGTCTGGGGGAAAACAATTTAAAGAGGACTTAAAATTGAGTCTTAGAGGGAGGGATATGGTGTAAGAAGAGCTGATAATGAGTTAAGTTGATTCCATTTCTGTGGATAACTGAAGAGCATGCCTCATGTGAGAGAATAGATTAGCCTGGGGAAAAAAACCATACCATTGAAGTGTCCCCACAGAGCAGCTGTACTGAGATGTGGGCACCATTGCTGCAGCTCAGCTTTTTGAGATCCAAAATTTGATCATCCAGAGATGGTCAAGCTCTAAGGAGTTTACTCAAACTAGTCAAATTTACAAGATATTAATGTATAAAATTGAATTGCAAAATTGTTTCAAGAGGATCAGTTATTTCTCCCTTATCACCCCATATGTTTCCCCGGGGGCAAATCTAGCGTGGATGGCAAATTATAATAATCAGGAGGTTGCCCAGGGAGTATAATATGTAGAAAGTGCAAACATGGCTGGGTGATCTCAATGGACAGTGTTACTGAGCCAAGACAGATTGATGGGTGTATCCTCACCCTACAGAGACGAGCTTGGGTTACAGCACTCATTCCCTAAAGACTACAGGAGGCATACACCTGAACTTTGGTTCCTGGACCTGCTTTTATCATTGCCATTTAGACTATTCTGCTCAAGTTAACACATTCTTCATATAGAATGTACAAAAAATTAGAGATCATATTTCTTTGTATTATATAAAAGTTACCTTAATTAAGTTGAAGTCTTCCTGAAATACCTGGATTGCTTCATTTCCATAGGTGATTGATTATATTAATTATATTTTGATCCTATCTTCTTAGCTTAAATATGAGGGCATCTAACACACACCTCACAGGACAGGATTCAGAAACCACATCTTGGTGTTATTAGAAGAGGAGGGCAGCATATTTCCAGAGATGAATATAGATCTGTGTAGACTATGGGACTGCAGTAAGTTTTCAATAACTAATTCAGAGTAGAGGTTTTTTTTTTTTTTTTAACACTTTAAGTTCTAGGGTACATGTGCACAACGTGCAGGTTTGTTACATAGGTATACATGTGCCATGTTGGTGTGCTGCACCCATCAACTCGTCATTTACATTAGGCATTTCTCCTAATGCTATCCCTCCCCCTGCCCCTCACCCCATGACAGGCCCCGGTGTGTGATGTTCCCTGCCCTGTGTCCAACTGTTTTCATTACTCAGTTCCCACCTATGAGTGAGAACATGCGGTGTTTGGTTTTCTGTCCTTGTGATAGTTTGCTGAGAATGATGGTTTCCAGCTTCATCCATGTCCCTCATGTCCCTGCAAAGGACATGAACTCATCCTTTTTTTTTTTTTGAGACGGAGTCTCGCTCTGTCTCCCAGGCTGGAGTGTAGTGGCATGATCTCAGCTCACTGCAAGCTCCGCCTCCTGGGTTCACGCCATTCTCCTGCCTCAGCCTCCCGAGTAGCTGGGACTACAGGCACCCGCCACCACGCCCGGCTAATTTTTTGTATTTTTAGTAGAGACAGGGTTTCACCGTGTTAGCCAGGATGGTCTCGATCTCCTGACCTCGTGATCCGCCTGCTTCGGCCTCCCAAAGTGCTGGGATTACAGGCGTGAGCCACTGCGCCCGGCCACTCATTTTTTTTTTTTTTTTTTTTTTGAGACAGAGTCTCTGTCATCCAGGCTGGAGTGCAGTGGCACCATCTTGGCTCACTGCAATCTCCACCTCCTGGGTTCAAGCAATTCTTCTGCCTCAGCTTCCTGAGTAGCTGGGATTAAAGGTGTGCACCACCAAACCCAGCTAATTTTTGTATTTGTAGTAGAGAGGAAGTTTCCCCATGTTGGCCTGGCCGGTCTCGAACTCCTGATCTCAGGTGATCTGCCCACCTTGGCCTCCCAAAGTGCTGGGATTACAGGCAAGAGCCACCATGCCTGGCCGAAAGTAGGGCTGTTTTTACTGTTACCAGAAAGAATCTTTAAGGCTCATGTACTACATCCCAAATACTAGAAGACCAAGTCAAGGGCAGGGTCATAGTAGGGAACCTTGTAGCTGGTCATTCTGCTTATCTCTTACTAGTTCAACAGTGGTTCTGTTGATTTTTGTGACATTTTTACGTAAATAATTGGCCCTTCTAGAAATAATGATATATTTGTCAGTTCCTTTTTAATCTTTTTACCTTTTTTTCCCTGAAATTTGTCTTATGTAAATTTGATAAGTTTTAGTGCTACTTTTCTCATTTCTACCAAGTTTTTGTACTTGCAAAGCCAGTATATTTATTTATTTGAGACAGTCTCGCTCTGTCACCCAGGCTGGAGTGCAGTGGTGCGATCTTGGCTCACTGCACCATCAGTCTCCCAGGTTCAAATGATTCTCTTGCCTCAGCCTCCTAAGTAGCTGGGACTACAGGTGCACGCTACCACACCCGGCTAATTTTTGTATTTGTAGTAGAGATGGGTTTCACCATGTTGGCCAGGCTGGTCTTGAATTCCTGACCTCAAGTGATCCACCCACCTCGTCCTCTCAAAGTGCTGGGATTACAGGCATGAGCCACCACAACTGGCACCAGTATTTATTTTAAGAATTCTGTTTTTTAAATTAACACACACTAGAGTTAATTTTTTGGGGGGGGGGCATGTTCTGCATGTACAGCTCTATTCATGTTAACATATCTATAGATTTGTCTAACCACCACCACACTCAGGATGCAGAATCGCTGTCACACTGAAAAACTCCCTTATGCTATCCCTTTTGAGTCGTATCTTTCTGCTACCCCTAAACCCTGGCACCTACTGGTCTTTTCTGTCACTAAACTTTTGGTTTTTTGGAAATGTCATATAAATAGAGTTATACAGTAAGTATGTAGTCTTTCAGATTGGCCTCTTTAACTTGGCATATAGCATTTTTGATTCATCCAATTGGTTACATGTATCAGCAGTTCATTCCTCTTTATTGCTGAGTAGTAGTCCATTGTATCACAATTTGTTTATCTCCAATATTGCTTTTAAAACACAAAATTCAACTAATGCGACTGATTATGCAGAACTTCTAATTCTACCCTTATAGAATCTGCAAGAGGCAGTGATAGTGAAGATGAAGTTTTACGAATGAAACGCAAGAATGCGATTGCATCTGATTCAGAAGCGGATAGTGACACTGAGGTGCCAAAAGGTATCCCTATTATTATATATATATGTATATTTCCATACCTCTTTCTGTATTTAACTGTAGTGCATTTCTAACCCTGAGTGTGTTTACCCCAGATCGCCAGACCCACAGAATAAGAGTGTGGATACGCTCAGTGTACTCAGAGAAGTTATATAGCTATGAGAAGCTGCTCATGCTTAATTAGTTGAAGAAGAACCTGCCTCTTTGTAGTTTTTTTTTTTTTTTTTAAGAGACAGAGTCTTGCTCTGTCACCCACGCTGGAGTGCAGTGGTGCAAGCTCAGCTTATTGCAACTGCTGCCTCCTGGGTTCAAGCAATTCTCCTCCCTCAGCCTCCTGGTAGCTGGAATTACAGGAACGTACCACCATGCCTGGCTAAATTTTTTGTATTTTTAGTAGAGGTGGGGTTTCACTATGTTGGCCAGGTTGGTCTCGAACTCCTGATCTCAAGTGTTCCACCCACCTCAGCCTCCCGAAGTGCTGGGATTACAGGCGTGAATCACTGCGCCCAGTCTGTTTATAGTTAGAGTGAATTCATTATTAGGGGGCTGACCTTCTTATTGGGATGGAGGTTACAATGTCCATTCTTCACTTTGAATAATGACAGTCTCGGTGTTTTGTTCCTAAGTTCTTGACTTAGATGAAGAAACTGATTCTTTGAGCTGTGAGTTAGATGAAGAGCTCATAAAAACCCAGTGTTGGCTGGGTGCAGTGGCTCACGCCTGTAATCCCAGCACTTTGGGAGGCCAAGGTGGGTGGATCACTTGAGGCCAGGAGTTCAAGACCAGCTTGGCCAACATGGTGAAGCCCTGTCTGTACTAAAAATACAAAACATTAGCGGGGCGAGGTGGTGTGCATCTGTAGTCCCAGCTACTTGGGAGGCTGAGGCACGAGAATCGCTTGTGCTCGGGAGGCAGAGGTTGCAGTAAGCCAAGGTCGCACCACTGCAGTCCAGCCTGAGCAACAACAGTGAGACTCTGTCTCAAAACAACAACAACAACCGCAACCACCACCACCACCACCACCACCACCACCACCACCTGGTATTATAAGTTGGAAGGATGAAAGGAGTTCTACCGCCAGGTGTGGCAGCTTCCTTTCTCCTGCCTCAGCCTCCCAAGTAGCTGGGATTACAGGCACCTGTCACCAAGCCCAGCTAGTTTTTGTATTTTTAGTAGAGACGGGGTTTCACCATGTTGGTCAGGCTGGTGTCAAACTCCTGACCTTAAGTGATCCACCTGCCTTGGCCTCCCAAAGTGCTGGGATTACAGGCATGAACCACTATGCCTGGACTGTAATTTTGAATCTGGGATAGACTTATGGAAAATGGGTGTCTGTGGAGTGCTTCAGCCCCAACTTTGAGCATCTAGACTGTAGGAAACATTTGGGCTCCTGGGGAATAAAGGAAAGTGGGAGAACAAGGATGGTGAAAATGAAAGGAGAAATAAGTGCCTCCTGTGCAGCTTGCCTTTCACTAGATTTGCCCCCTTCCCTCTCCCCACACTCTCTGGTTGGGTCTTTGAGAGCCAGGCTCAGCATTATGTTTTTGGTGGTTTTCTGATGCTGGTCCAGAAACCTTGGGAATGTGTTGAAGTGATCAGCTGTGAAGAACCTTAGTTACAGATAGTAACACTAATGCCTTTTTCCTTCTGCATTGAAGATAATAGTGGAACCATGGATTTATTTGGAGGTGCAGATGATATCTCTTCAGGGAGTGATGGAGAAGACAAACCACCTACTCCAGGACAGCCTGTTGTAAGTCAGTTAGTAACATGAACTTATTCAAGGCCAGGCATAAAGTTTCAAAGGTGAAGAGTCTCCCTTATTCCAGGAAAGGAAGTTGATAACTGAATTCTAGTATGAAAATACCATGAACAGATGACTTTCTTCATTATGTAGGGAACTCTTGGTTATAAGGGGGAGTGGAAATAACTGCCAAACATGAGGTTGGTGTCATGCCTTAGGGGACTGAACTGTGAGGACTTGTGATTTGAGAACCATTGACTTGAATGTTTTTCTTGCTCATGCCAAGAAGTGTCTGCTATGTTGATAATCTTCTCTGGTTTTAATTGATAGAGTGACTTCCTATTGAAGTGTTAATTTCACACTTTTGTTGAGTATTTGGAAGACAGATTTATCATAAAGGAGATAGTTTTTTGTACTGAGGTATCCAAATTGATCGTTTCCCATTTTGTGTGTAGGTGGGTTGGGATGGGGACTGGGGACTTCTTTAGTCCTAAAGTGATATCTAATTATGTTTCTTGCACCCCAGAGTAATTAAAGTGTGGAGGTTGAAGGAAGCCATTTCTAAGGTCCTGTCAAGCTCCAAACTTCCGATTCTTTCACTAGGATGAAAATGGATTGCCTCAGGATCAACAGGAAGAGGAGCCAATTCCTGAGACCAGAATAGAAGTAGAAATACCCAAAGTAAACACTGATTTAGGAAACGACTTATATTTTGTTAAACTGCCCAACTTTCTCAGTGTAGAGCCCAGGTAAGGAAATCAATTAAAATTTTTTCAGGATGTTGAGTAGAAATACATAGAATGTTTATTTTTCTTATTTCGCATTGAGTTGACAAATCACAAAAACGGAAAATTGATCGTGTATCTCTGAAAAAATTAGTCAAGCACATCCTGAGATAGAAAAAATATGTATTAGTAAGGGAGGCTTTTAATGCTATGATTGTTTTTAGCAGTTTGATACTTTCTTATGAATTAACAGACACCACAAGTGTTCAAGGTATTTTTTTAATTAGTACAACCCTGAAAAGGCTGAAATTGAAAGCGATGAAATTTGCTAGAGAAATGCCAGTGTCCACTGTAGCAGCTATTGTTGGTCTAGAAAAGGTAATGGTTTTGGACAATTAGACAGTGTTTGATGGGTATTATTTACTAAGTTTACTCGAGCTCTTGTGCTTTTAAAATTTTTTTTCCACAGGCACAATGATGTGGAAAGCTAGAGCATATGTTGCCTATTCTTTGGCAGAGTTACATAAGAAGAAGAAAGGATATTTTGAATATTTACCCTTGCTTGTACTTTATTTCAAGCAATATGTATTAACAACAAATTTTAAGAAGTAAAATTACTGGCCGGGTGTGGTGGTTCACACCTATAATCCCAGCACTTTGGGAGGCCGAGGAGGGCGGATCACCTGAGGTCAGGAGTCTGAGACCAGCCTGACCAACATGGAGAAACACCCTGTCTCTACTAAAAATACAAAATTAGCCAGGCATGGTGGCGCATTCCTGTAATCCCAGCTACTCGGGAGGCTGAGGCAGGAGAATCGCTTGAACCTGGGAGGCGGAGGTTGTGGTGAGCCGAGATCGTGCCATTGCACTCCAGCCTGGGCAACAAGAGCAAAGCTCGGTCTCAAAAAAAAAAAAAAAGAAAAAAGTACAATTACTACTTCCTTGAAGTTAAGCATGAAGATATTGATCATTATGATTTTTAAAATTATATTATGATTTTTTGATATAATGGTGTTTATTAATAGAGATGTTATTACATAGCAGTAATATTCTTTATAAAATATGATTAATAGTTTATTTGGAAAACAATTTGTAGACCTTTTGATCCTCAGTATTATGAAGATGAATTTGAAGATGAAGAAATGCTGGATGAAGAAGGTAGAACCAGGTTAAAATTAAAGGTACCATTTCATGCTTTTTCCTTTTTTTTCTTTTATAAAGTAAAACCTGGAGATACTAACTTGAAACTTGAGCTTTTGAAAGTGATTTTTTTACCTAACACTTCACTATATGGCTGTGTTCTTTTGATTGCTTTTGTTGACTATTAGGAAAGAATTTTATTGTACTAAATTCCCATTAATGCTTCTCTTTGATACCTTATACCATCTGGTCACGCTATCAAAGGAGGGCCTCTAATCTTTTAAGTAAGGAGGATGTAGGTTCAGCAGAAGTTTCATCTTTTTATTTTGAGACACGGTCTTGCTCTGTTGTTCAGGATGGAGTACAGCG
Source organism: Homo sapiens (assembly GCF_000001405.40). Lineage (NCBI taxonomy): Eukaryota > Metazoa > Chordata > Mammalia > Primates > Hominidae > Homo > Homo sapiens. The sequence goes on along the minus strand of NC_000015.10, from coordinate 51,958,413 downwards.
GCACAAACCCAGCTCTTGGCAGCCTCAATTTCCTGGGTTCAAGTGATCTTCCCATCTCAGCCTCCTGAGTAGCTGGGACTACAGAAAACATGCCACCATGCCCAGCCTTTTTTTTTTTTCTGTAGATATGAGGTCTTGCTGTGTTGCCCAGGTTGATCTTGAACTTCTGAGCTCAAGTGATCCTCCCGCCTTGACCTCCCAAATTGCTGGGATTACAGGCATGATTGCTACTGCACTTGGCCAAGTAGACATTTTAGAATTGAGTTGCACAAGGGAACAAGAGGTGGTTGAATGCATGATACTGAAACTGGAATTATGCATTTTCAATTCTTAAATCCGAAGGATTTCCTGTAAATTTCTTATTTTCTAGTGGGTATTTATATATTTTTTTTTGAGAAGGAGCATCGCTGTGTCGCCCACGCTGGAGGGCAGTGGCATGATCTCAGCTCACTGCAACCTCTGCCTCCTGGGTTCAAGTGATTCTCCTGCCTCAGCCTCCCAAGTAGCTGAGACTACAGGCATGCACCACCATGCCCAGCTAATTTTTGTATTTTTAGTAGAGACAGGGTTTCACGATGTTGGCCAGGTTGGTCTCGAACTCCTGACCTCAGGTGATCCACCCACCTCGGCCTCCCAAAGAGCTGGGATTACAGGTGTGAGCCACCGCGCCTGGCCTTGGTACCTTATTAAATTGTTAGAAAGGGATAGTCTGGCATTTTTTAGGCACTGAATTTTTATATTTTTAATAGTACCATCTCTTCAATGTGGTATATTAACAACTACCTAAATAACCTTGATATAAGATGGTTTCTATCCAAAAGCTTTTCAGTGAGACTTCACTACTCCTCTTAATGGAAATGCAAATCAAATAAGAAAACTGAGATAAACAGGTGCTAATAATTTGTTCAAGATCACACAGTCAACAGATATACTGCTTACACTATTTTTTTTTCCTGTCCTCCCTCCACCACCCATCTACTCATCTGTTTATTAGCCCATCTGTTAATATTATTTCTTTGGGACACATGGATGTATTGATTTAGGCTTAGCAGTATCAATTTTTCATGGTTGTTTTAGTGCCTCTGGCTTTAATTCTACTACTTTTCATTGTTTCCTGTCATATACATATAAACTAATATAGTAGTTCCTTATTCACTTTTTATCAATTTATTTAATTTTGTCTTTTTCCTTTTTCTTACTTTCTGTCATGATGCTACAGCTAGTATCAATATATCTATTATATTTTTAGACCATGTGATACCAGATTCTAGTATGGGTGTCAGACTTCAAAGGCCGGGCATGGTGCCGCATATCTGTAATTCCAGTACCTTGGGAGGCCGAGGTGAGAAGACTGGCCAGGAGTTTCAGACCAGCCTGAGCAACAGAGCAAGACCTTGTCTCTACTAAAAATAAAAAAAAATTAGCCAGCAGAGATGGCGCATGCCCATAGTCACAGCTACTCCAGGAGGCTGAGGCGGGAGGATTGCTTGAGCCCAGGAGTTTGAGGCTGCAGTGAGCTGTGATTGTGCCATTGCACTCCAGCCTGTGCAGCACAGCGAGACCCTGTCTCCCCCCCAAAAAAAAATTTATAAATATGTATTTTACCCTAAAATTTCAGTGCATCAGACTACAAAATGTTGGTGTTTAACATAAACTGTTGTCTTAAAACCTTGGTGTGTGATAGGAAATAACCCTGGACCCTTATTTTCTTGAGTGATGTTTAAGACTACGCTGACCAGTCTTAAAGCATGGTGTAGTTAATTCTTTAAGAACAAGGAACCAGGGAACCAGGTACAGCTTATGTACCTCTCTGAGGTCCCCTGTCTTCAGAAATACTATTATGTGTCCTTCATCCTGATAGGTTAAGACCTAGCAATGTGTCCTATTATAGCATCATTACTATTTGAATCACTTTATATAATAGAAAGCATTTTTTAGAACGGCTTCTCAATTAATAATGGCCTATTTGTGGTTTTTTTTTTTTTTTTTTTGAGATGGAGTCTTGCTCTGTCGTCGCCCAGGCTGGAATGCAGTGGCGCAATCTCAGCTCACTGCAACCCCCGCCTCCCGGGTTCAAGCAATTCTCCAGCCTCAGCCTCCCGAGTAGCTGGAATTACAGGCACATGCCACCATGCCCGGGTAATTTTTGTATATTTTTAGCAGAGATGGGGTTTCACTGTGTTGGCCAGGTAGGTCTTGAACTCCTGACCTCAGGTGATCTGCCTGCCTCGGCCTCCCAAAGTGCTGGGATTACAGGTGTGAGCCCTGCACCCGGCATATTTGTGTATTTATATGTGGCCAACCTATTGTATGAGATGGAAGACAGGAATAGTGACAGATTGTTTTGTTTTCAATCTGAAAATTTCAAACATACACCAATGTATTAAAAACAATATAATGAACTCTTTCATGTGCCCATGACCCACTTCAACAGTTGTCGAGTTAACAATCTTTTGTCATCTACATATTCCCCACCCCAGCTTCCCCAGACTATTCTGAAACAAATTTCAGGTATGACATCATGTTTAATTCATAAATATGATGGAGTTATTCAATCAGCACACTTTATAGCTATTTGTGAGGAATAAATAGGGAAAGGGGAAAAACTGGAAGGGGGAATCATTAGGACCCAGCTGCACAGACATTTGCAGCTAAAGGAGTGGAGATCCAGACGATCTCCGTGGGACTGGGAGCAGCTGTGTTTAGGATTGACACTGGGGGAACAGGCAGAGGGAAGCATGGTCTTGGCATTGGCAGTTTTCACATTGTTGGCTTCTGTCTGTTGCCAGCTTCATTCTCATTCTTTCTATCCTTGTATGTCCTGTTTTTACTCTTCATTGTCATTTTAGTGGGTTTCCAGGAGGCAGCAGTGATAAACTGCATGCGTTTAGTATGCCATGTTTTCCTGGAGATCCCACTGACTTTACTTTCAGTAACAGTGGTTTTCATTTGCCAACTCTGGTGTTTCCCCACCATGCAGGTAAGATAGTTAGGCTCTAAACCTATTGAAATCTGGGGTTTTCATTTTCATAGGGCACTTATTTATCCTTATTCATATATGGGAAGTTTATCTCTCTGTGCCAATAGGCAGAGTTTTTGGTCTCATTTTTATGGAGTTTTTAGCTCTGTGAGAGAACTTGCTTTATACAGGGGTTTCACTTCAAAATTTCTTCCTCGGCCGGGCGTGGTGGCTCACGCCTGTAATCCCAGCACTTTGGGAGGCCCAGGCGGGCGGATTATGAGGTCAGGAGATCGAGACCATCCTGGCTAACACGGTGAAACCCTGTCTCTACTAAAAAATATGAAAAAATTAGCCGGGCTTGGAGGTGGGCGCCTGTAATCCCAGCTACTGAGAAGGCGGAGGCAGGAGAATGGCGTGAACCCGGGAGGCGGAGCTTGCAGTGAGCCAAGACTGCGCCACTGCACTCCAGCCTGGACGACAGAGCAAGACTCCGTCTCAAAAAAAAAAAAAAAAAAAAATTTCTGCCTCACATGGACTCAAGTTTTATCGCCTGACCCTTGTAATTCTTACTGTCTTAACACATCTCGGGGTTAGTGTACATTTAGTATCTGCCATCTGCTCAAATGCTCTAAGCTTTCTCTATGATTATGATTCTAGGAGCTCAGAAATTCACTTAAGCATATTTTTTTCCCTGCTTTTAATTTATCCAACCTCTCTAGGTGATTAAAGAGGGTTTCAGTGTTGTTCATTCTCCTGCCACACATACATCTGTCACCTCTGTATGCTTATTCTGTGATTATGTGCCTCTTGAGGAAAAACAAGATGCATAGAGTCATTTAAACTATAATTTTCTAAAGTACTTGTGTTGTGAAACAGGTAGAAAATACTATAAGATGGAGGATACGCCGAGATGAAGAAGGAAATGAAATTAAAGAAAGCAATGCTCGGATAGTCAAGTGGTCAGATGGAAGGTGAGCACAAAACGCCTGAAGGGTATTGACATACCCAGAACGGGTCAGAGGGATCAAGTTTTGAAATACTTTTTAGTTTTAAATTTATTATTAGTTTTAGAAATGGGGTCTCACTCTGTTGCCCATGTTGGAGTGTAATGACATGATAACAGCTCAGTGGAGCCTCAGACTCCTAGTCCTAAGTGATCCTCCCATCTCCCAAGTAGCTGGGACTACTTGGTGTGCACCACCCTGCATGGATTATTAAAAAAAAAAAAGAGCCAGGCACGGTGGCTCACGCCTGTAATCCCAGCACTTTGGGAGGCCGAGGTGGGTGGATCACGAGGTCAGGAGTTCAAGACCAGCCTGGCCAAGATGGTGAAACCCCATCTTTACTAAAAATTAGCTGGGTGTGATGGCGGACGCCTGTAATCCCAGCTACTCAGGAGGCTGAGGCAGAGAATTCCTTGAACCCAGGAGGCGGAGGTTGCAGTAAGCCGAGATCGCGCCACTGCACTCCAGCCTGGGCAACAGAACTAGATGCCGTCTCAAAAAAAAAAAAAAGAAAAAATTTCATAGACACAGTTCTCCATATGTTGCTTAGGCTGGTCTTGAACTCCTGGGCTCAAGCGATCCTCCCATCTCCCAAGTGCTGGGATTACAGGCGTCAACCACCGTGCCCAGCCACAAATTGACATTTTAAAAAAATTGCCCTTCACTGGGAATGTAGTAGAGCCTGGTAAACATCCCAGCATGTGTTAGTTCTTTGTAGTCCATCAGTTTTTCTCATTATGACTTCTTATTTTCGTTCCTTCCAAATTCTGTGTAAAAAGAGAGAGCAGCAGTTGAATCACCTGTTTTGTTTTGTTTTTTTTTTTCCTTGAGATGGAGTCTTGTCCTGTCGCCCAGGCTGGAGTGCAGTGGCACGATCTTGGCTCACTGCAACCTCCACTTCCCGGGTTCAAGCAGTTATCCTGTCTCAGCCTCCCGAAGGCTGGGACTACAGGGGTGTGCCTCCATGCCTAGCTGATTTTTGTATTTTTACCAGAGATGGGGTTTCACCATGTTGACCAGCCTTGTCTCAAACTCCTGACCTCGTGATCCACCTGCCTTGGTGTCCCAAAGTGCTGGGATTACACATGTGGGCCACTGTGCCCAGCCTGAATCACCTTTAAGTGAAGTAAGATGGTAGAGTGAAAGCTTTATGACTTTAATAGATGAAATGTTTCTCTTTCCAGCATGTCCCTGCATTTAGGCAATGAAGTGTTTGATGTGTACAAAGCCCCACTGCAGGGCGACCACAATCATCTTTTTATAAGACAAGGTACTGGTCTACAGGGACAAGCAGTCTTTAAAACGAAACTCACCTTCAGGTAACTGTTATTATTATTATGTATTATTTCTTATGGTAAAAGCAGTGAAACATAGATGTTTCTGTAATGCCTGCCACCTGATTGATGTAACCCCACGGTATGATTCAGCAAGAACCAAGATCTTGTGCATAGTTCTGAAGGTTCAAAGGTTATTTTGTCAAATACACTAAAAGTTGCTGTTTCTTAGGGAACCAGGTCATGCTAACCAGACTTACAAGAGACTGTTAGGTAAACCAGAATGTCAATGTATTTAATTCCAGTGGTTATTATAACTGCCAAGAGGCCTAAAATACGTGTGTCTGCTAGCCAGTGTGTCCTTTGTTTTTAGTAAAATTGACCTGGGAGACTAATAACTAGAGGTTGTTGTTGTGCATGCAATCGAAGGAAAGCCAGCAAGTTGGTCAGTGTGAGACGGGCCATCTCAGTGCCGTAGGCCCCGGCATCTAATACCACTGCAGAGGTGTGTCCCCCAAGAGGACAGGAATACTCAGCTGGTGAGGGCACTTTCCTTCTCTAGACTGAGTATGTGCTGCACTGAGATGTTCATGCTTCTCTTTCTTGATTATAAGCAGACCATCCTCTTTGGGTAATGCTTATCTTTAGAGGGGGCACAATAATGTTGGTTATGATTTAGCTTTTTGAAATTATAAAGGTTAACATACAGGCTTTGGAATCAGTTAGACTCATATTTGAATTCCATTTCTACTTGTGTGACCTTGTGCCACTTTCTTAACCTCTTTTTGCCTCAGTTTCCTAAATCTATAAAATAGGATAATTATATTAATATTAATATATTAATATTAATTAAAAGTAATGGCAAAAACCGCAATTACTTTTGCACCAACCTGTAGTATCTAATTAATGTTGCTTGAGCGTATCCATTTATTGCTTCTAGAAGGTGATCATGCCATACAATCTTTTTTACTCCAACCTTCTGTTTTTCATTTGTGGAATAAGAATGTCTCAGTGAGCCACAGAATGAAGAAAACTCACAATCTTCCACCTTGGTATATTCAGTCGAGTGTCTCTGCCTATTTTTTCAGGTGACTAGGAAATGGTCACTGGGCTCTTACTTCTGTGACGTGGGTATCACTGGCTCACAAATGTATTTGGTAAACAGTGATATGCTCTTCGTTTATTTCCTGGCAGACCTCACTCTACGGACAGTGCCACACATAGAAAGATGACTCTGTCACTTGCAGATAGGTGTTCAAAGACACAGAAGATTAGAATCTTGCCAATGGCTGGTCGTGATCCTGAATGCCAACGCACAGAAATGATTAAGGTATGTTTGCTAAGCCTAAGCGTTATCCTGGGATTCTTTGGTATATTAGGCAAGTATTTCCCAAAATGCTTGTTCGTCATCTCTTATTGGCCTACCTTTTCCTCTTCCAACTGACATGAATAGGGAGCTGGATTCATTTCCTCAGCATTTGCCAAACAATTGGTGACGTGGCAATGATAGTAAAACAGAAACAGGGCTCAGGTTCTCTCTTCACCAGGCCCTGAGAGTTCAGCAACAAACCGGTGATTGAAATATCTGAATTTTCATGTATAAGTTCAAAGATCATTAAGTCATCTATGTGTGGTTTAGAATCCATGTCAGAAGTCAGTGGAGATACTAGAGAGTAGTGTAAAATAGAGAATAGACCAGGAGTTTGAATGAGAGAGTGCCTAAAGTAGACTCTGGTAAAGAATAAGACGAGCTTATGAGTTTTTAAGGTCAATTTGTAACATTCTACCTGGTATATTTTCAAATTTGACCCAGCTGTTAATTAGGCACAAGTTTATTTGGGGCATTGTACCTAATCGATAGAGCATGTGCTCATATTGGCTATTGGCCTTTCCTGCAGCACTTGATTTGAGAAGCCATATGCAGTAGTACAGGCTCATCATTTCTCCTCTCCATCTTCTCTAATCCCTACTAGATTTTGGCCTTTGCCCACCCTGCCTCTTGTGATTACGTTGTTTAGTGAAGCAGGGCATGGTGAGGCTAAGACAGTCCAGTTACCTCAGGGCCTTTCTTACAAATCTTATGGTCAGGCTCTGCTGAAGGTTTGGCTCTGAGCCCTTGCTTTTTCCTCCATCCTGTATTTGTTCATGGAGACAGATTAAACCAGATCTAATAGCAGTACCTAACCTAGTGGTATATAGCGGCATTTGCTTTGGAGCTGGGCTTGTTCCATTTCCCCACCTTTTCTGTACAGACTAAGGGAACTGGAGGAACCTGCAGATTCCAGTCTCAGCATTATTGGAGAAGCTCTTGAACCACTTTGAGCATCTCCCCACACCCTCCTCCATGTCCCCAGCTCCTGTGAAAATGTAGACTAGGAGTCAGCTGGTTTGTTCTTAGTCCCTGTACTACTGACAGTGATTTTTACTCTAACCTCCGTACAGCCACATACTATTAAAACAATCTGTTCCATAGAATTTCTAGCAATATAATTGGAGTTGTATATGATAATACAGAGCAACGGGATGAGGAAGACCTTCAAAGAAATCCCAGAATATCCCTGAAACCTACTCCAACACCACCCCTACCCCCAACCTGGTTTAACATCAAGGTGCAGAATGCCAGGCAGTGCAAAGGAAATGAAAGGTCTACCTTGTGGCTCTAGGACGCTCCCCAACCTGTCATCAGGAGCCGTGAGGAGCTCTCTGGGTTGAGGGGCTGAGGGGCTGGGACCAGAATATCTGGGAACTATGGGAGTTTGGTAGAGCTGGGGCAGATCAGTTGTCTGTGGTTCAGGGATGAACAGGAACAGCCACTGCTGCTCCAGGGAGTCAATTTAGGTTTCTGCTGGGCATGAATGGGGTTTCTCAGGCGGGTTGCTTCTCTCTGGGTTAAGTGGCAGCACAGAACACCAGCACAGCTCCCGAGGACACACCTGTGCCAATGCCAGTTGGGCCGGTTAGTGTCAGGGCTCCCTTCTGCCGCTTTACCCTTGTGTTGCCTTTGCTCCTGCAAACCAAACCAGAGGGTCCCTGTGGAGCCACAGAGGTGGGATGGGGAACACACACGGCACAGCTGTTATCTGGACCAGACATTACATGCTATTTGTAATAAAAGTGGGTTCAAGTGGGCACAAAAGTAGCTCCTTTTTAGGTTAAAGAGGTTATTTGCTTCTTTACAGAAAGAAGAAGAACGTTTGAGGGCTTCCATACGTAGGGAATCTCAGCAGCGCCGAATGAGAGAGAAACAGCACCAGCGGGGGCTGAGCGCCAGTTACCTGGAACCTGATCGATACGATGAGGAGGAGGAAGGCGAGGAGTCCATCAGCTTGGCTGCCATTAAAAACCGATATAAAGGGGGCATTCGAGGTGAGTCGTGTATGGAAATTACATTTCATCATTTCGGGATTCTGGACTTCATCTTGGCATTAGATGTAATCCGGCTGCCAAGTCACTGGACTTTTTTTTTTTTTTTTTGAGACGGAGTCTCGCTCTGTCACCCAGGCTGGAGTGCAGTGGTGTGATCTCGGCTCACTGCAACCTCTGCCTCCTGGGTTCAAGTGATTCTCCTGCCTCAGCCTCCCGAGTAGCTGGGATTACAGGTGTGCGCCACCACACCTGGCTAATTTTTGTATTTTTAGTAGAGACGGGGTTTCACCATGTTGGCCAGGCTGGTCTCAAACTCCTGACCTCAAGTGATCTGCCCGCCTTGGCCTCCCAAAGTACTGGGATTACAGGCATGAGCCACTGTGCCTAGCCCGGACATTTTATTTTTAAAGAACGAGTTGTCATGAGTGACCTAGTTCATTCAGGTGAGCTTGAAAGGTAGGAACTGCTGTTGTTCCTACTTTGGGTTTTATCCCTTGAGCTTTTGCTTTCTGACTTGAGAATTTGCCAGTTATACTGGAACTTTTGTCAACCTTTTTTATTACCTAATTGGGAATCAAGAAATTAAACTATTCAGAAATTATGTGATATTTTCTTTCATTCTTCTTCTACATTTCTCTTAGATTTACTTTTGCATATTTCCTCCTTTCACAAGTATCACTGATTTCTGATGGTTAACGTTTTTTCCACACATACTGAATTTCAGGCAAATGCTCAACACTTGACATGCATCCTGTTTGATCCTCATAACAACATTATGATCTAGTTGCTCTTATTTCCTTGTTTTTATTGAGGAAACTGAGACTTTGAGAGGTTGACTAATTTGCCCAAAGGCACGTAGTTGCTAACTGGTCAGTTCTTAAACCAAAGTCATCTGACTTCCGAGACATCTGTCCCAGCCGTGACTCTGCATCCACCTGGTTCTTACCCAGGGGTTCCCCCAAGCCAGTAGCAAGACGACATGGTGAAAAGCGAACTAAGAAGACCTGGCTGGCCTTCTGACCCTGCCCGCTCTCATCTGAGTCCTGCCACTTTTTAGTTGTATAACTTTTGAAGAGTTACATAGTTTCCCTTAACTTCTGTTACCTCATTGTGACAAAAACAACCTATTAATAATGGTAGTTAGAACATAAGGTTGTTTTGAAGATTACATAATATAATACATTTAAAGTACTTAGCCCAGAGCCTGGCATATAACAAGTAAATTTTTAAAACACCCAAATTTATTTTTCTCTGACTGTCCCATGAAACTCATTTCTCCTTTTCTTATAGTGACTGCATTTGGTCTGGTGACCTGTTACATATTACCTACCTATTATTTATTTGGGGACCACAGTACAGAGACCCTTTCTTTTTTGTCAATGCTGATTTCCCATAGAAAAAGATTCAATTGTGTGGAAATAAACCACACAAAAATTAAATAAAAATTTTAAAAATCCAAGGATGCTTTAAGAGAGAGAGGTGTGTAACATTCAGGTCACCAGAGATTAAAAATCTAGCACATGAGTCTAGTAGTGCTCAGTTCCATACAGTAATCAGATAGGCAAGGTGTGGGGACAAAGGGAAGGCTTTGGGTTTTGACGGGAGGGGCTTGGTCTAAAGTCCTCGGCTCTTATTCCACCCAGAGGTTCACCTGGGCTTGGGCAGTGGAGCAGATGGGCGCCCCTCTACATCTCTCTTTGAAAGGTCTGCCTGGCAACAAACGGTCTTTACAGGACCAGGAAACCACTTTCTTGCTTTACCTTCAAACTCATTTTGGAATTAACTGTTACTGGTGGAAGAATGTCTCAGGCTTTAATAGTTGACTTCGTAAGAGTAGGGTATCTTGCCTCTTTAGACACCTTGCACACAAACCTTTTTCATCTTTAAAAGTGGTCAGGTTTTTGTATTTTGAGAGGGTAAGTCTGCTTCATTTCCGCATATCTAAAATTTATACTTATCTTTAAATCAAAAACTTTAAAATTATTTGGTTCCCCTGGGAGGAAATATACAGAGGGAACTAAAGATATTTATCAGAAGAAAACATTTAAGAATGAATAGGTCACTGTCTTTGAAAGTTACTCACAGTTGGACACAGTGGCTCACGCCTATAATCCCAGCACTTTAGGGGGCTGAAGAAGGAGGATCGCTTGATTTTAGGAAGTTCAAGACCAGCCTGGGCAACATGGCAAGACTTCATCTCCACTAAAAAGAAAAAAAAAATCAGCTGGGCATGGGTAGGTAGTGCACACCTGTGGTCCCACCTACTTGGGAGGCTGAGGCAGGAGGATCACCTAAGCCCAGGAGGTCAAGGCTGCAGTGAGCCATGATTGTGCCACTGCACTCCAGCCTGGGCCTCAAAGCAAGACCCTGTCTCAGAAAAAAAAAAAGGTGACTCACAATCTGTACTTTTGCTTTCAGAGGAACGAGCCAGAATCTATTCATCAGACAGTGATGAGGGATCAGAAGAAGATAAAGCTCAAAGATTACTCAAAGCAAAGAAACTTACCAGTGATGAGGTAAGACCAAATTTATTCAATTCTAGGGGTTTATCCTGTACTCAGGAGCCAACTGCTTTGAATGAAGAGCTCACAGATCAGGCAGGCACAAATTAGTTGTCTACACACGTCACTGAAATCCAGTGAGATAAATGCAGTAACAAGACAGAGTGATCCAGAGGAGGATCTGATACCTGTGCTTAGAGAGGTCTTAGAAGGCTGCATGGAGGATAAGACTTCTTGCTGGGTGTTGAAGAGTGATCAGAAGCTTGCTGGTCAAACTGTCCTGTCTCTGGTAGGTCACTCCGGATAGATGGAAAGGCCTGGAAGAAAAGGTGCAGGTCCCTGACATACCAAGGCTAATCCAAGAGAGAATGACAGATCATTCAGTGTGGTAGACCAGAGGGTGTATCTCCTTTTTGTAAAACTTCTCAGTATTTTTTTTTTAAATTAGGAAAATAATTCATTCTTGGTTGGATGCAGTGGCTCATGCCTGTAATCCCAGTATTCTGGGAGGGCTAGGCAGACAGATTGCTTGAGCTCAGGAGTTTGAGACTAGACTGGGCAATATAGGGAGACCCCATCTCTCCAAAAAAATACAAAAATTAGCTGGATGTAGTGGTGTGTGCCTGTAGTCTCAGCTACCAGAGTCTTGAGGTGGGAGGATTGCTTGAGGCTGCAGTGAGACATGATTGCACCACTGCACTCCAGCTTAGGCAAAAGAGTGAGACCCTGTCTCAAAAAAAAAAAAAGAAAATGATTTCATTCTTATGTTGGGAAAACCTATTTTCTTTTTATTTAGATGAAACAGTATTTGGCCGGGCATGGTGGCTCATGGCTGTTAATCCCAGCACTTTGGGAGGCCGAGGCAAGCGGATCACCTGAGGTTGGGAGTTCGAGACTAGCCTGACCAACATGGAGAAACCTCGTATCTACTAAAAATACAAATTAGCAGGGCGTGGTGGCGCATGCCTGTAATCCTAGCTACTCTCAGCCTCAGGAGACTGAGGCAGGAGAATTGCCTGAACCTGGGAGGTGGAAGTTGCAGTGAGCCGAGATCGCGCCATTGTGCTCCAGCCTGGGCAACAGGAGTAAAACTCCATCTCAAAAAGTATTTGAAATTGTATTGAGTAATTTAATAAATTGAAATAAATTTTCATTTATTATTGACATAAATTATTTCAAGATAATTTAAAAATATTTTATCTTATTTTTAAACAGCATCTTTTTCATATTATAAGAGAATAGGCCCTGAGAATTTTTCTTTTTCTTTTTTTTTAAGACAGAGTCTCGCTCTGTTGCCCAGGCTGGAGTGCAGTGGCGTGATCTCGGTTCACTGCAAGCTCTGCCTCCTGGGTTCATGCCATTTTCCTGCCTCAGCCTCCCGAGTAGCTGGGACTACAGGCGCCTGCTACCATGCCTGGCTAATTTTTCGTATTTTTAGTAGGGATGGGGTTTCACTGTGTTAGCTAGGATGGTCTCAATCTCCTGACCTTGTGATCTGCCTGCCTCAGCCTCCCGAAGTGTTGGGATTACAGGCGTGAGCCAGTGCGCCTGGCCTCTTTTTCTTAACACTCCAGTGAGTATTTAACACCCCACTGGGTGATGTGGAGATACTGAGAAATTTAAAGTTTTCATTATACCAGTGAAATACTATATAAAGTAAAATACTATATATGGTATAACAGATGGTGAAAAGTGATAAGGAGACAAATTATGCAGGAAAACGATATAGAGAATGCTCTGGGGGGTCTTGGGAGTTGGGATGTTATACTTTTAGAAATGCTGTTCAGGGAAGCTCTCACTGGAATGGTGATCTTTGAGTAAACGTCTGAAGGTAGTGACAGTGAACTCTTCAGCTCTCTGGAGAGTGTTGCATGCAGAATTAGGAAGTGCATAGGCCCTGAGGTGGGAACCTGCCTGGCATGTGTGAAGAAAGCACAGAGGCTGAAGCTGGAGCCTTGTGAGTGAGAGGAAGAGGGCAGAAATATGATAGGGCCAGGTCACCTAGGGCCTCACACCATTTGTAAGGCTTTTTTTTTTTTTTTTTGTATTTTTTGTAGAGATGGGGTTTCAGCATGTTGCCCAGGCTGGTCCCGAATTCATGGGCTCAAGCAGTGTGCCTGCCTCAACTTCCCAAAGTGCTGGGATTACAGGCATAAGCCACTGCGATGGACTGTTTTATTTTGGTTTTTTATTCTGAGTGGTTTTCATTGGAAGTTTTCAGCAGAGGAGAGAAGATATGATTTAACTCTTAGTAGGATCACTGACTGCTTTGTTGAGAGTATGTTGATTGTGCCTGTGAAATAATGGCCTTACCTGTTTCCCAGGTATCTATAGATCAAGGTAGCATAGCAGAGCTGAGAGAGTAGAGGCTTTGGAGTCTTAAAAGACTACCTAGGTTGGAATCCTGCTTCTACCACTGAAATCTTTTATCTTAAATGTCTGGCTTTTCTGAACCTCATTTTTCTCTCAGCGTTGCTGTAAAGTTAAAATTTTATATCATATCATGTGTATAAATTAATATAAAGTTTTATTACACATAGTATATATGAAAAGTATATATTTATATTATGAAGATATCATTACTATTTCAAAATGTGATGAAATTGGAATTGTTAAAAGGCACATGGAAACAGACTGTTGACCATTTCAGTTTGTTCTCTGACAAGTAGGCCTAAACTCTCTAAGATAAGGACTTCCCTTAAGTTTCATTCAGGAGTAAATCAGTAATGTACCAGACAGCATGATTATTAGCAATTAAAAATTATAAATAATTTTTTAAAAATTCTTATTTCTATCCTTTACCCTAACTGGTACCTTTGTAAAGCTATGTAGCTGAAATTCCTATTTTCTTCTTTGGTATCTTTATCTGAAATATATTTTACCCTCTTGAAACATTTTCAGTGGTTGTGCAATTTTAGGGCAATTTTCTTTCAGGAGATTTTTGGCTTCCATTATTATTATTGAAAAATGAGCTTTCTAATGGTGATTTCTTTTGGCACTTTGAATATGCCATCCTCTGCCTTCTGCCCTCCATTGTTCTGATGAGAAGCCAGCTCTTTATCGTCTTGAGATTCCCTTGCATGTGACAAGTCATTTTTCTCTAGCTGCTTTCAGGAAGTTTTCTGTCTTTCAGCATTTTTACTGTGATGTATCTGCACGTGGTTCTCTTTGCATTTATTCTACTTGCAATTTGTTGAGTTTCTTGGATGTGTAGGGTAATGTTTTTCAACAAATCTGGGAAGTTTTCAGTCACTGTTTCATTTAATATTTTTTCTGCTGTTTTCTGTCCTCTCCTGCCATTCCCATTAGGTGTATGTTGGTGTGTTTAGTGGTGTCTCACATTTCTCTGGGACTATTCATTTTTCTTCATTCTGTTTTCTCCGTTCTTCAGATTGCATAATCTCTGTCGATCCATCAAGTCTGCTGATCCTAGTTCAAATCTACTATTGTGCTGTTCTGGTCACATTTCATTTCAGTTACCCTTTCAGTGTAAGAATTCCCATTTGGTACCTTTTTTTTTTTTTTTTTAATCACTTCTCTCACTTTAGTGATATTCTGTCTTGCTAATACATTGTTATCATGCCTTTCTTTCTTTCTTTTTTTTTTTGAGACAGGGTCTCACTCTGTTGCCCAGGCAGGGGTGCGGTGGTGCGATCTCGGCTCCCTGCCACCTCCATCTCCCAGGTTTAAGCGATTCTCCTGCCTCAGCCTCCCAAGTAGCTGGGATTACAGGCACATGCCACCATGCCTGGCTAATTTTTGTACTTTTAGTAGAGACGGGGTTTCACCATGTTGGCCAGGCTGGTCTCGAACTCCTGACCTTGTGATTCACCTGCCTCAGCCTCCCAAAGTGCTGGGATTACAGGTGTGAGCCACTGTGCCTAGCCTATTTTTAAATTTATTTTATTTTATTTATTTATTTATTTTTGAGATGGATTTTCACACTGTCGCCCAGGCTGGAGTGCAGTGGCGTGATCTTGGCTCACTGCAACTTCCGCCTCCCGAATTCAAGCGATTCTCCTGCCTCAGCCTCCCAAGTATCTGGGATTACAGGTGCCCGCCACCACGCCTGGCTAGTTTTTTGTATTTTTAGTAGACATGGGGTTTCACTATGTTGGCCAGGCTGGTCTTGAACTGCTGACCTCATGATCTGCCCGCATTGGTCTCCCAAAGTGCTGGGATTACAGGTGTGAACCACCACGCCCAGTCTATTTTTTATACACAGAGGGTCTCACTTTGTTGCCCAAGCTGGTCTCAAACTCCTGAGCTCAAGGGATCCTCTCACCTCAACCACCCAAAGTGCTGGGATTACAGGCGTGAGCCACTGTGCCTGGCACTAGACAAAATTTGTTTGTTGTTTTTTTTTTGGTTTTTTTTTTTTTTTTGAGACAAAGTCTCATTCTGTTGCCCAGGCTGGATTGCAGTGGTGCCATCTTGGCTCACTGCAACCTCCACCTCCTGGGTTCAAGCAATTCTCCTGCCTCAGCCTTCCTAGTAGTTGGGATTATAGGCACCTGCCACCACGCCCAGCTAATTTTTGTATTTTTAGTAGAGACAGGGTTTTGCCATGTTGGTCAGGTTGGTCTGGAACTCCTGACATCAGGTGATCCACCCACCTCGGCCTCTCAAAGTGCTGGGATTACAGGCATGAGCCACCGCACCTGGCCAAAATTTGTTTCATTGTTCTGCAACGTATTTGTTTTAAATTAGATGAGGCAACATCTTAATGATGCATTTACAGTGCTGAACAACAGGCAAATGTGAGTCCTCATCTAAGCAGATGCTATTTTTTTCTTGGCAAGTAGAAACTGTGAATGAAAATTGAGAAGTGTCATGGGACTTCTGTTTGTTTATTCCTAGTATTCTCAGAAGTGATTTTTTTTTTTTTAAGTGATCCATCAGATAGCCTTCTTCTAGGCTGGGCAGTTGCAAACCTACACTGCCTGACTTAAAAATGCCTCTTGGGAATGGCCACCTAGCTGTTACAGGAACCATCCTCTACCTCCCTTACCCAAATACTCTCTTTCAGGTCTTCCTGCACTCTTCCCTTTCCTTCCCTGACAACAAAAATTTTACTTCCGTCTGGACCTCTCAACCCCTGCCATTGCCTCTTCATGGTACCCTAGTTTGAGTCCTGGTAATGGGTTACAATGGAATAAGGAATGGGAGCATTCCTGTTCTAAGTCCCTCTCTGTGCTTTGCACACTAAAGCCCACTCAAACACCAGGAGCCTAGGTATGCCTCTGAGATTAAAGGGAGTTTTCAGACCCCAGGTCCCCAGTCCAGAGAACACCATTATCATCATAGCATGCCTTGAAATGGGGGCAAGGGCCAGTCTATATTAGAGTGAACTGCATCGATTTTGGTGCTACCCTTTCCCACTTGTATGGCCTTGGGCCAGTCATCTCATATCTCTATTTCCTCATCTGATCAATGGAGTTTATACTCGCTGTCTTGTAAAAATGTTGCATTACAGTATTAAAAACAACAGATTTGAAAGTAACACAATATGTAGTAGCTGAACAAGAAATACTATTTCCCCTTTTCCAACAGAGTCTAAGTTACCAAAAAGAAGAAAAATGTAAAAGAGAGCTTTTTATTCTCCCTCATTTTTTTAAGTAGTTAAAACTTTACAAAATCTAAATTACCTCAAAGATCTAGATAAATAGGTAGGGGGAGAAAGTGTGTGCCGGTACTCTGTTCTCCAGGAGTCTGGGAAAAGGGAAAGACCCAAGCTGAAAGAAACATGGAGACAGTGGAAAGGAGAGGTATCAAGGCCAACCCTCAGCTTTCTTAGACAAAACAGGTACGTTCTGTGAAGGATTACTCAGAATGTGATGTCAGGCAGCCTCCCCTCTGTGTCTCTTTCTCCAGCTCTCCCTCTTGAGACTCCATTTCCCCTTTGACAACCCTGCCTTATCTTCATAACTGTGGACTGTCTTTTTCTGTATCTACAGGGACCTGCATTCATGACTGTATTAGCAAGCTTTCTTTTAGACTTAATAAAAATATTTTTGTCATTTACTGCATTTATATATGACACTGGGATCTGTTGCAGTTATGTTCAGTAAGGCAGCATCCCACATGTGTAATTTCACAAAAATGAAGTCATCCTGAAGGATTCTCTCACCTTTCTAAGTCCTGGGAGTCTGAGGAACTATATACCTTTGCTCTGTGTGATGGCTGGCTGGCTGGCTTGCTTATTTATTTATTTATTTGTTTGTTTGTTTGTTTGAGATGGAGTCTTGCTCTGTTGCCCAGACTGGAGTGCAGCGCCGCGATCTCAGCTCACTGCAAACTCTGCCTCCTGGGTTCAAGTGATTCTCCTGCCTCAGCCTCCAAATCCATGCCTGGCTAATTTTTGTATTTTTAGTAGAGACAGGGTTTCACCATGTTGGCCAGGCAGGTCTCTAACTCCTGACCTCAAGTGATCTGCCCGCCTCAGCCTCCCAAAGTGCTAGGATTATAGGCACGAGCCACCACATACGGCCTTATTATTTATTTTATTAAAAATTTTTTTTTGTAGCAATTATAATTTTTTTTTTTGGTAAAGACAAAATGTCTTACCATGTTGCCCAGGTTGGTCTCACTCAAACTCCTGGCCTCAAGTGATCCTCCCACTTTGGCCTCCCAAAGCCCTGCGTTTACAGGTATGAGCCACTGCACCCATTCCCTTTGCTGTGTTTTTCTGTGCTTATGTGTAGCTGCCAGAGAAGTCAGTCCTTGGCAGGCCTTTTTTTTTTTTTGAGACGGAGTCTCGCTCTGTCGCCCAGGCTGGAGTGTGGTGGTGTGGTCTCAGCTCACTGCAACCTCCATCTCCCGGGTTTAAGCAATTCCCTTGCCTCAGCCTCCCAAGTAGCTGGGATTACAGGTGCCCGCCATCACGCCTGGCTAATTTTTTTGTAGTTTTAGTAGAGATGGGGTTTCACCATGTTGGCTGGGCTGGTCTTGAACTCCTGACCTCGTGATCTGCCCACCTCGGCCTCCCAAAGTGCTGGGATTACAGGCGTGAGCCACCACGCCCAACCTTTTTTTTTTTTTTTTTTTTTTTTGATACGGAGTCTCCCTCTGTCGCCCAGGCTGGAGAGCAGTGGTGTGATTTCTGCCCACTGCAACCTCCACCTCCTGGGTTCAAGTGATTCTCCTGCCTCAGCCTCCTGAGTAGCTGGGATTACAGGCATGCGCCACCACGCCTGGCTAATTTTTTGTATTTTTAGTAGAGACGGGGTTTCACTGTCTTGGTCAGGCTGGTTTCAAACTCCTGACCTCGTGATCTGCCCGCCTTGGCCTCCCAAAGTGCTGGGATTACAGGCGTGAGCCATCGCGCCCGGCCGGTCCTTGGCAGGCTTTCTAAAGCAGAATTTCACAGCTTCTTACTCCAGAGGATGGATTAGGACTGGTGCCAGTGAGACTTCTTTGGGAGAGCCCTGGCCATCTCCTGGCTGCTGCTGTCCAGGGGCCTTTAGGACAGGCTGTACCATCTTTTAGAATTACCATGCTAGTTCTTTTAGTGATTCAAATTTCATCTCATTAAAGGATTTTAGAGCTGAAAAGACAAACACACCAAGGCTCACTTTTGGAAGGTTACCAAAAAATAGTGATTGCATGTAAAACGTTTTAAGATTTTTCCTTTGGAAATTAAAAGACAAGTAGTGTGATTGAATGTGCTCTTTGCCTGTGGCGCTGGGAGTATTTGGGTTTGCTCTAGCCTGCAGAATAGAAAGGAGGGGCTCTTGTCCCTTCTTGGGGGCAGGGTCCATCTTTCAATATTGCTGTTTAGGTATTTCACTGCTGTCAGCTGGGAAGTAAATGGAGGAGGAGGACTTCTCTAAATACCTTACTGTGGATTCATAACTTCCCCCCTTTGAATTCTATGGCCTTTCAGGTCTGTGGGAATGTATTTGGGATAATAAGGCAGGAAACAAGTGTGAGATGCTATCTTGTCTGTCAGAGGGCCAGCCATGAGAACCATCAGAAAAAAGTGGGCATACCAGGTTGCATTCTCCATCTAGCAGCCTGTGGTCACAGCAGCAAGATGTCTGGCTTTCCCTAACTTCAACCTTCAAACCATTTGTTCATCCCATTTAATTTTTAATTTTTATTTATTTATTTATTTTTGAGACGGAGTCTTGCTTGCTCTGTTGCCCAGGCCGGAGTATAGTGGTGCGATCTCAGCTTACTGCAACCTTCGCCTCCTGGGTTCAAGTGATTCTCCTGCCTCAGTCTCTCGAGTAGCTGGGATTACAGGCGTGCGCCACCACACCTGGCTAATTTTTGTATTTTTAGTAGAGATGGAGTTTTGCCATGTTGGCCAGTCTGGTCTCAAACTCCTGACCTCAGGTGATCCACCCCCTTTGGCCTCCCAAAGTGCTGGGATTACAGGCATGAGCCATCATGCCCGGCCCATCCCATTTAGTGTCAGTTTGTTTTAATCAGTATTTGATATTTAGATACTGACATGTTCAAATTCTATCTATCTGTAAAAAATGTTTTTTAGGTAACTTCCTAAATTATTTGTTTCTGTTAGAACGTTTGTACAGAATGATTTTAAACAGAGGAAACTTGTTTATAGATGCCCTTTAATGTCATCAAATATTTTCTTAAAAACCTTTATGATGTTTTTAATGCATTGAAACAAATTGTTCCAAAAAAACCAAATCAACAGTCTTTAAAATACTGAATTTTAGATAATGAAAAGAAGTGAAATGCTGAGGAGGCAGAGAAAAAAAATTTGAGAAATTACCTGATCATGGTAAAAATATCCTGACAGGACCAGTGGTTAGACAGGCAGAACTTCCTCGGGAGAGCCCCGCCCCTTCTGTGGCAAATCCTGTCTCCAGTTTCCTGCACATCCTACTCTGTGTTCAAAGGTTTCCCTGTGAGAGATTAGTTCACAGTTGCTGACACCTCACAATCTCCCTCACAACCTGCAGGAACCGTTACTTTGAGTTGTCAGAGGGTCATTCAGCTCATAGCTACTTTTCATAAACCATCCTAAAAATGTTCTTTATTGACTTGTAGATTTGTAAAAATTGTATCTGTTTAGGAAGGTGAACCTTCCGGAAAGAGAAAAGCAGAAGATGATGATAAAGCAAATAAAAAGCATAAGAAGTATGTGATCAGCGATGAAGAGGAAGAAGATGATGATTGAAGTATGAAATATGAAAACATTTTATATATTTTATTGTACAGTTATAAATATGTAAACATGAGTTATTTTGATTGAAATGAATCGATTTGCTTTTGTGTAATTTTAATTGTAATAAAACAATTTAAAAGCAAGTCTCTATGTTTAAGAAATCTACTTTTCCGGCCAGGCGCGGTGGCTCATGCCTGTAATCCCAGCACTTCGGGAGGCCGAGGCAGGTGGATCACAAGGTCGTGGTGGCGGGTGCCTGTAGTCGCAGCTACTCGGGAGGCTGAGGCGGGGGAATTGGTTGAACCCAGGAGGCAGAGGTTGCAGTTAGCCGAGATCGCGCCACTGCACTCCAGCCTGGCGACAGAGCAAGACTCTGTCTCAAAAAAAAAAAAAAATCTACTTTTCCCAAAGCGAACTGATTTTGTTAATGCTTTAAACAAACAAAGTCTTAGGTCTCAGTGAATTCCTGCTGCTCTCTCAACCCCCTTCCTCTCATTCCCCACAAAGAAGCCTTCTGGGCCAGGCTGAGATTCTCTCACAATTCTGGAGACTTGGAGTCCAAAATCAAGGTGTGGGACGGCCATGCTGCCTCTGAAGATTCTTGACAGGGATCCTTCCTTGCCTCTCAGTTTCTGGTAGTTCCTGGTGATCTGTGGCTTTTGACAGTATGACTTCAGTCTCTGCCTCTGTCTTCACATGACCTTCCTTGTGTCTCTGTTCCGGGTCTCAGTATCTCCAGATCTCCCTCTGTTTGTAAGGACACTATTCATTGGATTTAACTCTAATCTGGTGTGATATCATTTTAACTAATTACATGTGCAAAATTCTCTGTTTCCATATAAGGTCACATACTGAAGTTGTGGGTAGACATGGATTCGGCGGGGGGTGGGGGGGTAGGTCACTATTTGATCCACAATGATAACGATGATATTGTTGTAATATAATTGTTAAAATATTGTATTCAAAATTAATGTCAAAAAATCCATAATGAACAAAATGTCAAAATTTTAAATAAAGATGGGATCTGGGCCGGGCGCAGCGGCTCATGCCTGTAATCCTAGCACTTTGGGATGCCAAGGTGGACATCACCTGAGGTCAGGAGATCGAGACCATCCTGGCTAACACGGTGAAACCCTGTCTCTACTAAAAATACAAAATTAGCCGGGCATGGTGGCGCGTGGCTGTAATCCTAGCTACTCGGGAGGCTGAGGCAGGAGAATTGTTTGAATCTGGGAGGCGGAGGTTGCAGTGAGCTGAGATCCTGCCACTGCACTCCAGCCTGGGTGACAAGAGTGAGACTCTGTCTTAAAAAACAAAAAATACAAAGGGACGGGAATTTGATTCCTCTTGATGGGAAGAATGGCAAAGGATTTGCAGGTACGTTTGAAATCCACCACACACATATTTGCCTTCTCTGTGGAGCTCTTCTGCATACACTAATCTTGTCCTTACTGACAGCCTCTACTTTTACTCTTCTTTCTTCCTGGTGCTATTAGTCCAAACTGGGAGTGGTAGTTGTGGGAGGCTTATCCTGAAGCCTGGTTATAGAGAAAGAAAAGTGACATCAAGAGAAGGGAGGCCTAAGTCATCATCATGTCACTTTCCTAACTCAGAAATCTTCAGTGCCAGCTATTTCCTGGCTAATCAAATGGAAACTCCTCTACCTGGTTTTTAAGAGCCTTCATTCTGACTCCAGTCTCTCCAAGGCAACACAGTTTTGTGTGTTTGTGTTAAACATTTTACCAGTAGACACCTGTGTCAGTTGTTAAGCTCTTGTCTCGTCTCCAAACCTACTCTTCTGTACCTGGCATGGTGGTGCTGGGGCCAGGAGTCCACAAACCAGATTTGAGCTTCACCAGCTGCCCCCTATTAGGGGGCGCCAAAGGAAGACTGGAAGCCTGGAGAACTAAGAAGGGATTGCTCCTTCCTGTTTGCTTATGGAACTTTCTGGGGGGCTTCCTGTTGACTTGCCATTTTCTGTGAGAGGACCCACCAACACTTCTTCACCTCAGCAGAGGCAGAGCCTTTCTGCAGCTGCAGAGTCCAGTTTGCAGTTTTGCCAGCACTTGGAGACCCGGCTTCATTTTCTCCCCTGAGAGACATCCGGACCAGCTGGGCAGCAGCTTTTCCTCAGGTATGAGTTAAGCTCCAGGGGGCCCTTTATGTAAGTGTTTAAGTTTTTATAATCCCCCCTCGTCCCTATGTTCCCTCAGCCCCACAGGTGGAAGCTGTTCTTTGCATATGCTATCTCTGTGAACTCTTAGAGTTCCTCTTTTTATACTTTCAATAACCTAGTCCACAACTTTAAACCGAATTGAACTTTAAAATATTCTATCTGTACAGATAACTGGTGTGTTTTCTGTTTCCTGACTAGAACCTGACTAGGTGGTCAAGGAAACGAATCCTCAAAGATGGAGTTTAGGAGTTGGTGTGGGTTTGAGTGCAGTTCTGAGCTCCCCACCAATGAGAAGGGATGCTGGTAGCCCATGGTGTCCACTGGTATCACAATGAGTCAGATTATCTCATTTACTAGAGTAGACTACAAACTGGGGAAAGGAAATACCCAGAACTGGGGGATTACTAGATGCTGGCTCAGTTGATGCTCACTCCTAGAACCTAAAACACTCCACTAAATACAAAGTGGAGACTGACAGTGGTCAGGTGATAGATGGAGTTTTAGCCCAAGTTCAACTCACAGTATGCCCTCCAGATTTACTGACCCACCTTGTGGTTGTTTCCCCAGTTCTTAAATACATGATTGGAGTAGATATATTTTGTCAACTGAGAGATTCCCCACATTGTCTTCTGATCCATGAAGCACCATTAAAGTAGAAAGGACCAAGTGGAAGCCCCTGGAACTTATTTTTCTCACCAGGATAATAAAGCAAAAACAACACTGCATGCTTGGGGGAATTGCAAAGATGAATGATACCATCAAAGACTTGAAAGAAGCAGAGGTGATGAGACCTCTTATATCCCCCATTTATTTATTCATTATTTTATTTCTTTATTTATGAGACAGAGTCTCGCTCCTTATTTACTTATTTTTGAGACGGAGTCTCACTCCATTGCCCAGCCTGGAGTGCAGTGGTGCGACCTCAGCCCACTGCAACTTCCGCCTCCCAGGTTCAAGTGATTCTCCTGGCTCAGCTTCCCGAGTAGCTGGGATTACAGACACAGGCTACCATGCCTGGCTAGTTTTTTTATATTTTTAGTAGAGGGAGGGTTTCACCATGTTGGCCAAGCTGCTCTAGAACTCCTGACCTCAGATGATTTGCCTGCCTCAGCCTCCCAAAGTGCTGGGATTACAGGCATGAGCCGCTGCACCCGGCCACATCCCTAATTTAGCTCACCTGTATGGCCTATTGGCAGATTGATCTTGGAAATGACTGGTTATCTTACACCGAATCAAATAATGACTATACTAGCGGCTGCTTTTTTTTTTTTTTTTTTTTTGAGACAGTCTCACTCTCACCCAGGCTGGGTCACTAGAATTGTGAGAAATATATTAAGCAGAGGAGGACATGTATCCTTCAAAAGCTGTAGGCAGGGCCAGGTGTGGTGGCTCACGCCTATAATCCCAGCACTTTGGGAGGCCGAGGTGGGTGGATCACCTGAGGTCAGGAGTTCAAGACCAGCCTGGGCAAATGCTTTTTTCCCCTCCATATTAATATGTAATGACAAATAGAAACAGTTTGCTTTTACTTTTTAGACCAATGGCACCCCTCATTAGACCAATGGTACCCCTTATTAGACCAATGAAGCCCCTTTGGTCTGAGGCAACAGTCTTGCCTCACAGCTACATGGACTTACCTATAATACTTTGCATATGGAGTCTGCAAAAATCGTGACCATCTTTATGTTCCCCATGTCACACTGGTCCACTGCATTGATGACATTATGCTGATGGTATCTGATCTGATGAGTAGGAAATAACTGTACTTTAGATGCCTTAGTAATCAGCGTGCAAACCAGAGAGTGGGAGATAATCCCCATCAAAATTTAGGGGCATGCCACCTCAGTGAAGTTTCTGGGGGACTAATGGTCTGGAGCATGTCTGGATAGCCCCTCCAAAATGAAGGATAAGGTGCTGTACCTTAAACCACCTACCAGTGCAAAAGAATGTTTGGTGGATCTTTCTGGATTTAGGAGCCAACGTACACTTTATTTCATTATGCTACTTTGACCTTTTGCCAAGTAAGGCAGAGATGCTACCTGTTTAAAGTGAGGACCAGAATAAGAGACTGTTCTGCAGTAATTCCAGGCTACAGGGCAAACTGCTCTTCCACTTTGGCCTAATAACCCAGCATATCTGATAATGCTCAGTGTGTTTGTGGCAAATATCACTGCTGTCTGAACCCTGCGGTTAGAATCAGCAAGAGAACTGAGTACAGGTCTCTAGGGATTTGAAACATATCCATGTCCTCTTTTGTAGACAGTCCCTTTTTTTTTTTTTTTTTTTTTGAGATGGAGTCTTGCTCTACCCCCAGGCTGGAGTGCAGTGGTGCGATCTCGGCTCACTGCAAGCTCTGCCTCCCGAGTTCACGCCATTCTTCTGCCTCAGCCTGCCGAGTAGCTGGGACTACAGGCACCTGCCACCACGCCCAGCTAATTTTTTTGTACTTTCTTAGTAGAGACAGGGTTTCACCATGTTAGCCAGGATGGTCTCAATCTCCTGACCTTGTGATCCACCCGCCTCGGCCTCCCAAAGTGCTGGGATTACAGGCGAGAGCCACCGCACCCAGCCTAGACAGGCCCTTTTAACACTTAATCATGGAACATCAAGTAACTACACAGGCTGAGCTTCTCAGAATGAACTGGGCATTTTCTGTCCCAGGAAGCCGTAAGATTGGGCGTATGTATGGCAGTCTTTTACCAATCTATTGTCTCGGCCCAATGAGGTCCAGAAGGCATGAGAAGGTTTCTTGTTTAGGTGGCTCAGACTCCCTTAATACAGACTCCTACTGAATTGCCTCTTCTGTCCCCTTCTCCAAAAGCAAAAAGCCTGGTTTCAAATATCCTCAATTTATTTACTCATTTGTTTAGTCCCCAGTATGCAAATAATAAAATGACTATGGCTGTCTGCTCAGCTCTGGGCCATACACAGTGGCTATGCAGGCCAAGTTCCTATTTAATTTATAGCTAAAAACCTCCACTCATATTGAGAATTAAAAAGATTCTAGTACTCAGAGTTCAAGAAAGGGGCAGCAACTGCAAATACCTTAAAGAAAACACCCAAGAAACTCCAACTGAATGAAATACTATGTGCTCATGTGTACTTTGCCAAATGATTTAAGATTTGACACAAATTAGGCTGGGTGTCGTGGCTCACACCTGTAATCCCAGCACTTTGGGAGGCCGAGGAAGGTGGATTACTTGAGGTCAGCAGTTCAGGACCAGCCTGGTCAACATGGTGAAACCCCGTCTCTACTAAAAACACAAAAATTAGCTGTGTGTGGTGGCAGGTGCCTGTAATCCCAGCTGCTACGGAGGCTGAGGCAGGAGAATTGCTTGAACCCAGGAGGTGGAGCTTGCAGTGAGCCAAGATCGTGCCACTGCACTCCAGCCTGGGCGACAGAGTGAGACACCGTCTCAAAAAATAAAATAAAATAAAAAATAAAAAAAGATATGACACAATTGTGGATAAATATGGACAACATAGGCTTCTATGAACATTCTTGCACAGTGCAGATACATTCAGTGTTGGGCTGGTCCTGAGCAGCACTGTTGTGAAATGCTGTTAAGCACTCTTTCTGTTTTGGTTCAGAATTTTGCTCCTTTGTTGCTACATATTTCAGCCGGGAGCCCTGGCAGGTGTTGGTTAACAGATGTCTTTGTTAGACAGCCACAATCACAATCAAAGCTACCATCAAATATACTTTGTGACAGTTTGGGGGATTCAAACAAGGGAAAAGAGTCAGCATAACTCCATTGCAAATGTCTTTTTCTTAAACTTTATAAAATTGTACAAATTATGCATCTAGCTATTCACTAACTTACTGACTTGCAATTTTTTTTTTTTTTTTTTGAGACGGAGTCTCGCTCTGCATCTCGGCTCACTGCAACCTCCACCTCCTGGGTTCAAGCAATTCTCGTGCCTCAGCCTCCTGAGTAGCTGGGATTACAGGCATGTGCCACTACGCCTGCCTAATTTTTGTAAGTTTGGTAAAGATAGGGTTTCGCCATGTTGACCAGCCTGGTCTCAACTCCTGACCTCAGGTGATCCACCCACCTCAGCCTCCCAGAGTGCTGGGATTACAGGCATGAGCCACCACATCTGGCCATGACTCAGACATTGTAACTAGGAAGATAGCCCTAAGCAATGGTGCTTTTCATGTTCTAGTAATGCACACATTTTGGCCCTGGCTCCTGATGCCACAAGTTTGTGTACTTAGGCTCACTTATGGATGCATCACTTTTAAAAGCCAGGAATTTAGGAAAGGTTCGTAACATTTTTATAGAACCTTAAGCTTTTTAAAGGGTAAACACTAGTAAAACTTCTCTAAAGAACTGGTCGGGCACAGTGGCTCAAACCTGTAATCCCAGCACTTTGGGAGGCCATGGCGGGTGGATCACTTGAAGACAGTAGTTTCAGATCAGCCTGACCAACATGGTGAAACCCTGTTTCTACTAAAAATTCAAAAATTAGCCGGGCATGGTGGTGTGTGTCTACAGTCCCAGCTACTTGGGAGGCTGAGGCAGAAGAATTGCTTGAACCTGGGAGGCAGAGGTTGCAGTGAGCCGAGATCGCACCATTGTACTCTAGCCTGGTTGACGAAGTGAGACCCTGTCTCAAAAAAAAAAAAAAAAAAAAAAGAAAAAAAAAAACATAAAAACAAATCACTCTCAAACTCAGCACTTACAATAAGCATTTACTATTATCATGCTGATTCTGAGGATTAGGAATTCAGGAATGGCTTCGCTGGTTGTTTCTAACTCAGAGTCTCTTGCAGGCTGCTGTCAAGATGTTGGCTGGCACTACATTATCTAAGGGCTTGCCTAGGGCTGAAGGATCTGTTTCCAAGATGGCTCACATGGGTTTTGGCAGGGGCCTTAGTTTTTCACTATGTGGACCTCTCCATAGGCAGTTTGAATGTCCTCACGGCATGGCAGGTGGCTTTCCCCAGAGCAAGTGACCTAAGACAGAAAGAGCAAGACAGAAAAGCCAGTGTCTTTCATAGCCTCATCTCGAATACAGGTTGTATTCTGCTGATCACATAGATCAATCATGACACAGTGTTGGAGGAGACCACACAAGGGCATGGAAACCAGAGGCAGGAATCACTAGGATGGGCAGGAACCTTGAAAGCTGGCTGCCACAGTGATTACCTTTCACCCACCAACTCTGCCTCCTCCTTTCTCCAAAGACACGCTAGTTAGTTAAGCTTCTGAGAACCTGGCTTAGGGAGCCAGTTTGAGGTTGGTTTAGTGGAGATTTGGCTTATGAATCTTTGGACTATGTTGAAGTGGTGGACCAAGAACTAACTGTGTAAAGAACTTTAGTTGGAAAAATTAATACTGTGCATTTCCCCCCAACACCGAAGATCCTAGTGGGACCATGGATCTGTTTGGAGATATAGACGACGTTTCTTCTGAGAGTGATGAGGGCAATCAACCACCTATTCCAGGACAGCTGATTGTAAGTACGATCACCAATATCAACCAATCCCATTATTCAAAGCTAAAAAAGAAAGCTTCAGAGGCTGATGAATCTGTCTTTCTCATGTTGAGAGAGGACGTGGATAGCTGAACATCTGATGAATAGGTGACTTTCTTAGCTATATTGGGAATTTCTGGATATAAGAAGGCACAGAAGGAACTACCCAGAATAAGGGTGATGCCAAACTTTAGGGGCTAGACTAATATAAAATAATATAAAAATATAATTAATATGTAATATAAAAACCTTTGATTTAAAGTTTTTTCTTATTCAAGCCTATGACAAGAAGCATGAGCTATGCTGATATTCTGATTTTAATAGTTGTCTAGTATTGATGGGGTGAATAATTTCATACTTCTGTTGCTGAATATATTATGCAAAAAAGTCAATAAAATAGATACTTTTTTCTACTAATGTTGGCTAACAGATCTTGTTTTCCTGTGTTTTATTTGTTTTGTTTTGTCTTCCTTTTTTTTTTTTTTTTTTTTGAGACGAAGTCTCTAAGATTACAGGCGTGAGCCAGTAATCCGCGCCCAGCCTGTTTTGCTTTTTTGTAGGCATGAGGTGAGGTTTTAGGGAGAAGCTTGGAAGAGTTGCTGACTGTTTTATCCCTAAAGTGGAGTGTAAATTTACTTCCCAACCAGGGGTGGTGGCTCACGCCTATAATCCCAGCACTTTGGGAGGCCAAGGTGGGCACATCACCTAAGGTCAGGAGTTTGAGACCAGCTTGACTAACATGGTGAAACCCCGTCTCTACTAAAAATACAGAAATTAGCCAGGCTTGGTGGCACGGGCCTGTAATCCCAGCTACTCAGGAGGCTGAGGCAGGAGAATGGTTTGAACCCGGGAGATGGAGGTTGCAGCGAGCCGAGATCATGCCACTGCACTCCAGCCTGGGTGACAGAGTGAAAACTCCATATCAAAAAAAAAATTTACTTCCCGTCAAACCTGCATCTGCCTAGTGCAGGATGAGTAAAGCTAGCACATTTCTAATGTCTTCAATCTCTCACATTCTGATACCTTTCTTAGGATGAACATGGAGTGCCTCAGGACCAGCAGGAGGAAGAGCCAATTTCTGAAACCATAATAGAAGAAGAAATTCCCAGTATCAACTCTGATTTAGGAAATGAATTGTATTTTGTTAAACTACCCAAGTTTCTCAGTATAGAACCCAAGTAAGAGGACTGATTAAAATTTTCAAGATATTAAAAAAAATGCGTAGAATAAATATTTTTTCTTATTTGTCATGAGTTGACTAATCACAAAGATGGGAAATTTCTCATATAACTTTGAAAAATATAAATCTAGGATGTGCTGTGGTAGAAAAATGAATCACTGGTGAGAGAGAATTTTAATGCTAATAATTTTTCTAGCATTTTGGCACTTTCTTTTACATAAACAGATCACAATGGATGAAGGTGTTTTTCACTGGTATAAAGCTGACAAATCAGAAAACAAGAGTGAGAAAGTCTGCTAGAGAAATCACAAATGTTCTGGCCAGGTGCGGTGGCTCATGCCTGTAATCCCACCACTTTGGGAGGCTGAGGCGGGCAGATCACTTGAGGTCAGAAGTTTGAGACCAGCCTGGGCAAAATGGTGAAACCCTGTCTCTACTAAAAATACAAAAATTAGCCAGGCATGGTGGCGCACGCCTGTAATCCCAACTACTTGGGAGGCTGAGGCGTAAGAACCTCTTAAATCCAGCAGATGGAGGTTGCAGTGAGCCGAGGTTCTGCCACTGCACTCCAGCCTGGGTAACAGAGTGAGACTCTGTCTAAAAAAAAAAAAAAATTACAAATGTTTAATGCAAAATCCATTGCGAATCTAGAAAAGACAATTATTTTGTACTACAAAATAGTGTCAGTGGGTATGATTCACTAAGGTACACGCATGCAAGCTCTTATGCTTAACACATTTTCTTAAAAAATAAGGGAAGACAGTAAGACCTGTTGCCTATACTTTGGAAGACATATTTCATCAAATAACATTTTGAATTGTTAGTTGCATTTGAATTTCATTTCAGGCAATATGTTTTAGAGACAAATTTCAGAAAGCATGGTAATTTGCATACTTCTTTGAAGGTTTACATGAAGTTATTTGTCTACTGTGATTTTTGGAAACACATGAAGGCACATTGTGGGGATGATTAAATATAATATTAATCATATTCCTTACTAAATATGGCTAACATGATGTTAAAAACACAATTTTTAGACCTTTTGATCCTCAGTTTTATGAAGATGAATTTGAAGATGAGAAAGTGCTTGACGAGGAAGACAGAATCAGGTTAAAATTAAAGGTACCATCCTACACTTTATTCCTTTTTTACGTTTTTCCTTTTATAAAGTAAAGCAGGGATGACAACTTGAGACTTGAGCTTGCGAAATCCTCTTATGATTCTTGTTCAATAGCTCTTTAGACCTAGGAATTAAACACCTTTTCGGAATATTTTTACGGGAGGAGGTATGTGCCCTTTTTTATCCCTGTAGAATTGTCACTTTCTTCTTTTGGTTGCAGTTATGCTTTTTTTGACATAAGTAAAGATAAAAATTTTTGAAAATTGTTAGCTACTTCCTTCAGGATAAATAATAATAAGGTATATGGAATTGCCTCCACATTTTACAGTGGGTGGATCCTGGCAATTTCCCACAACAGAAATATCTCCTTTCTTCATGGATATTCAAACTATGCACAAAAGAGACCTTGTCATTAGGTGGTTCCCTCTTGAAGGCCTGGGACGGCAAAGTACTACCAACTGCTTTCACAGGCGTGTTGTTCTTCCTTAAGGGGGTTTCCTTTAAAACAATTTTTTTTTTTAAATTTAAAACTTTTGTGTGTTTTTTTTTGTTTTTGTTTTTGTTTTTGAGATGGGCCTCGCTGTTTTGCCCAGAACGGTCTCAAACTCCTGGGCTCAAGTGATCTTCCCACCTCAGCCTCCTGAGTAGCTGGGACTACAAGTGCACACCACCACACCTGGCTACAGGATTTCCTAAGAGTTTCTACCAGGGGCCCCAGTGGTATCATTGGGCAGGGGAAATTGTTGTTGTTGTTGTTACTTTTGTGACTTGGAGTTCACCATATGGGTAGAATAAATTTAGACTCAAAAACAGGGCAAAGCACCGATCTCATGTTTTAATTTTTTGTTAATTAGTTGTTTATTCTTTTTAAAAAATTGTAATTTCATGCCCAGAGCTTCCCTGTCTCACTAGGTGAATGGGGGCACTTTTTAGCCCTTCTTTCATTGGGTTCATCTTCAAGTGGCCCTGCCATAGGCAGAGGTCTCATTTTAAACTCTCTGCCTCATGTGGACCCTAAGCCTCATGCTCTCTCCTTTGGAGTTCTTCATGTGTTTTGTTTGATAACACCTCTGGCCTGCGTCCTACTTAGCTCCTGCTTCCACTGCTATGAACTGGAGCTCAGAAAAGATTTAAAGAAAATGTCTGGTTAGTTTAACCAACATCTCTAGGTATTTGTAGCAGGTAGGTTTCAGTTTTGCTGAATCAGTTAGTTTTTGTAAGCTTCTTCTATCATTACCTATCAAGTCTTTACACATGATTATAAATCACTTGAAGAAAGAAGAACATTTAGTTAGCTAAACTGGTTTAACTAACCAATGCCTCTGGGTTTTTAACCAGGTAGAAAATACTATAAGATGGAGGATACGCCGGGATAAAGAAGGAAATAAAATTAAAGAAAGCAATGCTCGGATGGTCAAGTGGTCAGACAGAAGGTGAGCATAAAATGCCTGAAAAATACTGACATACCAAGAGGGAGGCCTGGGATGAGTGAGGTTTTCTTTGTAGAAACTTCTTTTGGGGTCATTTTCTTTTCTTCTTTTTTTTTTTTGAGACAGACTCTTGCTCTGTCAGGCTGGAGTGCTAGAGTGCAGTGGTGCAATCTTGGCTCACTGCAACCTCCGTCTCCTGGGCTCAAGCAATTATTCTGCCTCAGCCTCATGAGTAGCTGGGATTACAGGCATGTGCCACCATGCCCAACTAATTTTTGTATTTTCAGTAGAGACAGGGTTTCACCATGTTGGCTATGCTGGTCTCAAACTCCTAACCTCAGGTGATCCGCCTTCCTCGGCCTCCCAAAGTGCTGGGATTACAGGAGTGAGCCACTGCGCCCAGCCTGGGGTCATTTTCACTAAAGGATTTACAAAAATCTAGGTCTCTGGAATTACCTAGGAAACCTGAGAGAAGTAAATAGGGTGGAGGTCTTATAGCTGTGCTGGTGGAGACTTCAGAAATGAACTGAAGATGTGACAAAAGCCATTGTGTCTACCTTACTGATGTGAAAGACTAAAGGTAGCTCCCATTGGTGAGATATCAGACATGACAAATTGATATTTTTGAAAACTTGTTTCTGCTTTGCTAATGAAGTGGTAGAGATTTATAAAATTACAAAACAATTATATTTCAAGTTAAAAAGAGGATAGATTTTTACCACTTTTTACTCTGGAAGGAGACAGGTTATTTACAGCATCTTTTCTGCTTTTCCTATGAATTCAGTATGAGGTCAGGATCTAGCAGTTCCACACTATTTTAAGCAAAGCTCACAGGGCAGAATGGAAGCCATAGGACTCATTAAATATCCACCCTAATATTTGAACTATTTCTCATTTCCAGCATGTCCCTGCATTTAGGCAATGAAGTGTTTGATGTGTACAAAGCCCCGCTGCTGGGCAATTACATCCACCTGTTTATAAGAGAAGACACTGGTCTACAGGGACAAGCCGTCTTTAAATCCAAACTTACCTTTAGGTAACTATTACACCGACACGATTACTTGCATTTAAGGAGCAACAAAGTAGAGATAGGACAACTCACCCCTGGACCATGGTCTGGTTCTCATACACCTTTTTCAAGTTTACTCCAAGCTGCTATTTGTCAGGGAGCCAGTTCATCCTATCAGAATTCCCAGGAGAGTGATTATAGCCCAGAATGTAGGTATGTTAATCCACATTGATCAGTATACTTGGTAAGAAGCCTGCAGGATTTGTCCTTGCAACTCTGCTGCTCAGCAGGTCCTTTCCCTGGAGTGAAATTGACCTGGGAAGCTAGGCCATCATCAGAATGGTGTTGGTGTGTGCCGGCAACAGACCCGGCAGGCTGGGCTCTCCACTCACCTGAGGCTGCTGCAGCCTGTGCCTAAGCAGTCAGATACTGGGGCCAGCTAAGCTCAGTGTTGTGGCCCCTTCTCCATGCCTTCCCTCTGAAGGACACAGTACTGTTGATTAGGAGTAGGGTTTCCTCCAGAGGTGGAGTACTTAAAAGACAAGCACTCTTTTGGGGGACGTGGAAGTTTTCTAAAATCAGATAGGGGTCATGGTTGTAAAACTGTTTAGTTGTATACTTAAACGAATGGATGTTATAGTATGTAAATCATATTCAGTAAATCTGTTGGTCTTTTTATAGACTATAAATAAGGACAGCTCTGAGGTTATGTAATCTTGAGGAAGGGTTGCAATCACACTAATTTCCACCTTCCTTATCTATAAAATTGCAATAACAACATCTACTGCACACGGATGTTGTATCAATGAATTCAAATAACACACAGAACATCAAACAGAGACCTGGCACAAGTGGTGAGTGGTGCTCAATCCAGTCTCTTAATCATCTCTCCTAGAATAGCATCCTAAAAGACGTGTGATTCTGAGCTTGCTTTTTTTCACTGTCCCCTGTGCTCCACACTGCGATAATATTTGACTGCCTGGCACCATCTCATTCTGGACGTCCCGTCTCTTTATAGCCATGCTCTCTCTTCCAGAGACTCCCCTAAGGATCATTCTCCTCCCCTCTGATATACGTAATTAAAAGCTGCCTTCCTATAGTCAGGAAGACATTTCTTTCCGCCCCAGGACTCCTGGTCTAGCTGTATTATCCCCCTGGGCTGTTATAAGGCCCCTGCTGCTACTGTGACCTACCTCCTTGCTTTGACTTCCAATTTTTTCCAGATGAAGAGACTCATTGTTAGTTCTCTAATTGTCCCTTCTGGCATCTGCATCTCTCTCTGGAAACTGAGATTTCATATTCCTTCTCTTCTCCTCTCTCTGACTGCAATCGGGGATATTCTTTGTAAAAGACTGACGTTGCCACCTGCCTCTCCTCACTTCCACTGCACTCCCACTTTAGCCCAGTCAGCTTTCCCCAGGAGGTGGGGCAGAGGGAGGAGCTTCTCAGGAGGCTGGAGAAGGAAGAACTGTGATCCTGCCTCCTCTGTCTGCTGAGTGTGAGGTCCTCGTCCCCGGGTGTTTTTGCTGTCAGTATGCTTGCCTCCAAATGTTCTTAGTAACCAGTGAGACATTTTTGTCCACTTCCTGGCAGACCTCACTCTAGAGACAGTGCCACATACAGAAAGATGACCCTGCCACTTGCTAATAGAAGTTCAAAGACACAGAAAATTAGAATCTTACCAATGGCGGGTCGTGATCCTGAAGGCCAACACACACAAGTGATGAAGAAGGTATGTTTGCTAAGCTTTATCCTGGGACATTTGGGGTAGTAAGACCTATGTTTTCCAGAACATTAATTCACCATTTCTTATTGCCACTGCTGTTTTATTTCTTGCAGTTATTAGGGAACCAGCTTAACCTTCTAAGTGTGTAGTTAACCACAGTAATGTCAATGGCTGCTGGTGAGACTACCAAACAAAGGACTCTGAAATCTAGAAAACTGATGATTTTAAAAAAGTAACCTTTCACAAACATACATTGTGAACCCCAATGTGTGAAATGCCAGGCAGATTTTAAAAAATGAAGTCTACCTTGTGGCTCAAGAACTGTCCCCTAGTAAGGCCTCCCCATTCTCTCACTGGAGCTATGGGGAGCTCTGGGTTGAGGGGTCAGGACAGGAATATCTGGGAGCCATGGGAGTTTGGTGGAGCCTGGGCAGGTCAGGTGGTTGTGGCTCAGGGATGAACAGAAACAGCCTCTGCTGCTCCAGGAGGTCAATTCGGGTGGGATGCTTCTCTCTGGGCCAAGTGGCAGCACAAAACAGCAGCATAGCTCTGGAGGACAGGCCTGTGCCAACAGAACACCAGCAAGGTTCTGAAGGACAGGCCTGTGCCAATGCCAATTGAGCCGGTTAGTGTCAGGGCACCCTTCTGCTGCTTCTTTTTGAGATGGAGTCTCGCTCTGTTGCCCAGGCTGGACTACAGTGGCATGATCCTGGCTCACTGCAACCTCTGCCTCCCAAGTTCAAGTGATTCTCCTGCCTCAGCCGCCCAAGTAGCTGAGGACTACAGGCATGCGCCACCACCTCCATCTAATTTTTGCATTTTTTGGTGGAGACGGGGTTTTGCCATGTTGCCCAGGCTGGTCTCGAACTCCTGACCTCAAGAGATCTGCCCGCCTTGGCCTCCCAGAGTGCTGGGATTACAGGCGTGAACCACACCTGGCCCCTTCTGCCTCTTCACCCTTGCATTGCCTTCACACCTGCAAACCAATGGATCCACGTGGAGTAACAGAGGTGTGATGGGGAAGATGGTACCCCAAAGACACATGGGACAGCTGTTATGTGTTCTTTATGGTAAAAGTAGATGCAAGAGGGCACAAGTTTCTGTTTTAGGCTGAAGAGGTTATTTGCTTTTTTACAGAAAGAAGAACGCTTGAGGGCTTCCACTCAACGGGAGTCTCAGGGAATCCATCTGCGGGAGAAGCGCTACCAGGAGTGGCCAAGTGTCTCCTACCAGGACCCTGGCAGTGACAGTGCAGAGGAGGAAGGCAAGCACACCTTCAGCCTGGCTGCTATTAAAAACTATTATCAAGGTGAACTCCAAAGTGAGTCAGGTATGGAGGTCACATTTCATCATTTCAGGGTGGCAGTGCCTGCTTTTGCTCTGGCGAGCTCTTAGTCCTTGTCCTACTATTTACTGAGGACAAAAGTACGAAGGCCTTTTTGTTTTTCTTAGGGCTACTCCCCCACAGAAAAGATTAGCTGTGAAAATATGGCATCTGGCCGGGCACAGTGGCTCACGCCTGTAATCCCAGCACTTTGGGAGGCCGAGGCAGGCGGATCACCTGAGGTCAGGAACTCAAGACCAGCCTGGCCAACATGGTGAAACCCCGTCTCTACTAAAAACAAAAAAATTAGCCAGGCATGGTGGTGGACCCCTGTAAACCCAGCTACTCGGGAGGCTGAGACAGGAGAATCGCTTGTACCCAGGAGGTGGAGGTTGCAGTGGGCCAAGATTGCACCACTGCACTCCAACCTGGGCAACAAGAGCAAACTTTGTCTCAAAAAAACAAAGAAAGAAAAAGAAAAAGGAAAACATGGCATCCTCCAAATAAAATCAGTTAAACAATTTATGTCCTTGTGGAGGGAAATGTATATAAGGCAGTTCCTCTGCTTGTATAAAGACCCAATATTTAAGCTTCACAGTTCTTAAAATTGATGTGTGCGTATTTAAAAGTGATCAAATAACCTCTCTGAGAACAAAATCTCTCAAATCTAGTCATTTCAGCATGTCTGAAAGTTCTATTTACCTTCCCGCTGAAACTTTTAAAGAAAGTTGACTCCTTCAGGAAAAATGTACAGTAGGAAGTAACAATATTTGGCAGAAGAAACATTGAGAAATAAACCATCTTTGAAGGTGAATCCCATGTCTAAAATTCCTTTGCTTTCAGAGGAACAAGCCAGCATCTATTCCTCAGACACTGATGAGGGGTCAGAAGATAAGACTCAAAGATTAGTGAGAGCAAAAAAACTCAGTAATGATGAAGTAAGACCAAATGTATTCAATTCTGAGTTTACCCTGTACTCAGGAGCCAACTGCTGGGAACAGAGCTCACAGACCAGGCATGCACAAATTAGCTGTCTACACACTTGACTGAAATCCAGTGAGATAAATGCAGCAGTAGGACTAGGAGTGGCCCAAAGGTCTGATACCTGTACTCAGGTGGGTCTTGGAAGGCTGCATGGAGGAGGAAGTCTCTGCTGGGTATTGAAGAATGAGCAGAAGCTTACAAGCACACAGGCCAGGTTAGGCACTCTAGGAAGATGGAAAGGCCTGTAAAGAAAGGTGCAGGGCCTGAGATATCAAGTCTCGGCTACAGAACTACGAATTGCTTCATATGGGTAGAGCAAGAGGTGATCTACCATGTTCATTGTGGGAAACTGGGTGTCTTTTAAAATTTATTTATTTTTTTTGAGATGGAGTCTCACTCTGTCACCCAGGGTGGAGTACAGTGGCACAATCTCGGCTCACTGCAACCTCCACCTCCCAGGTTCATGTGATTCTCCTGCCTCAGCCTCCCAAGTAGCTGGG
The DNA here is from genome assembly GCF_000001405.40 of Homo sapiens. Lineage (NCBI taxonomy): Eukaryota > Metazoa > Chordata > Mammalia > Primates > Hominidae > Homo > Homo sapiens. The sequence continues at coordinate 51,921,237 of NC_000015.10, read as the reverse complement.
ATTACAGGCGCCTGCCACCAAGGCTGGCTAATTTTGGTATTTTTTAGTAGCAATGGGGTTTCACCATGTTGGCCAGGCTGGTCTCAAACTCCTGACCTCAAGTGATCCTCCCGCCTCAGCCTCCCAAAGTTCTGGGATTACAGGCATGAGACACCACTACGCCCAGCCTTTAATTTTATTTTATTTTTAAGACAGGGTCTTGCTCTGTTGCCCAGGCTGGAATGCAGTGGCATGATCATGGCTGACTGCAGCCTCGATCTCATGGGTTCAAGTGATCCTCCTGCCAAAGCCTTCTGAGTAGCTGTAACGACAGGCATGCACCACCATGCTTGGCTAATTTTTAAAATGGTTTGTAGAGATAGGGGTCTCACTACGTTGCTCAGGCTGGTCTTGAACTCCTGGCCTCTAGCAATCCGTCCACCTTGGCCTCCCAAAGTGCTGGAATTACAGGCGTGAGCTATGGTGCCTGGCTTAAAACTGGGTGTCTTTATTTCAATGTAATAGTTGAGGGGTTATCTCATTTGTTATGAAAATATTTTCCTTTAATTGTTTTCTCTTCCTTTTATAAGATCACAAGTACAAATACATTTTATGTCTTTTATTTATTGATTTTATTTTGAGACAGTCTTGCTATGTTGCCCAGGCTAGAGTCAGTGGCACAGTCTTGGCTCACTGCAACCTCCACCTCCCAGGTTCAAGCAATTCTTGTGCCTCAGCCACTTGAGTAACTGAAATTACAGGCATGCACCGCCATGCCCGGCTAATTTTTTTTTTTTTTTTTTTTTTTTGTATCTTTAGAAGAGATGGGGTTTTGCCATGTTGGCCAGGCTGGTCTCAAACTCCTGGGCCTCAAGTGATCTGCCTGTCTCGGCCTCCCAAAGTGTGGGGATTACAGGCGTGAGCCACCGTGCCTGGCCTTAAGTATTAATTATATAAGAGAATCACTATGGTATTGCCCATTGGCCATATTAATTCATTCAATGTTTTCTGAACACATGCTGTGTTCTAGGTTCTGGAGATACAGACAGGAAAAACACTGCAGTGACAACATTGGTCACTGTGTTTTCATTTATTTTTTCCTCTCTCTACACAACACACAGTTGTCCCTCAGTATCCATGGTAGATTGGTTCCAGGACTCAGAGGACACCAAAATCCACAAGTGCTCAAGTTGCTTATATAAGATAGTTTAACATTTGCATATAAGCTATGCTTTAAATCATCTGTAGGCTGGGTGCTTTGGGAGCCCAGCACTTTGGGAGGCTGAGGCGGGCGGATCGTTTGAGCCCAGCCTGAGACCAAGATTAGACCCCCAGCTATACAACAACAACAACAACAACAACAAAAATAAAATAAAATAAAATAAAATAAAAAATTAGCTGAGCACAGGTAGTCCCAGCTACTTAGGAAGCTTAGGCAGGAGGATCAATGGAACCTAGGAGGTCGAGGCTGCAGTGAGCCGTCATCATGCCACTGCGTTCCAGCATGGGCAACAGAGCAAGACCCTGTCTGAAAACAAAAAATTTTCTCTAGATTACTTATAATACAATATAAATGCTATGTAGGCCGGGTGCAGTGGTTCATGCCTGTAATCCCAGCACTTTGGGAGGCTGAGGCGGGCGGATCACCTGAGGTCAGGAGTTCGAGACCAGCCTGGCCAACATGGTGAAAACCCATCTCTACTAAAAATACAAAAATTAGCCGGGCATGGTGGTGCATGCCTAGAATCCCAGCTATTTGGGAGGCTGAGGCAGGAGAACTGCTCGAACCCAGGACATGGAGGTTGCAGTGAGCCGAGGTTGCAGTGAGCCGAGATCGCGCCACTGCACTCCAATCTGGGAAATGAGCAAAACTCTGTCTCAAAAAAAAAAAAAAGTAAGTGTCCCTTCAGCCCTGACCACTGCCCAGGGGAAACCTAGGTTCAGTTGCCTGATCTAGGCAGTGTCTGTGGGGACACACATTGGCTACCAAGGGTGGAGAAACTGGGCTCTAACGTGAAGGGCTGGCTCGTCACTGTCAGGTCAGAACCATTTTAGATAAAATTTCCAGAAACATTTTATATTGAATTTTATGTCTTACCTCTCATATTTATTCAGGTAAACCTTCCAGAAAGAGGAAAGCAGAGCATGAAGAGGAAGAAGATGATATAAAGCCCTAAAATGTGCACTCATTGTATTCAATAGTTTGTTTTAAAACAATTATGAAATGACTTGTTTTAACTGAAGTTGAGTTGCTTTTGCATAATCCTAGTTGTGAATAAAAAGTTTTCAAAAGCAAGTCCACGATGTTAGAAAATTCATTTTTTCCCAAAGAGGAGGATTTTGTTAACTGTTTACTGTGAGTGGATCTTAGGTTTTAGTGCATTCCTGCTGTTAAGTTTGGCTCAGTTGTGGCCTCCTCCAGGATGTCCTCTGGCCTGCCTAGCTGGGTTTGGGGCCTTTCTGTGCTCTGTAGTCCCCTTAGTATGGCATTAATTCCATTTCCCATATGGCACTGTGCTCTTGGAAGAGCAGGTACAGCAGGGAGAGCTCACTGGATACCTGGTACTTAACCAGAGCTGTGTGGGCCTGACCACTTCTAATCCTTAGGGCAGGTGCTGTTATACCCCTTTTATAGATGTGGAAGCTGAGGTTTAAAGAGCTTAAGCCCTCTGTACAAAGCTTTTACTTAAGTAAACAAGTAAGCTTTTCTGAGACAAGGGTTAGGATCTTCCATGCACAGTGATCACAATGCTGGGCTAATACTTTAGTGACCTTATGGAGACAGATACCCAAAATATCTACCTGAGATAAACAGGCACCATTAGGTTTAGGGAAAAGGGCAATGGGAAACAAAATACCGGACTTGATTTCTAGTTTTGTGATTGCTACAATAGCTGGAATATAATAGAACCTAAAAACTATTTACTGAATGAACAAACAAATGCTGTTATGTTGGGCAGTCCCTTCTCTGACATCAGTTTCTTGAACTAGGTGGGCTTTAGATTTGACCACACAAATCCTTCAATTCAATGTTTATATTTCTCTACCTCTGAGAGTTGAATACTAGATAAATATTTTAAAATGTTTTGTTAAGTAGAAATGATCAAAGGGGAAAAAAAAGCCCATTTCACCATGCCGAAAACCCCACTTTACAATTCTATTTCCTTCCCTTTTATACTTTTACAGCATAATTTCGTGCTTGTATATTAAACACATTCATAATTAGCACTAGCTTCTAAAGGAGAATTGAAAGACTCATTCAGAACAATGAAGGGTACTAGCACAACTTAATTGTAACATCAGGTATTCTTTCTAAGGGGCTGGCCTTGAGGATCTGGTATGTCTGTGAACAGCACAGGAGCTGGGGGACTGGGTTGGGATCTACAAGCCCTCAACCTTTGCAGACCATGCAGGAAAGCTTAAAGTTGAAGGAAAAAAATGTTTGGAAATTTTGGACTCACAAATTTTCAAGCCACTCCCACTATTTGGTACCTATAAGAGCAGTGGTAGCACCAGGCTGAGCATTTTTAGTTGGACTGCTTTGGAGGACATGGTGAGGGCGCTGTTGCCTCACAGCCAGTCCCTGGCACTCAAGTCCTCTTGAACTCAGGGGAACAGCTCACAATTCAAGCACCTGAATCTCCCTGACTCACCAAAGGGAATATGCATTGAGGCTTCCTGTACATGAATGTGAAGCTCAACAGCCATTCTCAGAAGGCAGAACGACATTAAAGATTCCAGGTCAATTTCTTTATTCCCCTAAGTCAGGAAAACTCTGAAAACTTTAAATTATTTAACCTTTATCCTTAAGTTTCCTCAAACCCATTACACATTTCCCTGGTTTTCTCTTTTTTTTTTTTGAGACGGAGTCTCACCCTGTCACCTAGGCTGGAAGTACAGTGGCGCGATCTCAGCTCACTGCAACCTCTGCCTCCTGGGCTCAAGCGATTCTCCTGTCTCAGCCTCCTGAGTAGCTGGAATTATGGACACCCGCCAATGCACCTAATTTTTGTAGTTTTAGTAGAGACGGGGTTTCGCCATGTTGGCCAGGCTGGTCTTGAACTCCTGACCTCAGGTGATCCGCCCACCTTGGCCTCCCAAAGTGTTGGGATTACAGGTGTGAGCCTCTGAGCCCAGCCTTTTTTTTTTTTTTTTTTTTTTTTTTTTGAGAAGGAGTCTTGCTCTGTTGCCCAGGCTGGAGCACAGTGGTGATCTCAGTTCATTGTAGCCTCTGCCTCCCGGGTTCAAGCGATTCTCCTGCCTCAGCCTCCTGAGTACCTGGGATTACAGGCGTGTGCCATCACACCCGGCTAATTTTTGTATTTTTATTAGAGATGGGGTTTTGCCATGTTGGCCAGGCTAGTCTCAAATTCCTGACCTCAGGTGATCTGCCCACCTCAACCTACCAAAATGCTGTGATTACAGGTGTGAGCCATCATGCCTGACCTGGTTTTCTCTTTTGATTCATGGATATAGGTGATTGATAAGAGATGTCTTTGCTTTACTGTAAAAGCCATCTCTAGTTTATTAGAAGGACTGGTTCCCATCAGGTTCAGAGTGTACTGTATCACAGGACCCTGCTCTTTTCTTTTCTTTTTTTTTTTTTTTAAGACAGAGTCTCACTCTATTGCCCAGGCTGGAGTGCAGTGGCGCGATTTCAGCTCATTGCAACCTTCACCTCCTGGGTTCAAGTTATTCTCCTGCCTCAACCTCCTGAGTAGCTGGGACTACAGGCATGCACCACCATGCCTGCCTAATTTTTGTATTTTTAGTAGAGACAGAGTTTCACCATGTTGGCCAGGCTGGTCTTGAACTCCTCACCTCAGGTGATCCGCCTGCCTCGGCCTCCCAAAGTGCTGGGATTACAGGCGTGAGCCACCGCACCTGTCCGACCCTGCTCTTTGCGTATTTGTCAACTCAATTCAATTTTATGAACAGACAGGACCTAGTACTGATGATATTAGGTTGAACCTTAGGAAATTACTATTTTTATGAGTAAAAGTGTTCAACTATTATAACTAATTTTATATGATTCAACTTAATATGGTGGTATTTAGCCAGGTCAGATTGTCCTAACAAGATACCATAGACTGGGTGGCTTAAATAACAGAAATTTATTGCTTACGTTCCTAGAGGCTGGGACGTCCGAGATCATGGTTTGGTTCCTGGTGAGGGTTCCCTTCCTGGCTTGCAGACAGCTGCTGTTTTGCTGTATCTTCACATGATGGAGAGAGTCTCCTGTCTCTTTGTATAAGAACACAAATGCCATCATAAGGGGACCAACCTTGTGACCCTATCTAGCCTTAATTACCTTCCAAAGGCCCCATCTCCAAATACCATCACATTGGAGGTTAGGGCTTCAACATGTGAATTTGGGGTGGGGGGGCGGGTGTGGATACAAACATTCAGTCCATAACAGGTAGGACTGAATAACTCAGGGAAACTGATAAACTTTTTCTTGAAGAAGGATGTAAGGAATGAATTTTAGAACTTAGGAACTAAAGGGATTATGTGCTTTTTCAAAAAGTCCAAGTTTACAGAATATTTGATAAACTTTATTGAAACGATTTATCCCAGTATATATTGGTAAGTTCTAAATGCTTCCAGTACATAGTCTTCAAAAGAAACTTCACTGTGCTGTTATGAATTTGGATAATATTTTGTATTATTTAAATACCAGTGTTAAAATTCATTGCTTTTATACTTATAAAAATGGAAAAATAGGGCAATTACAATGTTGGATATTTTAGCATTAGAAAAAAACGTAAATACCTGATTTCATGTGACAATGAATGACATTCAAATGATTGTTAGAAAGGTAATTTTCAAGCTTTTAAATGTAACTAAAACCAAATATAATAATTCATCCAAAAAACTGAAAAAAAGACATTTGAAATTACAAAAATTTTTATGTTATACGTGTATATACATTTGAAAAAACAATTCTTAAATGGATTGATCTGAAAATTTGAAACCACTGAATCAAAAGCTTATCTTTCTGAGTAGAGGTGAAATTTAAACTTCTAAAAACTGCTATATACACCCACCAAGAAGCACCAATAATTCATTCTTAAACCTTACTTTCTGAATGTATAGACTATAATATTTGAAACATTTTAGGCCAATTAATTGCTTTGCATCAATTAAAACATACTGAGTGTAGAAAAGGGAGTAAAACCTCATATATATAGATTCTAAGAGGTGTCTGTCTTACGAATGTAATAATTTGGGCTGGGCGCGGTGGCAAACACCTGTAATCCCAGCACTTTGGGAGGCCGAGGCGGGTGGATTACGAGGTCAGGAGTTCGAGACCAGCCTGGCCAAGATGGTGAAACTCCGTCTCTACTGAAAATACAAAAATTAGTCAGGCGTGGTGGCGGGCACCTGTAGTCCCAGCTACCCAGGAGGCTGAGGCAGGAAAATCATCTGAACCCAGGAGGCGGAGGTTGCAGTGAGCTGAGATCGCACCATTGCGCTCCAGCCTGGGCGACAAGAGTGAACCTCCATCTTAAAAAAAAAAAAGAACTTAATAATTTGTTACAGCTATGTTAGCAAAACACTGCTGGTGGTATTTCTTAATACATATATTTTTTTGAGATGGAGTCTCACTCTGTCACCCAGGCTGGAGTGCAATGGCACAATCTCGGCTCACTGCAACTTCTGCCTCCCAGGTTCAAGTGATTCTCCTGCCTTAGGCTCCCAAGTAGCTAGAATTACAGGTGCGCATCACCACGCCCAACTAATTTTTTGTATTTTTAGTAGAGATGGGGTTTCACCATGTTGGCCAGACTGGTCTCGTACTCCTGACCTCAAGTGATCCGCCCACCTCAGCCTCCACAGTGCTGGGATTACAAGTGTGAGCCACTGCACCCGGCCATTACAATCTATTTTTATCTAGCCTCTAGAGCAGGTGTCCTAAGTAAAAGACAAAAACAACAACAAAAAAACCCATTTTTTTGTTTTGTTTTGTTTTTTGAGACAGTCTCACTCTTGTTACCCAGGCTGGAATGCAGTGGCATGATCAAAGCTCACTGCTGCTTCAACCTCCCAGGCTCAAGCAATTCTCCCACTTTAGACTCCTAAGTAGCTGGTACTATAGGTGTCTGGCTAATTTTTAAATTTTTTGTAAAGATGGGGTCTTGCTATGTTGTCCATGGTAGTCTCAAACTCCTGGTCTCAAGTAATCCTCCCTGCTTGGTCTCCCAAAGTACTATGAGTATAGCTCTTTTTTTTTTTTTTTTTTTGAGATAAGAGTTTCACTCTCATTGCCCAGGCTAGAGTACAGCAGCATGATCTCATCTTACTGCAACCTCCACCTCCTAGGCTCAAGCGGTTCTGCTGCCTCAGTCTTCCGAGTAGATGGGACTACAGGCATGCGCCACCGCACCCAGCTAATTTTTGTACTTTTTGTAGATATGGGGTTTCACCATGTTACGCAGGTTGGTCTCAAACTCCTGAGCTCAAGTGATCCGTCGGCCTCGGCTTTCCAAAGTGCTAGGATTACAGGCATAAGCCACAGTACTTGGCCAAAATTCTTTATGTGTTAATGAAGGCTTTCCAAAATACTTAGTTATGGCTTAAAATAGTTTACTTAGCCATGTCTTTTTTCTAGGTTGACCTTTCTGAATGATCAGACTGCAAGATAGAGTTTAAAATTAATAAAATATGTTTTATTATCAAATTTCTAATTCATTCATTTTTTATAGGGAAGAACTTATAGAACTGAATTATAGTGGAGAAAAATCAATACAGGTTGAGTATCCCTTATCCAACATGCTGGGACCATTAAGTGTTTCAGATTTCAAATTATTTTGGATTTTGGAATACTGGGCATTACACCAGTTCAGCATCCCTAATCTGAAAATCTGAAATTCTAAATGCTCCAATAAGCATTTCCTTTGAACACTATGTTAGTACTCAAAAAGTTTTCAATTAGGGATGTTCAATCTGTAGATCTAAGAATGACCAAATTAAAATATAAGAATAAGGCTGAGTGTGGTGGCTCAAGCCTGTAATCCCAGCACTTTGGGAGGCCGAGGCGAGTGGATCACCTGAGGTCACTTTGAGAACAGCCCGGCCAACATGGTGAAACCCCGTCTCTATTAAAAATACAAAAAGTTATCCGGGCGTGGTGGCGGACGCCTGTAATCCCAGCTACTTGGGAGGCTGAGGCAGGAGAATCACTTGAATCTGGGAGGTGGAAGCTGCAGTGAGCTGAGATCGCACCACTGCACTCCAGCCTGGATGACAGAGTGAGACTTGGTCTCAAAAAAGAATATAAAAATCTTTGCCTCTGAATACTATTTTCTCAATTTAAAAATAATTAGTGAAGCGTTTCTTTGATTTGTTGGTAAGCAAATCTTAGGGTAAGAAATATCCAGAAACATTAATGATCAGTGAGAGCTGATGGAGAGGATAATTTTACAGATACTTAGACCCCAAGAACTCATAGCCCTTAACTGAGAGCAGCAACCCGAGTTGTCTCTAGTGCATCCATATGTTTGCTTCTCTTGGGTGACATGGGTCAATACGTTCAAAGTGCAGTAACACTGTAGAATGAGTAAATTTGGGCAGTACTAAACTTGCAAAGAATGGAAGTGACTAAGGACTCCAGAGAAAGCATGATCCTTGCATCTGCTGGGAGGTTAACAGTGGTTCCTAGTTTTTTAGGGAAAAAGTGAGGCAGCCCTGGGAACACAGACCCTAAAATGTAAGATTTTATAAAACTTCATAAATGTTGTCATCTTATTTTAATGACAGCAAGAGTTAAATATAACGTACAATATGATATGAGTAACATTTTATAAAAAAAAAAAAATTTTTTTTTTTTTGAGACGGAGTTTCACTCTTGTTGCCCATGCTGGAGTGCAATGGCGCGACCTCAGCTAACTGCAACCTCCGCCTCCCGAGTTCTAGTGATTCTCCTGCCTCAGCCTCCCGAGTAGCTGAGATCACAGGTGTGTGCCACCACGCCTGGCTAATTTTGTATTTTTAGTAGAGACAGGGTTTCTCCATGTTGGTCAGGCTGGTCTCGAACTCCTGACCTCAGGTGATCCGCCCACCTCGGCCTCCCAAAGTGCTAGGATTACAGGCGTGAGCCACCGCACCCGGCCCAAAACATTTTTTAAAATAATTTTTATTATGTCATGGAATCCTCTTTTTAAACAAAAACACAACAGATACTCGGTCAACTGGAAAACAATTTATAGAATTCTATTTACATGTAACTTCTCCAGAGCGAATATCTTATACAAAGCAAGGATGTGGGTTATTTCAATCAAATAACATGAAGTCGCAATTAAATGACCAAGCTAACTCTCCTTGAAGTCTCTAACCATCTGCTAATTTATTTAATACAAAATGCTTATTTGGTCTTTTAAATGACAGGCAACTTTGAAAGTGTATTTCACCTATTCTTGAGAATTCTACTAGGCTTTAGCTACAAGAATATAGCACCAAAATCCATTTTAATAGTATTAATATTTGCCACTAATATTGAGTTTTTAATACATACAATTTCATGTAGGAATACTGGAAAAATTCAGACAAATATGAGTATAACATTTTATAAAATGGGTAATAAAAAGCTTTTTTAAAAATAGCAATTTAAAAACACAAAGAATATTCTTTTAAATAACCACATAAGCTGGTTAGACTACAAAACCTAAGGTCTCAGAAAACCTTTGGCTTAAAAATTAAGACTATTGCAAAACCCTAATCTATTTATTATAAAATTTTAGAGCAATTTAGAAATACTGAAAGTTACTAAGAGGTGCCAGATTTTTAAAGATTGAAGTAAACCCGATTTTTCTCCCTTATAATTTTGGAAAGATTTTGTAAATTCAATTGGATGAATGTTCATATTTAATGTCACTTATGAAGAAATCATTTCTTTCAGTTATACAATGAACTACTATAATGCAGAATTGAAATGGTACAAGCAAAATACTCAACTTCATACTTTGATAAATAATATATGAAAAAGATATTACCCATAAGTATGATGCAAAATTTTAGGTAGAGTCCCACTTACCTATATTAAAAACAAAAACAAAAACAAAACTTAAGGGATGAAGGGGGAACTATTTATCAACTAATTGACTTACAGGACAATGCAAACGAGGATGCCTGACTGAAAGTCTAGGTGACCAATTCTTTCTGGTAGCCTGAGATGCCTGCTCCATGCCTGACTCCCAATCTTGCTGGAACTGTGCAGTCTCTATAAAATCAAGTACAATCAAAAAGCTGCATATGCGGGGAAAAAAAAAGAGAGGAGAAGAGAGGGAGGGAGAGAAATAGGTAAATAGAGAAGGTAGGAAGGGAGAGGGATGGAGGCAAGGGAGGCAAGAAAGCAAGCAAGTGAGCCTTGCTAACTTAGAAAAATATCAGTGGCCTTTAACTGACAGGGAATAGTGCAAAGTTAACCTTTGGCCCCTATAAAACATTGGATACTGATTTAAAAAACAAAACAAAACAAAACCAAAAAACCAAAACAAACCAAAACAAAAAAAAAAAAAGAGAAACACCACAGTTCTTATGAGGGAAGCTTAGCCTGTTAAGAAGGCTTATTACCATAGCACACAAGAAGCTGCCTTGCTTATTAGATAAACTGTCCAGCCCAAGCCAAAGTAGCAGACATATTGCAATTCAATTTCAAAAAGTTTGTTTGTTTGTTTGTTTTTTGAGACAGAGTCTTGCTTTGTCACCCAGACTGCAGTGCAGTGGTACGATCTCAGCTCACTGCAATCTCCATCTCCCAGGTTCAAGCAATTCTCCTGCCTCAGCCTCCTGAGTAGCTGGGATTACAGGTGTGCACCACCACACCCGGCTACTTTTTTGATTTTTAGTAGAGACAGGGTTTCACCATGTTGGCCAGGCTGGTCTTGAACTCCTGACCTTAAGTGATCCACCCACTTTGGCTTCCCAAAAGTGCTGGGATTACAGGCGTGAGCCACTGCGCCCGGCCCAAAAAGTTTAAAAAAAATTAATAATGATTAGCCACCTTGCCTTCCTCAGAAATGAGACTTTTCCCTCCAGAAAAATCTCTGTAAATGATACAGCCAGGCCTGAATTTTGAGGCCAGGGCTACCTCAGATTCCATTCCTCCCTGTTTTCTGCAGCTGTAAATGCCTCTGCCATCTCCTGCTCCAGGGGCTGCCCTGAGACAGAACATGAATACAAGTCCAGACCCTCTACCCAGCATCAGCTCTGCAGTCTCAAATCAGTCTCCCGACCACAGTACTCTATTCAATTGTTCACCTTAATACTTTGAGCAAGAAAGACTGCTTTTATTATAGAAATGACTTTTATAAATATTGATAAAAGTATAAGATGAAAGGAAGCATATACTAAAAATTAGATTTATGAAGAATAGCAGTTTTCCTTCTTGGTTGGAAGATTTGTAGCAGTGATTAAATACTGTTTATGCAATTCTGCACTGCACATAGGAACTTCTTCGGATATGGTGTAACACCAAGTAATTTACATACATGCCAGCTTCCAACTGACTTACAGTAACCATCAGTTTAAATGACTGTTTTGCAAGTGCCTCATACTGGAAATCTATCATATTTATTATCTTTGATTTCATTGTTTAACAGTTTTCTTTTTTCTCTTACCCTAAATAACTAAGAGTTGGCTGTACGCCTTTTTTGGGGGGTGGGGAGGGAGGTGGTGAAAACAGCTTTTATTTTTTACTATTAGCTTCCACAAAAATTTAATAATGCCCACATTATTAAAATGAAACACTGGAATGAACTTCGACCTCACTATACTTTTAAATAAAGTATGTAACCTGGCAAAGCTGATGACTTTGTTTTAAGAAGACCTGGGTGTTGCTACGTCACATCAGACAAGTGCAGTAACCTGGAATGCACAGACGACCACCCTCTCTCCCTGGAGACCTGCTTTAGCTCCTACACAGATGACTAGATTTTGAGTTAACTGTTTTAACATTCTGGCATTTTGTTCTCTTGATAAAGAAAAATCACACCCTTGCCAAGTTCATGTATTTTAAAAAATGGAAAACTCTCCAGGTCACGGAGTGAAGAAAACACTTAAGTGTTTTATGTCTAAATGAAGCAATAACAATTCTGATACCAGCAACATCCCTTTTGATTTAAAAAAGATTGGTCCTCACAATGTTCAAATTATTCTACACAAATGACCTGTGAAATTTTTTACAGTTGTATTTTTTTGCCCAAGATTCATCATAAATCATTCAATTAAACTAAATTAAAATTGATTTTAGCAGAAAGTAGAAATGTTTCAGAATATAAAATATCACATTACTGATTTTACAATTTGATAACAACTAAAAAAAAAATGCATGTCACTAAAAAAATTTTTCCAGTCTTTTCCCTTCTACCCAGGAAAATTTTACATGATGTCACCAACATGAGCCCTTGGTGATCTTCTGAAGTCTTCCAAAGATTACACCTTTGCAGACTTACTGGTGATCTCCTTCAACTCGTCTCTTACGCACTATGAGAAAAATAAAAGAAACTATGTTAGAAATCCCTATTAGTTTTTACAATGGTAACTTGCTTATAACAAGCAAGTTTCTGCATAATCCAGTTATAAGTTTTACAAAATTGAAATGTCCATTTCCAGTTCACATGACCACTAATTAAAAAAAAAAAAAAAACAACCTACTTCCCATCATTCACCACTGTCATTTACTTGTTGAGAACCAAGGGGCTTCAACAAAAGAATTACATGCCCTAAGCTCAATGACTCATAGCTGTGCTTACACAGCAGCAGCACTAGAAATCTAAAACAGAATGGTCAGCAATCATCTACAAGTCATTTGTTTTTGTTTATTTTTAACTTTGTAATTTATTAATAAAACAGACATTAGGTCTCACTATCTTGCCTAGGCTGGTCTTGGACTCCTGAGCTCAAGTGATCTGCCCGCCTCAGCATCCCAAAGTGCTGGGATTACAGGTGTGAGCCACTGCGTCCAGCCCAAGTCATTTGTTTACTGAAAAAGTACATACTCAGGTTTTAAAAAACAGCTAATAAATTAGTGTGTTAAATTTTGAAGTGACATTCAGGCAGCTGGGGTTAGAACATATTAAAAGTAACTATTTGCATGCTCTCCTGATTAGACACTACAATGTATTTCCTTAGGCTGTAAAAGAATATACCAAAAACATTTTTGTCATTTTTATAGGTAAGTGATTTGCTACTGCTTTCTGAATTTTCCTTCTTTTGTCTCCTGTAATATAAACCAGTTCAGGGTCTGATAAAACAACAAATGCAAAGTAATGAAAATCTCAGACCCTGGTAATATGGTGTGGTCACTTCCGGCTACCATAAACTTTGGCTGCCTAAGTGGCCAGTCAACTAGCTCAGCTTTTACAGCAAAGAACGGTACATGTATGTATCTGAGACTACCAGCCTCTTCCTGGACTGGTGATGTCAAACTACTCAGGGGTGTTCTCTAGTAGCAGAACAAGGTCTTCAACTTCAGATCTTGCTACCTGCGCTCTCACCTATCAGCCACTAGAGAGCATTCACTGAGGGCCACCAATTCAGGGCTATCAGCATTGTGGCCGGCTCCTAGAGAGGACAAAAACCACAGGTTCCAGAGTTGATGACAAATAGAGTGAATCATGGCTCTGTCACTTCTGTAGTGTGTACTTTGGCCTAAATTGGCTGTTTGACAGAGGAACTAGAAGCCAACAGGTACACCTGGTGTCCTGGCCAGGCCATAGACACTCTGCTCTTGTGCTCTTCTGACTGCTGACTTCTGTTTGTCGGCCTTTAATAGATAAGACCATACGTTCAGATGACGTATATAAAATCTTGTTCAGCCATAGGCTGGGTGCTTGCTTGAAAATAAAACCAGAAGGACTAAAGTATCAGGTTCCCACGAACATTTTTATAACTATCTAATTAAGTTCGCCTGACTCTTAAGTTTATTTTATTTATTTTTTGCCAGAACTCAATAAAAATAGGGATTGCTTCATGAATGTCTGTGTCATCCTTGCAAGGGGCCATGCTCATCTTCTCTGTATCATTCCAATTTTAGTGTATGTGCTGTCAAAGCAAGCAACCGACTCTAATTTTAATCCATGCTAACAAAGACAAGTTTCATGTGTTCACTGAAGTATTAAGAAAAAAAATTAAATGGAGACTTGAGCCCTCAAATATCAAATCATGTATATAGATCTCTGAAAAATATAGAAATGTCTGAAAGGCAAACTTCAGATAATTCTTTTTTTTTTTTTTTTTGAGACGGAGTTTCGCTCTTGTTGCCCAGGCTGGAGTGCAATGGCGCGATCTCGGCTCACCGCAACCTCTACCACCCAGGTTCAAGCAATTCTCCTGCCTCAGCCTCCCGAGTAGCTGGGATTACAGGCATGCAACACCACACCTGGCTAATTTTGTACTTTTTAAAGTAGAGACGGGGTTTCTCCATGTTGAGGCTGGTCTCGAACTCCTGACCTCAGGTGATCCGCCTGCCTCAGCCTCCCAAAGTGCTGGGATTACAGGCGTGAGCCACTGCGCCCAGCCCAGATAATTCTTTAGGGTAGAACATTTCAACGAAAATTTTGAATTGCAGCAGGGTTTGGATGTTACTGGCATACCACTTCAGATGCTATAATGCATGTTATAGAAAAGATCTACAGGACAGAGTGCAGCAAACAAAAAAGGTCTAGAAAATGGAATATGCAGTTAACTAGTGTAAAGATAGTAATGTGAGACTCAAAGGTAAATAGAATATTGCATGTATACCATAGAACCTCTTTGCTGTTACAGCTGTGACACTTCTTAGCTGGAGAGATGGAGAGCAGGTAGAATTATTTCAATGAATAGCTGAGACTAAGAAAACAATGAGAGAGGGAACGATGTTATCAAAATCAGAACTCAAAGATCTGATAAAGCCCCATCTACAAGGTGAAAAAGAACTATATGCCCAGGAGATTCTGTACAAGTTTCAAGTCTTGTTCTTTGATTATCTCTTTTGAGTTAGTACATATCAGGCTGCTGAGACCAATATGTCAGAAAACATGGTCTTCAGGCTTTTCAATCTTTATCTATTAGGCAGAGGTCAGAGTATACAGCTGAAAAAAAGTTAAGCTGAGCAGAAGAATGAGAGGTTGCTGCCGCTGTGTGCACAACAGAGGACAATGGGGCAACGGGCCATTTCTGACCCCTCTTTCTCACCTGGTGCTCACTTGTTACCTTCCAGCAATTCCTCAGCTCATCCTCTAGATGGCAGGCTTATAAATTTTGCCCTATTAACAATTCTTTGGATCTGGTCCAATTTCTTTTTTTTTTTTTTTTTTTTTTTTTTTTTTGAGACGGAGTCTCGCTCTGTTGCCCAGGCCGGACTGCGGACTGCAGTGGCGCAATCTCGGCTCACTGCAAGCTCCGCTTCCCGGGTTCACGCCATTCTCCTGCCTCAGCCTCCCGAGTAGCTGGGACTACAGGCGCCCGCCACCGCGCCCAGCTAATTTTTTGTATTTTTAGTAGAGACGGGGTTTCACCTTGTTACCAAAACACACTCCACTGATATAAGTTGTCAATACGCCACCATTAGTTAATTGCGAATGTCCTAACTAACTTCATTTTCTAACTCTAATAGAGCAATAAGAGCAGTTTTTGTTTTTGAAGTATCTTAATCATGTATTCGGTGGCCTCTAATGGCTCTCTAATGCCTTCTGCATAAAATCCAAATAAATCAAAGTTCTTTAACCATGTAATTTCAGTGTATTCTACCAACACTCCCTCTTAAATTTATTTATATCACTTTTTTTTTTTTTAGACAAAGTCTCACTCTGTAGCCCAGGCTGGAGTACAGTGGTGCAATCTCGGCTCACTGCAACCTCCGCCTTCTGGGTTCAACCAATTCTCATGCCTCACCCTCCCGAGTAGCTAGGATTACAGGTACCTGCCACCACACCTGGCTAATTTTTGTATTTTTAGTTTCACCATGTTGGCCAGGCTGGTCTCAAACTCCTGACCTCAGGTGATCCACCCACCTTGGTCTCTCAAAGTGCTTGGATTACAGGCGTGAGCCACTGCACCCGGCCTCAATCTGCTGATACCACTTTTTAAATGTTAGCTTTAAACAACAAGTACTCATTGAAAGTTTATTCAGGAGCCAGCATCATGATATGAGTCAGTTCTTAAAATCCACAGGCTGCCATCAGCATATAAATAACTTGCTTGCTCTCAAATTTGAGCTTTTATCTGTAATTGCCCTATCCAGGAATGTGCTTATTGTCATTTCATGCATGAGACCCACGTTTGAAAATCTAGTTTGGATCAGAATGAAACAGTGTAACTGGGAGTCTAGAGAGTTCCCGGAACAAAGCTGCTTGCTTTCTCTCGCTTCTGCTTTGGGTCAGAACACAGCTTCTTCAACATGGTCTTCTCTTCCTCTATCACACACCACTGTGCACGGCTATTCAATTGCTCAGAGACAACATAAAGCAGCCTAGGAAGTGGTTTTCATTTGCACCCCCCACACCCCATCTTGCATTTGCCCAAATCTCCCTCACTCTAACACTGGACATTTCTTTTCTTACAGAAATGCAGGCAAAGTGTCTACCAAAACAGTCTTCACAAAAAAGCACAACTGCTGAAGCCTTGCAAAGGTCAGCGCCCCTGCCGTGACGTTTATAGACATTCACTGTACAGCTCCTGGAGGGACAGCTGCTGGAATCACCTGCCTCCTGGAGGGAGGTAAGTAACAGAGCTGGTTGGGGCTTGTTAAGGTAGTTTCCAAGGAGAGGAAAAATGGAGGATACTTCTGGCTTAGTTTATGGCTATTCAGGTACCAGAAAATTATAACTTTGAGAGAGTTCAAATTCTACCACTTATTTATTCACTTAATCCAGTTTTCTTAAGTACCTATTGTGTGTCAGGCATGGTTTTAAAAGAGTTGGGATTCAATAGTCGGACATGGCCCCTGCCAACAACATAGTCCCTGCCCTCAAAAAGCATATAGTCTTTGGAAGTAAGACTACTACATATAATTAGTTTTCTGAGTAAAAGGCAATTTAAAAAATGGGACAAATGCTGTGATAAGTAGAGGACATATGGGGCACACCTGCTTAAGATGTATAACAATGATGAACTCAGAAACTCAAATATCCACTCAATACTGGAGAAACAAGCCAGGGTTTCTGAGTGTGAAATGCCTACAACCCAAATCCCATCACAGACTAAATCAGAACTTCTAAGGAAACTCGCTCTGTCACTTTTCTGTAGTGTGTTTTTTGGCAAGTTAGTTAACTTCTTTGAGCCTCAGCTTATCCTGCATAACAGGAGAACAACAGTATCTGTAGCTCGTGGCTGTGTAGCGCACTAATGAGAACATAGTAAACATTCAATAGAGCACTTGGCTTCATTATCTATCAAAGTAGGGTTATGTGATGGTCGTGAGGCTCTGGTCAACCATCTTTTTGGGGTGAAGAAAGCCATTTTAAGCCAATAATCTATGTGTTTTTAAAGCTTTCCAATTATTTATGAAGTCCAGCTAGAACTTCTTTATGAAGTTCTCTTAAAACGCTACTCTAAGAAGCCAAATTAAACGCCTGAAGGAAAAAATAGAAGCTAACTAGTGAAGCAATACTAAAACAATTAGCATGACTTTGCAAACTACATTTGGAATCAACAATACACCAAAACACACCAATTTTCTATTTTCAAAAGCAAGCAGCTAACATCTCTTCTGGGAAACCACAGTCATAAAAAGGACAGAAAGAGTTTGAGCTAATATTTTCCACGTGATCTGGATTAAAGAAATGAAGTGCTATTTTTTCCTGCTCCAGAAACTTTTACAGAATGGGAACTCAAATATGGCTGAAGCTTAAGAGAATGGCAACACGTTGAAATGTCACTCCTTTTGAGAAGTCTTGTTTTACTTCTTGTCTAAGATGCATCTTTAAAAATACTTCAATGGCAAACATCCTAATTTAAAAGAGTCAACTTTTGGAAACATGTAGAAATAAAATTCTAAGTACCATATTCTTTAATTCAGCCTTGGCTGGAAAGTCTATTTCAAACAGAAGCCACAAGCCTCAAGCAATTAAATAGGAACCATAGGAGAATGAGAGATTACTGACCTAGATGTATGCAGTGAGAAGACAGTTCCACAACAGTCCTTTTAGGAAGACGAGCAAACACCTACATACCAGACTATAAAACCTGGGTGAGGGCCCAGGTGCGGTGGCTCACGCCTGTAATCCCAGCACTTTGGGAGGCCGAGGCGGGTGGATCGTGAGGTCAAGAGATTGAGACCATCCTGGCCAACATGGTGAAACCCCATTTCTACTAAAAATACAAAAATTGGCCGGGCGCGGTGGCTCACGCTTGTAATCCCAGCACTTTGGGAGGCCGAGGCGGGTGGATCATCAGGTCAGGAGATCGAGACCATCCTGGCTAACACGGTGAAACCCTGTCTCTACTAAAAATACAAAAAAAATTAGCCGGGCGAGGTGGCGGGCGCCTGTAGCCCCAGCTACTCAGGAGGCTGAGGCAGGAGAATGGCGTGAACCTGGGAGGCGGAGCTTGCAGTGAGCCGAGATCGTGCCACTGCACTCCAGCCTGGGCGACAGAGCAAGACTCTGTCTCAAAAAAAAAAAAAAAAAAAAAAATACAAAAATTAGCTGGGCACGGCGCGCACGCCTGTAGTCCCAGCTACTCGGGAGGCTGAGGGAGGAGAATCACTTGAACCTGGGAGGCGGAGGTTGCAGTGTGCCGAGATGGCGCCACTGCACTCCTGCCTCGCAACACAGCGAGGCTCCGTCTCAAAAAAAATCAACAACAAAAAACCTGGGTGAGAAATATAATTATTCTCTATTTTATATATTTCTATATCCACATTCTATCATATAAAATTGAATTTCTATCTGGGTCCGCTTGATTAAAAGGGCAAAAAACTTTCCGATAATGTTGAAATCTTTGTTTCAATAGTTCCAAGGACTGATCTGTAACTGAGAACAAATTGTTTGTTGTAGAAAACTGGTCACTTAAAACTATGAAATACGCTTGTCACAGGAAGCTGATTTTACCCATTGACCCAATCATCACAACCTCACTTTAATTGAACTTGAATTCAATCAGTATATAAAGGACCATGCAGATTTTAGAAACAAAGGCCAAATAACTTCTCTGTTAGAATTTATTCTTAAGAGGGAAAGAAGTTCCCCCAATACGTTAGCTTGTGATAGAACTCAGAAACTTGATCGATACTATGTCTTACCTAAGTCATTGTTTTTTGTTATAGCATTAGCTGCTCTGGTTCGTGGTCCCTGCTGTGTAAACTGATATCCAAATTTAAGGATATTTGTATTTTCCTCAAGCATCTTGGCCATTTCCAATTCTACAGCTGTCCCCAACTGCTGCCTCTGGAGTAATTAGAAAAAAAGAACAATATTAATAAACTAGATCAAAATACTTTTCAAGGTAAATTAAGACATTCAGGCACATGCTAATTCTTTGATCTCTTTAAATGTTCCCAATTCCTACAACATATACATAGTTCAGTAGTTCCAAGTACTGATTTGTAACTGAGAACAAATTGTTTGTTGTAGAAAACTGGTCACTTAAAGCTATGAAATGTTTGTCACAGGAAGGGGATTTTACCCATTGACCCAATCATCACCACAGCCTCACTGGAACTTTATACACACACACACACACACACACACACACACACACACACACTAAACTTTTTAAAGTTCAGTAATATGATCATATAGACATCAAAAAAGTGTGAATTACTATAATGACATATCACTTCATACCCACTAGGATAAGTATAATAAAAAAGATAGATAATAACAAGTGTTGGCAAGAATGTGGAAAAATGGGGACATTGCTGAGAGGAATGTAAAATGGTACAGCTACTGTGGAAAACTGGCTGCTGCTCAAAAAGTTAAACATAGAGTTACCATGTGACCCAGCAATACACTCCTAGCTATATACTGAAGAGAAATGAAAATCTATGTCCATGTTAGAGTTTGTAATGAATGTTCACAGCAGCATTATTTCTAGTGGCCCGTATGTGGACACACCCCAAATGGAATAGAATATTATTCAGTCATAAAAGAATGAGGTCCTGATGTATGCTACAATACAGATGAACCTCCAGAACATTATGCCAGGTGAAAGAAGCCAGGCACAAAAAGATCAAATATTGTTTGATTCCACAGATATAAGCTGTCCAGAATAGGCAAATCCTAAGAAACAGAAAGTGGATGAGTGATTGCCAGAGCCTGGTGAGAGGGGTGAATGGGGAGTGACTGCTAATGGGTATGGGGTTTCTTTTTGGGGTAATGAAAATGTTCTGGAATTAGTGGTAATGGCTGCAAAACTCTACAAATATACTAAAAACCATTTAGCTGTATACTTTAAGAAAATGAATTTTACTGTATGTAATTATATCTCAATAAAAAAATGAAAAACATGGATTATGAAGCACTGGGTTAAATTTTAAGACATAATCCTCTTTTCCACCTTCATAGTTTACAAAATGTATTTACTTTGAAGGACTGAAGGAGACATTTAACAAATATTTTTTCAAATAAATGGAGTTATTTTTTCAAATAAAAAAATTAATAGCTACTCTGGATGGAAACATTTCTAACATGTATCTCTCTGCCTTTTACAAAAACCCTACAATGTGGACCTTGCCAGCACAGAGCTGAAAAATTGGAAGGTGGACTAGGTCACATGTAAGAGTCCTCTCAGTTCAAACTAGATAGCCATCTAAATTCTCTTAAAATGATCTAGGGAGAGTATACACCTTTACATTGTATACACTGTTATATACACTGAGTTAATATTCTAGATACCCCAAATGTCAGCTCTCCTTTCAGCCCAGCATCTTCCAACAGGGATCCCTGACAGCCCGCCTCCCATCCCCATCCTGAGTCGCCAAGCCCTACACAGCAGCGTGGGCTGTAGCTTCCTCGACGTTATTATTGTAGAACATTGACCTGATTGTCAATCTTGAGCTCTGCCAGGGTTTCATTATCTCTTAACGCATCAATCAGTGCCAGAATCCCAACTCCCGTGATAAAGTTGGACTCCACATTTAAGCTCTTCAAAGTTTTGTTCACTTTCAGCATTTCTGCAAAAGCCTAGAAATTAGAGAAAATATTAAGAGATTAAAATTTGATACAGTACCTACTACATATTGTACATGCCATAAATAAATACATTAATTAACTGCCTTAATGTTTGTCATTAGTTGTTTCAGTTTGACACAGTAGCCCATAGCTCTCACATGTACAGTTGTCCCTCAGTATTTGTTGGGGGTTGGTTCCAGGACCATCTGCAGATACCAAAATCTTCAGATGCTCAAGTGCCTTATAGAAAATGGCATAGTATTTGCATATAACCTTCACACATGCTCCTGTATACTTTTCATTACCTCTAGGTTACTTAATATACCTAATACAATGCCTACACATCACTTCATTTTTGTGGATTCAACATAGTACCTGGCATACAGCAAATTCAGATTTTGCTTTTGGAAATTCATAGAATTTTTTTCCAAATATTTTTGATCTGAAGTTGGTTGAACCCATGGATGACTGTATCTACTTTTCTTTCTTTTTTTTTTTTTTGAGACAGGGTCTTGCCCTGTCACCCAGGCTGGAGTGCAGTGGCAGGATCACAGCTCACTGCAACCTCTGCCTCCTGGGCTCAATTGATCTTCCCACCTCAGCTTCCTGAGTAGCTGAGACTACAGTTGTGTGCCACCATGCCCGGCTAATTTTTGTATTTTTTGTAGAGATGGGGTTTCACCATGTTGCCCAGGCTGGTCTCAAACTCCTGGGCTCAAGCAATCCACCCACCTCGGCTTCCCCAAGTGCTGGGATTACAGGTGTGAGCCACTACACCTGGCCTGTACCTATTTTTCATATGTACCCAGTCATAATCTTTTGATTTTTTGGTCACATGTAATTCCCCGTTGGTGACATTCTCTACTCCTCATTCCCTACTTCATGCTTCTTTCTTCTGTCTCTCTCACTCTTTCAGTTTCTGTGTTAGACCAACTTCATCAATGTCGCTGTAACATCTTTTCTTATTTGGGTCTTGCTGTAGCTGGATCATGTGAAGCCAAAATGAGGGTAAATTATGTACTAATTTCCAAGGCAGGGGCCAAAAGAAATGGTCAAGGCAGAAGGCCAGAAAAGAACACAGATAACCAGAACCAGAAGAGCACAAAGGCCATTGAGAAGAAGGGGCTAATAAAATATTAAATTCCTCAAGTAATGGTATGTCTTCAATCTGCTTCTATTTCATTTCTCATAGGATACAGTACAGTGTTAGACATTTGACTCAGTGCTTAATAAGTACCATATTGATTAATTAACAGAAGCCTACAAGTGAAAAAAGAAAGAGGAGGGAGACTGGGAAGGAAAGAAAAAGAGACAGAGGTAGGAAGAGAGAAGAAGGGAAGGAAGGAGGGGAAGGAAAGAGAGAGAAAAAAGAACAATGATCATGAGTTTATATAAAACAGCCCCTTAGAGGGATCAAAAGCAAGGTTAAACTACAGAAAATATGGGTAAGACCAAGCTTAAAGTTAAAGGAAAGGCAATAGGGCGTAGAGATACTAAAAAAACTGTGGCTGGTATCTACATACTTGTCCTTTCTATTAGCAACAACTAGCTATGTGACCTGGAACAAATCCCTTATCCATACATGTATTCGAATATTACTGATGGTCTATTATTTGATTAGCACTGTCCTAGAGATTCAGAGATAAAACACATTGGTCCCTGCCTGGCAGAATGTTCATTCTAGCTGGGGAGGGACACAGATAATAAAAGTAAGCAAAGTGCAATGTTAGAGGGTAAAAAGAAAAAAGGCACAATAGGGTAGATGGGGAATACTGGGGGTGGGAATGGGGTTGGTATTTTATATAGCACGGTCAGGAAAAGCCTCAACTAGAAGGTGACATTTGAGCAAAGAGTCAAAGTGATAAGACAAAGCTAAGTGGATTATTTTAGGAAGAAAGTTCAAGGCAGAAGGAACAAATGTACAGGCCCTGATTTGGGAGTCCACATGGCATGCTGAAGAAGGCTGTATGGCTAGAGTAGAATGAAAGAAAGGGCAAGTAAATGAGATGAAGTCCACTCATGTGAAGCCTTATAAGGCCACTGAAAGATTTTTATTTTTACTCTTAATGAGATGGGAAGCTGCTAGAGGGTTATCCGAATAGGAATGAGGTCATTTAACTTAAGTTTTAAAAGAATCACTCTTGGTGCTATGTAAAGAACTGACTTTGGGGTAGGTAAAATAGATGAAGGTAACCCAATTAGGAGGCTGTTGCAATAATCCAGGTGGGAAAAGATGGTGGCTTGGGTCAAGGTGGTAGTTGTGAAAATGGTGAGAAGTGGTTGGATTCTGAAATATTTTGAAGATAGGGCCAAAGGTAGGTTTAAGTTGCAAGAAAGGGATGTCGAGAATGATTCCATTAGTTTTTTGTTTTTTTTTTTTTTTTTGCTGGGCGTGGTGGCTCACGCCTGTAATCCTAGCACTTTGGGAGGTTGAGGTGGGCGGATCACAAGGTCAGGAGCTCGAGACCAGCCTGGCCAATATGGTGAAACCACATCTCTACTATAAATACAAAAATTAGCCAGGCGTGGTGGCGCATGCCTGTAATCCCAGCTACTCAGGAGGCTGAGGCAGGAGAATCGCTTGAACCCGGGAGGCGGAGGTTGCAGTGAGCCGAGATTGCGCCACTGCACTCTAGCCGGGGCAACAGAGTGAGACGCTGTCTCAAAAAAAAAAAAAAAAAAAATTTTTTTTTTTTGTTTGCCTGAGCAATGAAAGATTGAAATTGCATTTAGTAAGATAGAAAACAGCAGAGAAAAGCAGGCACAGGATGGAAGTCAGGAGTTTGAGGACTTACATGTAAGATGTCCATTAGACATCCAAGTAAAGCTGCTGAGGAGGTAGCTGGACATGAATACGGAGTTCAGGAGAGAGATACAAACTGTAGATAATAACACTGGGAGTCATCAGCAAGTATATGAAGATAATATATATATTTCTGAGATTACCCAGAAAGTCAGTGTAGACTGAGAAAAGAAGGACCACGTTCTGGGCCATTCCAATATTTAGAAGTTGAAGAGATATGGAGAAACCAGTACAGGGCTTTGAGAAGGAATGTCCACTGAGGTAAGGGGAGCCCCCAAGGGAGTGAGTGATATTCTCAAAGCCAATGAAACAAAAGGTTTATACCATGATCAAGTGGGATTTATCTCAGGAATGAAAGGCTGGTTCAACATATAAAAGTCAATCAATACACCACATTGACAGAATAAAGGACAAAAACCATATGAACATCTCAAGAGACACAGCAAAAGCATTTAACAAAAATCCACCACTAAGGATCCATAAATGGAATCCTCTGAAGATGTTAAAATAATGTGGTAGATCCCTATGTATTGATACAACAAAACTTTAAAGATAAACTGCAGAGTGAAAAATCAAGTTGCAGAACAGCATATACTACATGATTCCATTTATGTTTTAAAAAATTCATAGGAAGGAGGGGGAAGCTGGGAGGGGGAAAAAATTCATAGGAAGGAAATACAGGAAAAAATAAACACAAAAAGCTGGTAAGTAATATACTGCCTAATAGTGAGCTAAAACATTAACTATAAAAAAGGGGTAAATCTTGTTCATAAAAATCACCACTGTAACACACCCTGGGCATGTCATAATTTTGATATTCTCAAGTCGCTTACTTACAGTAGCAACAGGGTCATTGCTCCGGGTGGCTGCAAGACTGAAACATTTCACATGTGTGTTGGTTTCCAAAGCCTTTGCAAAATCTTTTAGGGTTGGAATTGGGATATTCTTGAAAGACAATAACATAAAACATCATTACATTTCAATTTTCATTATATTTAGTTTCCATTAATCAAATATATGGTTTTTTTTGCTTTAAAATGTATTCAGAAATTATACAAACACCTAAGAATTAGTCTACAAATGAATACAAATAATGCAGCTTCCTCCATAATTATCTGACTTATCTACGATGGAGCATTTGCATAAACTACTGACTCAGAGCAGAGCACATATCACCATTTCTCTAGCATTTAGGTTAAAAAAAATTCTCATTATTCTCACCTTTCATTATTCCTTTTATTTATTTATGTATTTTGAGACAGAGTTTTGCTCTTGTTGCCCAGGTTGGAGTGCAACGGCGCAATCTCAGCTCACTGCAACCTCTATCTCCCAGGTTTAAGCAACCCTCCTGCCTCAGCCTCCCAAGTAGCTGAGATTACAGGCATGCACCACCAGGTCCAGCTAATTTTGTATTTTTAGGAGAGATGGGGTTTCATCATGTTGGTCAGGCTGGTCCCGAACTCCTGACCTCAGGTGATCCACCCTCCTCGGCCTCCCAAAGTGCTGGGATTACAGGCATGAGTCACTGCACCCAGCCTTCATTATTCTTTTTATATGAAAATAAAAGTGGATTTACTTTTCTACAAGGAAAGAAATGAAGGAGTCCATCTCTGATGAGTACGATTCCTGAGGCAGACAGACTGTTCTCAGTCACTTAGTTTAAGCTACAAAGCACTAAGAGAGATTAACCCTACACTACTTGAAGGAGAGAAAATACTGAAGATGCTGGTTTCTCTCAGTAGTATCTTGAGACTTCAATTCCCCCTAGCCTGGTTATTTTCAGATGATTACTGTTTATTTAGAGAAAGGGATACACAGGGACCAAATTAAAAAAAATAAAAATAGGCCGGGCGCAGTGGCTCACACCTGTAATCCCAGCAGTTTGGGAGGCCAAGGTGGGCGAATCACTTGAGGTCAGGAGTTCAAAACCAGCCTGGCCAACATGGTGAAACCCCATCTCTACTAAAAATACAAAAATTAGCCAGGTGTGGTGGTGGATGCCTGTAATCCCAGGTATTCAGGAGGCTGAGACACAAGAATTGCTTGAACCTGGGGCAGGGCAGAGGTTGCAGTGAGCCAAGATCGCACCACTGCACTCCAGCCTGGGCAACAGAGCAAGACTCTGTCTCAAAAAAAAAAAAAAAAAAGTTAGTAATCAACTATGAATATAAGCTTTCTCTGAGGCTTTCCTTCCTCTACTCACAGGAAGGATCACTCCCTAGAGGAGCACAGAAGCTTCCTTCCCTAGGCTCAAGATTTCCAGATGCTCTCCTCCACTTGTCCTCGACTTCAAAAAAATCAAGTTTTAAAATGAGGAATTTATAATGAAGCCATTACACAATGGCTAATATCTAGATAATTTGAGTTTACTTTTTGGTAATTAATTACCCCATGTCCTCCTAATTTCTTCTTTCCTTACTCCAAGGAAGAGTTGCATTGTTTAAAACTCAAAATAAGATCCCAGAAAGCCTATTCCTAGGTGTTTACTCAAGAGAATTTAAAACATGTTCACACAAAAACCTGTGTGTGAAAAGTATATAGTGGCTGTATTAATAAACATCCCAAACTGGAAGGAACCCATATGTCTTCCAACTGATGAACAGATAAACAAACTGCAGCGTATCTGACACACTCACCATGAATCAATCTCAAATGTATTATGCTAAGAAGCCAGACCCAAAAGGCTACATACTATAGGATTCAATTTATATGACATTCTGGAGAAGGCAAAATAATAGGGAAAGAAAATAGGTCAGTGGTTGTCAGGGGCTAGAGCTGGGGGTCAGAGAATGACTACAAAGGGGTATGAGAGAACTTTTGCGGTGACAGATATATTCTATATCTTGAGTGTAATGGTGGTTGTACAAAATTGTATGCACCTGTCAAAATTCATAGAACTGGACACTAAAAGGGAGAATTTTACCATATTTAAATTTTACCTCAAAAAAACAGGTTTTATTTTATTTTTTGAGATGGGACAGTGGCAGGTCTCACTATGTTGCCCAGGCTGGTCTCAAACTTTTGGGCTCAAGCCATCCTCCAGCCTCAGTCTCCCAAGTAGCTGGGATTACAGGCATGCACCACCATACCTGGCTAAGGAACCGAATTTTAAAAAAGCAAGACCCAAGAGGCTAAATGTTCTTAGAAGTGGGCAGTATTTAGAAAACCTGAGATTTATTCTGACAGTTTGTAGGGTTTACATTTTTAGATGATAAATTCTTCAAAAAGCAAGTTAGAAAATACTATACCATAATACTTCAATATCTAAAATATGAAGAAACCTATGTTAGCATACTGGTAAGAGCAAAAACTTTACGTTAAAGTAGAAAGAATTAGACTATTTTATCAACTGCCCAGCTCTCATCCTAGGTTCAACTAACTCAAAGCAATACAAAACCACTCTGATTAGCACACTTACCTTTATATTATTCAAATTAACTTCAACAAGATGAGCATCGTTTTCTTTAGTTCTCTTCAAACTCTCTTCTACATTGGTTGGATTTGGTGGCTCATCAAATACCGGAAGAATCTTTTCACCTTTGACCACATCTGCAGTGATAAATGAAAAGAGCAGGATTTGATACCATTTTTTTTTTTTTGAGACGGAGTCTCGCACTTTCGCCCAGGCCGGAGTGCAGTGGCACGATCTCGGCTCACTGCAAGCTCCGCCTCCCGGGTTCAAGCCATTCTCCTGCCTCAGCCTCCTGAGTAGCTGGGACTACAGGTGCCTGCCACCACGCCCAGCTAATTTTTTGTATTTTTAGTAGAGACGGGGTTTCACCATGTTAGCCAGGATGGTCTCTATCTCCTGACCTCGTATCAACCCGCCTCAGCCTCCCAAAGTGCTGGGATTACAGGCAGGAGCCACTGTGCTCAGCCTGGAGTTGATACTATTACAGTGCATGCAGATAATTGACTTGGTAACATCTCTTTCTCTCTCTCTCATACACGCATATTTATTCAAGGGGACAGATTTAAAAGTTCCATCCCCACAATTCCGAAAAGATCCTTTATGTGTTGACACATATTTATTTATTTAATTTTTTTTTTTTTTTTTTTTTTTTTTTTTGAGATGGAGTCTTACTCTACCACCCAGGCTGGAGTGCAGTAGCAAGATCTTGGCTCACTGCGACCTCCTCCTCCCACGTTCAAGCAACTCTCCTGCCTCAGCCTCCCAAGTAGCTGGGAATACAGGCGTGTGTCACCATGCCTGGCTAATTTTTGTATTTTTAGTAGAGATGGGTTTCGTCATGTTGGCCAGGTTGGTCTTGAACTCCTGGCCTCAAGTGCTCTGCCTGCCTTGGCCTCCCAAAGTGCTGGGATTACAGGCAGGAGCCACTGCGCTTGGCCTTGACACATATTTAAAGCACCCAAATAAAATTTTACTGAATATAAATACCAAACATATTCAACATTTAATTTGTTTGCCATGTATCAGTCTTCAAAAATGAATATTTTCATTGTCTTAGTATATTACAAGATATTTTTACCACTCAAATATATTTGATAGCACAAGTTGATGATGCCATTTGTTTTTGGCAAAATTTAAGATAAAATAATAGTATGATAAAATCTAGCATCTCATCATTTCTCTGAAATTTGACTGATAATTGGCATAAAGGCAGTAAGAATCACAGACTTAAAGAAATATAGCCTAAATGAGAAGAATAAGGTGATGGGAGGGCACATTACCTCTTCCTCCCACGAGGAGTACTCTGCAGTGGGAAAGTGGGGAGAACTTCCTGCGAGAAAGAAGGAATAGGAAAGAGGGTAGGAATAAGGAGCAGAGAGGGAGAGGAGGTAAAGGTACACAGAAGAGCTACTGAGACAGAGGCTCCAAAATTTACTGCCCTCCCTCACTCTCACTCCCTAATCTTTACCTCAGCTACCCACACAGGAATATGATGCTTCAGATGTGAACGACAGAGGACCTGAAATCCTTGAGCCCTTTAAAGAGATCACTGTGCTCTGATGCATGTGTGTGGAGGTCTACGAACACCTATAATAGGTAAACTTTTATGGATACATTTTCTGGGGAAAACATTACTTTTTTGTGGTCATTCAAGTCAAAGACCACAAAAGGCTCACAAACTAATGAATGAGCACGAAAGAGTAAGAGCAATTGACATGGAAAGACTGACCGGGTTCAAAATGGACTACTATCTGGCTTTTTTCCTTCCTGCCTTCCTCTAGATTTTAGCAGCAAAACTCATCTTGAGACAGGGTGCACTGATTATCCAATAAATTCCATCTAAGAGTATCTTGTTACTTTCAAATATCACACACACACAGCATCTTGAGAAGATCAACTTAGATGAAGGTTTGAAAATTACTTTCCCGAGGTCAGGTGAAAAATCTGAATATATTTAGTCTGGAGAAGTACCTATTAAAAGAAGTTATCCTAGCTGTTTTCAGATTTATCCTGTAGAAGTTGAGAAGAGACAAATTTAGTGCTGTTCTGAGAGGCTGCGTTAGAACAAGTATAGATTGCCAAGAAGCAGAACTTGGTTCAAGACAAGGAAAAGCTTCCTAATGGAGCTCTGCTAAACAACAGAGAGTGGGATCCCTCTCACTTAAGTTCAGCAAGGTAGTCTTCAAGATAGCTAGGGAAGAACTTCCTCATTGAATGGAAAATTGAATAGTTCTAATTTTATAAAACCAAAAGATTTCTTTCCCCATTCCACACATCCTGTGGAGTGGGGAAAGATGGAATGGGGAGAGAAATCTTAAGAGCCTTGCCCCTTAATGAAATAATGAATCCAGTCAATGGGATGCAGGAATTATTAAGCAAAAGGTTCATGGGAAACTTAAAAAGGATGGGTCAGGCTGCCTACATTTGAACCCTGTGATCAATCTCATTCCCCCAAAGAGGAAGGATTAGACTTCATAAGCTTCTTAATATGATTCAGTCACCACCCATGAAGCATTCTTGCCAAAAGGGACCTGCACCTGCATCTCATCAAGCCACTAGAACTAACAGTTTACAGAAACATAGGTGATAGAAAAACATAAAATGATACCATAAGGTTGAAATCAGCCAAATCCAGAATGTGGAAAATTCTACGAAAAATAAACCCAGTTTCTTAAAAAATAAATGGCACAGAAAAAAAAAAAAAAAAGGAAAGAGGTTGGGGAGGAGAACTGTTAAGAAATTAAGGGAGACTAAAAAGACAAACAACCAAATGCAGTGTGTAACCTTTTTTGAGCCAATCATGAAACGACATTTTGGAGAGAACAGAGGAAATCTGGACACAGACTGGGTATTACATGATATGAAGAAAATACCGTTAATTTTTAAGTTTGATGATGGCATCATGATTACATTAAAAGAAAAGCCTTTATTTGTGAGACACACATATGGAAATATTTATAGGTATGTAATACAAATGAACAGGGTTTGCTTTAAAATACGTCAAGAAAAAAAAGTAGAAGGGTTAGGAAGGGAGACAGAAGATGAATAAAACAAGGCTGGCAAATGTTAAAAACAGCGGAAACTGGGTAATGAATATATTATTCTCTCTTCTTCTATGTGTGTTTGAACATTTCTACAATAAAAACTTAAAAATGAGAAGGGGGATGGTCAAATTACAAAACATCGTAGAAAGGAATGTTATACACATGTCTGAATGATGTAGATGTATACATATTAACTAGAAAACACGGTCGACTGCTAAGTGATACACTATATAACACGGGTTAAAATCCTTACCACTGACTTTGTGTAAAATATTGAGGTTACCCAATTATTTTAAAATGTCAGCTTTCTCACATGCAAATTAAAAATAATAATATCTATTTCATAGAACTGTTGTCAGGGCTAATAAGAGTACTTCACGTCCAAGAGCTGTGCACACAACATGGCCCACAGTAAGCATTCAAAAACAGTTGGCCAGGCACAGTGGCTCATGCCTGTAATCCCAGCACTTTGGGAGGCTGAGGTGGGCAGATCACCTGAGGTCAGGAGTTCGAGACCAGCCTGGCCAACATCGCAAAACCCCATCTCTACTAAAAAAAAAAAAAAAAAAATTAGCTGGACAAGGTGGCGTGCACCTGTCAAATCCTAGATACTCAGGTGGCTAAGGCAAGAGAAGCGCTTGAACCTGAGAGGCGGAGGTTGCAGTAAGCCAAGATGGTACCACTGCACTCCAGCCTGGGTGACAGAGCAAGACTCCGTTTCCAAAAAAAAAAAAAAAATTAGCTAATAGAATTATTATTGAAAAATTAAGTTGCAATAAATATTTACAGTATAATCGATTTTTTGTAAAAAATAAGAGACTATGTATAATATGTATACATTAGTATAAACAGTGCAAAGCCTGGAAGGGTATATACAAAATTGTTAACAGGGTAGGTGGTGTTTGGGGAAGTAGAGGGCATGATGGCTGGAGACAGAGACACTTTTACCTCTTCCCATAAATACTTATGTACTGTTTAAATGTGCTACAAAGGCATGTATCACCTTGCTAATTTAAGAACACCCTATACATGAATTTATTTTTTGAGATAGGGTCTTGCACTGTTGCCCAGGCTCGAGTGCAGTAGTGTGATCACAGCTCACTGCAGCCTCAAGCTCCTGGGCTCAAGCCATCCTCCCCTCAGCCTCCCAAGTAGCTGAGACTAGAGACATGTGCCACCATGCCCAGCTAATTTTTAAAATTTTTTAGAGATGGGGGTCTACGTTTCCAATGCTGGTCCTGAACTCCTGGACTCAAGCAATCCTCCTGCCTCAGCCTCAGAAAATGAAATTACAGTCATGATCCACCACACCTGGCCCCTATAAATGAGTTTCTGAAAAGCTTTGCTTTAGGCTATATAATACTTCACATCAGACTGAAAGGTTTAGGGGCTGAATAGTTTTGTGGTATCTCCTGAATCTGATTTTATAATGTAATTTCTTTGTAAGTACTGTTATGTATTTCTTGAAAATTAGTAGTAGTGATAATAAAATGTCAACAAAACCAAGTTGGACTAGCTTTTATACTGTTTAGCATTATTTAGTGAGGTAGAGTGGTTCTTATTACATTTGCTGACCCATTAAACACAAAATATTTAATACTCTATTTTCAATGGCTTTCTTGGTTAATACCACCAAACTGAAATGTCAGGTTTCAAGTACATATATATAACATCTAGTATGTGAACACTTAAGCTGACACAAGGCGAAAACAAAATATATTTAATAAAGGATTAGAATTCACAAAGCATTTTAAGTACTCACTTGAAAAATGTTCTTGGTCAACACCATTACTACTTCCCATTATATTACAGAACTTTGTATTCGTTATCAAATTGTGCATCCCAAGAATTGCTATAAATACAGAAAAAGAAAGTTTTTATTGTTTTAAACATGAAGAGTTTTACAACTAAAAATTTCTATCAATAATTTTAATATCCTCTGGACCTTTTCCTATAAATTACAGATCACACACCCACACAGAAAACAAAATGATTAAAAATCACCTATAATCTCATTCTCCTCAATACTCTTATTATTTTCCCCCACATTTCTAAATTTACATTTCCCCACATTTCCAAATTCAGAGTTGGAGGCAGCCTAATCCTGAACATAAATCTATGCTTAGCTCCATCTAGTGGCTAAGAGAGAAAATGGAAATGATCTATTTTTGCCGTTCATTAATTTCACAAGGTTTCTAGGAACATAATATGACAAAAAGCAGATTTTTAACTTAACCTTCATATTTTAATGTGTGTTAATCTCATGTCATTAATTTACACTTGGACTGTAGTTAAGAGTAGAATACTAAAGTATTAGGTTCTCGTATGTAAGAATACGAACACCCTTCAAAAATGACACTTAGGAGGAAAAATAAATTTGGTTTTAGTTTTTGATGCCCTTGTGCACAAATAAGGCAGAAGTCAGAGGATGTCCTTGGCTCATTCCACTCTGGTGAATGTACTGTTTACAGATCTGTCAGTCTTCAGTCCCTCAACCCGTAAGACTCCTGCTGTGGCTGTGGCGTCACACCTAGACTTGTCCCTTTCCAAGGTCCTTTCCAAAGAACCATCAGTGCTACATTCAAATTTATTAGTTCCTGGGGTTATTTGGTTTGAAGAACTCCCCATGCATCACACTTTTCTATCTAGGAAAGTAGATTGTACATGGGTAGGGAGGGGAAGATACTGGTCTAGATAAGAAATTGACAATAATGAAAATAATAGAGACGTTTGGAGTGTTTCATATACACTTCAGAAAAGTTGGGAAGGTGGTGAGTATAGCTCAGGACTGACTGTTTCAATCTACTTTCTAGTTACTCATCTCTCGGTCTTCTGATAAAGTAGGTCAGCGGTTGACCCTGAAGACTCTTTTTCGGTGTTCAGATAGGACAGCTTCTAGCTGAGCACCAGGTGATGAAAGATTTTTAGAAAGACTTTCAAATATGACAACATGGGAAAAGATGTCGAACAATACAATACATTTTCTTAATATAAACATTTTGCTATTGAGAGTATTTAGAGAAATGAAACTCTTTACGTCAGCTTTACCGTGTAAAATATAAAGCCAAATATGTGGTTACTGATTTAACAGTACTTGCTAGGTAAAGCAAACGTTTGTATAATGTATATAGGTATGTGCTGGTATTTCCCACTCCACCCCACACTTATTCACAAATTAACTTGTTTTAGGTGATACCTGCGAGGTCACACAATTCTGTATCAGAAGCACTTGTCAAAGCTTCTTCTAATTCTGGATCAAGAGACACTTTTTCTTCTGTAAAAGTCTGTACAGGTTTCTGTTTGGGGATAAATATTTTCCCTGTAAAATAAAGCATTTTGTTAATTCCATTACTACTGCTATCAACTCATTACCATTTTATCCTTGTAACCAAAGCATGTACAACTGAACCTGAAGGAAAAGATTAACATCGACAGTAATTTTGTTTTATCTCTGACATAGATTTTTAAGTTTCCAGCGTAATATTTTGGCTGTAAAAGTTGGAAAGAAAAGGTCAACTGAGAAATTTTTCATCTGTGGAAATAAAAATGGGCTCTTTTTAGAGTAATTGCGAGTTGCTTTACAAATACTGAATCAATCAATAAATGAAGGAATAAACAAAAAACCTATAAAACTTTAAAGAGATTAAAAAAAAAAAAAACAGAATCCAATTTCCTTTTTTTTTTTTTGAGATGGAGTCTCACTCTGTCGCCCAGGCTGGAGTGTAGTGGCGTGATCTTGGCTCACTGCAACCTCCACCTCCCGGGTTCAAGTGATTCTTCTGCCTCTCAGCCTCCTGAGTAGCTGGGACTACAGGCGTGCACCACCACACCCAGCTAATTTTTGTATTTTTAGTAGAGACAGGGTTTTGCCATGTTGGCCAGGCTGGTCTCAAACTACTGACCTAAGGTGATCCACTCGCCTTGGCCTCCCAAAGTGCTAGGATTACAGATGTAAGCTACCGCACCTGGCCCCAATTTCTTATTATTAAGCAACAAACTGTTATTGTCACATGGGGGATAGCAGAGACAATTATGATTCTATAAATTCAAATTCTGATTGCAAACAAATTTCTATGTCCTGAGTGGTATTCTGAAATTTTTGGTCATTATTCCTCTAAGCCTCAACGTACACGAACAAGGTTAGCTATTAAGAAACTAGTTACTCTAGCCCTCTCCCTCTCCCTCTCCCTCTCTCCACGGTCTCCCTCTCCCTCTCTCTCCCAAGGTCTCCCTCTCCCTCTCCCTCTCTCTCCACGGTCTCCCTCTGATGCCCAGCCGAGGCTGGACTGTACTGCTGCCATCTCGGCTCACTGCAACCTCCCTGCCTGATTCTCCTGCCTCAGCCTGCCCAGTGCCTGGGAATGCGGGCGCGCACCGCCACGCCTGACTGGTTTTTGTATTCTTTGGTGGAGACGGGGTTTCGCCGTGTTGGCCAGGCTGGTCTCCAGCTCCTGGCCGTGAGTGATCTGCCCGCCTCGGCCTCCCGAGGTGCCGGGATTGCAGACGGAGTCTCGCTCACTCAGTGCTCAATGTTGCCCAGGCTGGAGTGCAGTGGCGTGATCTCGGCTCGCTACAGCCTCCACCTCCCAGCCGCCTGCCTTGGCCTCCCAAAGTGCCCAGATTGCAGCCTCTGCCCGGCCGCCACCCCGTCTGGGAAGTGAGGAGCGTCTCGGCCTGGCTGCCCATCGTCTGGGATGTGAGGAGCCCCTCAGCCTGGCTGCCCAGTCTGGGAAGTGAGGAGCGCCTCTTCCTGGCCGCCATCCCGTCTGGGAACTGAGGAGCGTCTCTGCCCGACCGCCACCCCGTCTGGGAGGTGAGGAGAGTCTCTGCCCGGCCGCCCCGTCTGAGAAGTGAGGAGCCCCTCCGCCCGGCAGCCACCCCGTCTGGGAAGTGAGGAGCGTCTCCGCCTGGCCAGCCGCCCCGTCCGGGAGGGAGGTAGGGGGCAGCCCCTGCCCGGCCAGCCACCCTGTCCGGGAGGGAGGTGGGGGGCAGCCCCCGCCCGGCAGCCACCCCGTCTGGGAGGTGGGGGGCGCCTCTGCCCGGCCGCCCCGTCTGGGAAGTGGGGAGCCCCTCTGTCCGGCCGCCACCCCGTCTGGGAGGTGTACCCAGCAGCTCATTGAGAACGGGCCATGATGACGATGGCGGTTTTGTCGAATACAAAAGGGGGAAATGTGGGGAAAAGAAGGAGAAATCGGATTGTTGCTGTGTCTGTGTAGAAAGAGGTGGACATAGGAGACTCCATTTTGTTCTGTACTGGGAGAAATTCTTCTGCCTTGGGATGCTGTTAATCTATAGCCTTGCCCCCAACCCCGTGTTCTCTGAAACATGTGCTGTGTCCACTCAGGGTTAAATGGATTAAGGGCGGTGCAAGATGTGCTTTGTTAAACAGATGCTTAAAGGCAGCATGCTCGTTGAGAGTCATCACCACTCCCGAATCTCAAGTACCCAGGGACACAAACACTGCGGAAGGCCGCAGGGTCCTCTGCCTAGGAAAACCAGAGACCCTTGTTCACATGTTTGTCTGCTGACCTTCCCTCCACTATTGTCCTATGACCCTGCCAAGTCCCCCTCTCCGAGAGACACCCAAGAATGATCAATAAATACTAAAAAAAAAAAAAAAAAAGAAAAAAGAAACTAGTTACTCTAGAAACCTAAAGACTTTATCATATGAAAATCATGTTTATGACCATATGTTCCATGCAAGATTGAAAATATGAAAGGAATGGAAAAATGATAATAATTATAAACTGCAGCACTAGCTGACCAAACAAGATGTACTCACACAACTTGGGTTACTAAGCTTGCATAGAACAGAATACCCAATTAAAGTTGGTTTAAACTGGTGCTTCAAAAGCTCTGATGTGCATGTTAGTCACCAGGGGATCTAATTAAAGTGTAGATGCTGATGCAGCAGGTCTGACTGGGGTCTGAGTTTCTGCATTTCTAACCAGACTTCCAGATGATGCTGATCCACAGACCACTCTTAAAGCAATAAGAGTTCAAACAACATGAAGTTTTATTATCTCACTTAATAAGCCCACAGGAAGGTGGTTCTAGGGTTGGTTTAGCAGCTCACTGTTGACATCAAGGATCCAGGTTCCTTTGTTTTTCTCTTTGGCCATTCTCAGTGTGGAGGCCTTTGTTCTTAGGCCTTCACAGTCTCAAGATGACCTTTATAGCACCAAGTATTATATCCCCACACAATAAAGCCAGAACAGGAAGGAGTACTTTCTCAATTGCCAACTTTTTTTTTTTTAAGGCTAGTCAAGTGAAGCAGTGGGAGTAGAGATGGAACAAAGAAATCTGTAACTGTGATCAATTAGCTGTAAACACCACTGCACTTGGACCAGCCTCAATTGTCAACTTTTACAAGAAATTCTGCCCTGCAGATTTTTCCTCTGGTCTATGGCCCAGCGGCAAGGGTGGCTAGGAAAGCAAGCATCTGTGAATGGTTGTTCAATGGGCAACTATAGTGTCTGTCCCAAACTGAAATCAAATAAAGTACTTCTGTATTCCCTTAATCCCCCGAACATTTCACTATAGCTACACTTAGACATTCTGCACATGTGTTTGCCTTTTGCATGCTTTTCAAGGGGATGCTCTATGTTCTGTTCATCCCTGCATCCTTGCCTAGAACACAACAGGTAATCCAATTTGCTGAATAAACAATTTGGTGATCACCTTCAGTCCAATGGCCCCATTTCATAAAGTGTAATTTAAATACATGGGCTCAAAGTCACACAGCACAGCTAATACTAGAACACAGGTTGCCAAACTCTTAAGGCCAGGGCTTCAGTGTTTTTTCCAGTTAACTGGTGGCTTACAAACTTGATTTATTTTAGCAACAGACTTCTTCCCCCAAACAAATGCCCATCGATCTTAGTATCAAATTTTGGAATTCTGGTGATTAATCTTTTATTATTGGTTCACAGGTAAAGAGAAATCCAAATCATTATGTCCTGATAATTCCATACTTTTCATAGTGGTTGAGATTACAATTAAAGTGGTATACATTTCAGGGGGGCATAATTTTAATTGCCATTTCAGGATAATTACATTTTCCTGAGCTCAATCTACCAGTATTTTCAACTGTGTATGGCAGTAGTTCTAAATGTTATATGCACAGTGGCTTCACTGTGAGAGCTTTAGAAAATTCTCATGTCCAAGCCCCACTCTAGAGATGCTGGTTTAGTTAATCTTGTATGCTGCATGGGCAGCTGAATTTTTTAAAGCTCTCCAGGGATTCTGATGCATAGCAGCCAAGGTTGACAGCAACTGGATTATGGTATTCACTGACTAAACAAAACTATACAAGCTACTTGCCACAAAAAAATGATCAGTATGTGAGCTAATATGTATGTCAAATTTAATTTAGCTATTCCACAATGTGTACATGTAAAAAAAAGTTACACACTATAAACAACACAATTTTTACTTGCTAACTAAAAAAAAACTAAACAAGCTATCAAATAGCTGCCCATGTCTTATTTGAGGGACCGATGGAATCTAAAGCATCATAAAAATCTAAGATGCTTATTTTTTTTATAATCCTTATCCACATTCCTTAAAAGGCATTATTCGTACCTAATTTCCCCCCATATATAAATTTTTGCTAATGCTTACAAATACAAAATGAATCTCAGCAGAAAAATCAATAAGGCAAAACAAAACTCCCAAGGACCTAGAAAAATTTTTCTGTCATATAGAATTTTGCTTGATTTCATAGAGTTCTGACATAGCATGGCACCTCTTCTGGCACTCCTCTTTATATAATTTTTCTGTATGTAGAGATTTTTGCCATAGAGGTATTTAGCTTGTACAATATTGTGTTTTTTAAAATACAAAAAGTAATTACTTCATATTTTCTTCCAGGTTAGTTGAACACTAATACACTGTAATAAGTTATCTTTTAATGCATATATACAAAGCTTAGTTATAGAAAAGTGGAAGTAAAGAAATTAATTTTGTAAGAAAGGATAAACTAGGAAGGACCTAAGTTTAGCATTACGAATACAGAACTTAAGGGGCTCTCAGCAAATTGATTTATAGATTTACACAATCCCTTTCAAAATCTCAGTTGTTTTTTTTTTATAGAAAGTGACAAGCTGATCCTAAAATTCACATGGAAACCCAGAATAGCCAAGAACACAGTTGTAAGACTTACACTTCCCAATGTTAAAATTTAATGCAAAGCTACTATAATCAAAACAGTGTTGGTGGACTAGAAAGACATTTAGATCAATAGAATATAACCAAAAATCCAGAAATAAACCCTTATACTTATGGTCAACTGATTTTCTACAGGAATACCAAAACAATTCAATGGAGAAAGAACAGTGTTTCAACAAATGGTACTACGACAACTGCACAATCACATGCAAAGTTTTTTGTTTTTGGTTTTTTTCTTTTGAGACAGTCTCTCACTCGGTCACCCAGGCTGGAGTGCAGTGGTACAATCTCAGCTCCATGCAACCTCTGCCTCCTGGGTTCAAGCGATTCTCGTACCTCAGCCTCCCAAGTAGCTGGGACTACTAGTAGATGGGGTTTTGCCATGTTGGTCAGGCTGGTCTTAAACTCCTGACCTCAAGTGATCCACCTGCCTCGGCCTCCCAAAGTGCTGGGATTACAGGTGTGAGCCACCACTCCTGGCCCTCATATGCAAAGCTGAATCCTTACCTCACATCATACTCAAAATAGATTATAAACCTAAATAGGCTGGGCATGGTGACTCACGCCTGTAATCCCAGCACGTTGGGAGGCGGAGGCGGATGGATCACCTGAGGTTAGGAGATCGAGACCAGCCTGGCCAACAAGGTGACACCACGCCTCTACTAAAAATACAAAAATTAGCCAGGTGTGGTGGCACATGCCTGTAATCCCAGCTACTCGGGAGGCTGAGGCAGGAGAATCGCTTGAACCTGGGAGGCGGAGGTTGCAGTGAGCTGAGATTGCGCCACTGTACTCCAGCCTGGGCGACAGAGCAAGACTCCATCTCAAAATAAATAAATAAAATAAAAACAAAACCCTAAATGTACGGGCTAAACTATAAAACTCTTAGGAAAAAACATAAGATTATATCTTCTTGGGAGGCCAAGGTGGGCAGATCACCTAAGGTCAGGAGTTCAAGGCCAGCCTGACCAACATGGAGAAACCCTGTCTCTACCAGAAATACAAAAAAATTAGCTGGGCATGGTGGTGCATGCCTGTAATCCCAGCTACTCAGGAGGCTGAGGCAGGAGAATCGCTTGAACCCAGGAGGCGGAGGTTGCAGTGAGCCGAGATTGTGCCATTGCACTCCAGCCCCGGCAACAAGAGCAAAACTCTGTCTCAAAAAAAAAAAAAAAAAAAAAAAAAAAAGAAATAAAGAAAGATTGTATCTCCGTGACCTTGAATTAGGCAATGGTTTTTAGATATGCCACCAAAAGTATAAGTAACAAAAGAAACACAGATAAATTGTACTACATCAAAATTAAAAACTTTTGTGGGGCAAATTATACCATCAAGAAAGTGAAAAGATAATCTGCTGAATAGGAGAAACATTTTTGAGCCATATATCTGGCAAGAAATTTTTATCCAGAATATATAAGGAATGCTTGCCAATCAATAATAAAAGGACAACCCAGTTTAAAAGTAAGCGAAGATTTGAAGAGACATTTCTACAAAGAATATGTATAGCTGGGCATGGTGGTGCACATTTGTAATCTCAGCTACTCGGTCGGTTGACATAGGAGGATTGTTTGAGCCCAGAAGTTCGAGTCCAGCCTGGGCTGCATAGCAAGACTCCATTTCCAAAAAGCAAACAAATATACACGAGTCTAACAATACATGAAAAAATACTCAGTATCATTAGTTATTAGGGAAATGCAAATCAAAACCACAATGTGATATTACTTCACACCCACTAAGATGGCTACAATAAAACAGACAAGTGTTGGCAAGCATGTGGAGAAATTTCAACCCTGGTACATTACTGGTGAGAAGGTACAATACCGCAGCCACTTTGGAAAAGTTTGGCAGTTTCTCAATTTGTTAAAAAATAGTTACCTTATGATCCAGCAATTCTATCAGGCACATACCCAAGAGAAATAAAAACATATGTCTATATAACAACTTGTATAAAAATGTTCATAGCAGCATATTCACAACAGCTAAAAAGTGGCAACAACCCATGTCCATTAACTGAGAAACAGATAAACAAAACGTGGTATCCACAATAAAATATTATTCAGCCATAAAAAAGAATGAAGTATTGACACACACTGTAACAAGATGAAACTCCAAAACCTTATGCTAAGTGAAAGAAGTCAGCCATAAATACATATTGTATGATTCTGTTTATAAGAAATATCCAGACTAGGCAAATCCAGAAAGAAAGTTGCTTAGTGGTTGTCAAGGGCTAGGGAATGGAATGGGGATGAAGGCTTACTGCTAACGTGCACAGGGTTTCTTTCTGGGGTTCCAAAAATGTTCTAAACTTAAGACTGTGGTGATGGTTGCATAATTCTATCAATGTAGTAATGAATATTGAATTATATGCCTTAAATTGATAAATTTTATGATATGGGAATTATATCACCTTTACTAATAAAGATGTTTACAAAAACCACTAAGGAGCTGACTTATTAGTATGGGTTTTTTGGTCTTCAGTAAATTTATATTTGGTTCCCTGAAATGTGAAGATTAAAAAAAGATAATTTTCTGAGACAAATTGAGCCAGATACAGTATATTTGTACTTCTTAATCAAAATCAGCTGTTTCCCGAGAAACATCTAACTAGCAAACTGCTGGAATAATTTCATATGACATAAAATACCTTTCTAAACATGTATTAATTTAAATTAGTCTTATATCAATATCAATTAGATTTTAAAATCTTAGTGACTATGAGATGTTGATAAATTCAATAGATCTCCCTTATAATGGTTAGTTTGGTTTGTGCTCTCAATGTCTTGCAGGATGAGAAACATAATAGACACACATTAATTCCTTATTCTTGTTGCTCCTAGAATTTCTTCTTCGTGTGTGTGTGTGTGTGTGTGTGTGTGTGTGTGAAAGACAGAGAGAGAGAAAGAGATTGCCAAAACAAACTAGCAACCTAGGAAGACTAAAGACCACATAGTCCCAAGTATCTCTGTCAGTGTTCCTTAAACTCAGAAAATGAAGACTGGTTAGTCATGAGTATTTTTGAAAAAGCTCCAAAGGTGATTCTAATTCTTACTCATTTAGGTTGGTAACCACTAATCTGTATAATATCAGTCCCTAAAAGATGAAGATGAGTTATCCTGAGTTGATCTAATTTTTTCTTCTGCTTGAAATATGGTCAAAAATAAAAAAATCCAGATTTATGACTTTTACTACTTCCATTTTTTAAAATAACATAATGTCTAAGAAAACATTTTTACCTTTCAGTAGATAGCATTCTATCTAAATGACTGTAATTTCCTTATTTAAGATAGCAAAATCCAAAACTCAAATTTTTAAAAACTGAAATTATAATTCTTTACCTAGTAGGAAACTATAAAAATAAACAATGATGAGATCAGAAAAAAAAAACTCTCAGATAAGTATGAAATGATACATCCCCCACCCCCAAGTTACACAAAACAAACAAAAATAAGGCTGAACCTTGGTTGCTAAGAGCGTTGAAACAGTTTAGCAATGTTTCTGCAACTACAAAACAGCAGCTAAGGAAATGGAAGACATTGAGATAAGAATTCATATAACAGTAATTTAAATGTATGGCACTTATCCAAACTCATGTGTGTTCCAAGAAAAAAGAAATATCCTGTGCCAAGATCCTTGTTATTGTCACAAAATCAGTAAGAAATACTGTGATCCATGTTAACAATTCCATTGCCAGGACCTTTCTTTACTAGTCCTTATCTCTTTTGCTCTGATACCAAGTTACAGCTGCAACAAATGTTAAGAATTATCTTAGTCATAGCTCCCACCCTTGCTGAGTATATAAAAAATATAATAACAAGAAACAGAGGTGGCTCTTGGTTACTTCATTCCTACAGAGTTGAAAGGCCCTAGCTAACTTTACTGTTTGTTTATAAACTGCCTTGTTCCAGAAAAGATTGAAGGACACTACTCCACTATAATCTCCAAGAGGCTTTGTGATATGTTGTTTGACAAGCAGCACAAAAACCTCAAACCAATCAAACTAAAGAATGAGGGGACACAGCCTAGAAAGACATTTTTGTTTTGATCCAATGATACACACAACACCTGCTTGATGCTGCAACATGGTCACCAATAAATGCTTAGTTAACAAATGTTTAGTGAGTTTGTATATACTAGACAATGAACTAGAAAGACACCATAAGGAAAACAAAACAAGAGATCCTTCACTTTTGGGAGTTAATACTTTAACAGGGAAATAGAACAGCAACTGAATCCTATTCTGGAGGTTCCTATGTCAAGATGGGGTAATAAGGACAGAATTTACCCACATGCCTGAAACAATTAAAATGGACAAAATATATGAAACAAGTTTTACACACACACACACACACACACACACACACATATATTTTAAAGAGATGGTTCTTGTTATGTTGGCCAGGTTGGTCTTGAACTCTTTGGCCTCAAGCAATCCTCCTGCCTCAGCCTCCCAAAGGGCTTGGATTACAGGCATGAGTTACCATACCTGGCCAGAAACAACAGTTTTCAAGACACTGGCCATCAGGCAACAAAGGACAGTGATCCCTATGATATGGGAAAAACAGAGGTGAGCCCTGTGATTACCTAGCTTATTGTCTGGAGAAAGGTTCCAGGCTGCAGATCAGGGAGCAGAAATTCAGGCAGAGCCTGGTGAATGCTGAGCTGCAGACACAGCTGAGGTCCAGAAAAACCAAGGCAGCCAGTGTTTGAAGGATAGGGAACCAGAAAGGAGGGAACTGCACAGAGAGGGAGCCCAGGAGTTGTGCAGAGGGTCACACTGAGTGTTCAGCATAGCACCGACTGGTACATGTATGTGAGGAACTACCTTGAGCCAAGGGAAAAAAAAAAACTTCTGAAAGCTTAGAGGTAATAATGCCCATGTTCATGCAGAGCTGGGAATAGAACCTGTTCCCACCAGCCAGACTGGAAAAGCTCACAATTCACAAGGCTCACAATTGGGTAGGGAACTCAGAAGGGTCTTGCCTCAGTATTGGGGAAATAATTAGCCCTAGACTGAACACTGCTCTAGTCCCACCTAACACATCTTTTTTTTTTTTTTTTAAGACAGAGTTTTGCTCTCGTTGCCCAGGCTAGAGTGCAGTGGTGCAATCTCGGCTCACTGCAACCTCCGTCTTCCGGTTTCAAGAGATTCTCCTGTCTCAGCCTCCCTAGTAGCTGGGATTACAGGCGCCCGCCACCACACCCAGCTAATTTTTTTGTATTTTTAGTAGAGATGGGGTTTCACCATGTTGGTCAGGCTGGTATCGAACTGCTGACCTCGTGATCCACCTGCCTCGGCCTCCCAAAATGTTGGGATTACAGGCGTGAGCCACCGTGCCTGGCCCACCTAACAAATCTTAAAAGCAAGACTCCAAAGAATCAAACTGTTTCCAAGTAACTTAACTGCACCCCAGAATGAAACTCAAGAATATTTATAGGTATATCAATACATCCAGCACTGGAAAGTTAATATGTTTGATACCCAATAAACAATTACAAACATGCAAAGAAACAGGAAAATTTGAT
This sequence comes from Homo sapiens, assembly GCF_000001405.40. Lineage (NCBI taxonomy): Eukaryota > Metazoa > Chordata > Mammalia > Primates > Hominidae > Homo > Homo sapiens. The sequence goes on along the minus strand of NC_000015.10, from coordinate 51,877,215 downwards.
CCAGAAGAAGAAAAAAAATCGGTCTATCAAAATTGACTTAACAATGATAGATGATAAAATTGGCAAGTAAGGACATTAAAAATTACTATAATTATATTACATATGTTCAAAAAGTGAAGTAGAGGCATAGAAGACTTTTTCTTTATTTTTTTTGAGACAGAGTCTCGCTCTGATGCCAAGGGTGGAGTGCAGTGGCATGAGCATGGATCACTGCAGCAATGAACTCGTAGGCTCAAGCCATCCTCCCACCTCAGCCTCCGGAGTAACTGGAACTACAGGCACACACCACCGCATCCAGCTAACTTTTTTTCATTTTTAGTAGAGGCACGGTCTCACTGTGTTGCCCAAGCTGGTCTGCAACTCCTGACCTCAAGTGATCCTCCCGCAGTGCCGCAATTACAGGTGTGAGCCATCATGCCTGGACGGAAGATTTTTTTTTTTAAAAAAAGCGCTGGGGCCGGGTGCGGTGGCTCATGCCTGTAATCCCAGCACTTTGGGAGGCTGAGGCAGGTGGATCACGAGGTCAGGAGATTGAGACCATCCTGGCTAACACGGTGAAACCCCGTCTCTACTAAAAATACAAAAAATTAGCCGGGCGAGGTGGCAGGTGCCTGTAGTCCCAGCTACTCGGGAGGCTGAGGCAGGAGAATGGCATGAACCCAGGGGGTGGAGCCTGCAGTGAGCCGAGATCACACCACTGCACTCCAGCCTGGGAAACAGAGCGAGACTCCATCTCAAAAAAAAAAAAAAAGCGCTGGGTGCACTGTCTCACACCTGTAATCCCAGGTACTCAGGGGGCTGAGGTGGGTGGAAGGATTGCTTGAGGCCAAGCATTTGAGAACAACATAGCAAGACCCGCCTCTAAAAAGAATTTTAAAAATTAGCCAGGTGTGGTAGCACATGCCTGTAGTCTCAACTACTTAGGAGGGTGAGGCAGAAGAATCACCTGAGCCCAAGAGTTTGAGGCTGCAGTGAGCTGTGATCATGCCACCGCTCTCCAGTCTGGACAACAGAGCAAGACCCTGTCTCTTACAAACAACAACAACAACAACAACAACATCAAAGAACAGACAGGACAAATAGAAAAGATATACCATGACATCTAATCAAAATAAAGAAAGATAGGCTCTATTAACATCAGGCAAAGTAGGTTTTATAGCAAAGAATATTACCAGAGATAAAGGTCATTTCATTATAACAAAAGGGACAATTCATCAAGGGGACATAACAATCCTAAAAACAAGTAGCAACAAAGCCTCAGAGTACAAGATTCTGAAACAACTAAAAGCAGTACTTTAGGCCGGGCACGGTGGCTCACACCTGTAATCCCAGCACTTTGGGAGGCCAAGGTGGGTGGATCACGAGGTCAGGAGATGGCGAACATCCTGGCTAACACAGTGAAACCCTGTCTCTACTAAAAATACAAAAAAAAATTAGCTGGGCATGGTGGCGGCTGCCTGTAGTCCCAGTTACTTGGGAGGCTGAGGCAGGTGAATGGCATGAACCCAGGAGGTGGAACTTGCAGTGAACCGAGATCGCGCCACTGCACTCCAGCCTGGGCGACAGAGCAAGACTCTGTCTCAGGAAAAAAAAAAAAAAAAAAAGGCAGTACTTTACGGTATGTAAATCATATGGAGAAATGCTGGAGGAAAGGAACTATCCAGAGTGGGTGTAGTTATCCAGGAAATGTTCCCCATGAAACCGGTTAACATGAGTAACAAGCCGTCCATCTGGCTAACTCCTCACCCCAAGGGAGTTAACAGTGAATCATTCAAATGATATTGCATGACCGGTCTGAAAAGGAGATGCCAGCATCTGCATGACTAATGTAAATAGCCCATTTCAAATATCAGCTTCAGTGCCTGGGAAGACCACTTTTCAGAGGTCTACAAGGGACATTTAGGGTTCATACAATATGATTACAAAAATAAGAGCCAGTTTTTACCTTTGGACTTAGCGGAAACCAATTGCCCAGTGGTGGTTATGTAATCCTCTTGATGTAGGCAGGTTTATAATCATGATCTTTCTGGTTTACTAAGGGATCAGGTCTGTCTTTCCTCCAAAGAAATCACATACTCAGAAAGGTGAGAAAGAGGAGGTTTTCTGGAAAGCTAACATAACTGTGAATAAATAACTTGGACAGCATATGGGAAGTCCTTAGTTTAAGGCAACTGGGTTAAATTTACCTTTAAAAAAGCAGGGAGGGGCATGTGGAATTCTTGGGAAAGAACAAAAGGGCATTCCATTCTCAGGATAGGAAAAGAGAAAACAACCAAAAAGCATAAATGGCTGTACCCCAAGGCCCAGCAGGAAGAAAAGGAGTGCGGTGCAAGGCAGGGAGGAGCCCATACCGGGTGAGTCAGCAGCTCAAACAGAATCAGAATGCACATCTCTGTATAGGATATAAGGTGCAGCCATGGCTCTGGTCCATCCGTGAAATAACACAGGGAAAAAAAATTCTTAGTCTAGGTAAGGGCGGAGCATGATACCAGCAATAGAGAGGAGGAGTCCCCAGCAAAACAAAACAAAATGACAGGTAGTAAAAAATACTGAAGACTGGGACACAGTATTTCTTCAAGTGATAAATTCATGACAAGGTTCTATGCCTTATCTATCTTTGAGACAGAATATGCATGCTATGTAAAAATATGATGGGAACTAATAATCAGCACTGAGAATTTTCACCATTCTCCAAACGAGAACAAGCTGGATGAATACTCTCTTTCACTCCTGTGCTGGCCTATGTCTCAGTTATACATTCTGCAAAATTTTAAGGAGGAAGAGGTAAAAAGTAAAATATTCACCAGTATAGGACAAAATACTCCCCTAAATGCATGTAAGACATAAGGCCTTGAGCTTCACTTAATTAGGATTACTTTCTTCTTTTCATATATTGACATATGCTTTCAATTCTGTAAAACATATAATCATTTCACAAATCATGAGGTGAAATTATTAATGGATTTACATATAATAACTCTTAAGTGTCCTCAGTCTATCAGGTTTCTAAAAAACATTTTTTAGCAATCTAGAAAATAAAATTTGGCATGAATATTTACTTTTATATTGGTCAAAAGGAAAAACTAAATGTGAAATTTTTGGTTTTATGAGGATTCCCTCCTGTCCTGGCCAGTTATGTGTAATTCTGGCTCCAGAAACAGAGTCTGCCTTTAAGTGAAAAAATAAGAAGTATAATTAATTGTCAGTCTCAGAATATAAGAAAATAGTCTAATGACTAGGTAAGTAATCCTTTTAGTGGTTCCCAAGTTTTTGCTTTTGAAAAAATTAAGCAGTCGGCCAGGTGCAGTGGCTCCACCTGTAATCCCAGCACTTTGGGAGGCCAAGGCAGACAGATCACCTGAGGTCAGGAGTTCGAGACCAGCCTGACCAACATGGTGAAACCCCGTCTCTACTAAAAATACAAAAATTAGCCAGGTGTGGTGGCAGGCCACTGCACTCCGGCCTGGGTAACAGAGTGAGATTCCATCTCCAAAAAAAAAAAAAATTAAGCAGTCATCTGATAGATCCTTTAAAATAATTAATTTACGATGAGAGCTCACTATGTGATTTTGGCATATAATTTGGAAAGAGTTCAAGGAACTGAATGACACTGCTACAACATTCCCTGGTCAGAAGGCTAATATTGCCATTAGGTACTGCACCCTGAGGCCAGTCATCTTTGAATGAAAAAATCATTTAGAGACCAAGAGAACATCTTATGGATTCTAACTAATCTAAATGTACCAAAAAAGTAAAATGCCTTTGTTTCTCAATAGAGGTAGGTTTGCAAACTTTTATGAAGAGCCAGGAAAACCTCTATTGCCTGGGAAAGCATCCTCAATCTGAAAGTCTATCTCCACTAAAATAAGCTATTAAGTAAAAAATCTGAGACTCAACCCAGGTGTTCAGGGCAGAGTCATAGGAGAGCTATCTTTAAAAAACAAGCTTCTGGATTTTTGGAGCTACAGAGATTAACATTTAGGTTGATGGGAAGTATTCTAATAAGACATAGATGAATTACTCTGAGGACCTTCTGGAACGTGATCAGGATCCTGGAGATGAGATGAAGAGAGAGGAAGGCATATTCGTGACTAAGGATAACTAAGGCTAACTGCTTTAAAGATGAGAGTCTAGGGTGGATTTCAGAACATTAGAGGTGGCTTTTTGCTATATTTCAAAGCAGAGCTTTACAGCCAAAGTTGCTTGATTGTTGAAGAGGAATTTGCCCTCCTTCAGGTCCATGGTACTGTGACATGGCTTATAAGGCTTGATTCTACCACATCTGATAGTATGTGCTTCCATCAGATAGATTAATGAAACTCACAAATTCATCCCATGGTTGTTCTGGACCGCTCCTCCATGACAGAGAATGAAAATCTCTTGTTCGGTAATCATCTCCCATATGATCCTTTACAGTGATTTCAGTGTACCCATTAATAAATCTGGTCCTCAGGTGGGTGTGGGGGCATGTGCCTGTAGTCCTAGCTACTCTAGAGGCTAAGGTGGAAGAATCGTTTGAGCCCAGGAGTCCCAGGTTGCAGTGCCACTGCATTCCAGCCTGGGCAACAAGAGAGTGAGTCCTCATCTCTAAAAACCAAACCAAAAAAAAAAAAAACAAATTTGGTCCTCACAAAAAATATATGACATAGGCATGCCAGATGCCCGGAATGTATGTTTCCATCGATATAAAGTTCAAAACAGACAGAACTAACTATTGTATTAGACACTATGTTGGTAATTACCTTTCACAAGAAAGGGAAAAGTGACTGGGAAGGAGCATGATAGGGCCTTCAGTGGGTGCTGATGTTACCTTTTTTTTTTTGAGACAGGGTCTCGACTCTGTCGCCCAGGCTGGAGTACAGTAGAGCAACCTCGGCTCACTGCAATCTCCGCCTCCTGAGTTCAAGGGATTCCCCTACCTCAGCCTCCTGAGTAGCTAGGATTACAGGTGCATGCCACCATGCCCAGCTATTTTGTATTTTTAGTAGAGACGGGGTTTCACCATGTTGGCCAGGCTGGTCTCGAGCTCCTGACCTCAAGAGATCCGCCTGCCTCGGCCTCCCAAAATGCTGGGATTACAGGCGTTGAGCTACCGCGTCCGGCTGCTGATGTTATCGTTACCTGAATGGTAATTACATGGTGTGTTTATTTTATAATTCACTGAGCTACATACAGATGACCTGTGCATTTTCTTTGAGTAACAAAAAGTTCATTATTAAAAAAAAGCTATCATCTTAATCACTGCATCAGAGCTGCCCATAAACAATATTTAATAGACATATGTAGCTAAAAGAGGCAGTAAAAATACCGAATGTATTATAAAGAGAAACCACTGATTGTGAATGTAAAATTACTTGTTCAACTACTTCCATTTATTCTTACCCATCTAAAACCTAAAGTAAGAAGTAAAAATTTTAAAAGATACATAGGAGGACAAAGATATTCTACCATAGTTGAGGATACAGCACTTTTTCCTATGTCACCCATATTCCTCACCTCTATCCTTTTCCCCCTCTTGTATTTTCTTATTTTCCGTAATTCTTCTCTGCTTTCTTTCCTATTTCCTCTAATCCTCCAAGATATTTTCCTAGGTAACTGGAGATTATGAAACAAGGGCATATTAGGAAGCTTCCGGGGTTAGCCTGGGACAAATGCAGCTTTCTTTCAGGTCTCTTATTTTTTCTCCTTCTTATCCTCAAATTCCATAGTTTTTTTCTGACATCTCTTTTTCTCACATCTCTCGCTTTGTTTCTACCTCCATTCCTTTCCAAATTATACCCCCAGGGTCCACCTGAAACACGCAGAATAACAGAAGGTGATCAACCAGTATTTTTTCTCATAAAATTATGTTCTTCTATTTAAGCAGGATTAAAGCCATAAACACTGACATACGTATGGCTGCACAGAGAAAATATAACCAGTAGTTTTCTTTGACAAATAAAAAGGAAGAGATGCCTCTGCCTGTCTTTATGATTCTCCACACTTCAAAACTCTGCATTGGTTTTGAACTCTTTTTCTGGCCCCAAACACCTGAGGGACATGACATTCCCACCTGTAACAGTAGCGTGATGGTTAGTTTTATGTGTCAATTTGGCTGGGCTGTGGTGCCCAGCTATTTTCTCAAACATTGTTCTAAACGTTTTCATGAAGGTTTTTTGTTTTTTGCTTTTTTTTTGGATGAGATTAAAATTTAAATCAGCAGACTCTAAGTAAAGCCAATTAACCTCCATAATGTGGGTGGGCCTCATTTAATCAGTTGAAGGCCTTAAAAGAACAAAGATTTATCTCCCCAAAGTAGGAAGAAATTCTGCCACTAGACTGCCTTTGGACAAGAATAGTAAATCTTCCCTGGGTCTCCAGGCTGCTAGATTTTGAATTTAAAAAGCCTCCTTAAAATAAACTTTTCTCTCCCCTCACATCCTGTTGGTTCTGTCTCTCTGGAGAACCCTGACTAACTTAAATAACAAAGATAGTGATCCTTAACAAGAGATGAAGAGGAAGAGGACTCTAAAGAAAAAGCACAGGGGCTGGGGTGATGGATAATTTTAGAAAAGTCAGGTGCAGAGCTTACGGCTTACCTACTCAATAGCCATTCACAAGCCTTCCTCTACTATAGAAGCTGGAGTGCTAAAATGAACTTTCTTGCTTCCCTTGCAGCTAAGGGGTAGCCATGTGACACAGTTCTGGCCAAAATGATTGAGAAGGGCCTCTTTCTCAAATAAAAAGCCCAAGTCCCATTCTTCCTGCCTGGACTAATATGAATTCAGACATAAAAATGGTGCCTGCAAGAGCTGATCTTCAGCTCTGCTACTGCTGCCACCATTCCCCAGTATTCTATACACAGTATTCCAAGTAAGAGTGAACGTAGAATTTGGCTTTTTAGGCCAACCTGTATTCTGACCTGTTTGGAAAGCTGAAAAACTTATCCTGTTTCATTTAAGTATTATTATATATAGAACTTTTAAAAACACAGCTGTGGCTGGGTGCAGTGGCTCATGCCTGTAATCCCAGCACTTTAGGAGGCCTAGGTGGGTGGATCACTTGAGGTCAGGAGTTCGAGACCAGCCTGGCCAACACTGTGAAACCCCATCTCTACTAAAAATACAAAAATTAGCCAGACGTGCTGGTGTGCACCTGTAATCCCAGCTACTAAGGAGGCTGAGACAGGAGAATCGCTTAAACCCGGGAGGCGGAGGTTGCAGTGAGGCGAGGGTGCACCATTGCACTCCGGCCTGGGCAACAGAGCAAGACTCCATCTCAAACAAACAAACAAACAAACAAAAAAACAACCACAGCCGTACTCAGGCTCCACTGAGAATACATAAGCTCAAACACTTAAATGGGGGAGACTTGGACTAGAAAAATTTCCTAAAACTACTGATTATGAAGCATTAGCAATCATAACCATGAATTAATAATGATGGGTATAGAATAGCTTTTTAAAAGGGTCTTTGAAAATATGGCATGAATTGTTTTATGGCATTCCACTTTAAAGAATGCAGTTAGAATAGATGCCTTAACATCATTTGTACTCTGTAATCTACCACTGAATTTTAAGTTTCCTTCAATATACTTTTAGATCTGTTATAGTAGAGAATTAAAGAATGTTATTCAAAATCATTGTGTAATAAAACCTCACTAACATCATTAAGAAGAAACTTATTGACCAAGTTGATGAAAAATGTAAATAAAGTATCTAAACCAATAAATGTCTAAGTCAACAGTATCATATATTTAAGGCTACCAATGATGTACCTCTAAAAATATGATTTTCTCCACACCCACCTATAAAAAGAAAAATCAAGTGTTACCACATAATGACTTTAAAATTCTGGGGCTTACCTTTTTTTTCTCCAGTGTAGGGCACATAGTCTTCCCTGTCTTTATGCTCCAATGCTTCTTTCTCCAGATATGAAAGGAGATGCTCTCTATCAAATGGCCCTGTGGTGGACTTTGATGTCTGGTTCTTCTGCCGGAACCCTGCAGGCAGAAGGGCATTCTGCCAGAGAGAATGAATCAGCCAATATGACCAATAAGAATGCTAATGCTATATGCTTCCGAAGATTACCCATATAAAAAAGAATTACAGACTGGAATGTGATACAGGCACTAAACACTTCATTGCAGGATTTTAGGACAGCAATGTACAATTGCTCCAAACATTAAACTTCTTTTTTATTAGGTAGAATTCACTTACATTATTATTAAAATAGGCACATACATTAGTACAGTTTCTTTTCTTTTTGGAGACAGTCTCCTTCTATCCCCAAAGCTGGAGTGCAGTGGCATGATCTCAGCTCACTGCAACCTCTGCCTCCTGGGTTCAAGTGATTATCATGCCTCAGACTCCCAAGTAGCTGGGATTACAGGCGCCTGCCACCACGCCCAGCTAATTTTTGCGTTTTGGGTAGAGATGGGGTTTTGCCATGTTGGCCAGACTAGTCTAGAATTCCTGACTTCAGATGATCTGCCCTCCTCGGCTGCCCAAAGTGTTGGGATTACAGGTGTGAGCCACCGCGCCCAGCATACGTTTTCTAATAGAACATTTTCTTCAGAGAGGATTCTACTAGCAGAAAACAATCTTTAGTTTTTAAGTGTTCTGGGATACTAATAAAAAAGTTTTATTAACCACATACCACATCTTCTTACTTACATAAGTGGGAGTCAATGATGAGAACACACGGACATATAGAGCACACATATAGAGCTAAGTGATGAGAACACAAGGACATATAAAGCACACATATTGGAGCATAGAGGAGGGTGGAGGGTGGGAGGAGGTAGAGGATCAGGAAAAATAACTAACAGGTATTAGTGATGAAATAATCTGTACAACAAACCCCCATGACACAAGTTTACCTACGTAATGAAACCTGCACAGGTATCCCTGAACTTAAAACGTTTTTTTTAAAAAGTTTTATTAATGCTTAATAACTGCTCAGTGTATATATATGTACAGAGAATAATTCTATTACAAAAGAGTTTTAAATGACTCTGTACATTATATTCCTTCATGACTTCCATTTCATTGTACAGACTTCTTCATGATTACAACATATATACCATACAGTAGGATATCAGATTAATGTTTACTTCAGTTTAAACACAACGTGAGATGTTCCACTTGTGTGTGTATGCGTACATATATACATGACCACTAGGATGTACTTGCTACAATCACTATCATTGTTTCACATGCCCCAAGGGACCCCTGACATACTCACAGCAAGAGCTATGTTCCTGGGTTTCCACACGGGTACAGCCTTTTTGAGCGCATGGACTGACTTAGAGATGAGGGAGGTGCAGTGGAAGGTGATGGATTAAAGTTGTCTCCTGTAGTCCCTTAATTTTCACTAAGCCCAGTAAACACAAGGGCTGACTAGACAAAGTGAGTACCGTCCTTTCACTTGTCAAAAGCCAAAGAGGTGATACTGCCTTGTCTCATATTTCTGGGTATATCTTTGCTTTGAAAATGGGAGGCAGCCAGAGAAATCACACAAAAGGGCCAGCTCTCTTTTGCAAAACCTCCCAATATTGGCAGTGACGCTGAATTTCATGGGTGGTATAAGACAATTTTTCATTATAAAGGGTAATCTTATATGGGCAATAGTAATAGAAAATATTCAATTTGTAACTAGGAAATACAGCACTTCAACTGTGGTCATTTGTTGAGACACATAATAATTTTCATAAAATTCACTTCTGTGTTACCCTTTATGTAATGGTACCTACTACACAGAAAGCTGAACTGTAAAGACGAAACATTCCTAACTTTGTACCAAGTATGTTTCTGTAATACAAAATTGTTTATGGAAACATAAAAAAGAAACATAAGATTTCTACCTTTAGACTTAGAAATCATGAGAGGAATTACACATGAAGAATCCATTTCCAATTGACCTGCAAGTCCTACTCATTTTTACTTCCTGAAGAACTCATTCATCTTTTTCCCATCTCCAACATTATTACTTTGGTCGAAACTATGATCTAAGCTTGCTGAGACTGTTACATTAGCTTCCCACCTGGATCAGCTGCCTGATATTTTTTATCCTTCACCACCAGCCCCTCAGTCTGTCACCCTAGCCTCATCTCACACACCCTCTCCATTCCAGTCACACTGGACTTTTTTTTCTCTCTTGTACTTGCCATATACTTCCTTCTACCACCAGGCCTCTATGTGTGTGGTCTCCCTTCCCTGGAATGCTCTGCCTATCCCTTTTTGCAACTCATTTTTCAGATTGTAGCTCCATTCCCCCAGGGAAGCTTTTCTTAACCTCTCATCACAAGCTCTTACAGTGTGTAGCACTTACCATTCTTTTAATATGGTATGATTATTTGGTTAATGTCAAACTGCTCCTATTCCTACCAGCCTGCGTCATGAGGGCAAAGACCACATTTGTTTTGCTCATTCTTGTATTCCTAAGCCTAGCATAGTACCTGGGGTCTACAAGTTGCCCCCAAATATTTACTGAATAAAGGTGTTAGAATGCTTTTAAAGAAAGATTCTCATTAAGGCAAATTAATAAAAAGTTACTTTCCTTCTCCATCATTAATGCATAGATGTATATATTGCTATTTCATGGTGGTGGTAATGGAATTTGCACTACTCTACCTGCCTGCTCAAGCCCATGTGACACACACAGTCTTAAATATGATAGCTGAAATCCTGGCTCCCTAGAAAGCCTTTTTTTTCTTTCTTTCTTTTTGGTCTGGCTCCTTAGAAAGCCTTTTTTTTCTTTCTTTTTTTTGGGTAGGGGGGAGACAGGGTCTTGCTCTACTGCTCAGGCTGGAGTACAGTGGTGCGATCACAGCTTGCTGCAACCTTGAACTCCTGGGCTTAAGCAATCTTCCTGCCTAGGCCTCTGGAGTAACTGGAACTACAGGTGTGCACCACCATGCCCCCGGCTAATTTTTAAAATTTTTTGTCGAGGCAAGGTCTTGCTATGTTGCCCAGGATGGTCTGGAACTCCTGCTCTTAAGCAAATCTCCCTCCTTGGCCTCCCAAAATGCTAGGATTACAGGTGTGAGCCACTATACCCGGCCAAAAACAGTCTAACCACAATCTAAATGAAGCTAGCTGGTTTTAGAGACTATAAACCCATGAACCAAGCTTCATTAGAAATATGTTCTAATCAAGTAAGCTAATAGATCATAATTACTTTTCATATAAAAATTTTCTTTAATATGATTGTCACTAAAAATGACACGTTTCTCTCTTGCAGTGCAATTTTGCTGTAAAATATATTCCTAGCCTTGGGGGGGAAAAAAAGCTCTTCCTAGGCTGGCTGTCTTCTGGAGACATATATATATATTTTTTTTTTGGCAAAAACTCAGTGAGTTAGCAAACACGTACACTGAATACAGCAGAAGGACAGTAAAACAGTCCTCCAAAATATAATAAGGTACCACACACACCTTCGACCTACTTCCTGAGACTTTGTAAGTTACAGTGGTGTTTCTTTGGCTGAAGTAGCTGCTACTACCCTTGACCTCTTTTCTTACCTGGTTCTTTACCAGAACGCTTTCCAAAAACATGTCACCCAACAAACAGATGCTGTCAATAAACATCACTGTTCTCCTAGCCTCAACTAACAGTATTGAGGTTAGAGGAATTATGACTGGGGTTGGGGAGTTTGCAAAATACATTCAGAGGTTACTCAAGCCTCCCCACACAAGAAGCAGGCCATGGATTTACAAATAAAAAATTAGCCAACAGATTTCAGACTGATACCATAGTGCATGAGTTGGGAGGAGACTCAATGTGGTTTAACAGAAAAAGACTGCTAGACTGCCAGGTATCAATCAGGCAGTGAGGGATCTAGTCCCAGCTCTTTCCCTAATTGTAATAACTGAGGCAAGTTACCTAATTTCTGTTTTCCATCTGTAAAACAGAGGGCATGAACTAGATCAATGTTTCTGAACCAGTAGTGTTTTTGTCCCCTAGAGGACATTTGACAATGCCTGGAGACATTTTTGGTTGTCAACTCAGGGGGAGGGTATTATGTTTTTCAGTCTGGGTAACATAACGAGACCCTGTCTCTACAAAAAATTTTAAAAAGTAATTAGCTGGGTATAGTGGTGCTTGCCTGTAGTCCTAGCTACATAGGAGGCTGAGGTGGGAGGATCGCTTGAGCCCAGAAGTTCGAGGCTGCAGTGAGCTATCACTGCACCACTTCACTCTTGCCTGAGGAACAGAGTGAGAATTGGGCTCTAAAAAAAAGTCATGTTTTTTATTTTCTGAGTTTTATGATGCTTTGACATCTTGGGGCCTTGCTAATCCTGGAGAGACCACTCCTTCCAGGGCTGGCTAGAGAGCGCACTATCCCCACCAACCTCCCCCGGAGCACACCTTTCATACGCAAACCAACCAATTCTCCTAACCACCTCTTTTTTATCTAACGCTCACTTACCAAGCCAGTATTTCCCCTCCCCCTAAATCACCCAGAACCAGATACTGGACAACTAGAGACTAGTTACATAGCCCTGAGCCTGTTCAAATTATTCAAACCATCTAGTCCTAAACTTGTTCAAACTTGCCTATCCTGACTCACCCATTCATTCCCATTGAACCACAATAAAGGCTCTGGACCATGCTTGTTCCTTGATCCTTTTGCCTCCTGACCAATCTAGGTGCTTCCCCCTGTGCCTCTGTGTGGCATGCTGTGCCTCCTACTCTTGGAACTGTAAGTAATAAACTCTTCTTTCAAGGCAGTAGTTTCAGTGTGTGTCATCCATTACCAAACCTGATTAAAACAACATCCTAGGAACATTTTAAAACAGGAGGAGTGTGCTACTGGTCAGGGATGTTGTTAAACATCCCTCCAAGGCACAGAACGGCCCCCCTACAACAAATTATCCAACCTCAAAAGTAAATACTGTCAAGATTGAGGAACCTGGCCTAGGGACTAGATAAAGTCTTATGCTTTTTCCAGTTTTTTTTTTTTTTTTTTTGAGATAAGTCTTGCTCTGTCACCCAAGCTGGAGTACAGTGGTGCAATTTCGGCTCACTGCAACTTCCACCTCTCTGGCTCAAGCAATTCTCATACCTCCACTTCCCAAGTAGCCTGGGGCTACATGCGTGCACCACCATGCCCAGCTAATTTTTGTATATTTAGTAGAGACGGGGTTCACTATGTTGGCCAGGCTGGTCTCGAACTCCTGGCCTCAAGTGATCCACCCGCCTCGGCCTCCCAAAGTGCTGCGATTATAGGCGTGAGCACCCAGCCACTTTTTCCAGTTCTAAAACATTTGATTCAAATAGGTCTAATAGATTGAACTGCCTACAGAAGATACTGTTGTGATGTGATAAAAACAGCATCATTATCCTGAGTAATCCCCCTCCAATCAGATGTACTGGGAACTTTTCCTTATAATAGTAATTATGGTTAAGGGATTTGATCTATGGTATAGATACATCATCCAGTAACAACAACGTTATAAAATGAACTCCATCTCAGTCCTTAGAGGATACTTAAAATCAACGTCTTGGCATAAAGAAATGTGGTAAAGAAAAGAAGCCTAGCAAACAACCATTACCTTCACGACCTTCAGGCTCTTCCTTCACTGCCCGTCCTCCAACATATCAGGGAATAACAATTCAAGGGTCATGGGTGTCTATCTTAGCCTTGTGTAATTTATAAGACAAACAACATCCACCTTGCAAGTTAAAGCTTACATACATATATTCATGTCTGCTCCACAGTGGACTGCTGTATTGCCAAGAAGTTACTTAGATCTATTCTACCAATGTCTGGAAATGTAATCAATTCGGTCAGCCTCTTTCAGAAAGGGAACAATTAGATTTAGGGTCATGAAGAATCTTTTAGAGGCATTCTACACTGGAGCCACCTGGCATAGAAGCTCTGAAGAGACAGAGGTTGGCGTGTATCAAAAAGGTAACCATCTGCTGCATTGTACTAAAAATATCCCTTCCTGCACAGAGGAGAAAAATTTCTTAGAGGAGGAAAAAATTTCAGGAGATGTTTGAAAACAAGGATACTGAAGTAGTTTAGGACAGTCATGTCATTAAACATATGGAGGCAGAAGTGGGGAACTGGAGAGAGAGCCAAAAGCAACTTGATTTGGATAAAGTGGAGGAAAGGGTGGAAGGTGCCAGAGAAAAGTCATGGAAAAGCTCAAAGGCAGCTACTGAGTTTCAAAGAATTCGAAAAGTTATTTCATTTCTCTTCATCACCTAGCACCTACCTCGGGGTCAAGATCATCCAAAACAGTTTCCAGTTGTTTCAGTTCTGTTTCTGACAGATTCCCAAGGAGCTCATCTTCATCAAGGTCTTTGTACTTTTCTAAGTCCTTACGGAATGGCAGTGCCATGATGTGCAGGGCAGCAAGTCACTTAATTTTTGCTGTTCAGTACAGTCAGAAGTGATCTCTACTTTTTCTTAAAGCTATGGAGAGAAGAAACAAATACATTTTAAATAGTAAGTCATCTCCACCTACTTAGATCTAATTCTCAGGTTAAGTGAAATGTAATTTCCATGTGTCATATATTCTTTGATCACATATCACATACTATTCTTGTTTATGAATCATTCAATGCCTTTTGCCTTGTGTTGAGAAAAAAAAAATCAACCAGGAAAAAAGAGGGAAAAGATAAAACAAAATTCAAATCCATTAAGGCAGCCACTTGATAGAATTTAGAATTTCTAATAATTAAATTTTAGGGGGAAAGAAATTATGTGTCAAAATAAAAGATTTTCCATCAATAGCTTTCAAATTATTTTACCAGAGTACTTTGCTTCAGCACAATATGTTTAAGGCACATTTGTTTTACTATATATTGTTTAGGAGAACAATATGACTCAGTATTAATATGGGGGGATAGCAATACATTCCACATGACAGGAGTGGTCTCTTGCCACTAGGAAAAATATTCTTTTGAAAAGATGCATTTGAAAATATTTTTCTGAGGTGTTTTTAAAGGAAAAAAATACAGCATTCTGAAGATGATTGAGTAAAATACTCAAAATCATGCTGGGATATGTCATCCACTGACTGACAAGGTTGGTGGGAGGGTCTGACTGTGGGAAGGGACCATCATCATTTCCTTCCTGTGCGGTCTCTCCCAGGCAGCCATGAGGTTAATCAACAAGCAGGTTAATAGTAGCTCTAGAGACACAGAAGTTGGCATATATCAAAGAGCTAATCATCTGCTGATTCGGCAGGACTGTTCTATAGGAAAGGCGAAACCAAGGATTTCTGCATATTCCAGCCATATGTATGAACTGTCTGTCTCATAAAATATACCTAGTACTGGGCCAGACGCAGTGACTCACATCTGTAATCCCAGAACGTTGGGAGTCCGAGGCAGGTGAATCGCTTGAGCTCAGGAGTTTAAGAGCAGCCTGGGCAACATGGTGAAAAATACAAAACATCAGCCAGGTGTGGTGGTATACACCTGCGGTCCCAGCTACTCAGGAGGCTGAGATGGGAGGATGGCTTCAGCCCAGGAGGCAGAGGTTGCAGTGAGCCAAGATCGTGCCTTTACACTCTAGCCTGGGTGACATAGCAAGACCTTGTCTCAAAAAAAAAAAAAAAAAAGTACCTAGTACCTATGGAAATAAATACACTTTAGACTTAGTGATTTGGTTACGTTTTTCTTGACTGCAAAATGCTCAGTACTTCAGTTTGATACATTTCCTTTACTACCCCTTCCCTCAAGTTTTCTCAGCTTAATATTTTAGTATGTTTTTTCTGCAAACCAGTAACATTTTAAGGCTCCTTTGATGTGTTTCCATCTCCCATGAATGGAAATGTTCAAACTGTTTAGAAAGGCAGGCTCACCACTGGAGTCTGACAGCAATTTGACTAGCAACCACCTTGGGTCCAACAACAAGCAAATGGGGGAGCTTCCTGCACGTGTTCGCGGTTGAGAAGCTCCCATGGGGTTGTAGAGTTCGGACCTCATGGCAGAGATAATTCAGGAACACAAAGAAGATCAGCTCCCTGAATTGGAACAGCTAGAGCACATTGGACTGTTCAGTCATGCAGAGATTAACGCTATCATTAAGAAGGCTTCTGATCTACAGTACAGAATCCAGGAAAGAGCCCTTTTCAAGGACGACTTTATCAATTATGTTCAACATGAAATTAATCTTTTCGAACAGATCCAGAGAAGAACACGCATTGGATATTCATTTAAGAAGGATGAGATTGAGAATTCTATTGTACACCAGGTACAAGGTGTTTTCCGAAGTGCCTCAGCAAAGAGGAAAGACGATGTTCAACTTTGGCTCTCCTATGTAGGTTTTTGTTTGTTTTTTGAGATGGAGTCTTGCTCTGTCGCCTAGGCTGGAGTGCAGTGGCATGACCTCGGCTCACTGCAACCTCTGCCTCCTGGGTTCAAGCAATTCTCCTGTCTCAGCCTCCTGAGTGGCTGGGACCACAGGCGCCTGCCACCAGGCCCGGCTAATTTTTGTATTTTTAGTAGAGACGGGGTTTCACCTTGTTGGTCAGGCTGGTCTCCAACTCCTGACCTCAGGTGATCCACCCGCCTCGGCCTCCCAAAGTGCTGGGACTACAGGCATGAGCCACCGTGCCTGGCCTCCTATGTAGTTTTTTGTAAGAAATGGGCTACTAAAACTCAACTTAGCAAGGTATTCTCTGCCATGTTGGCCATTCATTCCAACAAGCCAGCTTTGTGGATTATGGCAGCCAAATGGGAAATGGAAGACTGCTTGTCTTCAGAAAGTGCAAGGCAACTATTTCTTTGGGCACTGCACTTTCATCCAGAGGGCCCAAAACTTTATCAAGACTACTTTAGGATGGAGCTGATGCATGCTGAAAAACTGAGGAAGGAAAAGCAAGAATTTCAAAAAGCCAACATGGATGTGGAGAATCCTGATTATTCTGAAGAAATCCTTAAGGGCAAATTGGCACGGATCATCTATGAAAATTCTGTAAGCATAATTTAAGGTGCAGAATTTCATGTGTCACTGCTTTCAACTGCACAGCGATTTGACTTTGCCAAAGGTCTACAAATAGAAATTTATGATGACCCTCAGGCTCTACACACAGATGATCTTCTCACTTGGGATTATGCGGCAAGGTGACAATTAGAGATCGAGTCACAAACGGGAGAAGAGCAGCGTACAGCCTACAACGAAATAAGACAAAGCAGAGGAGGGCCAGAAGGAGGACAGATGCTGTGCCGTATATGAAGAGGCAGTGAAGACTCTGCCAAGGGAGGCCATGTGGAAGTGTTATATCACCTTTTGCTTGGAAAGATTTACTAAGAAGACAAATAGTGGGTTCCTCAGAGGGAAGAGGTTGGAAAGAACCATGACTGCATTCAGAAGGGCACATGAACTCAAGCTTCTGCCAGAATTCCAATACAAGCAGTTGACTTGAGTTGTTGCTGTGCCATAACTTCCTGAGGAAAGCTCTAGAGGTGGCAGTAGCTGGGACTGAACTGTTTATAGAGACTCTGGGACAATGTGGCAGATGAAGGTGCATGTGCTGATTGACTCAAAGAGCCCTGACATAGCCATGCTTTTTGAGGAAGACTCTGTGCACCTGAAACTCCAGGTTTGTCTACCATTGTGGACTTCTTGGCAGAGTGGAGTGAAGGTGCCAAAAGCCAAGAAGACACCGAGGCAATCTTTAAGAAAGCTCTCTTAGCTGTCACAGGTGCCAACTCAGTAACCCTGAAGGATAAGTACCTGGATTGGGCTTATCAACATGGTGGCTACAAAAAAGCCAGAGCTGTGTATAAAAGTTTACAGAACAGCCATCCATTTTCAGTTGACTTTTTCAGGAAAATGATTCAGTTTGAAAACAGCAAGAATCCTGCAAGATGGTGAACATTAAGAGAATATTATGAGAGGGCTTTGAGAGAGTTTGGATCTGTAGATTCTGATCTTTGGGTGGATTGTATCAAGGAACCATTGAACCACCCCCTTGGTAGACCTGAAAACTGCAGACAGATCTACTGGCGAGCAATGAAAATGTTGCAGGGAGAGTCAGCAGAGGCATCTGTAGCTAAACATGCTATGTATCAGACTGGCCGTTTGTGAAGAGGAAGAATACAGCCATCTTTGTGAAACAGTATTGCAAGCCCTGTGGGCAAATATGTATTATGAGTCCATTTTTGTAATTTGTTCATCGATGGCAGACAAGATGGCTGTCTGATTTCAAGACACACTTTAATTTTATATTAACTTGTTAATTTTTTAAAAAATTTAAAAAAAGATTTTATGATTGAGACAGGGTCTTGTCCTGGCTGGTCTTGAACTCCTGGATTCAAGTGACCTTCCTGCCTCAGACTCCCGAGTAGCTGGGATTATAGGCGCAGGACACCATGCTCAGCTTGATGCACGAATCTCTAATTCCAGGAAAGAGAACTGCTGATTTAATGTTGAGATGCTGAGGCCAGACCTACCATAAGTCCTAAATGTTTTCCAGAATACATGGAAAGCATACGACTGGGTTTTACTTATTATCCCAGTTCAAGTATGAGTATCTCTAATCTAGCTAGGAGCCAGTTAAAATGAAGGAGAAAGTACAGTTTTGTTGGTTTATTCTCATTGTAAAAGATACATGGTATGCATTTGTTCTGGAAAATATAGAGGAAATAGAATTGTGTGTTGAAAAAAGTAAAAACATCCTGTAATCACAGGGGAAAAAAAACACAAGCAAATGAACAGAATTTGCTTATGCAGATACTACATTGCAGGCAACTTGTGTAACTGCCCAAAACAGGTCTGGTGTATACCTGTTTTATTGGCACCTCTTCTGGTTTACTGGTTATCTTGAATTTTTTTTTTTTTTTTAGCAAATTATTATCATTGTCATTACTGTTTGTTAAGCGTCCATTTTGTACCTCCAACTTTAAGATAGCAAGTTTGGCCAGGCACAGTGGCTCATGCCTGTAATCCCAACACTTTGGGAGGCTGAGGTAGGAGGATCACTTGAGCCCAGGAGTTTGAAACTAGCCTGGGCAACACAGTGAGACCTCATCTCTATACAAACTTTAAAAAAATAGCTGGGCATGGCAGCACACACCTGTAGTCCTAGCTACTTGGGAGGGTGAGGTAGAAGGATCGCTTGAGCCCAGAAGTTTGAGGCTGCAGTGAGCTACGGTCGTGTCACTGCACTCCAGCCTGGGCAACAAGGTGAGATCCTGTCTCTAAAAATAAATAAATAAATAAGCAAGCTTACAAGTATATTTACAGTATATTTTCTCCATTAAAAATAATACAGTCTTCAGATAAGATTCAATGGAAGATATCATCACTTTCCAATATATTAGCCATAAAATGTAATTCTGAAGAAGGTAAAAATTTAAGGGACAAAAATTAAAAATAACACCACTTAAAAAAATTTTCCCTTTATAAAAATATCAATGATGTGATATTTCAGACAGATAAGGGTAAGAAACTGATAAAAGTATATAAATATGTACCAAGAATAATTTAATTCATGCTTTTTTTTTAATGTTTGGATAATTACTGTTTTAAAAGTTTTTAATGTGCTTTAATACATTTTTGAAATTTTCAGTACATAAGCCAATTTTCTCAATGAATATTTTAAAATATACATAGATATAAGTTTAATTATTTTATGCATCCCTTACTTTACTTTCAAGAATGTCCTAGTATGGGTCATAAATTCAATGATCATTCTAACAGGGCACTCTAATAGGCAATACGATAGGAATGAGATATTAGGGGCAAAGGCAGGCAATGCTATATGCCACCCAGGTTCTGTAAAGTTGGAACATGACATTCTACATTCCACAGAGAGACTAAATAGCTTACTCCAATACATTGCTTCTCCTAATCCCAAAGTAAAATCTACTACACAAAGCTTGTTTACAGTATTGCTTAAAGAATAAAATGAAAAACCATGAACACCCTGCCCAGCATAAAAGAGAAAACATTACTAATACCCTCATATTCACTTCTCTAGTTGCATCTCCTCTTCCAAAAGTAGCCACTCTACCAGATTTTGAATTAATCATTCTCTTGCTTTCCTTCAGTTTTGCCTTATTTGTACATACCCTCAACAGTTTTAGATCTGCCCCTTTTCTTGCATGTTACGTAAACAGACTCGCAGAGTATGCACCCTTCTGTGACTTGCTTTTTTCATTTAATGTTGTTCATTGTTTTGAGTTGATGCTTAGAGCTATACTACTTTCTTTTCATTTCTATATACTATTCTATCGTATAAATGAACATTTAAGTTGCTTATAGTCTCTCCCCTCTATTTCTCTGCTATAAACAATCTTGTTACCTATTTCCTGGTACACATGCGTGAGAGAGTTTCTCTGACCTTCAAATCTAGGAATGGAATTGCTGGGAAAAGGGTATGCTTATACTGAACTTGATTAGGTAATCCCAAACTATTTTCAAAGTGATTGCTTGAATTAACATTCCCAGCAGATTCGGCACATGACAATTCACATTGCTCCTCATCCTTGCTCATTGTTGGTATTATCAGAGTATTTATTTTTGGCCATTCTGGTGGTATTTCACTGTGGTTTTAATTTGCATTTTGCTGAATTATGATGAGCTTGAGCATCTTTTCATATGTTCATTGGCAAATGTGTTCCTTATTGTGTGAAGAATCTTTTGCCCGTTAAAAAAAAAAAATGCCCTTAATATATTCTTTGTTGGTTATATGTAACAAATCTCTTCCATTTTTTTTTCAAGTCTTATCAAGTTTATCATGGTATATCCTAGGGGAAAACGTTTCTAAGTATTTTTCATTTTTAAAAAAGTTTACTTCTTTAGCTAGGTTTTCCTTTCCAAAGCAATGAAAAATGAATTTCCTTCAGATTCAGATTATAGAATTTTGCCATGAGGCAAGAACTTCTGGGTAATACACCAAAGTTCAAAGTTTCAATTCTGCTTCAATAAAAAGCAAATAACTGTTGCTCATCCTATCTAATGATGCTCAAAAGTTATCACTTTTTGTTTGTTTGTTTTTGTTTTTTAAGACAAGGTCTCATTCTGTTACCCAGGCTGGAGTACAGTGGTGCAATGACGGCTCACTGCAGCCTCTGCTTCCTGGGCTCAAGCTATCCTCCCACCTCAGCCTACCAGGTAGCTGGGAATGCAGGCATGTGCCACCACACCCAACTAATTTTTGTATTTTTTGTAGAGACAGTGTTTCACCATGTTGCCCAGGCTGGTCTTAAACTCCTAGAATCAAGTGATCTGTCTGCCTCGACCTCCTAAAGTGCTGGGATTACAGGCGTGAGCTACCCACCACACCTGGCCACTACTAGCATTCTTTCCTCAGATGTTCCCATTATCAGATTCTCTAACTTGATTTTACCTTCCCTCTCAACTCTCATCCTTTATTGAGGAACATTTGTATACTGACAATGTTCCAAGTGCCAGCAGGAGCTCAGAAACTGCTTAGGAAGGGAAGTTCTGGAAGGAGTGCTTTGCTTTGCTTTTCTTTCTGTTCTGGGATGACATGTCTCTCTTGCTTGTCCTTTGACATCTGCCTTCTAGAAGAGGAACAAATTCTGAATGATGAAGAGGTGAAACCAGTGTGCTAGAAAAGTACTTTAAATCTACACTTTGTCTACAGAAACTTTTAATCTCTAAGCTAATGTAAAATGTATTTCATATAAAAGTAAAAAACAATTTGCATTGTACAAGAATATGGGAATTGGTTTTCAAAGCATAACATTCTCACGATCATTTAAGAAAAACACAACTTTTTGTAAATAAGCAAGTTCTGCCAGGTAAGTTAGGCAAAGCTTAAGAATTTTTAATTTGGAATTCTGATATGTTCAGACTATTTTCCTTCTTAACTCACTTTTTACAGCAGTGTTTCTCCTGCTTTTGAGTGCATCATAATCTCCTGGTGGGCTTGCTAAAACACAGATTCCTGGGCCCACCCCCAGTGTTTCTTGATTGAGTAGGTCTGGGGTGGGCAGATAATCTGCATTTCTAATAAGCTGCCAGGTGGTGCTGATGCTGCTGGTCAGGAACTATACTTTGAGATCTACTGCTCTAGAGGTGCTCCCCTCATCAGTTCTGACAACTACATCTCATACTGTGTGGCAGAGTGTATTCTGTTTAACTCAAAAGTCTTCGAAGGCTGAAGAAATTTGTTTAAATATTCCCCAAAGTCTATGGGTGCTGTTGCTTTTCTTCTTTCCACTCACCCACTGCTTCACTGAACTTCAGCTAGTGGAGGCTATACTTAAGGACATCAAGAAACTCCTGGTATATTTTTGGCCAAGTCTTCTTCCATTTACCATCTTCCTTTTCATTTATCACTTATTTCTAGAATCCTTATTTTTCACACTGGACTTCCAGGACCATGCTAATTTTTTAATGGAATCTCAGCAATCTCATTTTGCTAAGAGTTTTAAATTTTAGCTTTCTATAAGAATAATTTCTAAAAATTAATAGCCATATTCTAGATCCTCTGGATCACTTAAAAAGAAGCAATGCTGTGGGATTTCAGTTGCCATATTTACATTTATATTTATCATTGCACCAGCACCTGGGAGAACTGCTTTGTTTTGATTGTCAATTAACACTAGGAGGCCCGACAGCTTTTTTCCTTTAAAAGGGATCTATATATAAGTTTGAGAAGCCAATGTTCTACTCTGTTCAACCAATTTCCACTTATTTTCTTCAAGCTTTATATTTGTGTAGGGAGTAAGGTATCGACACTGACTATATTTGTTAAAATGTAGAATCATATGATTCAGAGAGATAGTCTATGAGTTGTTAACCTCCATTTCACCACCATTTCCATAGGGTGGGCTCAGAGTTTTCAGATTCTTATCCATTCTCTCTTTAATACATACATGTGATCATATTGCTCTCTGGCCCAAAAGCCTTATATAACTCATATTACCCACAACAGGGTTAGGCAAACTACAGGGGGCCAAATTCGGCCTGCTGCCTGTCTTTGTAAATGTTTTATTTGAACACATTCACATTCATTCATTTATGTATTGCCTATGGCTGCTTTTGTGCTACAATGACAGAGCTGAGTGATTGCAACAGAGACCAGATGGCT
The DNA here is from genome assembly GCF_000001405.40 of Homo sapiens. Classification (NCBI taxonomy): domain Eukaryota; kingdom Metazoa; phylum Chordata; class Mammalia; order Primates; family Hominidae; genus Homo; species Homo sapiens. The sequence continues at coordinate 51,854,205 of NC_000015.10, read as the reverse complement.
TGCAAAGCTAAAATATTTACTATTTGGCCCTTTACAGAAAAAGTTTGCCCATCCCTGACCTACAAGAGAAAGTCCAATCTCCTCAGCATAAGATACACAGTTCAGAGAAGCTGGTCCTTACTAGCTAGTTTTCCTATATTATCTCGGACTGCTCCCCATCACATAGCCTATACTCCAAACAGGCCACAAACTTTAGGCCTCTCTATTCCTTTGCTTATTATGTTCCCTCTCTCTAGAAAAAATGCATTCATTCCCATCTACCTCTATCCTCAACTGAACCTCACATATTCTTCAAGACCTAGCTGAAAATGTCCTATCTTCCCTGAAAATTTCCCTGGTCTCCATTCTCACACCCAGGCAAAATTAATGATTTCCTTAATGATGTTGCCATTATCTTTTTTTTTTTTTTTTTTTTAAGAGACAGTGACTCGCTCTGTCAGGCCAGAGTGCAGTGGCGCAGCCTCAAACTCTTAGGTTCAAGTGATCCCTCCTCCTCAGCCTCCTGAGTAGGTAGGACTACCAGCATAAGACATCATGCCCAAACTGTTGTTATTATCTTTATATATACATCCATTATAACCACAGGTTGTATGTACATCGGTAACTTCAAAACTTAAGGGTGTAACTGAAAATACTGACATAAAATGGTAAGAGTGTTTCCTAGAAAATCAGATATATAAAATGACAGTACCATAACTAAAGAAAGTCCAGGTGCAGTGGCTCACGCCTGTCATCCCAGCACTTTGGGAAGCCAAGGAGGGAGGATCGCTTAAGTCCAGGAGTTTGAGACGAGCCTGGGCAACATAGTGAGACCCCCATCTCTACAAAATACAAAAAACTAGCCAGGCATGATGGCCCACGTCTGTAGGCCCAGCTAGTAGGAGGCCGAGGTGGGAGGATCACTTGAACCCAAGAGGTCCAGGCTGCAGTCAGCCATGATTGCACCATTGCACTCCAGCCTGGGTGACAGAGTGAGACTCTGTCTTAAAAATAAACAAACAATAAAGAAGGCAATATTTCATCATCCAATTATTTCCTCTTATTCTTCTCAATGTTCACCAAGATATCTTCTAATTAAAATTCAGCTATTCATGTAGCTTTCCTCACTAGATATTAATAAATTGATATTTTGGCTTACGTATAAGTCTTTTTTATGAGTATGGTTGCTACATGCCAGTTTTTAAGAGATTAGACACCTACCAGTTGATTGAAATTGTGTCTCTGTAAAGATAAAGCTGTGGGCCATCACCTGAAATCCTATCCCAGAGCTGGCTGGCCAGCTACTCCATAAAGACACCCCTCAAACTTACTTCAAACCAACAATTATGCTGTATTGGAGTTAGTCTTTCACCTGTCTCTCTCACTAGACACTGTAAAGCTCTTGAAGAGCAGAGAATCTCTCCCAGATCTCATTCCCCACTGGGCTGCCATTGCCAGGTACAGTACATAGCTAACACAAATTTGATATACTTGGATCACACATCAATCTCTGCTTTCCCTTCTTTGGTAGTTCCCTCTTTCTCCTCCAGCTACCTAGTATCCTCTTGCTCCCAAACTCTAATCCCCTTATCACAACTAAAGGGGGGGCTGAAAATGAATTTTTGATACTTCCGTTGATCCTTTGCAGCCCCTTCTTCACCTTTTCTTCCCTATCAACTCATTTGAGCTTAGTATTCAGAGTTCTCTGCTGTCTAATCTCCCCCAGCTAAAAACAAAACAAAAAATCTGCTCATCAGTCATCTCTGAAATTAAATGAAAATTTGATTTTTTTTTTTTTTAGGTAACCAAATGAGTTTCCTCTTCAGGAGACACCAGGCCTCAGGTTAACTCCACTTCAGGTGCTGGAGGCCTTCTCTTCAGTTGCGCTAGGCTTAAGACTGTTATGCTGTCTTTTCCTCACTGGCTTCTCCTAGGATCCCTGGGTGCTCAATCTCCACAACCCACCAGATCAGAGAATTTTTTTGATCTCAAGATTCCCAGATGAATATTTGTTTTTCAATATACTTACTGTTCTTTTGACATATATTTTTGAACATTTCCTACGCCATGAATTACTTGTTCTAGACAACAGGCATAAGCAGTATACAAGACAGACAAGCTCCCTGCCCTATTTTAAAAGTGGCATACAGACAAAAACCAATTAATAAAGGAAGAAGGTAATACGAGACAGCAATAAGTACTATAAGGAAGAAAACTTAAAGCAAAGGAGGTGGGGAGGATCAGGAAGGCTAACTGAAATGGTTCAGAAGGACTGTTCTGAAAGATGACTTTTGAGCTAGGACCTGAGGTCTCCAAGCAGCTCTCTCAGCCTAGGACTACGCTAATAGCTGCAATCTAGGTGAGAAATGATGGCAGCTTTGCCTAGAGTTGTGGCTGTGGAGATGGAGAGAAGTAGATAAACGTGATATGTTTTGGAAACACAGCGGTTGGCTGTAGGGGATAAAAACACGAGCTGCACGAAGGATGACTTCTAAGTCAATTTCAGTTAGTATTTAATAATATTTCTTATTCCACACCTATTTTTATCCTGAGGAGCTGAACATTGCCCTATGCTACCTGTATTTCTCAGCCTGCTTTAAAAAGAGTTTCTTGGTTGATATTTTCATCGTAATCTGTTTTGAGATCCACATTGTGAATGGTCCTAATATGACAGTTTATGAACAAACCCATAATAATGATAATCAACTAACTAAACAAAATCAACCAATCAAAAGTTACTAAATAAAACATTTGCTGGCTGTCCTTAAACATATTCACAGTCTAAACCAAAGAACATGTATTTTTGTTAATGCCATTTCTGGTATCATTTTTTGCAAAAGATTGAGTCTAAAAAGTGAAACAAGCAAATAACTTGTCACGCCTTAAAAAATTTTTACACAATTGCTGTTTCTTATTTTCTTTACAAGATTTTCAATGCTTACTGGTCAAACTGCTGAAGAGTCATGAATCTGGCACCCAGGAACCGTAGTGATGATCCCCTTACTCTGAGTTCCCTGACCTTCTTTCTTCTCACAGCCCAGTCCTCAGCTTACCTCAGCTCCACATCCCCATGGTTATCACCCCCCAGCAGTCCTTATCCTTACCAATAAGTGTGCCCCTCCATAACTCTCAACATCTTTGACTGTGTCTCTCTGGAACTCCTCTGGCAAAACCCCACATCTGGTTAAAACTAACTCTTCCGGCCGAGTGCGGTGGCTCATGCCTGTACACTTTGGGAGGCCAAGGTTGGCGAATTACGAGGTCAAGAGTTTGAGACCAGCTTCACCAACATGGTGAAACCCCTGTCTCTCCTAAAAATACAAAAATTAACTGAGCGTGGTGGCGCGTGCCTATAATCCCAGCTGAGGAGGCTGAGGCAGGAGAATCGCTTGAACCCAGGAGGCAGAGGTTACAGTGAGCCGAGATCGCGCCACTGCACTCCAGCCTGGGTGACAGAGCAATACTCCGTCTCAAACAAACAAACAAACAAACAAAAAACCTAACTCTTCCTACTCCTCACCAGCACCAGGGTGGCAGATGAAGCTGGAGAAAAAATACATGAACTGACTGGCTACATTTAAAATGTATCACCACTAATGTCAAAGAGTACTGCCTAATAATTCTAATATTCTAGTATTTCAAATCCTAGTCCAGTCACTCTCCTACTCTCTTAGATGACTTTTTTCTACTTCTTTTTTCTCAGACCTTCAATACTGCCTACCCCTCACTCTCTGATGACCTTACCTTAATATTTCACTGAGAATATAGAAGCAATCATAAAATGACATCTGAGTTCCCATCATATCAACAAACCTGCCACACCTGTACCCATACACTCTACCTTCCCTCTTGCTATTATGGATAAACTGTCCAGTCTCTTACCTAAGGCCAATCCTGCCTCTTGGAACCAGATCCCATCCCTGCTCATTTATACAAGGGTTCCAGTATACATTTATACAAGAGCACAATTATCCAGTAATTGTGCTCTTTTTCTACTGGACCATGCCCATTAGCACACAGACTGTAATACATACCTCAAATAAAAAACATATAAACTCTCCTTCTACTTCACATCCCTCTCCAGACACTACCCTACTTCTTGGCTCCACTTTACAGCCAAACTTAAAAGAATTGTCTATATTTGGTAACCCGAGTCCTCTCCCTCTTATTGTCTCAAATATTCTCCCATCTGGCTTTCATCCCCACCACTCACTCCACCCAAACTGATCTTGCCAGCACAGTGCTAAATCCAACTGTCAATTTTCAGTCCTCATCTTTTTTTTTTTTTTTATTGAGACAGAGTCTCGTTCTGTCACCCAGGCTGACATGCAGTGGTGTGATCTCGGCTGACTGCAACCTCCACCTCCTGAGTTCAAGCAATTTTCCTTCTTCAGCCTCCCGAGTAGCTGGGATTACAGGTGTGAGCCACCATGCCTGGCTAATTTTTTTTGTATTTTTGGAAGAGATGAGGTTTCACCATGTTGGCCAGGCTGGCCTTGAACTCCTGACCTCAGGTGATCCACCTGCCTTGGCCTCCCAAAGTGCTGGGATTACAGGCAGGAGCCACCTTAGTCCACATCTTAAGAGACCTATTAGACACAGTGTCTGGCCATAAAACACTTTCCTCACTTGGCTTTGGGGACATCATTTTTTCTTGGTCCTTCCTCCCTGACTGCCCCATCTCATTCTCCTCTGCTGGTTCCTCCTCATCTTCCTCATCTTCAAATGTTGGAGTGCCCCCAGTACTTAGTTCCTTGGACAGCTTCTCTTTCTATACTCACTGCCTTGGTGATTTCATACACTGATAACTTTTAAATTGATATCTCCAATCTGGACCTCTCTCCTGAATTCCATACTTGCAAATAACTATCCATGTAAAATCTCCACTTGGATGGCTAACAGGTTTCTCAAATGTAAACATACAAAACAGACTCCTAATTTTCTCCCCCATACCTGCTCTTGCCATGTTTTTCCCATGTAATAAACAGCAACACCATTCTTTAGTCTCTCAGGCCAAAAATCTTGGAGTCAACTTTGATTTCTCTCGCACTCCACACATGATCCACCCAGCAAATCTTGCTGGTTTTACCTTTAAAAGTCATCTCTTTACCATCTCCACTGCTTCCTTCCACTCTGGTCCAAGCCATTATCTCCTCTTATCTGGGCTATTGCAATAGCTTCCCAACTTCCGAAAGAAGCTGATCGGGAACATACTCCAATAAACACTCCTCTGAGTGCCAGCCAATCATAGTCATACTTCTACAGATTATGTTAACCCACTACAGCCTCAGAAAGTTTGCCAATCCCTGAATTCCACAATTCCCCAAAATTAGAAATTGGCCTGCTCTTCTTAGAGAAACTGTGTCTAGCCAGCATTGCTCTCCCTTATTACAGTAAGCATTAAATTCAGCTTTGCCTTTGTTTCAGATATTGACTGGCAGTCATATCCTTTCATGCTGAAGAAAACTTCTGGTGATTATATATGTTTACTTTTAAATAAAACTATTTCAGTGTTGACACATATTAATAGTAGTTAGGATCAAAATATTCCCTTTGGATGAATATCCATGTAAACTTTTGAAGTAGATACGGTTCACTAGCCAACAATTTCCCAAGTATCTGCTTCAATTTACTTCAATTAAAAAAATTCAAATTGACATTCCCTTTTCTGTTTGGCATGGTTCAAAATTAATCTGGAAATAATGTAACAATAAGTTATCTCCGGCTGGAGATTTTAACATTCAAAACATCAAAATACTCTTCTATTTAATGTTAAGGTTGAGTTTCATCTCTGCTGGTTTGAAGAACATTCTCTTTGATGGAGAAGGCTAAGGTAAAGACAGTCATCTATGTATTCTTGGGATTGTTGAGGCTGAGTATGAATATCTGTCAGGGACAATGTGGCAGATTCCTCAAAGGCAAGGGAGTTTCAAGACTCTCATAAGGTCATTTCCTTTTTATAAGCTTATAATTCTAAATAACACTAATTATAAACAAAGAATATATTCAGTGTCTGTCTTAGCCCATTTAGGCTGCTATAACAAAATACCATAAACTAGGTAGCTTGTAAACCACAGCAATTTATTTCTCACAATTTCCAGAGGCTGAGAAGTCCAATAAGACACCAGCAGATTCAGAGTCAGGTGCGAGCCCACTTTCTGATTCACAGATGGAGCTGTGTCCTGAAATGATAGAAATGCAAGGCAGCTCTCTAGGGCCTCTTTTATAATGGCATGAATCCTACTCATGAAGGCTCTATCCTCACGACCTACTCACCTCTCAAAGGCCCCACCTCCTAATACCATCATATTGGTGATTAGGTTTCAGCATATGAATTTTAGGAAGGTACAGACATTCAAACCGTAGCAATACCCACCACGCTCAAAGCACTGTATTGGCACACATATTTACCTTCTAAAAAATGCCCATTTTATTTTAGTTGTATATAACGTATATTACTTTGATAGCAAATGGAGGAGGATAGAGATGGGGTCTTGCTTTGCCCAGACTGGTCTCTTGGCTTCAAGTGATCCTCCTGCTTCAGACCCTCAAAGTGCTGGAATTATAAACGTGAGCCACCATGCCTGTCTAAGACTTTTTTAAAGGAAATATACTGGATGCTAAATTTATCCTTTTGTTTGGTTCACTGATTCTTCTATATAATGAAGCTTAAAAGACAGTATTTTAATAATTTTTGTGGCGTTTTGGGGATGCTACGGTTTGTTGACTCAGATATTAGCACAGCTCAGTGAGATAGCTGCTTTGCACACAGTAGTTGAAAAAATAGTGGTTGATTATTCTGTGTAAAAGTCCCATGGAAACTAATCAACCTAAGTAGCCCTGTCTTTCCTGCCATTGCTACCAATGCCATCTTGCATTTTAAAAAATGAAATTTATAGATTGCAGAGAAAATAGTTTGAAATCTGAAGGCAGTGCAGAAAAACTTGTTAGGGCTAGAATAAAGAAGAGATGTAATTAGAAGCAGATCACGGAGGACTACCTTAAAGTAGAAAGTAGCCAGATTAGTTCTGTGATTATTACAAGAAAATACTTGACAGGTTATTCATACCACTTCAAAAACAATCTTTCAACAAGACCCTGCTGAGAGACTTCGTGGCTCTCTTGTAGGTGCCCCACTTCCTTTTCTGACGAATAGTAGCAAACCAGCTCCCAGTTCTGTCCCACCTCCCCTTTTTCTTCTTCTTAGTGGAGCTGCAGCATCAGAGACACAGGGCAAGGTCAAAGAGGAACCCACTCTGTGCATACCAAAGATGGATGCCAAAATAGCCACACCCTTAGCATACCCAGTTTCTCAGCACCAAATGTTTTTCAGTTTTTAATTTTTTGGTTTGTTTGTTTAATAGACTGGGTAGACTGGGAAATGTTTTTTCCCAGTTGTTGCAAACTCAAAATATCTTTAAAAAAAAGAAATGACATCATACGAACAAGTCTCTGATGGTAATAAGGTTACAGAGTTCTTTATCTCTGCTGGTTAACTGAAAAAGAGACTTCTACCAGTCCTACTGTGAACAAAACCAAATATGATATGAAGTGGCTTACAGGGAAAGATTTATCAATGCTCAGCCATCAATCAAAATGCTGAATCCATGCCAAGTGCATAATGGTGAGATTAATCTGAGAGTTTTCTTTCTCTCCCCCAAAGGGAAGTATCACCATGACTCATTTTTCCTCTTGCAAGAATTTTCTTAATCCACCAAGTTAGTAAGCATTGAAGAACACATAAAACCTAAAATAAACTAGGCCAGGTCTAAAAGAAATCATGCTGAGAGCAAGTTGAATGTTACGCAGTGAACAAAAGGTATTATTTTTCCTCAGTTTCAATCCTTCCAAATTTCCTGGGCTTCAAACTAGATTTGTTTTTTGTTTTGTTTTGTTTTGTTTTGTTTTGAGCCTGTTACCCAGGCTAAAGTGTAGTGGCATGAACATGGCTCATGGCAGCCTCAAACTCCCGGGCTCAAGCAATCCTCCCACTTCAGCCTCTCAAGTAGCTGGGACAATAGGTGCGTGCCACTATGTCTGGCTAATTTTTATTTTTGTATTTTTTTTTTTTTTGGTAGAAATGGGGTTTTACCATGTTGCCCAGGCTGGTCTCAAACTCCTGGGCTCAAGTAATCCATCTGCCTCTGCCTCCCAAAGTGCTGGGATAACAGGTGTGAGCCACTGCGCTCAGTCAGTAGTGTACTTTTAAATTTTAATGGAAAAATCTTCAGTCTTAAAAATAGATTTTTAAAAGTTTTTAATTTTAGCTAGATTATATAACTGAAGCTCCCTTTCTTTGCTAGAATAAGGAGAATTTTCTGTACCTTCTGACTCCTTGATTGATTACTCCGAAGTCCTTCTCCAAGCTCTATAACAAACTGTGACAAACCTATGTAATTAATAGGATTCAATTATCACCAGAGGAGGAAAAACAAACAAAACCCAGAGGAAACCAAAATTCTTTCCTTGTTTTATTTTTTGAGACAGAGTCTCCCACTATCACCCAGGCTGGAGTGATGACAGCTCACTGCAGCCTCGACCTTCTGGGCTCAAGCGATTCTCCCACCTCAGCTTACTGAGTAGCTGGGACAACAAGTGTGTGCCAACCATGCCCAGCTAATTTTTAAATTTTTTGTAGAGATGAGGTCTCACTATGTTGCCCAGGCTGGTCTAAAATCCTGAGCTCAAGCGATGTTCCCACCTCAGCCTCCCAAAGTACGGAATTACACATGTGAGCCACTGTGCCTGGCTGGAACCAAAATTCTTCAGGAGAAAAAGTCTAGCACTTAGTTAGCTCCCAGCATCAGACTGAGGGTGAGCGGATCTATGGACTTAGGGGTTCTGACTTTAATCTCTTCTTAGTTTCCTGGGCTAGATGAAGAATAGCTAAAATATAGTCCTGGTTCTGACAGGTGGCTCTTCCACGTCCATGACAAACACGGCAAATCAAACAGCCTTTTTTTCACTGAGCACAGATCCTCCCTCAGTCCTTAGGCAGCTACTACCAGTAGATGAGACTTGGCAAAGGTTGAAACCTAGTCATTTCATCCCTGAGCCTGATGGACTCAGGTCTCTTCTAATTCTAATTGTCTATGATTTTAAGGAAACACCATTTAACCCAATCTTGGGGGAAAAAAATACTGACTTGCCCTCATCACTGCCAAGGTGAACAATGTATAAGTAAAAAGGAAAAATATGAAAGCTGAATCATGCTAGATATGTACATACAAAAGCTGAAATACTGCAGGAAAGTGACTTGAAAAACAAGAACCAGATAGACTTAAAAAATGAACAAAGTAAATAATGAAGTCAAGCATGAGCCAATGTTGTTAAGTAGTAGAGGGGAAAAAAAAGTTAACAGTAGTATGACCGTATTAATAAATGCTTTCCTGAAAACTCACCAAATAAAGCAAACTTATACAGCTAATTTTCTATTTTCACATTGATTTCCATAATAAAGTTAGACATGTTTCCATGAAAACATGAATTCCCTACAAATCATAAATCATAGGAATTAATGCAAAAAAGATTCAATCACAAAATTAAATATAAATTCTGTCAATGTAGTAAGAATACTAAAGTAGCACATTCATTTCTGCCTTGGTCTTTATTTCCTTTCCTCTTATTAAAATAAATTTAACAGTATTTAACTACTGCCTCTCTTTAATTAAATTTTATAACCAAGACTCTCAAGAGGAGAACAGTACTGAAAGATATTAGAAAAAAGACTTCAGAATAAGAAAAAATAGGTTAGAAAAATTGACTTGGAATTTAGGAAAGAGGCCTTTGGGAAACAGGTTTCATAAAGGCTTTAACCGCAGAAGGTGATATTTTAAGGAGTTTCGGAGGGTTTTCCTCCCCCCATCATTCATTTACATCTATTCCTCAACTGTGACCCACTTTTTTCTAGTACCTCAAGAAAGTCTACTGGTTAACAAAAGACCTCCAAGGTCCTTCCAAATCTAAACAATCAACTTTTAAAAATAAGTGCTTGAGAATAACTCTGGAAGGATCCACAAGAACCAGAGATAAACTAGTTAGCTGAGAATACAAGGGAGAGGGTTCACTCAGTGTTTGCTATATATCCAGGAGGACCCCAGGAGTTTTGTACCATGTGCATTTATTGATTTTTTTTAATTTAAAGGACAATTCAATCATTTGTTGCAGTTTGATGCTGCATATGAAAAAATAACAAATATTATCCCTGACTTTAGAATTATGCATGCCACACTCAGGTAACAGCAAGAAGTGCTTTGGTAGAAAAAACAAAATAAGAACCATCGGCCATCATACAGTCATATTAGAATTTCAGAATGCTATTAAAAAAAAAAAACTAGCAATCTGCGAAACCAATAGCAAAGCTCATTTTAAGAAATATGTAATTATATATTCTCCCAAGTTCCACAGCTTTGGACCAAAGGCCCTATTTAATTGAAATCCTGAAACTGGGATTGAGGGCAGTTTTGGGGTATGTTTTCTCAAAACCTTTTCCCTAAGGAAACATCAAGAGAAACAACTTTCTAAAGTCCTATGCAGGCTCTTCAAAGCCCTATGTCTCTGAGCCCTGCCCCTTCCCAGGAAAGGTTCTAAGACCTAGAGAAACTTCTGGAACCTCATAAAAAGAGGAAGTAAAAAATACTGCTTTACTAAGCCCTCTGTCAGACCAGGCTCTAGACAAGCAAACTGACTCTAAGCTCCTGTTTTCCTGCTCTAACATCTGTATCTTGCCTACAGTCACCTAAAACACTGCTTTTAACATTTTACTCCTTTACTTAGAAATGTTTCTTGTTAGGTGTTTGTAGTTTGACAGTTTCTCGGGTGATTTTGATAAAACTCCCCTTCCTACTTGCTCTAAGAATCACTAGGAATCCTCTGCTTTAATCAGGCTAGATTCCTCAGGGCCTCACAGATATCCAAAGTTCATCTTCAGCTGGCCGCCTCATTTGTTTCCCACAATGATGTCACTCTTCTTAAACAATCCTTTTTACCCCAGGCCCGAATTTCACCTCTCTATCTTATCCACACGCTGCACAATTCAAAGACTAGCTGAAGTCTGTCCTCTCCAAAGCCTTTCTAGCTCTTCCAACTCTGACTACTCTTTTTCCTCCTCTCAAGATCAGCAGTGCTCCAGGTATGGCATACCATCTAGCCCCATTGCTCACCACTGAGTCATGAGTACGGTGCCCCAGCTGGTAAGAATGAATGCTCCTCAATGGACCATGCCTCACTCTTACATGGTGAAGGCATTTATATGCACCTTCAGAGACACAGCACACTTCTGACTTAGAGATACCACTGGTATTACTCTAATCAACGTCAGGGGCCTGGAGATACATCAAGCTTTATTATCATGATTAATTTTCAGATTGAAAGGGAGTAGTAGTTACAATAGGTTTTTCAAGAGGCACAAGGCCTAAAATTTGCATAATGTATTTTGTACTTCATGAGGGAGGTGGGGAATGTAATACCACTCAAAAAGAGATTTGGTAACTCCTGGAGTTAGGGTATAATTCTCATGAGGTGGGATAAAAGCACGAACTCAGTCAATAGTAGGGCAAAAGAGAGTCAATTCTTCAAGAAAATGACACTGCCCCACTACCTTGACCTTAGGCCCTAAATGTAGAAAACCTCATGCCTAATGAAGTACTATGATATTCAGAATGAATAGCTGAAAAATAACCAACAGACAGGGCACTTGTAAGTAACCACACAGCAGCCACAATCAACATCCACACAACCCACCATAAGCAATTTTTGGAACACAAAGAGAAAGGGCAAGATGACTTACACACCACAGACAGCACTGAAGAGGGCTTGCTAGGAAAAGTAATTTGGTATCATCAAGCTGTATACGTAAAGTTGACGGTATATAAATTATGCCTTGATAAAATTGTTTTTTAAAAAAGTAATCTGGTGACATGAGCTAGGGTATTCGCCTATGGAGAAGCAGCATGCAGTCCAGTAAAGTAAGGGGAGAGGGGTATTCACTAGGTTTTAATTGGCAGTTTCAAGATAGCAGGCACAAAACCTCTGGCACAGAAGCAGAAATGCCTCATGATGTTAAGACAGGAGAGTTCACTATAAATGATAAGAACTACCACAATATAGCCTTTGAAAAATACACACAAACATATAATAAAAAGTCAAACCAGGCCAGGCACAGTGGCTCACGCCTGTAATCCCAGCACTTTGGGAGGCCAAGGTGGGTGGATCACTTGAGGTCAGGAGTTTGAGACCAGCCTGGCCAACATGGTGAAACCCCATCTCTACTACAAGTACATAAAAAAAAATTAGCCAGGCGTGGTGGCCCATGCCTGTAATCCCAGCAACTCAGGAAGCTGGGGTAGGAGAATCGCTTGAACACAGGAAGCGGAGGTTGCAGTGAGCCAAGATCGTGCCACCGCACTCCAGCCTGTGTGACAGAATGAGACTCCATCTCAAAATAATAATTAAAAAAACTCCAAACCATAAAAAACTACTGAAATAATGAGAACCATACAGCTAGTGGCAATTGGGGATAGTTTCAGAGAAAGAAGAAATGGGAGTGGGTGGAGGCAGAAAGAAAAACAAATTAATACTTAAGACTGGTGATAACTGAAGAAAGCAGAACTGATGAAAGAAGGGAAGTCTTAGAAATCATTGCTATTGGCCAAGAAGCTTGGTTCACAGTCTCCAGGACATAAGGTCTGCTTTGGGATAGGTTCTTTAGAAGGGGGCTAAAGGACATTTTTCCTTTAATATCAAATGAGGGAAATCAAGGGAGCCACATACAAGTAAAAGAAAATAATGCAGGAAAAGAGAGGAGGTTGCTGAGAGCTTAGAAGGACCCAAAACAGGAGTTCAGGATAATATATCTGAAATTAACACTTATGACAACAACTATCAATTATTACCTTTAGTGATAGAATAAAACTGGTTATATCTTAATTACATCATAGGAAAACATTTCTTTCATTTTTTACTTTAGTCTCTCAGAATAAAGGGATCATGTCCCATATCATATTATAATGAAGTGAAAAAGAAAGGAATCAATTTTTGTTTGTATACCTGTTATATGCCAGGCACTTTATCATACACATCTCCTCATAATAACCTTGCAAAATAGTTCTATCTCCAATTTACAGATGAAGAAACTGAAGCTCAGAAAGGCTAAGAGCCTGCTCAAGGATATGTACTTTTCAGTAGTGGATGTGAGATTTGAACCTGACCCTAAAAGCCATACGTTTTACACAATATCACACTTCCTCTAAAAAATACTCAATTTTTGCCATGTTTTTAGTTTTATGATACTAGACACTACACATTAACAGAAGTAAATTAAGTGATATTAGGTGATAGCAAGAAGCCACAGCTGGAGATAAAAGAAAAGGAAAAGCTACCAAGTAACCAAAACACAAAAGTGTGGGACAATTTAATGCAGTTTCTAAGAGCCTATAAACGTCAACAATCTCAGAAGGCAATTCAATAGCACGGTACAATAAATGATGCAAAAAAATGAATTCTAAAGTCGATATTTCCCACATCATTTTGGCTAAATTAAGCATCAGGGACTCCATTTAAGAAGGGCAGGAGAAATTATTATAATACATCTTATTTTAAAAATGACATTTAAAATAACTTACAAAAAAGATTTCAACTTCTTGCTAACTTTATAACCTTGGGCAAGATATTGAACTATTGTTTTGTCCCTCTGTTTTCTCATCCGTAAAATAAGAATAATAAGAGTAACCATCTCATGGGATTGATATGTTAATTTGTTAAATGAGGATAACATATATACATCACTTAGAACAGTACCTAACACAGAGCATGTGATCAATGTTAGCTAATAGTCATTATCTTCATTAAATATTATCTTCATTTTTAAGGAACACTTCATTAGTTCACATTAAGTAAATGAGATATTATTCATACTATACTCTGATCCACATAACATAAGCAATTAAGCGCAGAGACTGAGAGAGTTGGAAACTAAAGAGAATACAGAAGAGTGAGAGATCGATGTACACAAAGAAAACAATAGAAGAGAGGTGCTAGCCCACCACTTTGCCCACACTTCTATCAATATTTATCTCACCAGACCATAATCAGTCTCCATGTCTCTGACAGAGAGACCACAATCTATTTCCACCATAGATTGTGAGCACTTTGAGGGCAAGGACCTATTTTTACATTATCAGCCCCTAATATAGTGCCTGCAACATGGTAGACACTAAATTAACATAAAATAAAGTAATATAAGGGGACTCAGTAAGCATTGAGGTCAATGATGTGAGAACTTGGTTTTATCATATCCTAATGGGGCTGGGAGCGGAGTCAGTAAAGTTGTACTGTATTGTCACTCTTTGATTATCAATATTCTACTCCCCTATTCTTTCTGAACTGAGAAACAAATTCCAAAAAGAAATGTTTAAAAAATATTTAATCTGCTATAAAATTAGAAAATTTCCAAATGATAACACAAATTTTAGTAATTCATTTTAAGTATTAAAAATATTGCTCACTAGAAAAATTAGCCAGGTGTGGTGGTGTACAAATTGTAGTCCCAGCTACTTGGGAGACTGAGGCAGGAGGATTGTTTGAGCTCAGGAGTTCAAGGCTGCAGTGAGCTATGATCACACCTGCACGCCAGCCTGGATGACAGCGAAAGCCTGTCTCGAAAAAAAAAATTGCTCTGAATTGACTATTATACCTAAAAGTTAATCCTAATGGTCAAATGGCAAGTCATAGGAATAAATAGACACCAAATAAGAGAAGACTGAGTGTGGTGGCTCACCTCTGTAATCCCAGCAATTTGGGAGGCCAAGGCAGGAGGACTGCTTGAGCCCAGGAGTTTGAGACTAGCCTGGGTAACATAAAGAGACCCCATCTCTATAAAAATTACAAAAAATTAGCCAGGCATGGTGGCACGTGCCTTTAGTTCCAGCTACTTGGGCAGCTAAGGTGGGAGGATTGCTTGAGCCTGGGAGGCGGAGGTTGCAGGGACCTATGATCACACCTGCACTCCAGCCTAGGCAACAGAGTGAGACCCAGTCTCAAACAAAATGGAAAAAAAAAAAAAGAGAGATACACCTATTTCTTAGCTGTCAATCTGCCAGATGCAGGGAACATACCAAAAAAGAGAAGGCATGGTCACTTCCTTCTGACATCAAAATAAGCATGTTTTGAGATGAACAACCCCAAACCTCCTTGTGTGGGGGGACCCACCCCTTATTCCAGTCCCTGTGAAATATACAGCCAAAGAAACAACATAACAAAGCCACATCTTTCACAGCTGTTTGGTACAGGGGTCACCACTCTCAATCTAACCAGGACGGATCAAATTCAATTCTTCTCCAGAAATCTGGAAAGCTGGGAGACAAAACTCAAGTTGAGACATAAGGTATCACCAAGTCTGGAGGCACTACCATAACAAGCTAGTCACCTTGAAGCTGAAGCTAAGGGGAAAGCACAGAAGGTCAGTCTGCAGGGAAGAGAATGAAGCAGGGCTGGGGCTACAGGGAAAAAGTAAAGGAGGCACCTGCCTCAGGGTGTCTCAGTATTTAATAGGGTGCAAAAAAGCTCAGCAATCAAGATAAATTACACAGTAATGCATACTATTTTTTAAAAATTAAAATTAATGTCCTAAAATGGAGCAGAGGCACAGAAAGAAGCCAAAGAGAGCCCTACAAGCAGAGAGAGGACAGAGACTTTCAAAGTGTCTGCTCTGGGTACCAGTGGTAGGTCATTTCACGGACCTCAGCAGCCTTACAATAGTAATGCAGTACAACTCCCAGCTCTGCCACCATACCATCTAGCAAGATAGCTTAAGTGGGTTTGTGTTCCCGGAGACCTAAACACCTTGACTAACATACTCTATTTGGGAAAATGAGACATGCACATAAAGTGCTTTTTGTTTTTTTCAAGAAAATATATAATTAACTGCCAAAAGAATGGTACTGGCTATTAGTGTACAGAAATTCAGAGATCACTGTGGGTGGTCAGGGAGGGACAGAATTAGCTACACAGAGAGGAGTGGAGAAGTATATACTAAACAAAGAGATCAAAGCACAGGCTGAAAAAGGTTGGAGCTGGGAGGGAATCCAGGGCAAGAAGAAGAAAAGTAAAGGGAAAGGAGCGATCTTCACACACCCTGTGTTACACAGAAGTAAGTACGCCTCCATGCTCTTCCGCCTGCAGCCCTTACATCACACGGTTCATTACACAGGAAATGTCCTTTTGCACTCTTTCTCATGTTCAAATCCTTTCACATCTTTCAGGGACCAGTTCAAGTAACATTTCTGCAGAGGCTCCCCTTGTGTGCTATACCAGATTCAGGCAGTGGGAGAAGAAAAGAGGAAACAGTTTCTTCTGAGGTAGGAGGGAAGGCTAAGGGGCTTAAAGCAGTGCCAGCTATTCTCTGGTGGAGGGCACACTATATCACTTGGAATGCTGGCCAATGTCTAAGGAAAGCAGGAAGTGAGATGACTTGACAAGGAATAATAATGGGGGTTCAAGAAAAGTGGCAGAGGAAAGGCAAGCACAGAGGGTGTGCTGAGGACTAACAGAAGAGCCCACCTGCCCCGAAGGCCTTGCAGAGGTGAAATCCTACACATCTGCCTTGGTCCATTTCTGTGTAGGGTTCTGTAATTTTTCACCAAGAAACTGTAAATCTTAGGGACAACAGGAGAAAAACAAAAGTGGGGTGGGCATGACTTTGAAATCATCACATATTTATTGCTATTTCCAGTGAAATTAGACCCCCAACTCCTCAGCTGGTCTAGCACTCAAGTGGGCACATTAAAGAGGAAAAAAAAAAAAAAGAATAGTTCCCTAAGAGTATTAACCTGGGTTAATTATAGCCCACCATGAATGAAAATAAATCTTGGGGGTTGTATCATATCTTGTCACGTTTGCCTCAGGGTAAGGGCTGCCTGAATATAAGCCAGACTCATATACATTTGAGGGGCTTCTTCTGAATATTCCTTAACTCCTCATCAAAGTTTTACCACCACACCCAGGGAATGAAAATATTTTGTTGGCTGTAATTTTCCACATGGATGGAAATCCCCTACTGTATAAGTATCACTAATAATATCCTGCTCAAAAGAATTGCTATGCTATGGTTAAGGAAATACAACAATCTTCTTACCTACAAGTCTATATATATATATATCAAACCCAGCCCTCATTTTCTTCTAGTTTACCATGTTTTTATTCACTTTCTCACAGACACTTCAGGAACTGTGTTCACTTGTATGTACTTATCATGATGTTCATGCTTAGTTATGCCCAGATATGAAACTGTTTATTTGTAGGGGGTTATCATCACTGTATATGTTACCTTAGTTTGTAAGTTTGTCTTAGTGTGTTTGTGTTCCTTCCTTAGTGAGTGGGTGCAGGTGTTGAACATATATACCCGAGGCAGTGGATATCTTTATAGCTCAAAAAGGGTGCACATCTCAGGAGGAACCTTGACTGTATTTCAGTATTTTTCTTTTTTCTTTTTTCTTTTTTTTTTTTTGAGACGGAGCATCACTCTGTCACCAGGCTGGAGTGCAGTGACATGATCTCGGCTCACTGCAACCTCCACCTCCCAGGTTCAAGCGATTCTCCTGCCTCAGCCTCCCGGGTAGCTGGGACTACAGGTGTGTGCCAACATGCCTGGCTAATTTTTGTATTTTTAGTAGAGACGGGGTTTCACCATGTTGGCCAGGATGGTCTCGATCTCCTGACCTCGTGATCCACCCGCCTCAGCCTCCCAAGGTGCTGGGATTATAGGCGTGAAAACGAATTCTTAAGAGTAGTATAAGGGTGAAAGAAGCCAGGCACAAAATATGACATATTATATGATTCCATTTATATGAGATGTCCAGAAGAGGCAAATCTTAAGAGAGAGTAGATTAGTGGTTGCCTAGGGCTGGGTGGGGGAGACCAGGGGGGAATTGGGAGGAATTAGGTAGTAACTGCTAATGGTAAGGGGTTTATTTCTGGTGTGATGAAAATGTTCTAAAATGGTGGTGATGGTTCTACAGTTCTGAATGTAGCAAAATCCACTGAACTGTACACTTTAAATGGGTGAATTGTATGGTGTGCGAATTATATCTCACTAAAGCTGTTATATGTTAGAGAAAGGGGGAAGGAATGAATAAGGAAACCAAAGTTGTCCTGCATTTCCACAGAAAGGTAATCCTGTCTTTGAAAATCTTAGCTTTTTTCTGCTTCTATTTTAGTTAAGCTTTAGGATTCAAGACTCCTCACTGGTAAGTCCCCAGTTGTCTTTTCTCCATCTCTAATCTTTGTCTTTACTAACAAGGGTGATCTACCTAAGGGAGACAGCATTCACTAGTTACAACTCAATCTCTGAACAAAAAACAATATGCACACTATGATTACAATCATATAAAAATACGTATGAGAATGAATCAGGCCTGGAAAGAAATGAGGAAAAGTAAAAATAGCTACATAAGAATAATGAGGTTGGGGTGACATTCTTTTTAAAACTTAGTGTATTATCAGCAAATAAACTTAGAAGAAAAAAATAACCAAACTGTCTCCCTAAAAATTGTTCCAAGGCAAATTCAGAAATTGCATCACAAAGGATTGGAATAGACAATGGAGTAGAAACATGGAAACTAAGGCTGGGTGTGGTGGCTCACGCCTGTAATCCCAGCACTTTGGGATGCCAAGGTGAGCAGTTTGCTTGAGCTCAGGAGTTCAAGGACAGCCTGGGAAACATGATGAAACTCCATCTCTACTAAACATACAAAAATTAGCCAGTTATGGTGGTGCATGCCTGTAGTCCCAGCTATTAATACTTGAGAGGCTGAGGCTGACGGACTGCTTGAGCCCAGGAGGTCGAGGCTGCAGTGAGCCAAGATCACACTACTGCACTCCAAACTGGGTGACAAATTGAGACCTTGTCTCAAAACAAAACAAAACAGAAAAAGATGGAAACTAAAACACATGGCTTATATATAATTGCATCTATTTAGATCAAGCCAATAAACAAGAAATATTAAGCTCCCTATAGCTTGCTATGTTGGAGTCCTAGGTGATCTTTCCTTGCTTACATCTCCTTCATTCTAAACATCTGCCTATTTTATAAGGAAGATGCAATTGCTTCTAAAATGAGGTTGTCTCCATTAACTCGACCCACAGAAAAGCCATTTAAAATTCAAATTCATACTTAACATTCTTCCATCAGGAAATACATGGTAACTAGCCCTGGATCAATCTCAGTCAAGTCCCAATCTGGAAGAGGAGCATAAACATTTAATTTTTAAGGTCAGGGTCCGTGCTTAAGAAACTGACAATATAAGCACAACTAAAATGCAAAGTAGCTCAGCTGACACGCTAAGATGCCAAGTCAATCTAATGGAGAAAAACAAACAAAAAAGAGATGTGTTCTGTTTTGTCTTGAGACAGGGTCTTACTCTGGCCCTCAGGCTGGAGTGCAGTGGCATGATAACAACTCACTGTAGCCTCCACCTCCCTCAGATGATCCTCCTGCCTCAGCCCCCCAAGTAGCTGGGATTATAGGTGCATGCCAGTACTTCCGGCTAATTTTTGTATTTTTAGTAGAAATGTGGTTTTGTCATGTTGCCCAGACTGGTCTCAAACTCCTGGGCTCAAATGATCTGCCTGCCTTGGTCTCCCAAAGCGCTGGGATTACAGGTGTGAGCCACTGTGCCTGGCCGAGAAAGGGAAGTTTTTCTTAAACCTATGTTGCTGGAACAACTAGATATCTATATAGGTGGAAAATGAACCCAAACTCCTATCTTATATCATAACACAATAATAATTACTTTGAGATCAATCACAGACTCAAATGAAAAACTTAGAAAAATAAAGTTTCTAGAAGAAAAAGCTTTCTTTGCAATCCTGGGCACTGGTAAAAATTTATTGGTCAGGACAAAAAACACTAGCCATAATACAAAAAATTGATAAAACAGACTTTATAAAAATTAAAAATTTCTGCTCATCACAATATCATTGAGAAAGTAGACAAGGGACAGACTGTATAAAAAAAAACTGTCAACACATCTATCTCTATATGTGACAAAGA
The DNA here is from genome assembly GCF_000001405.40 of Homo sapiens. NCBI lineage: Eukaryota > Metazoa > Chordata > Mammalia > Primates > Hominidae > Homo > Homo sapiens. Next base: position 51,834,179 of record NC_000015.10, on the reverse strand, counting down.
ACTTGTACCTTGAATATATAAAGAGCTCCTACAAACAATAAAAAGATGAATGACCCAATGAAAGACTAGGTAAGACTTGAACAAACAATTCACAAAAAAAGATACTGCATAGCCAATTAACATATGATAAAGCACTCAACATTCTTAATCATCAGAAAAATGTAAATTAAAACCATAATGAGGTACAACCATACATCCTGTAGTGTGACTAAAATTGAAAAGGCTGACAATACTAAACATTGGCAACACTAAAAATACGGAGCAAGTAGAACTCAGTATAAACCACTTTGGAGAACTGTTTGGCAGATTTTTAATAAAGTTAAACATACACATACCCTATGACTCAGTAACTCTGCTCCTAGGTATTTATCAAGAAACTTGTAAAAGTATGTTCATAACAATCTTATTCCAAATATCCATCAAGGAGAAAATATAAATTGGGGTACATTCATACAATGGAATACTATTCAACAACTTAAAAGGACAAACCACTGATACTTGCCAACAACATAGATGAATCTTTCTTACATGAAAGAAGCCAAACACAAAAAAAGCACATGCTGTATGATTCCATTTATGTGAAGTCCAAGACCAGTCAAAAAATCTCTGTAGTGTCAGAAATCTATGGAGTCAGGAAGTGATTGCCTTTGGAGGAAGGTGGGTGAGGGAACTTTCTAGGGTGACTTAAAAAAAATGTTTTCTATCTGATTTTGGTAGAAGTTACAGTGTATACAATTGTCAGAACTCCTTGAACTGGATATTATGTGCATTTTATTGAATGTTAATTATACATCAATAAAAATACAAAGTAGCAATGTGCTTCAAGATACAGACTAACAATTTTGTTTCAAATGAAATTCAAGACTACACAAATGCATCTTCAGTTACACAGCATTTTCAATCATGTGCCATTCTGATTTATTCACACTTCTATTCTTTGATCATTGTAAATAAGCTAATGGATTACAGACACATATAGATAACAGAATGTATGTTCACATACATAATTTTTTATAAACACCAAATTAAATTTGATTGTTTACAATTTAAATAAGCACTTAATGGACCAGTTATAGGCCCAGTAGAATATTCTATTGTCTATACCATTTTTCTCTCCATATATTTGTGATTTTAAAGGATCTGACATAAAACTGCATGTAAATCAAATGTCAGCAAGGACTATCAATGACCAAGGGATGATAGCGCTTTAGCCACACGGCCTAGAGAATAATGCCCTCCTCATCTACTCTAATCGAGAGAGCTCATGCATATTAAAGAGCAACTGAAAAGTGTGAAGAGTAGTTTGCCAGCTACAACACAGCCTAAATATCAGTATACATCAGACTGACACCAGAAAACCTTACTAAAAGCCTTTTTTTCCTCTACTGTTTACTGGATCCTCCTCTTTATCTTTCTCCCTCCCTCTATCCAGGTATACTTTTATCCGCAAAGCCTCTCATCCTCCCTGTGATATTGCTCAGATATAATTGATTTTCTCTTTTGTTTTAGTTTTTGAGACAGGGTCTTGCTATGTTGCCCAGGCTGTCCTGGAACTTTTGGGCTCAAGTGGTACTCCTGCCTCAGTCTCCCAAGTGGCTGGTACCACAGAAGCGTGCCACCACATCCGGTTCTAATTATGTTCATGTATCTGGCTCATCTCAGGTTCCAAATAAAATAAATTTACAGAATTCCACTATACTCTATGTAGATATGTCACATACATTCAAACAGTATAGACAGTATAGCCTGGGGAAAGAGATGACCAGTGAATGGAAAAAAATATTGACTTTAGTTGTTCCCCACTCCTGCAACTGGAAAATATCTCTCCTGAATATCTACCACGTTTTTATTCCCTACAGGTGGCTCTTACAAGTGCTGTGGACTATACATAAGTATATCTGCCTAATCCCAAAGAGAATAAGGTCCTAGACAGGAACCATGTCATTCATATATATATATATATATATATATATATAATTTTTTTTCTTTTTTTAGAGAGACAGGGTCTTACTCTGTCACGCAGGCTGGAGTGCAGTGGCACAATCATTGTCTCTCACTGTAACCTCAAACTCCTGGGCTCAAGCAATCCTCCTGCCTCAGCCTCCTGAGTAGCTAGGACTACAGGCATCACCACTACACCTGGCTAATCTATTTTATTTTGTAGAGACAGGGTCTTGCTATGTTGCCCAGGCTGATTTCAAACACCTGGGTTCAAGCAATCCTCCTACCTTGGCCTCCCAAAGTGCTGGGATTACAGGTGTGAGCCACCAGGCCCGGCCCTGGCCTCATGTCTTATACATATTCACCAGGAGCCTGAAACATTGCTTTGTACAGAATACAGAATGGGGCAAGACACATACTTGAATTCATGAATTGCCAAATTAATGTGAATGAAAACAATTAAGGAAGGAAGAGGAGGAGAGAAAAAAAAAGCAAAGAGAAAAAAGAAAAACTAGCAAAGAGAAAGGAAAAGGAAAGAAGGAGAAAAACTTATGATGACAATTGTTCTTGTTAGAGTTCATAGGACTACAGTATTTTAAAAAACTGAGAGTTGAAAAAGCCATCAATTATGTATCTAATATCAGTTATCAGTACCAGTATTTAAATTGCTATTAAAAACACCTGAAAATACCTCTAAAATTACCTCCCCACACTTGACATTCAAAGTATGGTCTCTGACAGCATCACCCATCAGACATACAGACTTTGGACTCTACTTCAAACCTAGAATATCCTGAATGAATTATGCATGCTAAAGTGTTTGAAAAGACTGCCCTCCACCATTCAGGGCCTTTCTGTTGTACCAAACCTGTTTTGTTTCAATGGGCCAGTAATTAAGACACGAAAAATCTTTGAATGGGATTTGACCTGTACCTATTTAATTTCAGATGAAGTTATTAATTACAATGTAGGTTGGCATATTGGATATACCACAAAATTTAGGAATTAATCATAAAAAATATGATTAAATAAAATTGAGCAGTAGGTCTACAGCATTCTCAAGAACTCATGTTTGCTCTTTCTCATGTCTATCATAGGACTTGGAATGCATATCGCCAGTGTTTCCTGAATGAGCAAAATAAATGAACTTTTAAAAACGAGAGATATTTAGGGGCAGAATAATCTTGGGGGTCATCTGGTCCAACAACCTAATTTTAAAGATCAGCAAACTACAATTTCTGAGAGTTGCAAAAGCAAAGAAAGCTCAAAGAATTAAAATATATTGGGACATTTTAATTCGTTTTGTTCCTTTCGTAGGAATGTGTAAGAAAGGGGACTGTAACTATTATGATTGCTGACTCTTAAAGGTGAAAAGGTGCCTAGGAAGAAGAAACTAGCAAGAGTAAATGAGACTTGGCAAAGCTATTTTTCCAAGCCTAATATATTTTTGACGGGCCAATTAATCAATTTAATCTGCCAAAAAAATTAATCTGAAGGTTTCTCAGAAAAGGAGAGGAGACATGAGCTGCATGAAAATGTTACAAACCAAGGGAGGCTGCACATAACTAACTTAAATCTCCACAGGCTTATTTCCTGTTGAAGTATGGCCTCCTGGGGTAAGTTTTACTGCAGTGTTCATTGCCAGATGACTTTTGGTTTTAACAGAGGCCAAGGGCAAGTTGGAAATGCGATTCTTAACTAAACATTAAAAAGAAAAAAAGAAACTGTGGCTGTTTCCCATTTCTGTTTGTAATCAGAATGCAGGCTTGCGGAGGAAACACACCATCCCCCGCAAGCAAAAATATAACGACACAGTCACGTCCTCAAAACAAACTAACACACAAACTTCCCAGCCGGATCCAGCTGTGCTGCCTGGGAGCTAGGAACTTAATTCTAAGAGCAGACAGATCAAACCGGTGAATGCAAGGGCAGCCACATTTCAATCACAAAAAGGGTGTGCCCTAAGTTTTGGCTCCCCCACTCCGCCGCCCCACTTTCAACAAGCCGAAGCCTTTGAAGGAGGCTCGGTGCCATCTCGGTGTGATCGCGTCCCGGCGACGCTGGGTAGGGTGCAGGGAGCCAGCTCGGCCGCGGCTCAGCGGGAGGGGAGGGGGCCGGTCCCGAACCCGGGCGCCCGGGCCGCGGGTGATTCACTGGGAACGCCAGGTTCGCGCGCCTAGACCGGCGGGCGACGCCCAGCGCGCCCCACGTCCCCCGCCCGGGCCGTTCGCGCAGAAGCAGCCCCCGCGCACCCCTGCTCCCCGAGACGGACCCGTCGGGAAGGAGCCTGGAGTCGGGCGGCCGGCGGGCAGCAACCTCTCCCTCCTCAGCCACCATGGCCGGTGCGACTCCCTACCCGCGCCCGCAGACGGACTTCCTGGAAAGCACCGGGCTGGGCTTACCTGACTGGCGCCCGCAGGGGCCGCCGACCTCTTCACAGACCCACGGAAACTGCCGGCCGCAAGCCGAGGCTCGGTTCCCAGCACCCGCCGGTCCGCCCGCGTCGGCCTCCCAAAGAGTTGCCAGACCCACCCGCCAGCAGCTCCCTCACTCGACCGCCCTGTAGGTGCGGTGGGTTCCTCCTTCGCCTCCGACGCGCGTGCGCACTCCCGTGCCGCGGGGCATCCTGGGAGTTGTAGTTCTAGCAAGAAGGGCGAGGCTCAACGCTGACCCTGGTCTTTACAATGGGCAGAACGTAGGAAGGGGACTGCGAATACCAACCCTTATCCCAGTCTAAGATAATGTTCTCTACCCGTGGAAGTACCTACTATGGACTTCCCCGAAGCTGGAAATAGTATCTAGAGGCTCTTTGGTATAGATTTCCTTTTTACTTTGACCTTTTGTAAAGAAGCGCACATGGCAGGGCTTGCATTGTAGCCTTGGTTGTTAATGCGAGGACATGACATTGGGGCCTTTAAACTGGTCATGACAGAGTTATAGAAAAGTAAAGGAATAAAATCTAAAGCCCAAGAGAGGCATAAATCATGCGAATGTCACCTCCAGGGTGTGGTGACCTTAGTGGTTTTCTTAGGTATGCGTTTCGGGGATGATGTAGCTATTGCAGGGCAGTTTCTGCCCATCCTATCTTCCCTTTCCATCTTCAAGCTCTACACCAGGCGGTGGGGCTGGCTGCTGTAGTGGGAGAAAAAACAGAATAGGCTGCTCAAGGGGGGGATTGGGGCAGATGGGTAGTCTAGAGGGAAGAGGAAGAGTGTGGGAATCTCTCAGAGGACTGTTTGACAGTGGCCTATGTAATGGCTACCTTTTGTGCGAGGCTCTGAGGAGAGGGAACTGCGACATTTTTCCATTTATTCATTTAGTCACTTACTGGGAATTTTCCTGGCCTGCTCTTCAGGAGTAGACCATCCCCAGGAATAATGCTAAACTTTGACACACCTTTCAAAAATGCAGCCAAAGAAGTGGACTGACGTGCCTGCTTGAGGTACATTCCAGCTACACCCAGTGTGCGAGCCACTTCATGGTTTAAACCTCTCCTGGCATCTACTTCTTCCCCTCAGAGGAGGGAGGACCCTAGGTTAGATAAACATCCTGGAATTTCATGCAACTGGCACCCACTAATTTCAGCAATGGAGATCACTGATGGTTTAGGTTTTTAAGGGAAAAAAACCCTTCTTTTTTTTTTTCCAAGACAGAGTCTTGTTCTGCCGCCCAGGCTAAAGTGCAGTGGTGTGATCTCGGCTCACTGCAACCTCTGCCTCCCAGGTTTAAGTGATTCTCTTGTCTCAGCCTCCCAAGTAGCTGGGATTACAGGCACGTGCCACCACACCCAGCTAATTTTTGTAGTCCTAGTAGAGATGGGTTTTCACCATGTTGGCCATTCTGGTCTTGAACTCTTGACCTCATGATCTGCCCACCTTGGCCTCCCAAAGTGCTGGGATTACAGGCGTGAGCCACCGTGCTTGGCCAGGAAAAAACCCTTCTCAATTGCAAATACTTAGAGGACAGTCAACACTCAATCTTGTGGCCATTGCATTTTATTTTCTATACCATCTTTGGGTCAATCTCTTGGAGATAACAGCTTTCTGAGAGCAATTTCCTACAGAATTCAGGTTCATAAGAATGTTTATACTTATAATACATACCAACCACTGGGCCAGCACTTCATTTGTAATATCTCATCTAATCCTCAAAACTAATCTAGTCCTCAAAACTCTATAAAGAATAAACTGGTATCCTCCATTTCTATAGATAAGAAAATGAAGACTCAGAAAAGTTAAGTAATTTGTATAAGGTCCCAGAGCCAGTAATTGGAGATCCAGAGATGAGACACAGTTCTCTTGAGTCAAATTCTAATGTGATTTCCACTGCTGATCAGACTGATGTGTCTCCTAAATCTCATCAATTTTTTTTTTTTTGAGACAATCTCATTCTGTCACCCAGGCTGTAGTGAAGTGGTGCTATCATGGCTCGCTGCAGCCGTGACCTCCTGGGCTCAAGCAATCCTCCAACCTCAGCCTCCTGAGTAGCCTGAGCAGCTGGGACTACAAGCATATGCCACCACACCCAACTAATTTTTTTAATTTTTTTTTTTTTGTAGAGACAGGGTCTCCCTATGTTGCCCAGGCTGGTCTTGAACTCCTGGGCTCAAGGGACCCTCCCACCGTGGCCTCCCAAAGTACTGAAATTATAGACATGCAACACCATACCCAGCTGATATGGTTTATTTTAAGAAGGACTTTCCTCTGCAATATGGCTTCTTTTGCTTTGGTCAGAGAGACTTTTTAATTCAGTGTCTGACTGACTTAATCTATTACACTTTTCCTCTCTCACCTTCCAATATGGGCTGTTAGGCATATATTAAATATATTTTCGCTATTCATTTCAAATTTTTCCTAACGAATGTATACATCTTATTTTAGTTCCTTTTTCTAAAATAATGCAGTTTGATGGTGGATTTTTTCCTTTCTTCAGGCATACATTATCATATTTTTATCACAAAGCTTATAAACATGAATCTCTTAAATCCGTGTACATTAAATACCACATATGGGGCCAGAGATGTTAAGAGTAATACCTTAGTATTGGATAGCACTGAAGAGGTAGAACCTTCCTCACTTCTTCCACTCCTTTGCTATAACACATTCGCTATATTAGCAGCCAGAATGACTTTTTTTTTTTTGAGACGGAGTCTCTGTCTGTCGCCCAGGCTGGAGTGCAGTGGCGTGATCTCTGCTCACTGCAACCTCTGCCTCCGGGGTTCAAGCAATTCTGCCTGCCTCAGCCTCCCTAGTAGCTGAGATTACAGGCCCCCCACCCCACCACACCCAGCTAATTTTTGTATTTTTTTAGTAGAGACGGGGTTTCGCCATGTTGACTAGGCTGGTCTTGAACTCCTGACCTCAGGTGATCTGCCCACTTTGGTCTCCCAAAGTGCTGGGATTACACGCGTGAGCTACCACTCCCAGCCCAGAATGATCTTTTAAAAACAAATCAGATCATATCACCATCTTGCTCCAAACCGTTCATGGCTTCCATCACATTTAGAATAAAATCCATAATTAACACCTCTACAAATCTGTATATGATTGTTTTGTTTCCTACCACATATTCTCTCTGATACTGCTCTAGTCATACTGGCCTCCCTGAGGTTTCTTAATCCTGCCAAGTTTCTCCCCATCTCAGAGTCTTTATGCTGTGCAGGAGAATGATTTTCCTCCCAGATGCTTCTAGCTCATGCCCTCATTTTAATGAAGGTTCTGCTCACATGTTACCTCTGAAAGTCTTCCTCTTACCACCTTACCCTGCCATTCTCTCCTTTCTTTACTTGTCGTCATAGCACTTTTACCACATAGCTTCATATTGCTTGTTTCCTTAGTGGAAGCTCAACAAGCTTTGCTTTGTTTACTCCTCCATCCCTAGCATCTACAATACTGCCTGCACACAGAAAGTATTCAATAAATATTTGTAAATAAATGAATGTTGGGTTCTTCCCTCTCTCTCCTACTCTCCTCTTGGGACACAGACCCAGAAGGTTCACCTGTAAATGCCAGCCAGTGACCTGATTTGGATGTAAACACCAGCTGCAAGAGGGTTGACTACACAGGAGAATAAGATCCTGTGAAAGTCCTGAAATAGAGACAGAGCTCTCTTTTAAAAAGGCTATAATTTAGGGTTGCCACTATTCCCTTAGAGTTGGAAACATAATTCTTGGAGGAAAACAAACAGGAAAAACATGGAAATTAGATTTACATAAATAAGTGAAAAGGTAAGTCCACTAAATACCTGTGGTAGATTGAAATATTGTTCCCACATATTTGCTCTCCTTTAGAGGAATAGACAGGCTTGCCCACTACTATGTGACTTCCAGTGCTGCCCCGCAGGCATTCCAGGCTTGGCTATGATCCCATGATGGGATTTTCCTCCTCTCTTCGGTTAAATGTCATATTGTAATCACAAAGTTTAGAAACATGAATCTTGCTTTGGTCAATAAAATATAAGTGGAAGGGACAATCCGACAGTTCTGGGTGGAAGCTTTAAGAGTCACTGCCTTTCTCTACTAGTGTGCCTGCTCTTTCCCTCCACCAAGAGAGACAAGTTCTGAATAGAGGCTGGTCCTTCTGCCTGGGTTCTAGAATAAGAAATTACATGGATCAGAGCCTCAGCCACTAGCTGACATAATATATAATGTGAGCGAAGGGGAAACTGAGGTTTAGGTTCGTTTGTTACTATAGACTTACTTAGCAAAAGCTGACTACTATAGTGCCTAATCAAAGAAACATGATGATCTGAACTAGAAGTGGTATGGCACCCCCAACCGTCTGCATTTAACCCACTTCAAGTAATGGAAAACTGTTGAAGTTCAACAGGCTAACACACTACAGAGAACAAATCTGAGGCCTTCAGGTAAAATATTTGAACAAGGGACAGAGTATGGTTCCCATTAGTGTTCAGGGTTTGGTTAGAGTGAAAGTGATTGATAAAATGACACTTCAACTCTACTTTATGTGTTAATATTACAAGCTCTAATTAGTGTTATCTCTAAACTTCCAGCCAGAATAACTCAGAAAGCATGTCACACTGAATCATCGTATGCTAATTAATAACAGCAGCACTTTTCTTGTTATCAAAGAGTTCCTTTAGGAAATAGTTACTTTGGTATATGTAAGCATATTTTGTGTGTATGTAAAAACGTGTATTTATAGGAGAGCTGAGAAAAACTAAAGACAAAAATTTGAAATGAAAAGGGAAGGATTTCATTATGGAAGCTTGGAGGTAGGAATCCTATGGAAGCAGTGGGAGGTAGCAATCACAGAAGACAAACATCATGGCTGGGTACATACCGGTTTTTTTTTTTTTTTTTTTTTTGAGATGGAGTCTCTCTCTGTCACCCAGGCTGGAGTGCAGTGGCGTGATCTTGGCTCACTGCAAGCTCCACCTCCCGGGTTCACACCATTCTCCTGCCTCAGCCTCCCAAGTAGCTGGGATTCCAGGTGTGCACAACCATGCCTGGCTAATTTTTGTATTTTTAGTAGAGACGGGGTTTCACCATGTTGGCCAGGCTGGTCTCAAACTCGTGACCTCAGGTGATCTGCCTTCCTTGACCTCCCAAAGTGCTGGGATTACAGGCATGAGCCACCACGCCTGTGTGCATACAGTTTTACAGGAAAGATTCAAGCACACTTTTTGGCCTCAAGTGCCCCTTTTTCTATAACCCATCTCTGCCTGTTAGAAGCCTCCTCATGTTTCATTGTCCATCTCAAATGTCTGTTCCCCACTCAACCTTCACTAATGCCATCAGCTGGAATTAATTTTGCCTTTCCCATATTTTCATACCCCATTATGCCTCCATTAGAAGTGCACTGAATACACATTTCAGCCAAATGCCAAAAGGGCCAAAAAATAAGTCACTCTTCAGCTGAAGCCAAAGTTGATGACAAACATCACTATTAAAGAATAAACTTCTGGGATATGCACATAAACCTAAAATATTATCCCCAAATTTTAATACTATTTTAATAATATTAAAAATGTTAGTGCTAAAACTGTTCAGTTTAACATTTACTATAGAAGCAATAAATTCCCAGTGCTGTCCATTGTTAGACTCTCCTACAGTCACTGCAGAAAGCCAAATTTCAGCTCAGGTGAGTGAATGAATATGATCCCTGTCATAAATGGAATTAAATAAGAATTAAATTCAGGTCTTTAAATGATAAATGCTAGATGCCCCAAACCCTTCTACCAAGACCAGAGTTGTGATATGATTTAACTTCTGCTTACTTTTCCTTGTCTTTATTTATTTTTATTTATTATTATTATTTGTTTTTGAGACAGAGTCTCACTCTGTCGCCCAGGCTGGAGTGCAATGGCACGATCTTGGCTCACTGCAACCTCCACCTCCTGGGTTCAAGCGATTCTCCTGCCTCAGCCTCCTGAGTAGCTGGGACTACAGACGTGCACCACCACACCTGACTTATTTTTGTATTTTTAGTAGAGACAGGGTTTTGCCATGTTGGCCAGGCTGATCTTAAACTCCTGACCTCAAGTGATCCTCCAACCTCGGCCTCCCAAAGTGCTGGGATTACAGGTGTGAGCCACCGCGCCTGGCCTCCTTGTATTATTTGAATTTTTTATAAACATTTATTGGCTTGAAAACAATGTATTGTTTTTTCTAGGTTATCTAGCCAATGGATTCCTTCTTGATATTTGTAGTGATTGTCAGCTTATTTTCCTATTTGCTTAAAAGTCTTAAATAATTGTTTCTTTTTGTCTTTTACTAAATTCTTATTGATACATTATAATTGTACATATGCATGGGAGTACATGTGATATTTTGCTACATGATACAATGTGTAATAATCAAACCAGGGTAATTGGTCATCATCTCAAACATTGATTATTTCTTTGTGTTGAGAACATTTCAAATCTTCCAGCTATTTTGAAATATGCAATACATTATTGACAACTACAGTCACCCTACTGTGCTGTTGAACCACTAAAACTTATTCCAAGTGTATTTTTGTACCCATTAACTAAACTGTCTTCATTTTTATCCTCCTTAAGTTTTTAATTTGTTTGTTTGTTTGTTTGTTTTTAGATGAAATCTCGCTCTGTTGCCCAGGCTGGAGTGCAGTGGTGCGACCTTGGCTCACTGCAACCTCTGCCTCCCGGGTTCAAGTGATTCTCCTGCCTCAGCCTCCCGAGTAGCTGGGACTTCAGGCGTGCACCACCACACCCAGCTAATTTTTTTGTATTTTTAGTAGACACAGGGTTTCACCATGTTGGTCAGGCTGATCTCAAACTACTGACTTCAAGTGACCCACCCACCATGACCTCCCAAAGTGCTAGGATTACATGTTTGAGCCATCGCACCCAACCAGTTCTTTAGAGAAGTTTTACAAGTGTTTACCCTTCAAAAAGCTTAAGGTTCTATAAAAATGTTATGAACCTTTCCTAAATTCCTGGCTTTTAAAGTGATGCATCCATAAGTGAGCCTAAGTACATAAAAGAAACTTGTGGTATCAGGAGGCTGGGCCAAAATGTGTGCATTACTAGAACATGAAAAGCACCATCAGGGGATTACTTTTTAAATTTCTTTTTCAGGTTGTTCATTGTTGGCATATAGAAATGCTACTGATTTTTATATGTCGACTTTGTTTCCTGCAACTTTACGGAATTTTTTTAATCAGTTCTAATAGTTGTTTGATGGCATCTTTAGGTGTTTCCAAATGTAAGATTATGTCATCTGCAAACTAGGATAATTTGATTTCTTCTATTCTAATTTGGATGCTCTTTATTTATTTCTCTTGTCTGATTGCTCTAGCTAGAACTTCCAGTATTATGTTGAATAACAGTGGTGAAAGTGGGCATCCTTGTCTTGTTCCAGATCTTAGAGGAAAGAGTTAATTTTTTCCCATTCAGTATGAAACTATCTGTGGGTCTGTCACATATGGTTTCTATTATGTTGAGGTATGTTCCTTTTATACCCAGTTTTTTTTTTTGAGATGGAGTCTCGCTCTGTTGCCCAGGCTGGAGTACAGTGGTGTGATCTCAGCTCACTGCAAGCTCTGCCTCCCAGGTTCACACCATTCTCCTGCCTCAGCCTCCCGAGTAGCTGGGACTACAGGTGCCTACCACCACACCTGGCTAATTTTTTTGTATTTTTTAGTAGAGATGGGGTTTCACTGTGTTAGCCAGGATGGTCTCAATCTCCTGACCTCGTAATCCACCCACCTCGGCCTCCCAAAGTATACTCAGTTTTTTTAGGGTTTTTATTATGGAGGGACATTGAATTTTATCAATTTTTTTTTTAGCATCAATTGAAATGATCATATGGTTTATGTCCTTCACTCTGTTGATATGGTGTGTCACATTGATTGATTTCTGGTGGGTTTTTTTTTGTTTTTTGTTTTTGTTTGAGTGAGATTCTTGCTCAGTCACCCAGGTTGGAATGCAGTACCACAATCTTGGCTCATTGGAACTTCTACCTCCTAGGCTCAAGCGATTCTTTCACCTCAGCCTCCTTAATAGCTGAGACCATGGGTGCACACCACCATGCCTGGCTAATTTTTTGTTTTTTGGTAGAGACAGGGTTCCACCTTGTTGTCCAGGCTCCCAAAGTGCTGGGATTACAGGCGTGAGCCACCACTCCTGGCCTGATTTGTGTATGTTGAACCATCCTTGCATTCCAGGGATAAATTCTACTTGGTCATGAAGAATGATCTTTTAAATGTCTTGTTGAATGCAGTTTGCTAGTATTTTGTTGAGGATTTTTGCATCAATACTCATCAGAGACACTGGTCTGTAATTTTCTTTTTTTGATGTGTCTTCGTCTAGTTTTGGTCTCAGGGTAATACTGGACTTGTAGAATGAGTTTGTATTCCCTTCTCTTCTATTATTTTGGAGCAGTTTGAGTAGAATTGGTATTAGTTCTTCTTTAAATGTTTGGTGGAATTCAGCAGTGAAGCCATCAGGTCTTGAGCTTTTCTTTACTGGGAGACTTTTTATTATGTCTTCAATCTCGTTACTTGTTATTGGTCTGGTCACACTTTGGATTTCTTCATGGTACAATCTTGATAGGTTTATGTGTCTAGGAATTTATTCATTTCCTCTAGGTTCCCAATTTATTTGCACATAGTTGCTCATAGTAGCTACTAATGATCCTTTGAATTTTTGTAGTATAAGTTGTAGTGTCTCCCTTTCCATTTCTGATTTTATTTATTTGGGTCTTCTTTTTTTTTTTTTTTCTTAGTCTGGGTAATGGTTTGTCAATTTTCCTAATCTTTTCAAAACACCAACTTTTTGTTTCATTGATCTTTTATGTTATTTTCTTCATTTCAGTTTCATTTATTTGTGCTCTGATCTTTATTATTTCTTTTCTTCTACTAATTTTGGGTTTGGCTTGCTCTTGTTTTTCTAGTCCCTTAAGATGCCTCATTATTTATTTGAAGTTTTTCTTCTTCTTTTGATGTAGACACTATAAACTTCCTTCTTGGTAATGCTTTCACTGTATCCCACAGGTTTTGTATGTTCTGTTTCCATCATCATTTGTTTCAAGAAAATTTTTCAATTTTCTTTCTGATTTCTTTATTGACCCACTGGTCATTCAGGAGCATATTGTTTAATTTCCGTGTATTTGTATAGTTTCTAAAATTCCTCTTGCTATTGATTTTTAGTTTTATTCCATTGTGGTCAGAGAAGATGCCTGATATTATCACAATTTTTAAAAGTATATTAAGACTTGTTTTGTGACAAAGCATCTATATCTGAGAATGATCCATATGCTGCGAAGAATGTGTATTCTGCAGTTCTTGGATAAAATGTTCTGTAAATATCTCTTAGGTCCATTTGGCCTATAGAGCAGATTAAGTCCAATGTTTCTTTGTTGATTTTCTCTCTGGAAGATGGGTCCAATGCTGAAAGTGGGGTGTTGAAGTCCCCAGCTATTATTGCATTGAGGTCTCTCTCTCTCTCTTTCTCTTTAGTTCTAATAATATTTGCTTTGTATATCTGGGTGCTCCAGTACTGGGGGCACATGTATTTAAAATTGTTATATCCTCTTGCTGAATTGACCCCTTTATCATTATATAATGACCTTCTTTGTCTCTTCTTACAGTTTTGTCATGAACTCTATTTTGTCTGACATAAGTATAGTGACTTCTGTTCTTTTTTGGTTTCCATTAGCATGAAATATCTTTTTCCATCCCTTCATTTTCAGCCTATGTATATCTTTAAAGGTAAAGCATTACCTGTATGCAACAGATCAGTCAGTCTTTTTTAAAAATGTTATTCAGCCCAATAAAAAGATAGTATGTCTTTTTATTGGGGAGTTTAGTCCATTTATATTCAATGTTATTACTGCTAAGTAAGGACTTACTCCTGCCATTTTGTTGTTTTCTAGTTACTTTATGGTCTTCTCTTCCTTCTTTCCTTCCTTCCTGTCTTCCTTTTAGTGAAGGTGATTTTCTCTGGTGGCATGATTTAACTTATTGCTCCATGTGTGTGTGTTTTTGTGTGTATCCACATTAAGCTTTTAATAAACTAAAACATCAAAGTCTTTCTCCACACAGATGGCAGTTGAGTTATATTCTCCTCATGCTACTTTTTAAGTTGATTTTTAAAATTAAAAGTAAAAAAGTGTACTATTACATCTATTAAATTTTATCCAATTAGATACAGACTTGTACTTTGGCCTATCCATATATTTTTGAACCTATCAAAGTATTCCTTGTCCCTCCCAGTGCCTATCAGCTGAATACCTCATCAGCGTTCTATCAGTATCACACACCAATCAACTGCTAAACAAGACATGTCTAGGAAAGAGCCTTGTGGTGGCTACTAAGACCTGGTCAAAATTAATCCATCCATTAGCATTTACTTATGATCAATTGTCTAAACCAGTCATTTAACTAGTTAGCCACATTGGGCCAGGTGCAGCGGCTCACGCCTGTAATCCCAGCACCTTGGGATGCCAAGATGGGCGGATCACCTAAAGTCAGGAGTTTGAGACCAGCCTGGCCTACATGGTGAAACCTCATCTCTACTAAAAATACAAAAATTAGACGGGCATGGTGACAGGCGCCTGTAATCCTAGCTACTCAGGAGGCTGAGGCGGGAGAATCTCTTGAACCCAGGAGGCGGAGGTTGCAGTGAGCCGAGATGGCGCCACTGCACTCCAGCCTGGGTGCCAGAGTGAAACTCCACCCCCCCAAAAAAAAAAAAAAAAATTCAAGATACCCAGTAAACCAGAAGAGATGCCAATAAAACAGGTGTAAACCAGACTCCATCTAAAAAAACAAAAACAAAAACAAAAAAACAAACAAAAGAACAAAACTAGTTAGCCACTCTCTGTTACGTAGCCCGTATTTCTCAAGGATGCTGTGAGGCTTTGTCAAATGTCTTGCTGTAATCCAAACACAGTGCGTTTTTTGACTTTGCTCTCAAGATTTCATATCAATTATTTTAAGTGAATCTGTGCTGGCTTTTAGAGGTCACTGCTTCACTTCCAACTGCTTACAAACCACTAAAGTGGAGAATACACTTTTCTAAAATTTTGCTCTGGATTTATATAGCCAGTGGTCAACAGTTTGTAGAATCTCCTCCCCACCACCACACATTTTGAGTCATACGCCTGTCTGACTTTCCTACATAATCTCCCTTCTTAGATTGGTGGGGCTGGAAGCATAGCCCAATCTCATGCAAGCACACATACGTCTAGTTCTAGTGAGGTCCTTGGATGTGTGGGACATTTGTCAGAGGCCATGGTATCTGATTGTGTTCCCCGACTGCTGGGAGTAGGCAGGCAGTGGGTTGGTAACCAGAGAAGAGGGGACACAGAGCACTACTTCTGAAAGCCATAAAAAAAGGCTGAGTTATCAAGCTGAGAGACGTTGGTCCATAACAAAGTCAAGTCTAACACAAAACAGATGTGAAATTCAAGGAGTCACTCCAGAAGCCAAATGGGCAAATCCAAAAGAGGATACCCACAAGGCAGAGCAAGCCTAAACAAGGGAAACATGAGGGAAATCACCAGGGCTGAGCTAATGAGAAGGTGGGTCAGGAGTAACGCCTGCATCAGTTCTCTTATTTGTATTCAGTTCTTGGAGTGATGGGGGAGGGCCTGTGTGCTAGAGGGGAATGGTCAGTAGAAATTTAAAAATGAGTAAGATTCACTAGATCCTGTTTAAATTCTTGACATTGTTGGCATAAAATGGAGAGCTTTGTTGGCGTTAATATCCATGTGATACAGGAGTGCTGGGAAGGGAAGAGTGTAGTCCCTTTAAATGATACGGAACGGGGTTAGGGAAGCGCTGGGCAGAGGTCGGTGTGGTCTCTGGCTAGGGGTCCACCCCCACGGACCTAGGTGAGGACAGGCACTCCTGCCTTCCCGCCCAAATGTTGCATTTCCCAAGACCACCCTGGCCCGCCACGCCCCCATCCTGGGCCTATAAAAACCTGAGACACTGGCAAGGCTGAGACACGGTGGCTGAACTTAGGAGACGGTTGGTGGAAGAAGATACAAGTGGCTGGGCTGTAGATAGGCCACTGAGGAGAGCACATCGGTGGAAGAATACACTGACATGCATCAGGCAGGCCATGCGGCCATCCACCAGTGGGATGAGGTGGAGTTTGGCCAGGGCAGTCGGAGGAGAGCCGGCCGAGCGGCCAGAACTCCAAGGGAAAACCATCTCCCTCTGGCTCACCCATCTGTGGAGAGCTACTTCCACTTAATAAAAGTTTGCACTCATTCTCCAAGCCCACTTGTGATCCAATTCTTCCGGCACACCAAGGCAAGAACCCAGGATACAGAAAGCCCTCTGTCCTTGAGGCAAGGTAATAAGTTCTAATTGAGTGGTTAACACAAGCCGCCTATAGACGGCAAACTAAGAAAGCACCCTGCAACACGCCCACTGGGGCTTCAGCTGTAAACATTCACCCCTAGACGCTGCCGTGGGGTCAGAGCTCCACAGCCTGCCTGTCTGTATGCTCCCCTAGACATTTGAGCAGCGGGGCACTGAAGAAGCGAGCAACTCGCCCTGTCGCATGCCCTGCAAGGGGGACAAGGGAACATTTCCTGTTTCACATAGATATTTATTTAGGTTAGAATTAAAAATTCTAAGTGCCTTCTATATCGGACACTGTTCTAAATGTTTTTACACATTAATCTGCATAATAGTACTACCGTGAAAAATGCTATAATTGTTACTACTTTACAGATGAAGCTGGGGCTTGGTAATTTGCACAAATTCGTGTAACTAATGGAAGTGAGATCTGAACCAGGCAGGTGTGACCCCAGGGTGCACACTTGTAACCACTCTATTCATTATAATCCAATAGGCTGAAAGGGAGAATCTTTTAAACAAAATAATTACTATACTTTCTTGTCCAAGAGAAGGTGTGAAACAGCAAATATAGAAATTAGACACTGGCCCTTTATGTTTCTCAGTTGAACCTTATCAGTCTAAACTGAAATCCAAGGGTCAAAGAGTTGGGACAGAGTTCAGCAGAAGGGCAGGAAGAACAGTTTTTCCTGTTTTTCCAGGGTCAAACCTTTACAACATAACTTCATCATTTTTAGTGTTCAGTATTACAAATTATCAGAAGAGCTTTAAAGAGAATAATAATGTAAATCCAAAATTAGTGTAAAAAATTCAGGGTAAAATAGTCAACCTGTTTGGGCTTTCTGTACTCCTGTTCCCATTCATTCTAACAAATTTTTAACTATTTAGCCAAATGTGTTCATTTTTGTTTGATAACAAGTTATTTCTCTCTGTTATGGCTACTTGCAGTTGTCTTGTTTCTTCATCATAAGGGCATTTAATAGTTTTCTGCAAATGTGCTCATCTAAGAACATGATGCCAACCATTTGTTTTAAAGAAACACTGTCTAAAAATTAGCCATATAAAACCAGTCTTTACTTTTACTTTGAAAGGAAAGTTTATTATTTCCCAATGTTCTTTACATTTTCATTTGGAAATATCATTCCTGACAGAAATAGATACATTATACCTTCGAAAGCAGAAAGATCTTAATTAATTAAAACAGTTTACATTTACCTTAGCATTAGGTCTGGCTGGCTAATTTCAAAGGATTAAAAATTGCACCTATTTGGGCCAACTGGGGTCCTGAATAATTATCCAGGGTAAAAGTATAATATTTCATACTTTATACATTTTGCTTCATCACACATTTACTTTCCACACAGTGTTCAACTTCACATTTAAAAAGCAAATTAGTCTTTAATTCCCTAATGAATATAATAGTCTTGATTTGATTGAAGTTTCAAATGGAAAATAAAACTATGCGGAGTTTTCAATAACTGCTTAGCCCAATAAATGTTGCCAATAGAAGTTTAAACACTTGTTTAAACAGTTTGCAAAGTATTATTTCCTTTATTCTCTTCAAAACAACACAGACACACATAAAGTCACACATTACAGGCATCTGAACTGGTAAAATGTTACAGATTAGTGGCATGCAGGTATTTTACATTTTTAAGTGCAATGAAAAATGCTGCTTATTCATTTTGCTTGAATGGATGAAAACAACTAAAATAAATGCTTAATTAAAATATAACTATTCCATGTATATAAGGGTTTTTGTTTTTAAACCAAAGTGGCAGAGATAAGAATTTTAGGTCAGAATAACTTACTTCTTAACTGAAGATTGTCACTGGCAACATTTGGTACTAAAATAAAATTTCCTCAAAAAGCACATTTCCTATTGATCTCATTTCGTCATATGGCCGATTCCTATCTACTCACAGTTAGATTACCCACAGGAAGTTTTAAATCTTGGGCCAGCCTCTCTCAATTGCACAGTATACTTTTGATTGACTTCTCTCTTTTTCCCAGTCAATACTTACTCAGAAACACACACATACACACACACACACACATTTTAAATAAGAGCCTACAAAAAAATGCTGTGTTTACTATGCTCAGTTTCTTTCTTTGCCTTCCCTCTTCTTCCCCACTGGTTCTGAGGAGCAAGATAGTATATATTTTATTTTATTTTTTGAGATGGAGTTTCGTTCTTGTCACCCAGGCTGGAGTGCAGTGGTGTGATCTCGGCTCACTACAACCTCCACCTCCTGGGTTCAAGCGATTTTCCTGCCTCAGCCTCCCCAGTAGCTGGGATAACAGGCTCTTGCCACAGGGCCCAGCTAATTTCTGTATTTTTAGTAGAGACGGGGTTTCACCATGTTGGCCAGGCTGGTCTTGAACTCCTGACCTCAGGTGATCCACCCACCTTCACCTCCCAAAGTGCTGGGATTACAGGCATGAGCCACTGGGCCCAGCCTAAATAGTATATATTTTTAAATATCCTTTCAGAAAAGGCCGCTTATCCAGAACCATTCTGAAGACAGTAAAGAACTGCTGAAGAGGAAGAAAAAACTGGCTGTGCAATAGTCAGACCTCCTCTGAACAAAGCCTCCTGGAGAGAAACAGCTGCAGTGGAGGCATTACTCACCCATGTTCAGAGGCAACGGAAACGATTTAGAATCACAAGCTTGTCAAGTATTGGAGCTGGAAGGGACCTTAGGGAGCATTGAATCTACTCACTTCATTTTACAGATGAAATGAAGACAAGATAGATGGAGAGTCTTGCCCAAAGTCACATAGAGCTGGCATCCAAATCACTATTGTTTCTCAAAAATATCACATGGTGGCAAATGGAGCATAACTCTGTGGGGCTGGACGACAGCTAAATTCAAGCAACATTTGTTCATTAAGCACCTACTATGTACAAGGCACCTTACAAGATGGTACTGAAGATACAAAGATGGATGAGACACAGTCCTGCCTCCAAGGGCTTATGAAAGTCATTGGAGGCCATGCTTCAAAACCTTTCTTAGCAGAAATATTACTGACCAGGGCTAAGGTTGCTGGTGATAACAAGGCAGCTGCTGCCCTGGAGAGGTGATCTCACAACAGGTGGCACTTTCTCCCCTTCACTATCTATCAGAACTAATGCCTGTTACTCAGCTGCTAGGCATTAAAATTCTTGAAACCCTAAGGACACTCTTCTCTCCTAGGCCTCCAGTCAAACCTGAAGTCTTAGCCTCTCCCACCCACAGCAATGACAGGAGGGCAGTAGCGCTCCAGACCCTCCCCTCAATTCTTAGTCAACTGTTCGCTTTCTCCCTTGTGCCCAGCCTAGGCCCTCTGCAAGGACTGACAATTTCCCAAGGTACTGTCAAAGTGACCCAGGAAAATGTCCTACCATATACATCGCTGGTATCTAACTTCCACTGCCCCATCAACCACCTCTCCCACCTCTACATGGGAGCTGAAATAACTCCAGTCCCTGATGACACACCCAAGCCTCAATTACCCATACTCCAAAAGATGAGAAAGATGTAATGGTTGGTTAGAATAAAGCCGATTCAAGAGGCAGTGGAAAACAGTGATTTGATAATAAAACTGATCTCTCACATTTGTACGGCGCTTTCCAGTTTATATAGTGTTTTTATCCAGTTATCTGATTATATTCTTACCACAACTCTGTGAGGTAGTTAGTGAAGTATTATTCCCATTTTATAGCTGAAGAACCTTAGGCTTGAGAGACCAAGCGGTTTGCCCAAAGTTACCCAGCTAAGGAAGTGTGGAGCCAAGTGTCCAGGTTTCTTGACTCCAAATCCAGTGCTCTTCCCCCTATATAGTCTATAATTGGCAGGCAATTGAATGAATTGCCCATGATCATATACCTGCTAAGTGTTGGTGATGGGATTAGGTTTCAGTCTCCAAATCTGTTAGTACGGTGCCCCTTCACCATACCAACTAACTGGGCCAATGTGCTCAGAATGTCTACCATGGAAGAGATCAGAAGAACATCTAGTTAGTTAACTACTCTTTTCTATGTCTAGGTCATCAGTTCTCTCCTTCATCCTCCCCCAAGTCAACAATGTATCCCAACTGGCAAAGCCTCTAAAACATGCACTATTCCTAGAACAGAACCCAGAGTCAGGTTACAAATTTAAACTTGCAACTCCTCTTCCATTGGTCTACTGATTATTCAGTCATTGCTATTACAGACAGATGGGAAAGAGATAAGCTGAGCAAATCTCAGTTCTGCCATTAAACAAATGTAAACCTTTAATTTCCATCATCCTTCCCCACCTCGGTCAGCAATTTGACTTCTTAACTCCTGAACTACAAAGTAAAATCCAATCTGATCTAGGGTTAGGGAGCAATAAAGCAGTGAATAATATCCCTGAAGTTCTTGGCGCTTTTCTCTGGCTAGTATATTACAACAGGAGGCCCTATCGTCTGATTTTCATCCAGTGGGCTCAGCTGGATGCTTCCAAGCACTCTCACACCTTTCCTTTGTGTGCATCTCAGTACTTTAGCTTTAGGATTGGTTGAGTAGCAGGGATATTTGAGATGAAAGCAATAAGAGGAGGTAAAGGGAAGCTGCAAGTGGAAGGCAGAGCTAGGACCTTTCCTCTTAGTTCTCTGCTCGTTAAAATGAAAACAGCTATTATTGCATCATTAGTGGAAGAGGGGAAGGAAGCTTCAGGATCATGACTTAAAACCTGACTCCAGAAACACTTCTACTGAATACAGGTAACATAGCACAGAACCTAGTGTTCTCAACTTCCCGCCCTCTGCCCATTTTTGCTGATGCTATAAATACTTGAATTAAATATGGGATCTTCTTTGTAAAAAAGGCACTCAGTCTACTCCCCAATCTCAGAAACACATATAAAATTATATTAGTCCAGAATTTTTATGCTTCCTCTGTCTTCTTCGTAGTGCCTAGGAGGGGGCTGAGTACATCATATCTGTGAAGAAGGAAATAGCTGCACATGTGTTTGTAAATTCCAAAGGGCTATCTTACACTTAAAGCATGCTGATGCTTAATATTGGTTTTAAGAATTTTCAGTTTGAGCATCTGAAATGTTCTCATGGCAGCTATTCGGAGGACATTGGTTTCCCTAATGCTGGTGCCCTGTCAGGGGCCATGTTTCTGTTGGAAGAGAAGCACCTGCTCTTTGGGCTGGTGTGCCAGTCTTCCCTTAGGGAAATTGGTTTGAGGAGTACAGGCACTGGGATGATTTCTGAGTTTTTAAATGAATGGGCTTTTATTGTAAGATGAACTGCATGCCCCTCCAGGTTGGTAATCTTCTAACCTGGGCCTGCAGCAACTTGGACAGGGACGAGGGAAGCAGGGCTGGGAGACAGCATCTCCCTCCAGTCAATTTTCCAGATGAAGCCAAATACCCCATTATGGTATTTGATGATCTTTATGTACAAAATATTTATATACAATGTGCCCTACAAAGATGGAAGAAAGGGGCTTCATCATGTTGATGAGGATGGAATGTTAAATACATTAGGCAAATGGATAGATTTGGTGCTAGAACAACTAAATGATTTCTAGGCTTCTAATATTTATTTCCTAAGAGTCATCCTCTACATAGCTATAAAATGTGGTGGTTGGTAACATAAACTGCAAAGCCTAGGGAGTAATTTCATATTTAACCTGGGCCTGCAGCAATTCTAAAAAGGACAAGGGAAGAGGACTGGGGAGAGAGCATCTCCCTTCAATCAGTTGTCCAGATGTAGCCAAATACCTAGTTAGATATCTGACAGTACACACACACATACACACACGACACTTATTTACATTATACCCTCCAAAGATGAAAGAAACGAAGTCATTTAATCATGCTGATGAGGATGAAAGAGCTTCCAGTTATACACTATAAGCAGATGGGGAGCTGCAGTGCTGAACTAATCATATGATTTCTAGACTTCTAAGGTTTTTCTCCTAAATGTCATCTACATGTGCCATAATAGATGTTGGTGATACAAGCCCACAAGTCCAGGTGAGTGATTTTACACTTAAAGTGGACCTGCACAACTCTAAAAGGGGGAGGGAGATAGGCCTGGGGAGAAGTTATCTCCCTTCAGTCAGTTATCCAGATATTGCCAAATATCTCAACACAGTATCTGGCAGAACAAATACATAGAAAAATATTTTATATACATTATGCCCCATCACAATGGATAGCAAAGGATTAACTGTGCCCATGATCATGAAAGAGCTACCACTTCCACACTTTGGGCAGAGAGGGAGATGAAGTCCTAGGCTAATTAAATGATGGATAGGCTCCTCAAGTGTATGTTTTTCTAAGGGTTATCATCAATATGTGCACACTCATGGAAATGCCACCTTTCAAGCCACTTTAAAAACACAGGTAATAAGAAAACAAACTGATTAGTAAAAAACATTTGATTTCATAGACTCTGTTGCATGCAACCCAACTATTTCATAAGGTAAAAACAGTGCTATATTTTTGATAATGTCCCATTATCTTGCTTTAATACTATCAACAACTGCTTGTACAAAAGAAACAGCCATGATTGAATTCTGATTCTTTTTTTCTTGCTTTCTGCCAGAGTTTGCCAAGAACTGCTTTAGCCCCCAGCCCACAGCACTGTGGGGCTGCAAGGAATGCTCTATAGGGTCCAGGATTTTAAGAGTCAAGGCAAGAATGAGAGTAAGAAAAAAAAAAAAAAAAAGGAAAAAGGCTTACTTGGAGAGGCAGGTCAGGGACTCAGCACTTAAACAGGTTTGTAACAAATCCAAAGAGGAGAAAAGACATCTAAGAGAAATGTTCTTCCCTTCGGCAACATGATAAGCGAAACATATGTATAAAAAAATGTATAATTTCACCCAGTGGTGTGCTGATGAATGTTTATCAACCAGCAATCTGGAGAGGGAGAAAACCCCAATTTCTTACATATTGCTAATTTCTGTGGTGTAAATATTTCTACCATGGCCAATTTCAAGCCACTGTAGTAACAAGAAGGTAGTGAACATGGAGTTGAGAGGATACGTTCAGTAGCATACTGTTTGGTAATATTTCTACATACATACCTACTAGATGTAAATAATCTAAGAGGTTAGAAAATAGTAAAATGTAAGATTTTTGAGTACAGTATTTGTTACTTCTGTCCTTAATATAATTCATTCAGTTGTAAGTGCACATCATTTAATTTTAAATAATGGCTGTATTGAACAACCAGTTTGCAAAATTCTTGAAAATATAACAGTTGGCAAGCCTGTACAAGTTGACTCCAACACATCACACCTAAATGGGTGAAAGGGAAGGAAAAATCAGACTGAAAACCATAAACATTATTTACTATGTTTTTTAAATAGATAAGGAGATGAAGCCATAAACTAATTAAAGGATTTTCAGGGGCCAAAGGTGTTAGAATATTCTGCTTATGGTGTTCTCAAACATTAAAAAAATTTCAAGATAATGAGATGTTTCAAAGGACTTCAGAGACACAGATGTGGGTACTTACAATACAGGTAAATGTTCAATTTTACAAGGGCTATCTTAAACAGATTCCATGTGTTTTACAAGCTAAATAGAATAATATATTAATTATTTTCCTATTCACTTGTTTTATTGCTACTAGGCAACTCAGGAACACTCAGCTACTAAACAAATTCTGGAATTTGTTTAGTAACAAATTACAGAGAAAAGAGGAAAAAAAAGACAATGAATTGGAAGAAAGGGAGGGGAGAAAGGAGGAATAGAGGGTGAGTTGCCTTGGGCAGTGTCAGAATGTCACCAATCACAACCTCAGGCACTGACAGTTATCAGAGTTGTGAGCTTGAGCCAAAGGCTGCAGTCACCTGCTTCATTAGTTTAGCACTGCATTTTTACACCACTACATTGAAAGATTAATGCATACTACAATGCAACCATCTCACTTGTACTTTCACAGGCTTTGTCCTTGAGATGACATGCATCTGGATAAATAATTCACATTTTTCTCCTGACGTTTGCAAATGTCTGGATGGATCATATACTGTGGACAAAAATCTAGATAATTAACCTGAATGTTTATATTTAATCCAGTGATCTTGTTACACTAAAGACAAAGCAATAAATGCTTCTAAAATTTGCCAAAAAATGCAATCATCTGCATCAGACAGCCTTGATTAAGATACAATATTGTTGTTTTATTCAGGAATGTACTGTTTTAAAAGCTTCTCTCTTACTAAAATTTAGAAAATTTCTATCATGTTTGAAAAACTTTAAAACAGCTTTGTAAATAGCCTTTAAAGTCATGTTAAAGATTCAATTTATGTTGAATAGTCAGTAAAAGTAGGTGTGTAATTCATTTTGCTACCTGTGAGTCTGGCTTGATGCTACATTTGTGGGTTAATAAATAGACTTCTTTGCTACTGTTTTAAAGTGTCATAATGTTGTCTTGCTTTATGAAGATGACACTACTGATCTCCAATCAACAGGGCATGTGCATTTACTGATTTTTCTGGAACTAAGAGAGAATTTGTGCTAAATTGGTCACATTTTCACATGCAGTGAAAGATTGGCAATACTAACTTCTTATGTGGTCAGTAGAACACTTCTGATGTATTTAGCCTAACTCAAAGCTATGCATGTAAACAGAGATAGGCCTCTATCATAATCACAGTTACAAACACATATTATACACTAAATTCCTTTCAGTGATTAAAAAAACAAGTTCATGTAAGAAAGCAAGACAACCCAATAAGAAAGTGGTTAAATTCATTTTCCATGTCGTCACTCTCTAAAATCTGCATCGGTCCATTTGTCAAGTTGCCAGAAGTGCCCATGAGCAAATAAAACAATTGCATATATTACAAAATCCAAGATAAATAAGTAGTGCTAAAAAAGAATAACAATTAAATTATTAGTTATGTGGTTAACGGAAATGAACGAACTTTGATAAAATGGTCCTGATGGGGAAGAAGAAGAGTTTTTGTTTTTCAATGGCCATACCACAGTGAAACTTCACTTCTCCTCAAGGAAGTTTACCTTCGGTCTGCTTCAACTCTCTTCTTACGAACTAGGTAAGAAAGAAAGGAACAAAAAGACAAATTGAAGGGATATTCCTTAAATTCCAGATAAACAACATTAATCACATAAGATGACAATCTCACACACTTGAGGATACAGTTATCTTAAATTTTAATACTTAACCATGACAATCAATGGAAATGATAAATTCATCCAGTGTCTGGTGGAATTTACATTTAAATACATATATGTCTGATAGTTGGGTACTCGAGTGTTAGAACCTTCGAATTTCTATGGGATAGAAATTCCAGAAGAGACCCGTGAAACAGTGCACTTTGACTATTTTCATGGCCGTTTATCCACGGCACTTGCAATTCTGTCACCAACTGGCTTTAACTAACTCTTCAGGTTAACACAATCACAATCTTTTAATTCTGATTATGGGATGAAGTCTGGAAGGAGCTGCAAATAGTTCAAAGTTTCTGAAACTCTTCTAAATAAAAACTTCTAAGTATCAACCTACAGGAAGGTGTGATTCACTTGGCAAGCAAACTCAGAGATTAATGTTCTTTTAACCTGATGTTTAGAACCGAAGAAGTTGCCGAGACTGCCGTTTCCCAGTTCCTGCAACCCTCTTCTTCCACCTTTCACTCTCCCAACTGCAGGCTCTCCTGGTCACTGGGAAGAGGGCTATTTGAACTTTCTTGGATTTGGCAAAAAGGTGCCCTGGCTGTGGTCTTGCTCTAACTCTCCACTTTAAATAGCCTAGCTCCTACCTAGGCTCTTGCCCACAGTTGCTGCTTCTTGGACGTAGGCTGCCCTGTCCATTTTCTTCAGACCTCTCATTTTGCCTGTTTTCCTTTGGTCTCTATATTGTTTGGTTGTGGACCCAATGTGCTTTTCCTAGGTGCCTTCTGATTGCTGCTTCCACTCTTCCCCAAATCCCTATTTGCCTGTCTGTCCCTTGGCCTCACCCTGTGCACCCCCCAGGTAAGCACTGTCACGTGTCCAGCCAGCTTCCTGATGCCACACACTGCACCTTTCCTACGCCTCAGGGTCTTGGCAAAGCCTGTCTGGACAAGGAATTGGAGGCTAACCTTTATTTGCCCCTTCCCGTTCTAACCTTTAGCTTCTATCTTGCCCACTATCTGAGTCCTCCTTGAGGCCAGCACTGTACCTGGTGGAACGCCTTGCCCAGTTCCTCCATCCAAGATCTGGCATTCTGTCCCTGAACCTCAAACTGGGGATTGAAGCCTGCTATTGACTGACTGACCACTTGCCAAATGGATGTCTGCTCCTGGGTGTCCTTTTGCCAGGCTGCTCCAGGTGGCTGGGATATCCTCAGACCAAGCTTTCCCAGTTCCTTTCTTCTTTGCTATGGTTGATCAGGACATGCCCCACCTCATCCTAACAGAAGAAATGCCAGGGATCCTCAGCAACAAGTGGCCACACGAAAAACTGAAGGGGCTAACTGAAAAGGCGACCTGTGAGTTTAAACTTCATAATGTAGCTCCATGTTTATATCACATGTAAAGTGCCAAAGTATCAGACATATCCATATTTAGAACTAAGTACCAAAGCAGTCAGAAGTCAAACATAATTTGGAATCTCAGTGTCCTTGTGCCCATTTTCTGGTGCAGATAAAAACAGAAGGAGATTACATGTAAGTAAAAGAGAAACAAATACACAAAAGAAATCAAGCAAAAATCAAAGACTGCCTGGAAAATAGAACAAACTTCTTTTTTGAGAAAATGCTATGATGAAACTTAACACTGCGAGGACCACAAAGACTCCTATGACCATGTATTATAATAATGCGTCTTATATGAAGAAGTGAGTGACATCAGAGGCCAGTGGAATGGTATCTGTGAGATGCTGCGTCTGAAGTGGAGAAGTGAATGCTCATGCTCTTCTAATTGTTAACAGCAAATATTATGGCTGAATTACCCAGGTCATTATTCTTTGTGATGGCAGCTGCCACCCTTGTTCGTGGCCCTTGCTTGGTAAACTGGTATCCAAACTTGAGGATCCTTGAATTCTCCTCCAGCATCTGGGCAATTTCCATCTCTACAGCTGTTCCCAACTGCTGCCTCTGGTTGCAGGTGCAGACACATGCACAGGATGACCAAGAAGGAAGAGGAAACAGTTACTTGCACAGGAAAAAGACAAGGCTACTTGCTGGACAAAAAGGCAAAGAGGCAAAGGTCTCAAACTGAAAGGGACAGCGTCACTTGAGAAGTTTTCTCTCACAGTCATTTGAGTCCTGCTCCTTGTCTAGAAGCAAAATCCAACAGACAGATAGCTGAGTTTGCTGGTGTCCTGCAGCTGAAAAAAACTAAGCAAATTGTTTATGAAGGAAAGGATAATTCCAGAATTAAAATGAAAGCAAAACTAATATTTGGTGTTTTGAATTCATCCCAGTATCTGTGGTTTAAACAAAGGGTGTTTTAAAAATAATGAAACTATTTTGTAGCAGCCAATCCAATTACTAAATTTTTATTTTATTTTTTACTTTTTACTTTGGGAATTCTTACTTACTTATTGTGGTAAAATACACATAAAATTTTGCCATTTTAAAGTGCACAATTCAGTGGCATATAGTACAATCACAATATTGTACAACCATTACCTTTATTCATTTCCAATACTTTTTCTTCTTTTTTATAAAATGTTTTTAATTTTGACTTTTGTGGATACATAGGTATATAATATTTATGGGGTACATGAGATATTATGACCCAGGCATACAATGCATAATAATCACATCAGGGTAAATGGGGTATCCATCACTTCAAGCATTTATCCTTTCTTTGTGTTACAATCAATCAAATTCTACTTTTTTATTTTAAAATGCACAATGTTATTGTTGACTATAGTAACTCTATTGTCACTGTGTTGTGCACATGTTATATTTGTGCTATCAAATATAATTTTTTAATTCTGGGATCCATATCCAATGATAATTAAACATCTCAACCTATGGGCTGTTGTCTCTCAGCAGAATCTTGCTAGGTGATTCTGAGCAGCTTTATTGTGGTTTGAACCATGTACACGTTTGGATGAAATCAGCAAACTCTGAAGGGGGTTCCTGGACTACAAAAAAATCTCCAACTTGTTTAAGTTGGTGGGAAGAGGTTTTTTTGTTTGAGACATAAACTAATGAAAAAATAAAAAATAGAGGGTTTTTTTTTCTTTTTTTTTAAGACGGAGGCCGGGCACCGTGGCTCCTGCCTGTAATCCCAGCACTTTGGGAGGCCGAGGCAGATGGATCACTTGAGGTCAGGAGTTTGAGACCAGCCCGGGCAACATGGTGAAACGCCGTTTCTACTAAAAATACAAAAAATTTGCTGGGCATGGTGGCATGCAAATGTAGTCCCAGCTACTTGGGAGGCTGAGGCAGGAGAATCACTAGAATCTAGGAGGCGGAGGTTGCAGTGGGCCAAGATCGCGCCACTGCACTCCAGCCTGGGTGACAGAGTGAGACCCTGTCTCAAAAAACAAAAACAAATGGGGCATGTAAATATGGGAATTTACAATTTAATTTAAGGGACAAAGTATATTTTTTCATAACACAGTCATCACATTTTAAAAAATAAGGCTAGGCGCAGTGGCTCACATGCCTGTAATCCCAGCACTTTGGAAGGCTGAGACGGGCGGATCATGAGGTCAGGTGTTCGAAACCAGCCTGGCCAATATGGCAAAACTCTGTCTCTACTAAAAGTACAAAAACTAGCTGGGTGCGGTGGCAGGCACCTGTAGTCCCAGCTACTCAGGAGGCTGAGGCAGGAGAATTGCTTGAACCCGGGAGGCGGAGGTTGCAGTGAGCTGAGATTGTGCCACTGCACTCCAGCCTGGGTGACAGAGTAGGCTCCATCTCAAAAAAAAAAACAAAACAAAACAAAACAAAACAAAACGTACAGGCTTGTTTAGAAAACACAAATTAAAATGTATATAAAATATGCAAGTCTCCTTACTCCAACATCCCCATTCCCCACAGAGAAAGCCAGATTGGCATGCAGTATGTAGTGTTCTAAACATTTTCTATGCATTCACGTATCTACACAATCACTTGTATATCTATGCTTTTTTTCACATTAATGGATTATACTAGCATATTGTTTTGAAGTGTGTTTTTATTTTTCATCTAACATTAAGGATATCTTTTCATGTTGGTAAATATACATTTACCTCATCCATATAAAGAACTATGCCAAATCCCATTGCAGTGATGGATCATAGTGTATTTAGCCAGGCCTTAGTGACTTACTGTTACATCACATTCTATTTCCACTATCCCAAACAAAACTGCAGTGAGCTTCCCTCCCCCAGTGCATCTTGGGGCATTTCTGCAAGTATGCCTGTAGGACAAATTATAGCTGGGTCAGATGGCAAGCATGTTTCGAATTCTGATATATTATTGACTTATTGTCAAAGGTTATGACAGCTTTTATTCTTGCTAACTGTACGAGTGTTACTTCTTTCCCTACCCTAGCCAAATAAGATACTACTAACCTTTTTAATCTTTGTCTATACAGTTGGTGAAAATTTATATTTCTTTCATATTTATTTACTGCCTTAATTTGCATTTGTCAAATGATGAATAAGAACAATGAATTTTCTTACAGGTTTATATTTCTTTTTTCTCAGGAACTACCAATCCATGCCATTTGCCCATTTTTCTATTAGCTTACAGTTCCTGTATTTTGAGTTTTTTAACTTGATTTGTAGGTTTCTGGTATGTTAGGAAATTAGCCCTTTGTCAAATGTGCTGAAAACATTTTGCTATGTTTGTCTTTTGACTTTCTTTTTATCACTATCAGGACTTTTCTTCATTTTCATATGGTCAAATTTATCAATCTTCTAGATATCATGTTTAGGAAGCCTCTCTACTCTTCCTGATTTCTTCCATTTGGTTTATGATTTAATATATTTTAATGTTTAAATCTTCATTTCATCTGGAATGAATTTTAACATAAGAATGAAGATAGGGCCAGGCATGGTGGCTCACACCTATAATCCCAGCACTTTGGGAGGCAGAGGCAGGCAGATCACTTGAGGTCAGGAGTTCGAGACCAACCTGGTGAACATGGTGAAATTCTGTCTCTACTAAAAATACACAAATTAGCAGGGGATGGTGGCATGCGCCTGTAATCCCAGCTGCTCAGGAGGCTGAGGCAGGAGAATCGCTTGAACCTGGGAGGCGGAGGTTGCAGTGAGCCGAGATGGCGCCACTGCACTCCAGCCTGGGTGACAGGAGTGAAACTCCACCTCAAAAAGAAAAAAAAAAAAAAAAAAAAAAAGAAGATATAGAGACCCAATTTAATTTTGTTCCAAAATGCTAGCAAATTATCCCACCATCTTTTATTTCATTCTTCCCTGATTTGAATCTGCTTTATTGCTCTGCTAGTATATTTTTGTGCCAGTACCATACAATCTTGATTACTTTGTAATAAGTTAAAAATATATACCTTTTAAATTTGGAAAATTTAAGTATGGAGTGGATGAAGAAGAAAAGTTTATGGAGGAACTCTTGCGTCCCAAGCAAGTTTAAGGCTTATCTCTTTGCTTCTCTCTTTCTTGTCATCCAGCAACCCCTCAAACGAGTCTCTCCTCAAGAACTTAACACAATGTGGTATTTCCAGTTAGACAATAATAATTATGGTAGAGATTAACGCTCTAAGCATTTTGAGTAAATGGGAGGGAGTGGCAGCAAAAAAGTAAGAGATGCTGACCTCAGAGTTTCATGAGCAACTTTAGCAAATGACATAGTTTAGAAGAGTGGGACCGTATCAAGGGATGAGCCCTGAGCTAAGGTTAGGGCTGCCACTACTACGGCTTGTGCCCCTGGAGCATTTGAGTCCTGGACTTGGATAACTTGCAGTGTTAATGCAGTGGTCCAAAGTTACCCCAAATCACCTATATTCCCAAGTATCTGAGTCCCTCCTCTCCAAGTAGCTGGCTATTTTCCTAGTAGTTTAAATTCTGCTCAGCATCCTTACAGCTGCTTTGTTTTGCAATAAAAGACAAATCCACACTTATTCATCCTTGATTTGAATGTTCTATTTATATAGACGTCAACTGTAATTTCTTTAGGGTTTTCTCTATTTTGTAATGAACCTTGGATGACATTCTGGCAAAGTAGTGAAACAGAAACACCAACTCTGCTTTTATGTTAACTTAAACCATTAATATAATCTGGAATCAAAAATAGGAAATATTAATAATAGAATAATAGCTTTATTTTTTTTTGAGGGGGAGGAAGGAGATGCTAATAGCTATATAAAAGACTTAGAAGCTGAAGAAAATTAAATTGGGGGGCATATAAAAAAGGGGAGGAATTAATGTAACATACACTATGTTTCTTCCTCAGCCTGCATCTTTTTTTGGATTTGAGGTCTTACATAAACCCAGGACAATAGATGGGCATCAAAATTTCTTATAATTTGGATATACAGTCTTTATATATACTTAAATTATCTAAGTATGTAGTGTATTAAATTATATAACTTTTATTATGTTATATTATATTATATATATATTTTAAAGATGAGGTCTTGCTATGTTGCCCAGGCTGGACTCGAACTCCTGGGCTCAAGGGATTCTCCTGCCTCAGCCTCCTAAGTAGCTGGGACTAGAGGCCCAGGCTCTTTTTATATTTTAAGTCACCAAACACAAAGGGGGAAAAATAGAAACAAATGTTTAAGCATATCTTCAAATCGCCTTCTGTGTTTTTCTAAGTGACCTCTTTTATCTACTCAAATTTATTTAGCAGTTCCCCATCTGTTTCTTTAATATGCATCACCGATTGTTCTTCCCATGGGGGCACCTGATTAAATCACTGCACATTGACCTGGAGCCTAGCCACAGCAGCCTGCCCCCAGTGGTGGATTCTCAGCAGGCCTTCGCTTTGGTGCAGCTGCCCATTGCTGTGCTGTTAAATTGGTCTTGGCTTCTGGTTCTGCCTGAGGAAACTGTCTTACAGATTATTTTATTTCAAACCCCTCATTAGATAGATAAGGAAACTGAGGTTACTTCTAACAGTCTATGAGTCAATGAACACAATTTGGATGCAAGACAAGTTTTGACCCCGAATTCCCTCATTTCTCAAGTAAAGCAAACAATTTTTTCCAATTCCTCTAGAAAATCTTTTCTTAGAGAGAGAGAGAGAGAGAGAGAGAGACAGGGTGTGTGTGTGTGTGTGTGTGTGTGTGTGTGTGTGTGTGTGTGTGTGAGAGAGAGAGAGAGAGAGAGGGAGAGAGAATGAATATACAGGGTCTAGGTCTGTTGTCCAAGGTGGAATGCAGTGACACATCCATAACTGACTGCAACCTGGAATTCCTGGGCTCAGGTGATCCTCCTGTCTCATTCTTGCAATGCATTGGGATTACAGGTGTGAGCCACCACACCCAGCCTCTCTAGAAAATCTTAATCCTCCTTGTCGTATACAAATAAAGAGACGCCAGGCTAGGCGCGGTGGGGCTCATGTCTGTAATCCCAGCACTTTGAGAGGCTGAGGCAGGAGGATGGCTTGAACCCAGGAGTTTGAGAACAACCTGGGAAATATAGTGAGACCCTGTCTCTACAAAAATTTAAAAATTAGCTGGGCATGGTAGTGTGTGCCTGTAGTCCCAGTTACTCAGAAGGCTGAAGTGGGAGGATCACTTGAGCCAGAGAGGTGGAGATTGCAGTGAGGCC
The DNA here is from genome assembly GCF_000001405.40 of Homo sapiens. Lineage (NCBI taxonomy): Eukaryota > Metazoa > Chordata > Mammalia > Primates > Hominidae > Homo > Homo sapiens. The sequence goes on along the minus strand of NC_000015.10, from coordinate 51,800,773 downwards.
ACACTGCATCATTGTACTCTAGCCTGGGCCATAGAGTGAGACCTTGTCTCAAAACAAACAAACAAAAAACAAACAAAAAAAAGAAATAAAGAGAAGCCATTTCAGAAGCAAAATGAAATACTAAAGTTGAAAAACTACACAAATCCATTCCTAGATGGCTGAGGAGGGGTGATGAGGTTGATTTAGAGGGGATTTTAGGGAGCAAATTCTTTGTACTTCAGGGTTTTGTTTTTTTTTTGAGACACGGTCTTGCTCTGTCACCCAGGCTGGAGTGCAGTGGCATGATCTTGGCTGACTGCAATCTCTGCCTCCTGGGTTCAAGTGATTCTCACGCCTCAGCCTCCCCAGTAGCTGGGATTATAGGCATGTGCCACCACACCTGGGTAATTTCTGGATTTTTTGGCAGATATGGGATTTCATCATGTTGGCCAGGCTGGTCTCAAATTCCTGACCTCAGGTGATCTGCTCGCCTCGGCCTCCCAAAGTGCTGGGATTACAGGCTGTACTTCAGGGTCTTCTTTATATGCATTGTCAAAAGCTGCTCTGTTCTAAATTTTCACAATTCTAGCTCATTCTAGGCTAATTCTAACTCAATACTAGGCATAGAGTTGCCAGGTTTAGCAAATAAAAATACAGGACACCCAGTTAAGTTTGACTTTCTGATAAACAACAAATAATTTTTTTAGTATAGTATAAGGTATCCCATATATTTGATGACACATGCTAAAATTTATACATCATTTATCTGAAAGCCAAATTTAACTGTATTTTATGTGGCAACCTTAGCTAGGTGGTATCTTGTAAGGAACTAGGGACAGAGTGTGTGATATTATTTCAGATATGGGGTTTCACAATGGCCTAAATCCGTAAACAAAGTTAAATATACTTTGGAACAGGGTATCCACTTCTGTGTTAGTTTCCCTGGAAATATTTACTAAGTGCCCACTTAGCTTCTTCCTGATATGAGTCTATTCAACAAATATCCCTGAGTGATCACTTCTGTTCTCTCCCTTCATATTTCTCTCTGGCTTGTTTCCTTACTCCCCCACACCCTGATGCCACTTTCTAATTTACTAGCAGCTGGACATATGCTAGGATACACAGCATCGAACTTCCTGAGTGTGCGGGGCCCTGTGTGGCACATCCCCTGGGGTGCTGCCTCCACATCTCTGTGTCTAGGAAAGCCGTTTTGGTGGCACATTCCTTCTGGCAGGATGCGAATGTAAAAGTTCCTCTCTCCTAGTGGGCTTTCTGTGTTCCCCTGGCAACAAACATCATTAGTCCAGGGCCAGAGGGCCTGCACTGAAAACAGTCTGCTTGTCCTGGTTAGCAAAGACAGAGAATAGAGCCTCCATAGGAACTGTTGAGGGTTTCCAGGGTTAGGCAACAGTCCTGGATGGCACTCTGCGGCTTTATCAGATCTTGGAGGGTCTGCACCAGGAACTTTCCCAGAGATGGCCCCCAGACATGCAAAGGATGCTCTGAGCAGTCACTTCCCCAACTGTCTCTCCCACCATCCCACAGGGGAACGAATGCTCATACCACAAGTCTCCTTGGTCTCTCCTTTCCAAGGCCCTTTCTTTTCAAGATATAGTGTCTGGAACCCCATCACAGACCCTTCCCCATGGCCAGAGGAGCAGGGCTCTACATCATGGCTGATCACTGAGAGTTGCTGTCTGTGGGCAGGAGTCAGCTGAAGCCAGCAGAGCAACTCGGAAGGCACTGCAGGCTGACGCTGGGAAAAAGAGGTCGCCAGGCAGGAAGAGGTGGCTCTAGGGAAAAGCACCTTGCTTTGGCTGCAGACGGGAACCTGAGAAATGCTGTGGTCATGATCAATGAGACTGTGATCAGACCACAATCTCATGGGTGTGGCCTGCTACTCTAAGCCAGACCATCTTCTAGAACCCTGATTCCTTTAAATAGGCTCTCTGCAGCCAGCATCAGACTGCAGGAGCCTGCATCTGCTCTTTTGGTTCTAGAAGTCTTCAGCCAAGGAAAAGAAATCTGAATCTTTGGACACGGCTACCCTGCTTTCTCTGTTAGCAACAGTCCCAGTGAGAAGCAAAAGTAAGGCTGGGATAGTACAGGGAAGAGATACATGCCAAAAGGCAACAATGATGAGACTGAATAAAGCAGCTATCAACACCTCTGCCACCACCTCCTTGCTTTCTCTTCTGGAGCCTGACTAGCCTAGGGTTGTGGGATAGATGGCTCTTTATGTCCCAGGCTGCCCCACTGTACATTGTTTGATTAGTAACATGCTCTTCTGCACATCCTCCATGGGCCAGAAATGGTTCTAAAACTTACAGGAAATCCAGTACATCAAATTGAGTCACACACAGAACTGTGTCTTTTAACTCATTCCTTGTGGCATTTCCCCCGCTCACTGCACACCCTGTGAGTTGACTTTGCCTATTCTCTGGCCTTCCTTACCTGGTTGTCAATCTTGATTTCTGTCAAGGTGTCATTTTCTTTCAGTGCCTCTACCAGGGCCAGGATCCCAGTTCCAGTGATAAAATTGGATTCTATGTTTAGACTTGTCAAGGTCTTGTTTACTTTCAGCATGTCTGCAAAAGCCTTATGATGCAAAAAGAAAAAAAACTTAGAATTAAGTTAGAATTTCTAAAGATTAATTTACTAAACCCCTCACTCCCAAATTAAATACAGATGTTTTCTAGCACTTAAAGAAAACCTTCATCAAATCATACTTTCACCTCCAAGTAACAAAGATACAATTTAAAACCACAATTAAAATATTTCAGTCCAGCAGTCTAGACATAAATTTCACATACTTGCAAAAACTATTTTTAAAAAAGATACTGACATAGGATTACAGATTTTTTTTGTTAAGTAGAGACATTAAAAAAAAACCACTACTGTTTTTTTTTTTTTGAGAAAACACATTTTAACATTAGAAAAAAGGTAGAAAGGACATAATCCCAGAAAACCCAGTTTTTTTCCTTTACTATGAATTAATTAAAAAAAAACTTTACCATTGACTAGCACTTGGAAACTAGTGATTTAGTTATATTATTTCAGATCATGTATAAATCAGAATTTTTAAAAAATAACTTTTGGAACAAAATCACCACTGAGGGTGGCAAACCCATGGGAGACTCCAGTTTGAGACAGCGGACTGCACACGGGCACCTGCCGGCTCTCTTTACTCCCAGAGTTTCCCACCACCAGGAAGAAATAATATAATTTTTAAGAGACTGGAATTCTCACAGTGCAAGAAAACAAAACAAAACAAAAGGCCATTATCTTGAGGAATTGCTGAAATACAGAAAATAGAAAGATTCACAGATAAATTAGCACAAGCAAGTTGTTGCCTGAGCTGCTAGAGATAGGTCCCATTTGGGGCAATTCCTTAAAGAACCGCCTTAGGAACAGATGGAACAGCTAGGGCAGATGGAGAGTACACTATCCCTCCCAGCACCTTCCAGGAAAAAGAGCAGCTGCCAGCACAATCAATGAAGTCTCCCAGGAAGAGCCTCTGGTGAAGGTGCTGCGACCTGTGACAGAAGCAGTGCGGAAACAGAGGCGCCTCCAGACCTTCACACCAGTACAGTGTGGGGGGAAAATGGGAAAGGCAGCTCTGCCAGGAATGAAGTACAGTATTCCCTGCAATCTGCGGTTTCAGTTACCTGCTGTCAACCTCAGTGGGAAAACGTTAAATGGACAACCCCAGAAATAAACAATTCATAAGTTTTAAATTGCATGCTGTTCTGAGTGGTATGATGAAATCTTATGGTCTATGTCGCCCAGGAGGTGAATCATCTGTTTGTCCAGCATCTCCGTGCTGTCCCTGCCTATGAACCAATGACACTGTCTGCTTTTGACATCCAACCATTGACATCGTCATGGCTGGATGAGCCAGGATCACCGGAGGTAGATGATCCTCCTTCTGACAAATGGTCAGAAGGGCAACAGTAGCCTAACGCAGTCCCCTTGCCTATGTCATTCACCTCACTTCATCTCATCATACAGGCATTTTACCATCTCATGTCATCATCACAAGAGGGAGGAGGATAGTACAGTAAGATATTTGAGAGAGACCATATTCACACAACTTCTATAACAGCATATTGTTATTATAATTGTTCTATTATTAGTTATTGCTGTTAATCTCTTACTGTGCCTAGTTTAAAAATTAAACATTATTATAGGTGTGTAGTATAGGAAAAGACATAGCACATATCGGGTTTGGTACTATCTGTGGTTTCAGGTATCCACTGAAACCTCTGCAGATAAGGGGACTACTATACATTGAAAGGTGCCCCTCCCAGAATGAAGTCCTCCTAACTGTAGCGATTGCAGGGGACTCTCAGGCTGCCTGTGAGCTCCTTATACACACACTGCAGAGAAGGTGGCAGGTCAGCACACCTGCTGCTGAAAAAAAGCTCTCACTCATACATTCAAAAAAGACTATTTGTCAGGCTTCTACTGTGCTCTAGCAGTAAGAGAAAACAAAAATCCTTGTCCTCAGAGAGGCTTATATTTGAGCAAGAGGGCAGAGTCAATAAATTAATAAATAAAATATATAGCTTATCAGATGGTGACAAATGGAGAAAAATAAAGGGGCCTCCTTTTTAAGGGAGAGGTCTGTTGGTAAAACAGATAGATACAACTGCAGGAGAAATGATCCTGGATTATACAAACCAACCTTGCTCTCCATTATAAACAGGGAACCAATAATTGCCAGACATTTTAAGAAAACCAACATCATGAAAGAATAAAGTTGACCAAGCAGGTCAATATGCCATAGAAGAAACAGACACAAATTTAAAAATTCTGATTATGTATTATTTTCCTCCCTGCCCCACAAGAAAAAGAAAAAGAAAGAAAGAGAGAAAAAGTCGGGTGGGGGGTGGGGGGCGGCGGAGAGAGACAGAGAAAAGAAAAACATTTTGAACATTTAAAAAAACTACATTGAAATAAAAGAAAATAATAGACATCTAGAATTACAAAATAAGCATGGCTGAAGACCAAGTTGGTGATCTAGAAGATAACACTGAGGATATTTCCAAGGATATACAGCAAAAAGATGAAGATAGAAATTATGAGAAAACCTTAAGAGATGTGGATGAAAGATGCAGAGATTCAACATTCATCTAAGAAGAGTTCCAGAAGGAGAAAGAAAGAAAGAAAGAAAGAAAGAAAGAAAGAAAGAAAGAAAGAAAGAAAGAAAGAAAGCAAGCAAGCAAGCAGAAGAGAAGAAGTTATCAAATAATTAAGGAGAAAAAATAAATTTCCCAGAGATGAAGAAAGTTACGGATCTTTATCTGAAGGAAATAACTAGACACTCAGCAGAATGAATAAAAAAAACTTTTTTTTTTTTTTTTGAGACAAAGTCTCACTTGACATGTTGCCCAGGCTGGAGTGCAGTGGCACTGTGTCGGCTCACTGTAACCTCCATCTCCTGGTTCAAGCAATTCTCCTGCCCCAGCCTCCCAAGTTGCTGGGACTACAGGCATGGGCCACCACGCCTGGCTAATTTTTTTTATATACTTGTAGTAGAGACGGGGTTTCACCATGTTGGCCAGGCTGGTCTCGAACTCCTGACCTCAGGTGATCCACTAGCCCTGGCCTCCCAAAGTGCTGGGATTACAGGTGTGAGCCACCGCACCCGGACCAAAATGACTCTTAAGTGAACAGACAAGTGAAATTTCAGAATTCCAAGAGGAAAGAGAGTACTAAAAATTTCTAGCAAGGAAAAACAAGTTACCTGCAAAGGATCAAAAATCAGGTCAGCACTAGTCACTACATTGTAAGGCCCATGAGAATGGAGATTTATATTTATATAAGTCATATAATTGTAAATGCTGCTAATAGGTTAATTTTTGGAATCAATCTATATACAAACACAGAATATAATTACAGAAAATGTATAAAGCTCAAATGTGTGAAAATAATGGAATATCTACAATTTGGAAGTGGAAGAGAAAGGAGGAATGGAAAATTAAGTATAGAACTACCCTCATCTTTTATAATAGAGAATAAAAAATTTTCTAAGATGATAAATGAAAAATATAAATTTCTGTATATTACTGGTTTTCTACATTGACCACACATTAGAATGGTCTGGGAGCTTTAAAAAATTTACCCCAGATGAATTAAATCGGAATCTCTGAGGCTGTGGAATGGCCATCTGCATTTCTGAAGAGCTCTCCAGGTGAATAATGTGCAGTTAGGATTGACAACCACTTTTTTCTTTTTTGGTGTAGAAACAGGTCTCTCTATGTTGCCCAGGCTGGTCTCGAACTCCTGGCTTTAAGTGATCCTCCTGCCTCGGCCTCCCAAAGTGCTGGGATTACAGGCATGAGCCAGTAACCACTTTAATTAAAGTCATAAAGACAACAACCAGAAGAATGAAAAACAAACTGCTAATAGTGATTGCTTCTGGGGAGTAGAACAAAAAAGTTCTGAACTATTTTAATTGTTTTTACAGTGGAAAAGACAGGAAGAAGGAAGACGAGAAGTCCCAATATTGGATGAGAACAGGGTTATTTAACCTCAGCATGACTGACACTTGGGGCCAAAGAATTCTTTGTTGTGGGAGGCTGTCCTGTGTATTGAAGGATATTTAGTAGTATCTCTGGCCTCTGAGACTCACTAGATGTCAATAGCACTCCTCCCCATCATGACAACCAGAAATATCTCCAGATGCTGCCTATTGTCCCCTGGAGGGCAAAATTGCCCTAGGTTGAGAACCACTGGACTAGAAGAATAATCCTGTATCTTGGTCAGGCAGTTGCTTGCACTGCAAAGAAAGCTCAACAATTTGGATTTACACTATCGCATACCATGTAAATTAAAGTGCATTTATTCTGTGCTAGGTCCTTGATTAAAATTAAATCTATACATTTTAATCTGATCATCAGAGAGGGATGCATCAGGACTTTCCTTTTGGACTCTACAAGCTTTGGGATTTACTATCATTATTAGAATAACAAAATGTCAGAGCAATTAGGCCTTTACAGAAAGTTGCAGGACCTCCTGGCGAGTTGCCAGGATCTTGCCAATTTCTTTTAAACTTGAGAAAACACTTTCTTGTGCTGAACAAAACAGGGGCGAGCCAGCCAAACACAATACTGGGCTGTAGGCCCAGGTTCACTTCAGTTCAGCAAATATTTGAGCATATTACATGTGCTGGGAATAATAACATTAGTAAAACAAAGACTAGATGTTTTAAATGTAATTGAAGTAGAGTAGAAATACATCTTTAAAGAGAAGGGTTTGCTGTCTGTACTTTATAGGATTGTATGGAAATGCAAATTTCTGCACTGGCCAAATGGTAGCCATGAGAAATGTGGCTACTGAGCCCTTGAAAACTGGTTAGTCTGATTTGAAATGTGCTGCAAACATAAAACACACTGGATTTCAAAGATGTAGTATGAAAAAAAGAATGCAAAATACCTCATTATATTTTCAAATTACATTTTGGATATATTGGTTTAAATACAATACAGAGAGTCCCTGACTTACGATGGTTCCACTTTCCATTTTTGGAATTTACCATGATGTGAAAGTGATACTTATTCAGTATGCTCCTTGACTTATGATGAGGCTATGTTCAGATAAAGATTTTCAATTTACAGTAGTTTTATCTGGACATAACCCCATTGTAAGTCAAGGAGCATCTATTTACTACTAAAATTAATTTTGTCTACTATGTATTTTTTTTAATGTGGCTACTAAATAATTTAAATTTATACATGGGGCTTCCATTTGTGGCTCATGTTTTATTTCTTTTTATTTTTTATACTTTAAGTTCTGGGTTACATGTGCAGAATGCGCAGTTGTGTTACATAGGTATACACGTGCCATGGTGGTTTGCTGCACCCATCAACCTGTCACCTACATTAGGTATTTCTCCTAATGTTATCCCTCCCCTAGCACCCCACCCTCCACAGGCCCCGGTGTGTGATATTCCCCTCCCTGTGTCCATGTGTTCTCATTGTTCAACTCCCACTTATGAGTGAGAACATGCGGTGTTTGGTTTTCTGATCTTGTGATGGTTTGCTGAGAATGATAGTTTCCAGCTTCATTCATGTCCCTGCAAAGGATATGAACTAATCCTTTTTTATGGCTGCATAGTATTCCATGGTGTATATGTGCTACATTTTCTTTATCCAGTCTATCATTGATGGGCATTTGGCTTGGTTCCAAGTCTTTACTATTGTGAATAGTGCCGCGATAAACATATGTGTGCATGTGTCTTTATAGTAGAATGATTTATAATCCTTTGGGTATATGTCCAGTTATTAAGATTGCTAGGTCAAATGGTATTTCTAGTTCTAGATCCTTCAGGAATTGCCACACTGTCTTCCACAATGGTTGAACTAATTTATACTCCCACCAACAGTGTAAAAGCATTCCTATTTTTCCACAACCTCTCCAGCATCTGTTGTTTCCTGACTTTTTAATGATTGCCATTCTAACCGGCATGAGATGGTATCTCATTGTGGTTTTGATTTGCATTTCTCTGATGACCAGTGATGATGAGCATTTTTTCATATGTCTGTTGGCTGCATAAATGTCTTCTTTTGAGAAGTGTCTATTCATATCCTTTGCCCATTTTTTGATGGGATTGTTTGCTTTTTTCTTGTAAATTTGTTTAAGTTCCTTGTCAATTCTGGATATTAGCCCTTTGTCAGATGGATAGATTGCAAATTTTTTTCTCCCATTCTGTAGGTTGCCTGTTCACTCTGATGATAATTTCTTTTGCTGTGCAGAACCTCTTCAGTTTAATTAGATCCCACTTGTCAATTTTGGCTTTTGTTGCGTTGCCATTGCTTTTGGTGTTTTAGATATGAAGTCTTTGCCCATGCCTATGTCCTGAATGGTATTGCCCAGGTTTTCTTCTAGGATTTTTGTGGTCCTAGGTCTTACATTTAAGTCTCTGATCCATCTTGAGTTTATTTTTGTATAAGCTGTAAGGAAAGGGTCCAGTTTCAGTTTTCTGCATATGGCTAGCCAGTTTTCCCAAGAGCATTTATTAAATAGGGAATCTTTTCCCCATTGCTTGTGTGTGTCAGGTTTGTCAAAGATCAGATGGTTGTAGATGTGTGGTGTTATTTCTGAGGCATCCGTTCTGTTCCATTGGTCTATGTATCTGTTTTGGTACCAGTACCATGCTGTTTTGGTTACTGTAGCCTTATAGTAAAGTTTGAAGTCAGGTAGCGTGATGCCTCCAGCTTTGTTCTTCTTGCCCAGGATTGTCTTGGCTATGCAGGCTCTTTTTTGGTTCCATATGAAGTTTAAAGTAGTTTTTTCCAATTCTGTGAAGAAAGTCAGCAGTAGCTGGATGGGGATAGTGTTGAATCTACAAATTACTTTGGGCAGTGTGGCCATTTTCATGATATTGATTCTTCCTATCCATGAGCATGGAATGTTTTTTCATTTGTTTGTGTACTCTCTCTCTTATTTCCTTGAGCAGTGTTTTGTAGCTCTCCTTAAAGAGGTCCTTCACATCCCTTGTAAGTTCTATTCCTAGGTATTTTATTCTCTTTGTAGCAATTGTGAATGAGAGTTCACTCATGATTTGGCTCTCTGTTTGTTCTTGGTGTATAGAAATGTTTGTGATTTTTGCACATTGATTTTATATCCTGAGACTTTGCTGAAGTTGCTTATCAGCTTAAGGAGATTTTGGGCTGAGACTATGGGGTTTTCTAAATATACAATCATGTTATCTGCAAACAGAGACAATTTGACTTCCTCTATTCCTATTTGAATACCCTTTATTGCTTTCTGTTGCCTGATTGTCCTGGCCAGAACTTCTAATACTATGTTGAATAGGAGTGGTGAGAGAGGGCATCCTTGTCTTGTGCCGGTTTTCAAAGGGAATGCTTCCAGTTTTTGCCCATTCAGTATAATATTGGCTGTGGGTTTGTCATGAACAGCTCTTATTATGTTGAGATACGTTCCGTCAATACCTAGTTGATTGAGAGTTTTTAGCATGAAAGGCTGTTGAATTTTGTTGAAAGCCTTTTCTGCATCTATTGAGATAATCATGTGGTTTTTGTAGTTGGTTTTGTTTATGTGATGGATTATGTTTATTGATTTGCGTATGTTGAACCACCCTTGCATCCCAGGGATGAAGGCGACTTGATCATAGTGGATAAGCTTTTTGATGTGCTGCTGGATTCGGTTTGCCAGTATTTTATTGAGGATTTTCACATCAATGTTCATCATTACTGGCTTAAACATCCTCTTTTTTTGTTGTGTCTCTGCCAGGTTTTGGTATCAGGATGATGCTAGCCTCATAAAATGAGTTAGGGAGAATTCCATCTTTTTCTATTGCTTGGAATAGTTTCAGAAGGAATGATACCAGCTCCTTTTTGTACCTCTGGTAGAATTCGGCTGTAAATCGGTCTGGTCCTGGACTCTTTTTGATTGGTAGGCTATTAATTATTACCTCAATTTCAGGACCTGTTATTGGTCTATTCAGAGATTCAACTTCTTCCTGGTTTAGTCTTGGGAGGGTGTATGTGTCCAGGAATTTATCCATTTTGTCTAGATTTTCTAGTTAATTTGCGTAGAGGTGTTTATAATATTCTCTGATGATAGTTTGTATTTCTGTGGGATCAGTGGTGATATCCCCTTTATCATTTTTTATTGCATCTATTTGATTCTTCTCTCTTTTCTTCTTTGTTAGTCTTGCTAGTGGTCTATTTTGTTGATCTTTTCAAAAAACCAGCTCCTGGATTCATTGATTTTTTGAAGAGTTTTTTGTGTCTCTATCTCCTTCAGTTCTTCTCTGATCTTAGTTATTTCTTGTTTTCTGCTAGCTTTTGAATATGTTTGCTCTTGCTTCTCTAGTTCTTTTAATTGTGATGTTAGGGTGTCGATTTTAGATTTCTCCTGCTTTCTCTTGTGAGCATTTAGTGCTATAAATTTCCCTCTAAACACTGCTTTAAATGTGTCCCAGAGATTCTGGTACGCTGTGTCTTTGTTCTCATTGGTTTCAAAGGACATCTTTATTTCTGCCTTCATTTCGTTATTTACCCAGTAGTCATTTAGGAGCAGGTTGTTCAGTTTCCACGTAGTTGTGCAGTTTTGAGTGAGTTCTTAATCCTGAGTTCTAATTTGGTTGCACTGTGGTCTGAGAGACAGTTTGTTGTGATTTCTGTTCTTTTACATTTGCTGAGGAGTGTTTCACTTCCAATTATGTGGTCAGTTTTAGAGTAAGTGCGATGTGGTGCTGAGAAGAACGTACATTCTGTTGATTTCGGGTGGAGAGTTCTGCAGATGTCTATTAGGTCCACTTGGTCCAGAGCTGAGTTCAAGTCCTGGATATCCTTGTTAATTTTCTGTCTCATTGATCTGTCTAATATTGACAGTGGGGTGTTAAAGTCTCCCATTATTATCGTGTGGGAGTCTAAGTCTCTTTGTAGGTCTCTAAGAACTTGCTTTATGAATCTGGGTGCTCCTGTATTGGGTGCATATATATTTAGCATAGTTAGCTCTTCTTGTTGAATTGATCCCTTTACCATTATGTAATGCCCTTCTTTGTCTCTTTTGATCTTTGTTAGTTTAAAGTCTGTTTTATCAGAGACCAGGATTGCAACCCCTGCTTTTTTTTACTTTCCATTTGCTTGGTAGATCTTCCTCCATCCCTTTATTTTGAGCCTATGTGTGTCTTTGTACATGAGATGGGTCTCCTGGGTACAGCACACTGATGGGTCTTGACTCTTTATCCAATTTGCCAGTCTGTGTCTTTTAACTGGGGCATTTAGCCCATTTACATTTAAGGCTAATATTGTTATATGTGAATTTGATCCTGTCATTATGATGCTAGCTGGTTATTTTGCTGCCATTAATTGATGTAGTTTCTTCATAGCGTTGACGGTCTTTACAATTTGGCATGTTTTTGCAGTGGCTGGTACTGGTTGTTCCTATCCATGTTTAGTGCTTCCTTCAGGAGCTCTTGTAAGGCAGGTCTGGTGGTGACAAAATATCTTAGCATTTGCTTGTCTGTAAAGGATTTTATTTCTCCTCCACTTATGAAGCTTAGTTTGGCTGGATATGAAATTCTGGGTTGAAAATTCTTTTCTTTAAGAATGTTGAATATTGGCCCCCACTCTTCTGGCTTGAGAGATCCGCTGTTAGTCTGATGGACTTCCCTTTGTGCTTAACCCAACCTTTCTCTCTGGCTGCCCTTAACATTTTTTCCTTCATTTCAACCTTGGTGAATCTGACAATTATGTGTCTTGGGGTTGCTCTTCTCGAGGAGTATCTTTGTGGTGTTCTCTGTATTTCCTGAATTTGAAAATTGGCCTGCCTTGCTAGGTTACAGAAGTTCTCTTGGATAATATCCTGAAGAGTATTTTCTAACTTGGTTCCATTCTTCCTGTCACTTTCAGGTACACCAATCAAACGTAGATTTGGTCTTTTCACATACTCCCATATTTCTTGGAGGCTTTGTTCGTTTCTTTTCACTTTTCTTTCTCTAATCTTGTCCTCTGACTGTACTCCATTAATTTGAACTTCAATCACTGATATCCTTTCTTCCACTTGATCAAATCGGCTATTGAAGCTTGTGTATGCTTTACGAAGTTCTTGTACTGTGGTTTTCAGTTACAAAGTTCTTGTACTGTGGTTTTCAGCTCCATCAGGTTATTTAAGCTCTTCTCTACACTGGTTATTCTATTTAGCCATTCGTCTAACCTTTTTAGCTTCCTTGCAATGGATTAGAACATGCTCCTTTTGCTCAGAGAAGTTTGTTATTACCGACCTTCTGAAGCTTACTTCTGTCAACTCGTCAAACTCATTCTCTGTCCAGTTTTGTTCCCTTGCTGGTGAGCAGTTGTGTTCCTTTGGAGAAGAGGCGTTCTGGTTTTGGGAATTTTCCGCCTTTCTGCTCTGGTTTCTCCCCGTCTTTGTGGTTTTAGCTACCTTTGGTCTTTGATGTTGGTGACCTATGGATGGGGTTTTGGTGTGGATGTGCTTACTGTTGATGTTGATGCTATTCCGTTCTGTTAGTTTTCCTTCTAACAGACAGGCCTCTCAGCTGCACGTCTGCTGGAGTTTGCTGGAGGTCCACTCCAGACCCTGTTTTCCTGGGTATCACCAGCAGAGGCTGCAGAAGAGCAAATATTGCTGTCTGATCCCTCCTCTGGAAGCTTTGTCCCAGAGGGACACCCACCTGTATGAGGTGTCTGTCGGCCCCTACTGGGAGGTGTCTCCCAGTCAGGCTACACGGGGGTCAGGGACCCACTTGCAGAGGCAGTCTGTCCGTTATCGGAGCTCGAACGCCATGCTGGGAGAAGCACTGCTCTCTTCAGAGCTGTCAGGCAGGGACATTTAAGTCTGGAGAAGCTGTCTGCTGCCTTTTGTTCAGATATGCCCTGCCCCCAGAGGTGGAATCTAGAGAGGCAGTAGGCCTTCCTGAGCTGTGGTGGGCCCCGCCCAGTTCGAGCTTCCATGCCGCTTTGTTTACACTGTGAGCATAGAAATGCCAACTCAAGCCTCAGCAATGGCAGATGCCCCTCCCCCCGCCAAGCTCTAGCATCCCAGGTGGATCTCAGACTGCTGTGCTAGCAGTGAGCAAGGAAGGCTCTGTGGGCGTGGGACCTGCCAAGCCAGGCACAGGAGGGAATCTCCTGGTCCGCTGGTTGTGAAGACTGTGGAAAAAGCGCGGTATTTGGGCAGGAGTTTACTGCTCCTCCAGATACAGTCACTCATGGCTTCTCTTGGCTAGGAAAGGGAAATCCCCCAACCCCAACCCCTTCCCGGGTGAGGTGATGCCCCGCCCTGCTTCAGCTCACCCTCCATGGGCTGCACCCACTGTCCAACCAGTCCCAGTGAGATGAACCAGATACCTCAGTTGGAAATGCAGAAACACCCATCTTCTGCGTCGATCTCACTGGGAGCTGTAGACTAGAGCTGTTCCTATTTGGCCATCTTGGAAGTGACCTCTCACGTTTTATTTCCAATAAACAGTGCTGTCCTAAACTCTTGATTTTTATGTGGCATCATTGTAAATAACAGTAGCATTTTAAATATATTTGGGCCCTCTCATTGGCATTCAGTGGGGACAAATTCCATTTGAATGCTCAGTTGCTATAGATGTGGTTATATGAAAGTGCTTGGGGCACAGTAAACTAAACTCAATCACAGGTGACTTACATTTGCATCCTGGCTTGGCCACATGCGGTGTAATCTTAGTTCAGCATTCAACTTCTTTGAGTCTCAGTTGCCTCATCTGTAAAATGGCTTGTGTTCACCACAAACCCCAAAATATGTTTTCTGATTGAATGCCAAACAGCCTTAAATGGGGACATGTCTAAACGGATGCCAATTGCACAGGGCTTCACTGATTCTAAAAATATATCAGAATAATAATTTATAACATGAAAGCAGAATAAGGTTTGAGGTCCACAAATGTCATCCACCAAGAAACGCCTTTTCATCTCATGTTTGAATGCTAAAAATGGAGACTTTCTGCCAGGACTCCCAATAAAACATCACCCAGGCACAGTGACAACGAAGAAAACCTTTCCTAAAATCATCACTTCTTTCCCTTGGTTCTGCCTCTCTCTTCTCAGCTTACCCTTGAGAAGGGGGGATTCGGGGAGTGAGGAGGGGAGGAGGGTGGTGTACCACATCTTAGAATTGGAATGAAGGACAAGGGAAAAATTTCTATTAGGAGTGATGCTCTTCAGAAAACAGTAGCAAAATCATATTTTGAAAACTCTATCCATATAAATGAATATATATATGTATATATACGTATATCTTCCTGTGGTCCCTCTATTTTTTATAGACTATACTATGACTATACCAAATAAATTAAAAATGTTTAAATTAAATGTTAAATTTAAAATGTTTTAGTGATAAATAATAGTTGTACATATTTTTGGGGGTGTATGTAATATTTTGATACCTTTATACAATGTGTTTGCAGTGATCAAATTGGAGTAATTGGAATAGCCATCACCTCAAAGGCTTATCTTTGTGTTGGGAACATTACAATTCTTCTCTTCTAGCTATTTTGAAATTTATAATAAATTATTGAATACAAGAACTTATTCCTTCTAACTAACTGTATTTTTGTACCTCTTAACCAACTTCTCTTTGTCCCTACTCCCTTCCCTTCCCAGGCTTTAGTAACCACCATTCTACTCTTTACCTCCATGAGAACCACTTTTTTTTTAGCTCCTACATGTAAGTGAGAACATGCTATATTTATTTTTTTTTGCTTGGCTTGTTTCACTTAACACAATGACCTCCAGTCCCATCCATGGTGCTGAAAATGACAGGATTTCATTCTTTTTTATGGCTGAATAATATTTCAGTGTGCATATATATACCACATTTTCTTCATCCATTCATCTTTTTTTTTTTTTTTTTTTTTTGAGACAGAGTCTCACTCTGTTGCCCAGGCTGGAGTGCAGTGGCGCCATCTCTGCTCACTGCAAGCTCCACCTCCTGGGTTCACGCCATTCTCCTGCCTCAGTCTCCCGAGTAGCTGGGACTACAGGCGCCCGCCACCGCGCCCGGCTAATTTTTTGTATTTTTAGTAGAGACGGGGTTTCACCTTGTTAGCCAGGATGGTCTCGATCTCCTGACCTCATGATCCACCCGCCTCGGCCTCCCAAAGTGCTGGGATTACAGGCGTGAGCCACCGCGCCCGGCCCAAATAAAGTATTCTTTAAAAAGCAAGTTACAAAAGGTCAAATTTGCCTGAAAAGTGTTACCCAAAAAATCCAGCTCCTAGTGTAGTGCTTTTCACATGACAAGCATTCAACACATAGTTGTTGCATTAAAAACAGCATCAAAGTGATTATTATATTTGGAATTTATTTAATCCACTTAGTAAGTTATTTATTTGGTCTAGAATAGGAGTTAGATTATTTACCAGTAGTGTTGAGAGTTGATTGTGAACTAACCCCAGCCCTGCAATTTTACTCGAAATAATATATGAAACAGAAGTGACAAATCATTTCTTTATCCCTTTATTCATTTACATACAAAGTATATTGTGAATATTTTTGCTTTACTGAAAAAAATCTACTAAAAGGCAGAAATAGTACAAAATCATACAGAGATAAGAATCCTTAAACTGCTCATTTCACCTTACCAATTATCTAGTTCTGCCATCTTTCTATTTTAATGATAGGTTTCAAATTCAAAACTGCTTTCAAGCTACGAATTTAGAAATGTAATAACTGCTGGTAAAAACATTGATTTTTGTAGCCTGGTTCCTCTTTTACATGAGTGCTTATTTCAAGTTTGCTGTGATCACCATAGAAATATTCTCTATTGCTAGAGGTTGGAGGTTATGATCATTCATTTATTTAACAAGTACTTGTCAAACATCTATTCTGTGCCAGGACCATGATAGGTAGTCATTACTTTCATGTCATCTGTTTTAAATGCTATTTTAGATCTTCCAAAAGACATGTTACTTTAAATCAAACCATCAAGTCCAGACAACTTGCGTTTTTCTAACTCGATTCAAGGGCTGAGCATTAAATGCCATAGAACAACAGGCTGATGCCCAGGCTTTTGATAAGTGACATATTTTAGCAAATGTATGACAGCCAGGCATTGTGTGTAAATCTAGCATAGCTTGATGGTTAAGCTTCCTGGCTGTAGAACCAGAAAGACTTGGTAGTGAATTCTGGCTTTGCCATTTACTGGTTGTATTACCTTGGATAGCTTACTTAACCTCTCTGAAGCTGTTTTCTCATTTGTTAAAGTTGGAACTAATAATAGTATATACCTCATAGTATTACAGTGACAAATGGATGAGATGCTGCATGGAAAGCACGAAGATCAGTGCTGGCATTTACTAATTCCTCAATAAAGTAGCTATAAATAGGAGGAGTTACTAATTGGCTATTGATAGGAAGAATAAAAATCATGATAGTGATGGTATAAGTATTTACCTGGGACAAGGGGCTTCCTTATTTGGCTAAATTATCTAAAATGCATAGGAAGAATAGAACTTTTAGTTGGCTATTTTTCTTTTATCTATCTATCTATCTATCTATCTATCTATCTATCTATCTATCTATCATCTCGTTCTATTGCCCAGACTGGAGTGCAGAGGTGCAATCATAGCTCACTGCAGCCTAGAACTCCTGGGCTCATGCAATTGTCTCACCTCAGCCTCCTAAGTCGCTGGGACCAGAGGTGTACGTTACCACACCTGGCTGGCTATTTTTTTCACATTCTGGTGTCAAACACAGAATGTTTCCTGATTTTGTTGTCTAAGATATTTTAGACACATATTAATCCATTTCAAAGATTAAAATATACTTTAATTTTTCTTTTTTTTTTTTGAGACAGAGTCTCCCTGTCGCCCAGGCTACAGTGCAGTGGCATGATCTCGGCTCACTGCAACCTCCGCCTCCCGGGTTCAAGTGATTCTTCTGCCTCAGTCTCCTAAGTAGCTGGGACTACAGGCGCGTGCCACCATGCCCAGCTAGTTCTTGTATTTTTAGTAGAGATGGGGTTTCACCATATTGGCCAGGCTGGTCTCGAACTCCCGACCTCATGATCCACCCACCTCAGCCTCTCAAAGTGCTGGGATTACAGGCATGAGCTACCGCGCCCAGCTACTTCAATATTTCTATAGATGCCTAATTCCTGAAGGGCTTTAGGGTCATGATATCCAATGACTGTAGATGTGAAAGTTTTAGAAAATGTATCCTAAGCACAGAGCAAACTCTAAATATTCAGTTAGTTAAATGCCAAACTTATCTTGTTTCTTTCTCTGAAAACTGTAATGCTGACAAAATTCCAGATAACTTAAAGCATCTGACAGTTCAGTTCTGAAGTTTAACTATTGCATTGTAACTATAATTTTGCTCACTAACTGTGTAGAAGGTAAGTTTTCCAGATCTAAAAAATTGTTAGCTAATGAAACAAAGTAAATAGAGTTTCCAGTGAATTAAATAACTTCATGTTATATTTCTAAGAATTTTACTCACAATGGCCACAGGGTCATTGCTGCGAGTTGCGGCCAGGCTGAACTTCTTCACGTGAGTGTTGGTCTCCAGAGCCTTTGCAAATTCCCTCAGGGTTGGAATTGGAATGTTCTAAGACAGAGAGGACATGGCTAGTTGATGAACCATTGTATGGCACACTCTTGCCAAGGTAAGAACCCACAACCTTTAAATACCAGGTATGTGTAGATAAATACACGATATCCCTTCTAAATGAGGGTCATTACCTAGCCTTCAGCAACCAAGCTATCCTGAGCTAACAGCACCACTTAGTGTCCAATAGGGGAATCTAAACTACCACTATGGTACCTCTGAGTGTCGTCTTTCTGTTTTCCCTAACCAAGAAAGTATGCAGATACTATACTTCCCTCTTTTTATTTTTCACTCTGTATTCTAGCCAGACTGACGTATTTGCCACTGTTTTAATATACCAAAGTCGTTCTCTTTTTCAGACCTTTATATATGCTTTCCCCTTAGCCTGGAAATTCCTTTTGTCCTTTTCTCTTTCAAGACTCAGATGTAATATCATCTCCTTTGTTTACTGGATCTCCTAGGTAGCATTAAAATTTTTCTTTCTTGCAATTCAATGATATTTGGTGGCTCACCACATCATGTTATAATTATCTGTTTAGTGTTTTTCTCCTAATATAATTGTTTTCAGAGTAAAGACTGAATAAATCTTATTTATCTTTGTAGTCCTTTTTCTAGATCATTTAGCACAGTAATGACCACTGGGGAAGGAGACAATGTGGGGTGCAGTTAGAAGTGGAGAAGAGTCCTGGCTGCACTACAGACTAACTCTATGACGTTAACAACTCTTTAAGTCCAACTAATAATTAAATGAGATAATAAATTCCAAGTATTTAGTAAAGGACATGGCACATAGTAAGTACTCAATAAAAGTTGGTTATTATTAAATGCTAAGAATTGGCCCCAAAAGAATAAACAAAAGAGACTTCAGGTAATGTTTACACACACACACACACACACTCTCTCTCTCTCTCTCTCTCCTACTCTTTCCCTTTGAGAGTGGCATGACTTATTATCAAATTGAATAAAGTGGAAGTGACAACATGTGACTTCAGAAACCAGGTCATAACAGGTATTGTGGCTTCCTGCTTTCTCATCTCTCTGTCTTGGATCACTCGCTCTGGGGAGCCACATGGTGAGAAATGGAGGCCTCCTGCCAACAGCCGCATGAATCTGCCATCTTGGAACTGGATCCTCCTGCCCCAGGCAAGCCTGGTACTGCAGCCCTGGATGACAACTTCACTACCATCTCATTTGAGACCCTGAGCCACACTATCCAGCTAGCCACTACCAGATTCCTGACACTGAAAAATTGTGTGTGAAATAATAAATGTCTGTTGTTTGAAGCCTCTAAGTTTTGGAGTAATTTGTTACTCAGCAATAGATATAACTAATGTACTATGCTTAACTCAGGTATGGTGATTCTTTTCAAATAATTATAGAAATCACTGTTTTCCAAAACCCACTTCTTTTGAATAGGATACCTTGACTCCAACTCAGTGACTACAAAGAACTGCAAACAGGTGTGAAAACAAGCAATAGGTCATCTCTGGTAAGTTTTCTGACCTCATGATAAATTAACTGACTGATGATAATCACAATGAAATACCTTAATGTTGTTGAGGTTGACTTCTTGCAAGCTAGGATCATTGGCTTTCATCTGCTGCAGGCTTATTTCCACATTTGTGGGATTTGGTGGTTCCTCAAATACTGGCTTTACTTTTTCACCTTTGACAACATCTAAAACACAAGTTTTCATTTTAAAAAATGCAAAGTCTCTCCTATCAAAATCAGTGGTGACTTCCCAAAAAATGACATTTCTTTCATATGCTGATTCCAATAACACTTTAATAGCAATGACAGTAGGTGTATTCTCAGCTAAGCAAGCATGGGAGTGGTATAGCTATGAGTCACAGCTTGGAAGGCTGGTGTTTCTCAACTGCAATGAGAATTCCCTGGGGCTAACACTGCATGGACCCAAAGTTCAGGAGACCCTGCAGCAAACTCCAACTTTCAAAATATCCATGGGCCGTTATTGCTGCTCCATATGGACATCTGTCAGACTATACTAACTAGACTACAGGATCTGAGATACAAATCAGACACCACAATAAGTCTTCATTTCCCAAACTTTAATACCCCTCTGGCCTCTTGATTATACCCTACCCTCCTCTGAGTTCTATTCTGGAGCTTTAGTTTTAAGGAAGGTATGGGGAGAGAAAGGGATAAAAAAGAAGAATGGAAGAATTCTCAAAAATAGTTAACAGAGATACAAAGGATTAATATCCCAATATACACAGAGCTCCTACAAATCAATAAGGTGACCCAATTAAAAATGAACCAATAATACGCTCAGAAGAATCTGTCACTCAACCAAAAAATATAAAAAGTAACTAAGCTCCAAAATAAAGAAATGAGATACCATTTCATTAGCAAACAAGTGTGAAACGAGGTAACATTTGGAGTTGGCAACAATGTGGAGAAAAAAGCATCTTCGTACTCCTCTATAAGTGGGAATGTGATCTGATGCAAATGTTTTGGGAGAGTAATTTGGCATTATCTATTGCAATTTAAGATGTGCATGTTCTATGACCCAGCAATTCTATATCTAGAAGTCTTACCTACAAAAATAGCACAGATACATAAAGATATATATTCAAGGGTGTTCCCTGTTCCCTGAAATATTACTTGTGACAGCAAAACATGATAAACAAAATGTCCACCAATATGAAAATGGGTAAATAAAGTATAGCATCATCACGTAACAACTTATTGTCTATTCGTTAAAAGAATCTATTCAGGAGCCAGGCATGGTGGCTCACACCTATAATCCCAGCACTTTGGGGGACTGAAGCAAGAGAGTTTCTTGAGGCAGGGAGTTTGAGACCAGGCTGGGCAACACAGTGAGACCCAGCCTCTACAATAAATTTTAAAAATTAGCCAGGTGTAATGGTTCATGCCTGTAGTCCTAGCTGCTCAGGGGACTGAGGTGGGAGAATCCCTTGATCCCAGGAGTTTGAGGCTGCAGTGAGCCTTGGTAGTGACACTGGATTTCAGCCTGGGCAACAGAATGAGACCCTGTCTCAAAAAAAAAAAAGTATCTTCATTATCTATCCATTAAAAAAGTTATCTACTCATTTTGGGAGGCCGAGGTGGGCAGATCACAAGGTCAGGAGATCGAGACCATCCTGGCTAACAGGATGAAATCCCGTCTCTACTAAAAACACACAAAAAAATTAGCCGGGCGTGGTGGTGGGTGCCTGTAGTCCCAGCTGCTGGGGAGGCTGAGGCAGAAGAATGGCATGAACCCGGGAGGCAGAGCTTGCAGTGAGCTGAGATCGTGCCACTGCACTCCAGCCTGGGCAACAGAGCGAGACTCTGTCTCAAAAAAAAAAAAAGTTATCTACTCATTAAAAGAATGAAGGAAACCTGTAAGTACTGATAAGAGGCCACAATTAGAAGACAAGTTAATATTTGTATGTGTACGTATAAACGTCCAGAAGGTTATGCACCAGATTGTTAATAGGAAACATTGTCAGAACGTTACCCTTTGATGCTGAAGCTAAAAAGGATGAGCATTTTTTATCCATATGCATAACAAGAAAGGCCAGACTAAGCAACATAGCAAGATCCTGTCTCTACAAAATAAAAATAAAAATAATTAACTGAGTGTGGTGGCATGCACCTGTAGTCCCAGCTACTCAGAAGGCTGAGTGGAAGGATTGCTTGAGTCCAGGAGCTGGAGGCTGCAATAAGTTATGATTGCACCATTGCACTCCAGCCTGGGCAACAGAGCAAGCCTCTATCTCAAAAAAATAAAAGGAATATTGCTCATTGTGTGTCTAAATTACCACTATAAATAATATTTCATATATATGCTACTGAGATTAGAAAGCATCTCCCAAGTCTCTATTAAAGTGAATAAAATAAAATTAACCTAAGAAAAGCTGTAATCCTAAAAATTAGTTGGGTGTGGTGGCACATGCCTGTAGTCCCAGCTACTCAAGAGGCTGAGGCAGGAGAATCGCTTGAACCCAGGAGGTGGAGGTTGCAGTGAGCCGAGATTGTGCCACTGCACTCCAGCCTGGGTGACAGAGCAAGACTCTGTCTCAAGAAAAAAAAAAAAAAAAAAAAAAAAAAGCTGTAATTTTCTATGAGTTTTCAAAGCACATGGATCACACTGTACTGACATGATCTGGTTATTGGTCCTTCCTTACCCTGGACAGATAAATTCCCTTGGGCAGGGACCATTTTCTTTCTTTCTTTTTTTTTTTTTAATTTTTAATTTTTTATTATTATTATACTTTAAGTTTTAGGGTACATGTGCACATTGTGCAAGTTAGTTACATATGTATACATGTGTCATGCTGGTGTGCTGCACCCATTAACTCGTCATTTAGCATTAGGTATATCGCCTAATGCTATCCCTCCCCCCTCCCCCCACCCCACAACAGTCCCCAGAGTGTGATGTTCCCCTTCCTGTGTCCATGTGTTCTCATTGTTCAATTCCCATCTATGAGTGAGAAGATGCGGTGTTGGTTTTTTGTCCTTGAGATAGTTTACTGAGAATGATGATTTCCAGTTTCATCCATGTCCCTACAAAGGACATTAACTCATCATTTTTTATGGCTGCATAGTATTCCATGGTGTATATGTGCCACATTTTCTTAATCCAGTCTATCATTGTTGGACATTTGGCTTGGTTCCAAGTCTTTGCTATTGTGAATAGTGCCGCAATAAACATACGTGTGCATGTGTCTTTATAGCAGCATGATTTATAGTCCTTTGGGTATATACCCAGTAATGGGATGGCTGGGTCAAATGGTATTTCTAGTTCTAGATCCCTGAGGAATCGCCACACTGACTTCCACAATGGTTGAACTAGTTTATAGTCCCACCAACAGTGTAAAAGTGTTCCTATTTCTCCACATCCTCTCCAGCACCTGTTGTTTCCTTGCATCCAAGGGATGAAGCCCACTTGATCATGGTGGATAAGCTTTTTGATGTGCTGCTGGATTCGGTTTGCCAGTATTTTATTGAGGATTTTTGCATCAATGTTCATCAAGGATATTGGTCTAAAATTCTCTTTTTTGGTTGTGGGGCAGGGACCATTTTCATCTTTGTACCTAAGCCTAGAACATTCCTGACACATAGTAGGTATTTAGTGGATGACTGATGAATGAATGAATAAAAAAGTCTAATTAATTGTACACGTCTATAGGAAACGTTGACATAGAAGATAGTGGTGTGGAATGTCCTGTGCACGTAAGTCCATGCCAGCGTGTCTTTCATGCCCTCTGAGGGAAGTGGACATTCAAATTCTAATGACAAGCATCTATTATTGAGACAAAAAGACACTCAAATAGAGAAGGGAACTTATTTAAGCTACTATAGTTGATTAAAACATCCTCAGGAACATGAAACGCTGCATTTTGTGATGACCAAGCAGTCTTATATCAGCAATTTTTTTTCATGAATATGGATTATACCATTTAATGCAGACCCATATATCAACAATTTCATCTTCTGACTAAACAGACCTACCAAGAAAGTGTTCTGGGCAACACACACTGATTTGTACTAGTTTCACCGCCAGATGGAGCTCTCATTGTCAGCTGCTCTGTTCTGGTTTGATTGCTCAAAGCCCAAGTGATCCTAGCAAAATGACAGAGTGTAAAGCCTGCAAGACTCAACAGGCCTCTCTCCTACCAGCAACTCTGGAGGCTCCAAAGCTTTACAAAACCACAGATTGCACATCAACTTACTTCTGACAGGTCCTTTGCCACCTTTATTGTTGGCTGTTTCTTCATCGAACTTTGGATTGTTGAGCAAATTGTGTACTCCAAGGACAGCTAAAAACAGTCAACAAATGAGCATTAAGTTTGGAGAAGCACATTAGGATGTCCACATTGTTAATTTGTCCCTTGAAGAACAATTCTTTACATCATAAAGATAAGTCCCTGAGTCCTCTTTCCTTGCACAGTGTGTGGTACATGTATAGCGTTAAATACACTTACAAAAACCTCCTTTCAAGACCACCAGAAATCTTCCTGTCTTTCTACGTCTCCACATGTAGAATCATTTAGGATCTGAGGAACAGTGGCTAATTATGGCCACAATTTACCGAAAATCTGCCTAGACCTCCTAGTTAAATAGGAAAACCTTTCAGTTTTCTCATCTGTAAAATGAGAAGGTGGGACTGAGACTAAGGGTTTTTAAGATCTAACATTATATAGATTACTGCATATATTTTTCCAGAGGCCTCTTTCAATGTCAGCCTCCTCATCTCTTAGTACCAAATATAATTGTCTCTAGAGCATGCCAGGGTGGGGAAAAAAAAGCAACATCAGCAAAGAAAAGGTCAGCTAAGCGTACTGATTTTCGGCTTCCTGTATTACACAGAACTTGCACCAGGAGGCAGCACAGAATGCAGGAAACAACACTGGGGAAGAATGAATGCGGGGCTGACTGAACCTGCAACTGCTACGCAGATTTCCCTTTGCTAATGAAATTCCAGGTGATACTGGCCACCTGAAGAAGGATCCCAGAAGGGATAATAATCTGTTGACAGGTGGCAGAGGAGTGCCTCTGAGATGCTTATCAGCTCTACTGTAAGCTACATATTGAAGGAGGGAGGCAGCTGGCACAGCACAAGAAAGGGCAAATGGTCAGAGCTAGCAAGGACCCGGTGAAGAGGGGGACTTGGGAGCAGTCAAGAATCCTGACTCTGACCACGTTAAACTGTGTGACTTGGGAAGTTGTTAAATGCCCGAGTCTCCGTTTCCTCATCTGTAAAACAGGGATAATAATTATACTTTATTACCAAGATTAAATGACTTTCTATGTGTCAGGCACTATTCTAAATGCTTTACAAATTCTTGTTAAATAAATAAGAATTTGCCACTGTGGGCCGGGTGCGATGGCTCATGCCTGTAATTTCAGCACTTTGGGAGGCAGAGGTGGGCGGATCACGAGGTCAAGAAATCGAGACCATCCTGGCCAACATGGCGAAGCCCCGTCTCTACAAAAAATAGAAAAATTAGCTGGGCGTGGTGGCGGGCACCTGTAATCCCAGCTACTTGGGAGGCTGAGGCAGAAGAATCGCTTGAACTCCGGAGGTGGAGGTTGCAGTGAGCCGAGATTGTGCCACTGTACTCCAGCCTGGGTGACAGAGTGAGACTCCGTCTCAAAAAAAAAAAAAAAAAAAAAAAAAGGAAAAAGAATTTGTCACTGTGTCTCTGTGAAGGGGACAGGAGAAGGAGAAGGTGTCCCATTTGATAAACACTGAGGCCATACAACAAACATATCTTCTTGCTCTGGCCCTATGCTCACCAAGTAACTTCTAATTATAATTTGGCTCCCATTGCCAGGTTTTCATTTTTATCTGTTATCTGTGAAATGGGCTAATGGATCAGTTCCCACCACTTTGCTCCAATCTGACTGCTTCTATATATACTGATAAGATCAAATTTCCAGTCCAGAGCTCCCACAGTTTAGGGCTGGGAACTAGACTCTGGATGGTGACCACACTGACACCCAGCCAGTGTAAGAGGTGCTGTTTTGCAGGTCAACTACCACTCCCTTGAAGAACTTTCTGTCTGCTCTCTATCTGCCACAATAACATGGGCAATATGCCGACACTCTTTCTTATCTAAAACTCAATGGCTGCCAGCTCATCTGCCCATGGGGCTGCCTTCAATCTTCCAGAAGGGCCCACCCTAAAGATGCTGCCAACAGCCCCAGCCAGGCTTCCTTCTGAATTCCTAGGGAACACAGGACGAGGGAGGGAAGCTGAGTAAGGATGAACGAGGACAGTTTTCTATTTGGATTCTCTCTCTGGTTTTACTGTATGAATTTCAGGATCTAGTATCTTCCAAATAATTGGTGTTTTTCTCTTTTTCCTTTCTCAAGGCATTACCTGGGAATTCAAGTTCAGCCCTGCATTCTCCCTCTGGGCAATTCTGGTAGAGACCATGAGGCAACCCCTGGGAGGAGCAGTAGCCATAACAGGATCCCTCCACAGCAACCCCAGGGCTAAGACCAGTGGGTGCAAAACACCTTCTTTACCAGGTGACGCCATCGCCTCAACTCCTGCAGTGGTCAATATGGTCAATATTAAGTTCACAAACATGGGAACTTCCTGACATCATCACAGAAGGAATGAAAATGCAGTTGGGGTGGCTGGTACATTTTAGAATAAGGCTGGTTCTCCTGGGAGGAAAGAGGTTATTATTCTATGTCTTCCAATGGAATAAAAATTCTTGCTAAAGCTGTGGACTGGTTTTTAAAGCACCTCTATCCTGTGGTCATCTAATAACCCTGTGTATGTAGAAGGAAGATCTAATATATAAATCTACTGGTAGATGCAGAAAATCTTTCTTGAAGGCTGTACAAGACATGGGAGTGGGCCTAGGTAATTCAGGTCGAGAGACTTACTTTTCATTACACATTCTTTTGTACTCTTTGACCTTTTTCTATCTGCATTTTAAATAATAATAATTATTATCATGTTGCTATTGTTAAGACTAGAAGGCTAATGGACTTCTTAGCGTTTTCTGAATCAAAATGGAACAATGACTGTGGGAAGAACAAGAACTTTATAGAAATGTTGTGATGATAAAATGCCAAATGTGAAAGCTCCTTAGAAAGCAAAAGAGCTGTTGTTTTATTCTCTAAATTCTCAACACTCCTTCATACTTGTTTGCTTTAATTTCTCACAGTAACTCTTGAGTTTTGTGAGATGGGTATTATTTGCTGCTGAAATAGAGCAAAATAACATTTGCTCAGAGAGTTTAAGTCACCTGCATCAAGACTTACAGCTCCATAATGCCTTGTGTCAACCTGTCATTCTCCTACCTAAGAGAAGCTCAAAGCCTGCTGCCATGGGTGCCAGTGCATGCTCGGAGGTCATAGAGCCAGACAGGAAAGTTCCCAGAGTTCAGGACTAACCTGCAAGATCATAGAGTTCGGTGTCAGAGGCACTGGCCAAAGCTTCTTCCAGTTCTGGGTCAAGGGTCACTTTTTCTTCTTTACGAGTTTCTATAGGCTTTTCTTTAGGGATAAAGACTCTCCCTTTAAATCAGAAGAAAAACAAAAATATTGAGTACTACTGCCTTATTGGTAGGGTAAGTAGACTGAGCAGAGAATGCAGTTCTGGCCATTGAGACCCATATAATTAAGCCAGTTCATATCCAACCGAGATTCCTGGATTGCCAGGATGGTACCAACATCAATAAGTCACTGTCAGAGGGAAGGAACACTGGAGGAGGAATCCTGCATTCTGCCACACAGAGATCTGAGACTACAGTCCTTAAACACAGAGGGAAATGGTGGCTTCTACCCCTCTTATTGGCAGTACTGCCCTTGGGTCTGGGCAGGAGAGGCCCTGCCCTGAGTCGTGCACTTTAGAGAACCCCATACTAGTCTTCCTGTGGCTGTACCTCTCCCCTCCAGGGGAGGAACCATGAGGCCAAAGGGATATGCCCATCCAGCATATAGGCCACTTTCTATACCACACTTCAGGTACCTAGGACCCTGGAATGCCTTGCCCAAAGAGCCCTGAGCCTGCCTCTAGAGCCTCCACAAGCCCCTTCCCATGTCTATCCTCCAGAAGGCAGGTCATGCTGCTGGGTGTGTACCCTCAGGTCAAGGGGAGGCTATTTGTGGGGGAGCCTGGATGAAGCTTGGATATGTGGGCTTGGGTGTCCAACATGTGTGTTTGAGGCCCTGGCAGTGTGGGACAGATCAATATCCCTGCATGGAACTCTTGGAAGTCCAAGAATACTGGCCTCCTAGGTATATCTAAAGGAGGATACAACATATTTTAATGATTTGTTAGCTTTTAAATATTTGGAAAATGTGGCATGTGGGCTTCTATTTGTATACTTGCCTTGGACCCTGCAAATATTAGGAGCAGGTTCATCTAAACAGCACTAGGGGTTCCTGAGTAACAAACTGGTGATCCCCTGGAGCGCTCCCTCTAAATTGGGAATGCAGACAACTAGCATGCCATATCTGGGGCCAGGTGGGCTAGTGTAGTGACCTGGGGACATAGCCACCTCTCTAGAGTCTCCAAAGCAGGCATGATTGTAAGGAAAAATCAGGGTCACTATACTCGGAGCTAGTGGGGTTCTGTGAGCAGCAAGGCATTCTGTGCTTCCCACAGATGCATCCTCTGCCACCATCTCCCATTTCATCCTATCAGCAAGATTCCATTTATTTTGTCCCCTGCTCACTTCTGAAAATGCTGATATCTATTCCCTAACTCCCAGCTCAAACTTCTGGACTGATGAAATAACATTGCCATACCCAGGAGGATGGCACAGTTCCTGCTCCTAACTTCGAGCCAGGCCAACACATCCACATCCCACACGTGCACCAGGGACATTCTAGAGCCATGATCAAAACACCCCAGAGCATTCATATTCCTTTCTAATTATTCCCAGCTTTTGACTCTTTGTTTCTCTCTTTTTTGAAGCTGCTCTGACTTTTGGGGCACAGTCTTTGAAATTGTTCTCTTCCATTTTGATCTGTAGAGTTCCCTAAAGGCTCATCTCACTCCAGTTTCCGCCCATTGGGACCCAAGTTCTCTCCAGGTCTCCTTCGCTAGCCTGGTTTATCCCACTCCTATGGGAAAGGAAAGGGTCCAACCCAAAGTCAATAACCCTCCTGCATGAGAACTCTCCAGGAGACTTCCCTGATTACAAGGTCTGTGTATTTCCTGTTTTACCATATTGTTAAATGGCTGGATAAGCAAACAGGAGTGTGTCAGAGCTGGGCACTCCAAACACAGGAAAGAAAGGCACTGCTTGTCGTCAGTCTGGGGCATCCTGGCAACAAGGTCATTATCACTGACATGCATCCTACTTCCTGCCTTGGAATCACTTTAGCTGCCACATTTCTCAGAAAGAAGGAAAATACACTGGGAAACAAATTAGGAGGATGGCCAGAAGATAGAAAATGGAAAAAGAAATCAACTAATCAATAACATCTCAAATACTGGGGCTCATCTCAGACTTAACATTCCTAGCGTCTATGGCCTGAAACATTTTCTTTCTGGCCAAGATGATCTTAGGTCTAGAGTCAAAATAAGATTTCTTTCTTTCTTTCTTTGTTTTTAAAGACAGGGTCTCACTCCGTCACCCAGGCTGGAGTGCAGTGGTGCAATCATAACTCACTGTAACCTTGACCTTCTGGGCTCAAGTAATCCTCCTGCCTTGGCCTCCCAAAGTGCTGGGATTAGAGGCATGCCCAACCTAATATAGGATTTTCTAAGTTCCTCTTTCCTGGTACTAAACACGAAGTACACAACTATTGGTATTCAGGAGAACTGCTGATGCAGATCCATTCCTGGAGGTCCAACCAAATAACAAGTTCTAAGCAAAACTCTGCACCAGAGTAAAATGTAGCCCAGGAACCTGAGGTGTGCCAGCACATAGTGTTCAGAACTGTGGTTGTGCAGCCTCTCTTGAGGACCTCATAGTAGCCTCCCGCTGCTCCTGGATGGTTCACTGGTCCTTCTGGGGCCCCTGCATACTCTTCGCTCTGCTCTGCTGCTCTGATTAGAAAACTTGCTCCCTGCTCACTTTATTCAGTTGTGCTACTTCTCAACCTTCTCCTAAGCTACACTATGCAACTGTATACCCCTTTTATATCACTATTACTCAGACAGCTCCTACGTTCCTAACTCCCCCACCAACCATCTGGAGATTAATCTTGATCATGAGATAATTTACCATAGCCACTCCTCAGACCTCTACACTAAGAACAAAAGATAACAGCTTTCAACTTATTATGCTGTCACTACTTGATGTTAATTGGGACTTCATTGAAGATTTGACATTATAATTTTTTTCACAATTAAATTAGTCCAACAGCAACTATGTTGCTATAGAAACAGATCCATATTTTCACAGCAATCCTTGATTATTTGCCTGGTTTGTCACTGTTCACTATTATTTATTTATTTATTATTTTTTTGGAGACAGGATCCACTTTATCACCCAGGCTGGAGTGCAGTGGCAGGATCATAGCTCATGGCAATCCTGAACTCCTGGGTTCATGGGATCCTTCCACCTCAGCCTCCCAAAGTGCTGGGATTACAGGTGTGAGCCATTGCATGTGGCCCAATTTTACTTTCTTAATGACATTCTCAATGATGTGTGATCCACTGAATGTGCACAATACAGAGGGCAGCCTCGGCATTATGTGAGACAAGGCAGTAGCACTCTGCCTCATGCCAACTAGGAGCTGGATGCTCCTGCTCCTACTGCTGCAGTACAGATTTCTGAGATGCCATTCACTGGAACCCATGTTTATCAAGTGCCTCCCATGCCAGTTGCTGTGCCAGGATAAAAAAAAGACCCTATCACATGAAAACATGCAAAAACCAAAGTAAGTAAAGTGATGAACATTGTTACAGTGCTGTGAAAGCAATAAGCAGCTGTCATGATAGAGAGAAGAGAGGTCAGAGAAAGCCCGAGGCCCTGAAATTTAAGCTGAGACCCTTAGGATGTGAAAAATGGGGACATGCGTCAGAAGGAAGAGTACATGAGAAGACCAGCCTGAGAGAGGAAAAGAACTCAGCAGGTTCAGGGGAGTGAATGAAGACAGTGGGGGCTGAGGATTAGCAAGGGAAGGCCAGATGCAGGTAGAGAGCTGGATGGAGGCTATATCTACTTTAAAGACCACAGTAAGGATTTGAGACTTTAAGAAGGGAAATGCCAAGATTTGGTTTGTTTGTTTATTTATTTTGAGACAGGGTTCCACTCTGTTGCCCAAGCTGTAGTGCAGTGGCATGATCACGGCTCACTGCAGCTTTGACCTCCTGGGTTCAAGCAATCCTCCCATATCAGCTCCTAAGTAACTGGGAACACGGGTGCACCATCATGCTTGGCTAATTTTTGTATTTTTTTAGAGATGGGGTTTTGCCATGTTTCCCAGGCTGGTCTTGAACTCCTTGGCTCAAGTGATCCTCCTGCCTCAGCCTCCCAAAGTGCAGAAATTACAGGTGTGAGCCACTGCGCCCAGCCGACATGATCTGATTTGTATTATAAAAAGATTGTAGTTGCTGTGAGGTTATCAATAATTCCATTAGAATCTTTGAGCTCAAGTCACTGTCTATAGCTGGGGAAGCTGGACAGGCTATTGATAGTCACTCTTCCTCCCAAGGGGAGCACAGGGTCGGGAGCTAAGGAGGAGGGTTTCCTATTCTTGGCTCAGAGCTCAATCCTGGCATGGAAAAACAACTCCTTGCTTCTCACAGCCTTCCTAGCTCTGTCATCCTGTTTCTCTCACTACAAGCTCCTTGAGGGCAGGGCAGGGTCTTATTTGCCTGTGGTTCTAGCATCTGGCCACAAGCCTCTGCACAGAGGAGGCACTCAGTAGATGATGGATGCATGAATGACTGCACTAGACTTTAATGGTAGCCTCTAAGGTTAGGGATGCAGTGCTAGAGCCATCCTGGACATGGAGCAGAAGGCCTTGAGGGACTTCTGAAGTTGGTAAAGCACCAGGCTAAGAGAAATACACCAGTGCCTAGGAAACTCTCAGGCATGACACCACCTCACATTTTCAAAACTTTCTTTGGGGTTCGAGATGTTTTCACTAAACTAATTTGAGAACCATCACACCATAAGCAGTTAGCCTACATATTTGATCGTGTTTCTTTTTTCTTTCAATGTACTCTCCCCAACTCATCCTCCCCTGACTAATGGCATCCTATACCATAGCGATACTTATACTACAACTGATGAACCATCATGGACACATCATTATCACCCAATGTCCACAGTTTCCATTAGGGTTCACTCTTGGTGTTACACATCTTATGGGTTTGGCCCAATGTAGAATGACATATGTCTAGCTAGCAGCCATGATTCTTTTTAACACCGACTCCAGTTCATGGGCTTATTTCCCATTTCCGGGACAGTTCCCTTGCTTGACCCTCCACGACAATAAAATAAATACTGAATCCAGTTCATGGGCTTATTTCCCATTTCCGGGACAGTTCCCTTGCTTGACCCTCCACGACAATAAAATAAATACTGAATCTAGTTCATGGGCTTATTTCCCATTTCCCAGACAGTTCCCTTGCTTGACCCTCCACGACAATAAAATAAATACTGAATCCAGTTCATGGGCTTATTTCCCATTTCCCGGACAGTTCCCTTGCTTGACCCTCCACGACAATAAAATAAATACTGAATCCAATTCATGGGCTTATTTCCCATGTCTGGGACAGTTCCCTTGCTTGATCCTCCACGACAATAAAATAAAAAGAGGTAATCTTAATTAAGAGTGCCTCCGTTCCAAAAAAAAAAAAGAGAGAACCTCTGTTCCAAGATGCTCTGCCTGTGGTCCTTACCTTTCTTTTCTCCAGTGAAGGGCACAAAGTCCTCTCTGTCTTTCTGTTCCAAAGCCTCCTTCTCCAGGTACATGAGGAGGTGCTCGCGGTCAAAGGGGCCGGTGGCTGCCTTCTGTGTCTGGTCTTTCTGTCGAAATCCAGCTGGCAGCATGGCACTCTGACAAGAAAGAGGTGTGAGCAGGAAGGAAGATGTCTGCCGGCCTGTACTTTGCTACTTCCTCTTCCACCCCCACTCACTATGTGCTGGGGAAGCAGGAAGGATACCTACGCAGAATGTGCGTGTGAGCTGAGGGCTGGGGGCTCTGGGACGCCTCTGAGGCCCTATTTGTTATAATGTTCAGTGCTGAGAGGGGGCTCCCAATGAGCTCAAGCAGCGCATAGATGGCTAGAGCAGCCTCTGAGTTTCTGAAGCTGCCTCCTAAAACATGGAGGCAAAAGACCTCTTTCCTTGTAGATCATGCTTAGGTTTGGCTAGGGCTGCACCCAAGGTGCTCCCAGGCAGAAACATGAGACTCTAACAAGGAGCTGACATGGGGAACCCCTCTCCTGCAGAAGCAGTAAAGCTGATAAGTAAACACTATGATGATGTTAATGCCTGCTTGATAAAGCTTTCAGATTCCTTCCTTAATTTAAAAAAACAACAACAGAATATCTGTATTTTTAAAAGTAAATACCATATCCAAAGTATCTGACATATCAGAATACCATATACATAATTTTGTTTTAGTTATATTTTTATTTATGGTAAAATCACTATTTTGGATGGCTCCGATTTTTTTTTTTTAACCGTAATTGACTTTTTATTTAAAAAATTACACGGAGCAATTTCCAGCATATCTTTTTTTATAAAAGTACTGCTAATTCTAAGTTTAAGATCATACCAGCAGGTCTGAAGAAAGTGCTTGCTAATCAAACAATATAACAAGCGACTTAGCTTTTCAAGAACTTATAAAAACATTAGAAACTCCATTGAAATGAACTTGGTATCATGATTATAGTCAGTCTAATCTATTCTTTGTTATAAGTTCATCAAAGAGTTCACATTATTTGTGCATTTGAAAGAAATGAGATATTTTTAAAAATCTGCGTTTGGGGCCGGGTGTGGTGGCTTAGGCCTATAATCCCAGTACTTTGGGAGGCTGAGGTGGGCAGATCACCTGAGGTCAGGAATTCGAGACCAACATGGCCAACCTGGCGAAACCCCGTCTCTACTAAAAATATAAAAATCAGCCAGGCATGGTGGCATGTGTCTATAATTTCAGCTACCTGGGAGGCTGAGGTAGGAGAATCGCTTGAATCTGGGAGGCAGAGGTTGCAGTGAGCCGAGATCTTGCCACGGCACTCCAGCCTGGGTGACAGAGTGAGACTGTCTCAAAAAAAAAAAAAATTCTGCATTTGGGCCTAAAAACCTGGTTTAAATACCATCTCTGACACTTACCAGTGTGGAATCTTATATAAATTACCTCTCCATGTCTAGGGGTTAATAAAGTTTACCTCAAGGGCTTCTGTGCCCAGAGAAATATATGACTCAGAAAAAACTCAGTAAGATTTGCTCTCTTTTCCTCTTTCCTTCTTTTTCCCCTAAACAAGACTAGTCCTTTCTCAACCAACGGAAAATATTTCCCCCCATTTACATTGGGCTGGTTTTTGAGAAATACATTTGCTGTATCACACTGTAGTGGCTATGAGGTTCTCTATGAATTTGTAAACACAGGTGACCCAGAACCAATCAGAGGAAGAAAAGAAAATGTGCATTCCGAGCTAAGGGATTTCTACCATTGTTTAAGGACCAAGCCATGCCATTTATCCATACTATCATTAACCACTCTGCTTCAGTTCCATGTCACTAACCTCAGGATCTAGGTCATCTAGAACATTTTCCAACTGTTTCAGTTCCTCTTCTGAGAGTTTGCCAAGAAGCTCATCTTCATCAATGTTCTTGTATTTCTCCAGCTCTTTTTGAAAGGGGAGTGCCATGGCTTCTTATAAGCCTTTCTCATGGGCCATGCACATTTAAATGGTCCAGTTTCCTGAGACTTCAGAATACTGTTAATAAAAAAGAAACACAATAAAAAAGAATCTCCGTTCTGTAAACAGGACTTATTAACAGGAGACAGAAGTATGCCTCCAATGGAGCCTACTGTATTGAATGAATAATTCAACAAAAAGGTAATATTCCCTTCATTTGCAGAGCAACCTGACAGCTTACAAAGTGTTTTCACATATTTCACTTATTTTGATCTTTACAACAATCCTGTGAGGAAGCCCGTGACGATATTATCATTCCCATTTTATAGATGACAATTCTGAGGTGAAAGTGGCCTAGTGCCTTGCTCGAGGTCACAGAGCTGGGATGCGTGAGCCCCGCCTTCTGATTCCCAGCATAGTGGGTGCTTTTCCCTTATACTACTCTGCCTTCCCTGGCTCTCCATAGAAAAACAGGGGAGAACAATGCACTAATTGTAAGGCAGTTGTAAGAAGCATACTTGTGTCTTTTCAGGGAGAGAGTGATGTGAAGAATACAAAATGGGATTCATTCAGGAACGAGAGTTTGGAACGTCTATGTGAGAAAGCATTGTCCAGTAACTCCCCTGCAATTAAACTAAGTGCGATTCTAAAATCCTGGCCACATGATCACTCTCTCTATTTTTCTCCTTGCTTTGTTTTCCATTCTATTTCTAGTCCCATTTCCTTTTTGTTCTACGTATTCATTCTTTATACCCTCAGACCGTTCTTCTCTCGACCCTTATTTTTTATACCACCTCACTTCTAAATATTCACCCAAAATGCAATTTTTACTCAATCCCTTTCTCCTTGCAGAGGATTCTACAGATCTTCCTTAGAAAGATAATACTCATTCAGGAAACAGTAATGTACTTCACTGACTGTGTTTCTCCTTAGGAGGTATTACCACCAATCACATCTTTCAGGCCAATAAATATTTGTTATATACCTACTATTTGCCAGGCATAGTTCTAGCAAACAGAAATACAAAGATAAACAAGATATGCCACCTTTCCCCAAGAAGATCACAGCTTAGTGAGACAGGCACACAAATAGCAATAATGTCATAAGTATTAGACGTAACGTATAAAGTAGGTTTAAAAACACATGAGGAGGCCAGGAACGTTGGCTCACGCCTGTAATCCCAGCACTTTGGAAGGCCAAGGCAGGTGGATCACCTGAGGTCAGGAGTTTGAGACCAGCCTGACCAATATGGTGAAACCCCATCTCTACTAAAAATACAAAAATTAGCTGGGTGTGGTGGCATGTGCCTGTAGTCCCAGCTAGTCGGGAGGCTGAGGCAGGAGAATTGCTTGAACCCGGGAGGCAGAGGTTGCAGTGCTGAGATGGCATCACTGCACTCCAGCCTGGGTGACAGAGTGAGACTCTCTCAAAAAAAAAATTATATTTATCAAAATGCCCCCTCTCCCCAAGATCACAGCTTAGTGAGACTCTCACACAAACAGCAATAATGCCGTAAGTATTAGACATAATGTAAAAAGTAGGTTTGAAAACACATGGGGAAATAATCACTGAGTAAGTGGGGGAAGTTTGAGGGGAAACTGTGAAAAAGAGGCTGTGTTTGAACATTGAAGGAGGAGGTCATAAGGTGGACATGAATGGGCAAGTGTCATTCTAGGAAAAGGGAACAGCACAAAGGGGTACAGGATAAGACAGTAAATGATATGCTGGTAGAGCAGGCGGCATGGCTACAGAGGGGGATTCATGGAGGAAGGGAGAGGAAAGAACTAAAGACGAGGGTGGGACATCTGTGAAGGGCCTTCCTTCTGCGCCTTGCTAAGGGACCTGAACTTTATTCTGTTGGGAATGGCAAGCCACCACAGCTTCTTAAAGTAGGGGAGTGATCTGAGCACGCCAATCTTTTTTTATGAGTTCAAATCATAAGAATGAAGAATGAGTTGGCATGGAACGAGACTGGCTGCAGGTGGGCCTCTTAAGGGCTATTGGAATAGTGTTCCCTTTCCTTTGTGAATTCAACGGCTCACAATGTTCAGGTTTGTGGTTTCTGTGTCGATACCCCTTTCACATGCAATGCAACGCTCTTTTCCATTAGCTCAGCTTCTTATTTATTAATTTAGAGATAGGGTCTCCCTCTGTTGCCCAGGCTGGAATGCAGTGGTACCATCTCGGCTCACTGCAACCTCCAGCTCCTGGGCTCAAGTGATCCTCCCACCTCAACCTCTGGAGTAGCTGGGATTACAAGTGTGCAACACGAAGCCCGGGACTACAGGCATGTGCCACGATGCCTAGCTAATTTTTAATTTTTTTTTGTAGAGATGAGGTCTCCCAGCCCTCCTTTTTTTTTTTTAAATCTTTAATGACTATATTCTAGTAAATAAACAAACAAAAATTCTACTAAAGTCAGAGAAACCAATTGGATCCTATACACTTTGTTCTGGTGCCAGCTACCACTAACTTACTGCATCACACAGGACAAGGATGGCATCTTCCAGGCCCTTATCCATCAAATGAATTGGTTGAAGCACCCTACTTAATGGATTCTAAAATGCATACTTTGCCACATTTAACATTCTGAAATTGAGATGTGTCTTAGAATTCATGGTGTCCTACAATTACTGTTGTCCCAGCAGCAGTAAAAATGTACTTGTCATTGCTTGTATATACCTAAATATCAAAAGCACCAACTTCAAAACTAGCAGAGTGGATGTAAAGGTCTTGGAAGGAAATCCCAGGG
Organism: Homo sapiens; assembly: GCF_000001405.40. Classification (NCBI taxonomy): domain Eukaryota; kingdom Metazoa; phylum Chordata; class Mammalia; order Primates; family Hominidae; genus Homo; species Homo sapiens. The sequence goes on along the minus strand of NC_000015.10, from coordinate 51,763,698 downwards.
ACAACTGTGGAATACTCTTTTAAAATTTAGAAAGCAGACAATCGTGGGGAGGTGACAATGCAGGTATGTTTAGCAGCACTCCTGAAGAGAGGCCCAGATTAGGACAGTTCCACATAATTACAGAGTGAGTTTAAGTGCCCAGTTCAATGGCTTTTAGTTTTAGTTTTGTTTTTTTACAGATTTTTTAAATTACCACTCGATGGCACAGAGGAAATTATTATGTGGAAAAGAACCAGATATGGATAAGTAAAATAGTGATCTAAAATGTTGGACTCTGAGTGTGAAGAAGTTTTAAGAATATCAACTAATGAATGCATTTCACTTACATTTCCCCTTTTAATGTATGCACAGGAGAGATATATGATTTTAAAAATCCATGTATATTCATAGCACATTTATTTGTAATTGCCAAAAATTGAAAACAATGTGAATGATAGTAAATGAATAAAAAACAAATTGTGACCAGGTGCAGTGGCTCACGCCTGTAGTCCCAATGTTTTGGGAGGCTGAGGCAGGAGGATTTCTTGAGCCCAGGAATTTGAGACCAGCCTGGGCAACACAGTGAGACCCCGTTTCTACAATTTTTTTTTTTAAAAATTAGCTGGGCATGGTGGCACATGCCTGTAGTCCCAGTTATTCGGGAGGTTGGGGTGGGAGAATTGCTTCAGCCAGGAGGTCGAGGATGCAGTGAGCTATGATTGCACCACTGCACTCCAGCCTGGGCAACAGAATAAGACCCTGTCCCTAAATAAATAAATAAAAATAAACAAATTGTCGTATATCCACATAATGGAATACTTCTCAGCAATAAAAGGGAATGAACTATTGATGTACACAAAAACATGGATGAACCTCAAAATAATTATAATGAGAGAAAGAAGACCAAAAAGAATGTATACTGCAGGATTCCATTTATCTAAAATTTTAGAACACATAAACTAATTTATATGACAGAAAGAAATCACAGTTGCTTAGGCATGGGAGAGAGGTGGGAGGGGCTGATGAGAGGAATGACATAGGGGCATGGGGAACCTTTTGGGGATGTTGCATATGTTTACTACCTTGATTGTGGTGATGGTTTCACACATACATGCATATATCAAAACTTATCAAACTGTACACTTGAAATATGTGCACTTTATTGTATGTCATTTACACTTCAGTAAAAAAGATTTCAAAAAACCTATGTGGAAGTCGAAAACAGCTCTTTCAATAAAGTAAAAATTATTATTATTTTTTGAGACACGGTCTCAGTCTGTTGCCAGGCTTGAGTTCAGTTGTATGTCAGTACAACTCACTGCAGCCTTGACCTCTTGGGCTCAAGCGATTCTCCCACATCAGTCTCCTAAGTAGCTAGGACTACAGGTGTGCACCACCATGCCGGGCTATTTTTTTTTTATTTTTTGAAGATACAGGATCTCACTATGTTGTCCAGGCTGGTCTCCAACTCCAGTCTTCAAACAATCCTCCCAGCCTGGCCTACCACAGTGCTGGAATTACAGGTATGAGCCACTGTGCCCAGCCAAAAATTTGTATTTTTTTTTTTTTTTGAGGCAGAGTCTCACACTCACACCCAGGCTGGAGTGCAGTGGCGCAATCTCGGCTCACTGCAAGCTCCACCTCCCGGGTTCATGCCATTCTCCTGCCTCAGCCTCCTGAGTAGCTGGGACTACAGGTGCCCGCCACCACGCCCGGATAATTTTTTTTGTATTTTTAGTAGAGACAGGGTTTCACAGTGTTAGCCAGGATGGTCTCGATCTCCTGACCTCGTGATCTGCCTGTTTCGGCCTCCCAAAGTGCTGGGATTACAGGCATGAGCCACCGTGCCCGGCCAAAAATTTGTATTTTTAAGAAAACATGTTATATTTTGATTGCCAGCCTTTTTTTCTTAGTGATACATAAAATACTGGAGAGTTTTACAATCAATGGTATCTTAGAGTTTATAAGATTCTATTTGAATTTTTTTTTTTTTTTAAAGACAGGGTCTCATTCTGTTGCCCAGGCTGGCTTGATCATAGCTAACTGCAGCCTCCAATTCCTGGGCTCAAATGATCTTCCTGCTTCAGTCCCTCGAGTAGCTGGGTCTACAGGTGTGTATCACCATGCCCAGCTAATTAAATTTTTTTTTCTTTTTTGCAGAGATGAGGTCTTACTATATTGCCCAGGCTGGTCTTGAATTCCTGGGCTCAAGCAATCCTCCTGCCTCAGCCTCCCAAAGTGCTGGAATTACAGGCATGAGCCACAGTGCCCAGCCTCTATTTGGATTTCTATTGCTGGATTCTCTAACTAAACCTAAACTCCCAATTTTTCTCTAAACAGAGTTGCCGTCTAGATTAATCTACCAGTCAGACACTCCCAACACTCAGACCAGCTTCAGACTCTCCCACTTTTTTTTCTGAGTCCAGCCGGTCAGCACCTCCTGCAGGTCCTTATTGCACAACATTTTTCACACCACCCCTTCTTTTCACTCTTGTTTCAGCCTTTTGTTCCTTCATACCTGCACTACTCTGATTGCATCTTGAAAGATTTCTGTTTTTCCCTGTAAGCTACCCAGAACACTATAATTGGATCATTTTTCTCAACACTGCTAACAAGCCACTTCCCTGGTTAAGAACTTACAATGGCTCCCTCTTGTCCACAGAATGAAATCCAGACAATCTAGCTCCAAAGCTCCCATGATTTGGCTTTAACCTGCACTTCCTGTTTTCTCTCTCGTTACTTTCCTGGGGAGCCCACTTCGGCTAAAATGGCTTATTTGCTCTCTGTGGTAGGCAGAATCATGGCCACCTAAATACGTCCTCCTCCTATTCCTCACATCTATATGTTACTTTACATGGCAAAACAAATGAGTTGTGATTAGATTAAGGATTAAGGATTTTTTTTTCTTTTTTTGAGACAGAGTTTTGCTGTTGTTGCCCAGGCTGGAGTGCAATGGCACGACCTCGGCTCACTGCAACCTCTACCTCCCGGGTTCAAGCAATTCTCCTGCCTCAGCCTCCAGAGTAGCTGCGATTACAGGCATGCACCACCATACCCAGCTAATTTTTTGTATTTTTAGTAGAGATGGGGTTTCACCATGTTGCCCAGGCTGGTCTTGAGCACCTGATCTCAAGTGATCCACTCACTTCGGCCTCCCAAAGTGCTGAGATTATAGGCGTGAGCCACCACGCCCAGCCCAGATTAAGGATTTAAAAATAGAAAGACCATTTTGGATGATCTGGGTGTGCCAATGTAATCCAAAGGACTCTTAAAAGATGGAAGAGGAAGGCAGAAGAGTCAGTGTCATGCAATTTTTTTGCTTTGAAGATGGTGGAAGGGGCCATGAGCCAAGGGATGTGGGCAGCCTCTGGAGGCTGGGAAGGGCAAGGACATGGATTCTCCCCTAGGGCCTTCAGAAAGGAATACAGTCCTGTGACACCTTGATTTTAGCCCAGTGACATGTGTTTCAGACTTCTAACTTCCACAAAAGTAAGAATAAGTTTGTATTGTTTTAAGCCACTGGATTTATGCTAATTTGTTACAGCAGCAATAGGGAATGAACACACCCTCTTACCCAAATACTTCCATTTTCCAGGATGATTGTTCTGGCTGTCTTCTGTTTGCACCTCCACATCCACTCCCCTGCTGCTCTGTGCTCCAGGAAGATGATCTATTTAGACTGTATCAATGGGTTCCCTTTCTGTCTGGCTTCTGTTTGGCCCACAGGGGGCACTAGCAGGAAACTGGAGAGCAGGGGAGGGGGAGATTGGGTCCAGAAGGTCACATCTCCCAAGAGGCAGCCCTCTCCATACAGCTGCCTGCCCCTGGCTGGCCTCAGGCCTTGGGTGGTAAGGGTTCCTTGTGCAGCTGGTGCCAGAGTTCTGCCTTGTTGGATTCCCTAAATCCTCCCCCCATCTTTGTAAATAGCCTCTTTATTAAATTTTTCTCAAGTTACTCGAGTGTATCCCGTTTCTTGTTGGGATGCTGGCTGATACATTAATATTACTTGGAATGCTGTTCTCTATTCTCATGGCCTATCTATGCGCTCTGCTCTTGAGACCTGGCTCAGATCCCAGTTCTGCAGGACCACAGAATGTCAGAGCTGAAAGAGTCCTTAAAGATTGCTCAATCCAGCAACATAGATGGTTTTTCTTCTATTTCTCTGACCATTTCTTTTTGGTCTCTTTTAGCAATTCTTCTTCCTCCACCTTAAATACTGGCATTCTTCAAGGTCTCATCTTATAAATTCTTCTATTTCCATACTACATATTCTCTCTGGAGGAACTCATCTGCCTCCAAAATTTTAATTATAATATATATCCAGGAGATTCCAAAATCTGTATCTTCATCCTAGACTTTTTTCCTGAGGGTTAGGCCCCTATATTTCCATCTGCCTAATTCACATCTCTCCTTGGCTGCCTCAGACACCTCAAATATGTCAGAAGTGCTCTCATCATCTTTCCTCCTCCAGAATCTCCCATTTCAGGAAATTGGCCGAAAAACCAGGGAGCCATCCTTAACATCTTCTCTCTCTCGTCTCTTTTCCAGCCATCAATCACCAAATCCTGTCCTTACCTAAACGTGTTGAGAATCCACCCACTTCACTCATCTGCATTGTCCACATTCAACCCTATCCCTTCCTGATCCATTCGCCATACAAATGGCCAAAGTGAGCACAGAGTTAAACAACTCTTCTCTAGTTACTTAAAATCCTCCAGTGGCTTCTGCTGCCTTGAGGATAAGGTTCAAATTCAGTCTGTCTTCTGTCATCTTCGTCAGCCTCATCCTGTGCTGCACTCCCCATCTCCTCCTGGCTCCAGCCTCCTGGCCCAATTCCAATGCCTGGATCATGCCTTATGTTGTTCTCTCTGCTCAGAACACTCTCACCCCACTCCCCTCTGGCTGACTGCTATCCTACTCATCCCCTGGTCTCATGCAAGCTTCACTTCTTCAGGGAAGCCTTGTTTGGACCTGGAGACAAGGTCTGGGTCACTCCCCATCTCCATGCTACCCCTTTAATCACATCTGTTCTTGGCTTTATTACAACTACTTGCTTTATCTCTATTTTCCTTGCTAATCTCTGTGAGGGAGGGGGACTGTATGAGTTTTATTCACTGATAAAATCCTGACTCCCAGCACAGTTCTTGATCTGAAGTAGGTATCCAATAAATATTGTGTAACAAATGTCATGTGAAAGAAATGAGTTCAAATGAACCCGCAGGTCCAGAGCTCATTCCACTCTATCCACTGCTTCCTCTCCCTGTGATGGAGCTTTCTGAGATCATCTAAGCCCACAGAAGTTGCCCCTTCCTCTAAATTTGTATGCCTACATCACCAATTTGACATATCTTGCTATCTTTTCATGTATGTTGCATGTATGGTTCTCTCTCCAGCTACACTACAAACTCCCAGAAAATAAGTGCCATGTCATACTTCAGTAGGAAAATACATTAATTAATTAAAATAACATGTTCATACTATGTAACAGTAGCTGTTAAAACAAATTGCCTATGTTGTGTCAATGTACCAGGGGATCTCAAAGTCAGAGGAGAAAAAAAAAACTTGCATCCTCCTGGAGCACAACTTTGATCTGAAGATTTGGGGAAAAGCTAGTTATTATTATTATTATTATTATTATTAGAAATAGGGTCTCACTCTGTTCCCCAGGCTGGAGTGCAATGATGTGATCATAGCTCACTGCAGCCTTGTACTCCTGAGCTTAAGTGAACCTCTTGCCTCAGTATTCCCCCCACCTCCTTTGACCCCAGCTGAGACTACAGGTATGTCCCACTATACTCAGCTAGTTTTTAAATTTTTTGTAGAGACAGGGTCTCGCTACATTGCCCAGGCTGTATTTTTAAAAAGCAAATATAGAAATACTGTGGAGAAGAATGCAGTATTCTCATAGCTTTTAAAGTCAAATCAAAGCTTTTCCAGCTCATGGCTGGTCTGCTTTTGCCCCCACCAAGGCTGCCCAAGGGCTCCCATTTGTCTTCCGTCCTGTTAGCAATGCTGCCGTGGGAAGTTAGCAAGCACTGCTACAGCCTCCCCTCCAGTGGTGTGTCTGTCCCATGGCAAGCATTTAACATGCAATATGATGCTAATGTACATGCTGGAGTGAAGCAAATGCCTAACAAGGCTTCCAGGAGTCCTGGTGGGCAAGTACAGGAGCCAGTTAGGAAAACAGAAAATAGGATTAAAGACTTGAGCTGATGGAAGCATGACTTGGGCCCTTAAATAACTCTTCCTATTATCCAAATATACAAGCCTTGGGAAGGAAAATAAGGAGTATGGCTTTTTTTTTTTTTTTTTTTTTTTGAGACGGAGTCTGGCTGTGTCGCCCAGGCTGGAGTGCAGTGGTGCGATCTCCGTTCACTGCAAGCTCTGCCTCCCGGGTTCACGCCATTCTCCTGCCTCAGCCTCCCGAGAAGCTGGGACTACAGGTGCCCGCCACCACGCCCAGCTAATTTTTGTATTTTTAGTAGAGACGGGGTTTCACCATGTTGGCCAGGCTGGTCTCGAGCTCCTGATCACAGGTGATCCACCTGCCTTGGCATCCCAAAGTGCTGGGATTACAGGCGTGAGCCACCACGCTCAGCCCTCTTTATTCTTTTTAATATGTCTTCAATATTTCATAATTTTAAACAATTAGTGCACCGATTTGCACCAGAACCAAATCCACATTTTCTAAAACTAGTAAATTAGAACAGAATCTGCATATCAATGTATCCTCCAACAAAACATGAATTGATCTTAGATATTTAATTCATTTCTGGCTGCTGGGCAAATATAACACAGCAACCGCCTGTTTTGTAATGTAGCTATTTGAAGATGGGCCAATTAAGTTTGTTTTATTTTAAACAACTAAAAGACTTCTATATATTCTGGGAAATACTTGCAGAGGATGAAGGACAGAATGAGGCGGGATAAGGAGAAGTCTCAGTCTGAAATATGGTACGGCAATGGGAAGGAACAAGCTGAAAGAGGAAAGAGGAACAGATCTTACTAGAATGCAGAGCTCGTATTTCCCAATCTTACAACACAAACTTGCCAAAGATTAAATCATACTTGAAAAACAAGGTGCCCACTAGTGACTGCTCCTGTCCAAGGTTAGAAGAACACAGAAGACTAAAAGCACGGGCCTTGGAGTTAACCAACCCAAGGTCTGATGGTGCAGATATGTGTGCAGTGACAACCTCTCCAAACTTCTGGTCCTTCCTCAGTAAAACATGCAAAGAACAGTACTTATCTCAGAAGGCTGAGGTGACACTTAAGGTGACCATGTACATATTAGGCGCAGTGTCTAGCAAGCGCAAGCCCTCAGTCAAAGCTATTTCTCTTTCGTCCTTGGTTGTGGAATAATCTCGTGTTTTAGGTGTTCTTTCCCTCTGTTTTCCCCATCAAGATCTGCTGAATATAAAGAGGCAAAACCTGTAAGAGCTGCGGGTCAGCATTGCCAGGTGTAGAAAGCCACCATAGTGTAAGCTAGCCAAGCTATGAGATAGATTTCCACCTGGGTAGGAAGCAGTCAAAAAGCCAAAAAGTCTTGCTGTCTGCCCAGCCTGCCTCTTGGTTTCTAATTCTCATGGCGGGTCCTATTTCCCGCTGTTGTCTTGTCCCTGTGTTTGGCCTTCTTTTCTGTTTTTAGAGGAGTTCCTCTTGCTTGACCTCTATTTATCTCCTTGCCTTCCACTTGGAGATCTGCGCCTTTCTGGGTTTTAACTGCCTGTTGCTTTTAACCATGTCCTTCCTCTTGCCTTTGGGAACTTATGGGCTTCTTCTAACTTCCTGATTGGCACCGGGTTTCCTGCTTTTTGTCCTTTGATTCATGTGCCCTCCTTTCTTCTGCTTGCTTATGTGGTCTTTGACTCACTCATCTTGTCTCTTTCTTTGGCATTTTATACCAGCTAGGTTTTGATCCAGGTTTTGTAATGACTTATGGATGCTGTATGCACCCTGACTTGTGAGTGCTTACCTAGATGATGTGCAAAACATTTAGCAACTGGTATAGAAGGGACACTGCCCAGTCAGAATGGTTGTTTATCAACAATGAGGACAGTTGTCCCCATGCACACCGCTTGAATAGCAGCCCAGCTCACTGGACTCCACACTCCTCTAACCACTCTGATGAGGGACCTCCTGGTCCTTTCTTAGGGCTTGTGCCCCAGCTTGTCTCCTTTCTCCTCATGTCCAGGCTTGGCATGGCTGGCCTTGTGCCCTATTTTGTGAGCTCCTGCCACTCACAGTCCTGGAGTTGACTTTCTCATCCCCACCCTACCTAGCTCTCACCAGGGGAACCTAGGAATAGTGATGACACATGTGAAAGAGGTAATTAGTGGGGCAGCCTTGATGCCAAAACAGGATGGCAAATCATAAAAGCAGAAATAGCAAGAAATCACAGCTTTAAGGAAGGTTGTGCTGAAACATGGGACCAAGGCCAAGGAACTCAAAATGGCTTTGGGAGGAAAGGTGGCTATTTCAGTCCATGGAAGAGCCATAGCAGAAGAGCGCATCTCATTTTACACAACCACGAAGCCTTAAAGTTACGTAGAATTGACTTTTTGGTGTGCTGAAAATAAAAATGGTTCATAGTATACAACAAAGGACTAAGCAGGAGAATTTATAGGAAGAAAGTTAGGAAATTTAGGATGAAAAAGTAGACTGGGGTCAAACTGTTATGATCCATTAAAACCAGAAACTGAAATTTGAATTCTAATCTGTAAGTAATGTGAAGCACAAATACTTACAACTTACACATTTAATCATATGTCCTGACCTTTCACTCAAAAATGCATTAAAGGCAGTTTCTCAAAGGTGGTTCCATGTAACGATAGCCCCTCAAGATATTTTTCATTTTTTATTTTTGCACACAGTTTGGGAAACATTACATATCACATCCTATGGACATTCCCACCCCATTTACATCCCCATATACAATGATCATTAACCCATGAAAGGCTCTGAAAAGTCAAGAATAAACCAACTTGTCCAGCTTTGTTTAGTGTTTTCCACATCTGGCTAGGCAATTTCTTTTTCTTGTAACCCATTAACATTCTATGTATTTTGGGGAATACTGACTGAGAGATTCACAAGTACACACAGACATTCATGCAAGTAAATATGTATACTTTAAATTAGTATTTTCATGTATACATAAACACATATAATCCAGGTAAAGCAAAAATATCTTTGCAGCAAGGGATTCCGTGTAAGAGATTAAGTGTTGTAAGAGTTGATTCTGTTTTCGTGGTCTGGTAACAGGAAGTCTCTTCTGCACATGCCTTCTATGAACCTCTTTGAACCACTTAAAGTCTATAAGGAAAACATTTGGTTGTATATGATTTACACACAAGGGAATGAGAGGAAACCCCAAAACTTCTATCCTATCACAAAGCTAAATCATTTTTCCCCCAACACTACCCTAACCCAAAATAAAATGAACCACTGCCTATGTTCTCAAACTTCCTTACACACTGACACAGATCTCGGACACAGAGAGGAAAGGGACAGCACTTTCGGGATGGTTCTTGGGTAGGGCTAGAATTTCTTAGGTATGGAGAATTACTAATACTTTGAAGTTGAAGCTAGAGGATGGGGTACTTAAGCATAAATGATTGAGAGTAGCCAAGATAAACCAAAAATGGGAACACCAACCCCCCGTCCCCCCCACTCACACCTCCAATAGGTGATTTCAATTTTGGGAAGGTGAAGCCAAGAAATTCCCCACAGATTCACTGCAGCTGTTTGTCACGAACCACCCCCGTCTTCTACAACACTTTCTCTTTATTCGCTTATTTATTTTATTGACTTCCCCATTTCTTAAAGTTCAAATCTATAGAAAAGTTAAAAGAATAGTACAATAAACATTTGTTTTCTTCTTGATTCACCAACCGTCATCATTCTGCCACATTTGCTACGTTCCTGAACTTGTTCTGCTACCCCTATCCTTTTTTTTTTTTTTCTGACACAGCTGAAAGTTGCAGATGTCATGACACTTCACCTCCAATATCCACATCTCCAAAGAATAAGGATTGTCTGGTCTAGGTAACCACAAGAATGAACTATTATTGCACCTAAGAAAATTAACACCAATTCCATAATATCATCTAACATGCAATCCATATTCAAACATCCCCAACTATCTCCAAATTGTCTTTTATAGCTTTTTTTTTTGCATCTAGGATTCAAAGTTCACACATCCCAATTCACTATTGTATCACTTGAGTATTTTAACCTACAATAGTTGCTCCCATTTGCTCTGCCCCATCGCCAAGTCTTTTTGCAGGAACACTACAGAGGTGAAATTATGCCTCCTTATTGCTTCACAACGGGAGACTCGCAGTAGATGCTGCTAAACTTGGTCATTTGGTTCCAGTGGTGACCTCCTAATTTCTCCATTGTAAGGACAAATTTTCCCAGAGTAAACTGTGGTGAGATACTTTGAAATAATATGAAAATCCTATTCCCCAACCACCTTTCACTCAAAGGTTTTGGACCAGTTGGTAAGTCCTTGCCTTATTCAACTGTTATGTTAGGTTTGCAGAGCGCCGAGTTCCTGATTCTCTCATTCCTTCTATTGCATATTTCTTTTTCAAACAATGATCCATCAGTACGCAACTTCTCTTTTCTGTGTATACACATTCTGGTTACTTCTTGCTGGGGCTTCCTCCCCGACCTCCATGCTGACCACATTTGACCACTCGTGCCCAGCCCTAGGGAGCCACTAATCCTTTATCTGCTGATCCCATCACTTCACCTTCAGCAAATTAAAGACAAAAACAAACCCCATCATTTTGTTGCCCACCAATGTACAGTACCTTACAAAAATTAAAATGATTGCAATGCGTATTTATTGGGTTAGACTGAAGAGAGTCGATCGAGAAAATCAGTTTTATCTTTAAAAAAAAATCAGATTGCTGAAGCTCTGAAAAATCTTTCCTCCTCACTAGGGTAGAGGCGCTTGTTGTCACAATTAGGCTTTTTGTAGTGCTGTTAAACAGAAACACTCTCATCTTTTCAGTTCCCTGAGAGGGGAGAATCTTGGAAGAACAGAGGTTTACAAATCATTTAGCCCAAACGCCCCTTTACATGCAGAGGCCCAGAGAGGTGGAGGGACTTGCCCAGGTCCCTCAGCTCCTGAATGGTCAAGCTAAGAGGAGAACCTGGTTTTTAAAACACCTCCCCCGATCTTCTTTTCATTCCCGTCCTAAATGCCTCGTGATTCAGATATGTAATGGGCACAGACGAAGCTGCAGTAAGCACGGCCTCCTTCACTGCTAATTTGCATTGTGACGGCATCACCTTCCTACCTCTGAATACTCTAAAAATTCCCATTAGAAGCCTTTTATTACTGTTTTAAAAATCCACCTTCATTTCCGCAGGTCAACAGGGAACATTTAGGAAGCCTCAAGGGAGCACATACTACAATTACTTTAACCAGAAAAGTAATAACAATAATAATAAGGTTCTCGAGGATCCGCACGAGGCCGCTTACTGGGAGGCTGAAACGCCCTGCGAGTGACAGCTCCAGCGATCTCAGGAAAGACGCCGGCCAGTCCACCCCTCCCCATCGCCTGCTGAACGAGGCAGGGAGATGCATACCGCTCCAGGAGCTCACCAAACATGCACAGGAAGGGGAAAAGTGGGGGAACAAAGCCCGGAGTGGAAGAACACAGCCCCGCAGCCCGGGAGGACAGGAGACCGCGCCCTCCCCGCTGCGGCCCAGCGGGCTGCAGAGGCTGCGGCACCGCAGTGCGGGGCGCGGGACTCACACCCCGGCGGGCGCCTCCCGCCCGGGCGCAGCGCCTGGTCTCCCGGCGCAGCCGACCGGGCCGGGAGGCGAGAGGCGAGAGGCGGCCCGGCTCTGCACGCCCGCCCGGCCGACCGCCCATGTCGCGGAGCATCCTCCCGCGGGCAGGGAGGGCACGGCGGCCACCGCGCTGCGGGCCCGGGGGCTGCAGACACCGGCTGTCCAGAACAGGCCCCACCCGCCCCCCGGGGCGCTCACCCGTCCGTGCGCTCATCCCGGAGCCGGCTGTGCTGGCCGTCAGTCCGTCAGCCCCGGTGGAGCGGGGCCGGGAGAACAGGGGCGGCGCCGTGGCCGGGGCGAGCGCGGCGATCAACAGGCGGCTCCCGGCCGGGCGCGGCGCCGGGGCGCGCGGCTGCAGCGGAGCAGGCTGGGAAGCGTAGTTCCCGGCTGAGCCTCGCCGCGGCCCCGCAGTCCCCCAGCCCCGCCCTTCCCCGACAGGTGTCCTCTCCCGGAATCGGGGTCTGAACCCCGCCACAGCTCTGCAGGGGAGGAAGCACCTGGGTCGGGGAGAAGCCTGGGCAGGCTCTTTGGAGACGCTCGGGGCTCCGGAGAGCGTGGATGGCAAAGGCTTTCAAGCCTGTGATGAGCATTCCTGTGAGCGAGCATCCTGACACGGAAGCCGCGTTGAGAGCGGTCTCAGGTACAGACCCCGCCCGCCCCAGGTTTTCCTGGCTGGGCGTGGGCGTGGGAGGAGAGAGTAGTTGGGTTGGCAGCCTAGGGAGGGAAGGAGGTAAGCGAGGTGGAAGTTAGCAAGGCTCTAGGGTGATGGCGTGAGGGGCTGGAGAGCCCAAGCGCAGTGGCGGCTTCACTGAGGTGAGACCGGACAACTTAGCCTGTCTGAGCCTTCGCGTCCTCATCTGTAAAACAGGCTTCAAGCTTGAAAAAGTGTTGTGAGGATTAAGCGACCCATAGCACTTAGGATCTGGCACTTAGTGCATACTCAGTGAAAGTTCCTTCCTTGGGGTTTCCGAGGGAGTTCTTGGGCCGGGAAAGTCCTATATGTCGTGCTAACCTAAAGATAGTTGGACCTCGTTGGGCTGGGTAAATGTTAAAATCCACTGGGTTTGTTAGTCGTTGAGCCCGTTCACTTCATCCCTGAATATACCCTGAGATGTTCTGTCTGCCAGGTTCTTGAGAGCTCCAAAGATAGAGAAAATAAAGTCAAGTTTCTGAAGCATGACAGCAGAGTGGGGTGACATAGGACAAAGACCAACATTATGAAAATACATGGCATCTAGATTTAACTTCCAGAGGCCTTTTCTAATTAGATGTGATATCTCTCTCCTTCTTGAACTTTTGCAGCATATTTTGAGCATAACCTTTGCTTATGGGACTTATCTTGGCAGTCTAAGGTTCGTTGAGTTTTGCAAGTTGCTGCTATGCAGTGTTTCACATGATGGTGGGATTTGCATTCACAGATGTAGTGGAGGAAAATGAACCAAAGGGATGGATGCAGCATGGCTGGTGTAATCTCTATATGAAATTTTAGGCAAAATGTGAAAAGAGGTGAAACAGCTTTATAGTCTGTCTGGCACGAGGTGTGCAGTAATCGTGTGGCCAAAAAAACGTGCTGCAGAGGAAATTCCACATCTGAAAATGATAACACTGGTTTGCATTTATGAAAATACTTTCCTATTTGTGTTCTCATTTGATTTTTACAAGAACCCTTGTGAGACAGGCAGAGTGAAGGTATTTTTCCCCAATGATAGTTAATAAGAGGCACAGAGAGGTGATGTGACTTATTCAAGGTCATAGGGGTGTTCAGTAAGCCTGTCTTCTCTCCTTCCACTGTGGGCACCCCCAGCACTGTCTCCCTTTTGCACATTGCAAAATAGGGCCATACCTTCCCCAGCAGATGGGTTGAACCAGAAAGTAAAGTTAATCCTCTAAAACTCTGGGAACTAGCATGATGAACACTGGCACGCAGTGGCTGCTGACTGAGAGACCAGTGTTGTTTCTATGATCAATTGTGGTAATGGACTATATCTTGGGCCTCCTGTCAGAATGACAAATCTGAGCCAGAAAGAGTTAAATGAAATGGGGGTGTGACCAAATTACTTTAAGTCATGTTCCCAAGTTTTCCTGTACATTTGTTATTCCGAATGTCCTGTGTAACCGACAGGATGCCTTTGACTTTTTTATGTTGTACATTTGTTACAGTCATAGCCTTCTGTTAAATAAGAACAGGGCTGCTTACGGATCGAGCCAGCAGTTTTCCCAGAGAAAGCTGATAGTAGGCATATGCTGAAAATAATAAAGCAATTTCATTCATATTGGAAGAAAGAGTAGCAAAGGTGCTCAGTAGTGTACAGTATTTCTCTTTGGTTTCCCGTGGTTCTGCACGAGGAAAATGGCTGCATGTGATAAAACGAATAGAGTATTCCTTCAGAAACTAGCCATGAAAGGAAGCAGACAGGGGAATGATTTAAGTTAAAGTCATGTTCGGCAGTCGAAGCAGAGATACAAGAGCTATCCTACAGCCCCAGAGCCATGCTCCAGGAGGATGCTGACACCAAAATAAAGTGAGTTGTGAAAAGAAACTTCTGATCAGTCTCTGTCTGTATGATGAGTGTTGGAAGCTGGAAGGTGTTAAAGGATGAGTGAGGGAAGTAGAACATTTAACCTAATGTTAAAACTTAATGGAAAGATATTACCAGTTCCAGTCTGTTTAGCTCTTTAAATCTATTGCCTATGTCTTATCTTAAGGAAGAAAGGATGTCAATATGCCTATGACTTATCAGTTGAAACCCATGATCATTTCTGGACCATATCTTGTAAGTTTAACTTTTCTACTTGCTTTTTAGAAGATGAAAATGTAAAATTGAAACAGAACTCCTGGAGCTGGAAGGGACCTTACATATCATTTTGTGTAGCCATTTCTTCCTGTAAATGAGGAAGCTGATATATTGACTGTAATTGTCAAATGGCAGAAAGGAAAAAAGTTCAACGTGGCAGTTATAATGAAGTATTTTAATTATTCACAGTGGAATATGTAGCACACCTCATTAGGAACAGGTAGTAGACACTGTTGGTTGTCTATTAAACATTCAGTCCACCCTCTTCTTCTTTATAGAAGCCTATATGGGTGTTTACACATTAGGAAAGGTGACCCTATTAGCCTCTGAGAGGTACACTCTCAAATCTATCATAGACAAGAGGAATAGAATCCTCTTAACTGGCCTGTAAGAGTTTAGGAGTGGACATGTGACCCAGTTCTGGCCATTGTAAAGAGATACGATGAATCTGGGTCGGCCATATTGTTGTTGAGTCAGTCATCAACCAGCCCCAGTGCTGCCCTTCTTCTGGATTTCTTGTTATATGAGATAATAAATAACCTTATTGTTGAGTCAATTTGAGATGGAGTTTTCTGTTACTTGAAGCTGAAAGCATCCTAAGTGTTAAAGATGAAATGTGAAAGTACATTCTTTGGATGGACTGAAAGACTGCTTCCTAGAGTTGATTAAAAACAACCACCACAAACCACAGGCAATGTGATGGGATATTATCATATAACAGATAACAACATGGGTTTTAACATCAGAGAGTTTGAACCCAGATATTTACTGGCACAATGACTATGGCCAAGTTTCTGTAACCTCCCTTAAGCCTCATTTTCTTCATCTTTTTTTTTTTTTTTTTTTTTTTTTTTGAGACGGAGTCTTGTTCTGTCACCAGGCTGGAGTGCAGTGGTGCGATCTTGGCTCACTGCAACCTCTGGGTTCAAGCGATTCCCCTGCCTCAGCCTCCTGAGTAGCTGGGACTACAGGTGCTGCCACTACACCCGCCTAATTCTTTGTATTTTAGTAGAGACGGGGTTTCACCATGTTGACCAGGATGGTGTCGATCTCCTGACCTTGTGATCCACCTGCCTCGGCCTCCCAAAGTGCTGGGATCACAGGCGTGAGCCACCGGGCCCGGCCTTCTTCATCTCTTAAACTGAGGATAATAATACTTACCACATGGGGTTATTAGAAAGACTAACTGAGATAATTTGTGTCAAAGATGCTTCAAAGGATATGGTGGATGATAAAGACTAAAGGAGCAGTGACTATGTTGATGAATTATGAATTAAATCGTATGTGTAGTATAATTGACAGCAAACATCTAAAAGCTAATTACTATGTAATCATGATCATGTTAAATGATACCACAGTGATGCAATCAGCAAAATCCAAAATATAGGAAGCTCTACATGACAAACAACTGATTCTTCAATAAATAAATTGCAAGAAAAATAAAAGGAGAGAAAGCTTATAGATACACAGAAATTCAAGAGACAAATAACAAAATGTAATGTGTGATCTTAATTTGAGAAAGCAGCTGTTAAAAATTCACATTAATGAGACAATTAGGGAAAATGTGAACACAGAATATTTGATTATATTAAGGTCTGTTTTCTAAAATTATTATTATTATTTTGAGACAGAGATTTGCTCTTGTTGCCCAGGCTGGAGTGCAATGGCGTGATCTCGGCTCACCACAGCCTCCACCCCCTGGGTTCAAGCGATTCTCCTGCCTTAGCCTCCCAGGTAGCTGGGATTACAGGCATGCGCCACCACGCCTGGCTAATTTTGTATTTTTAGTAGAGATGGGGTTTCTCCATGTTGGTCAGGCTAGTCTCAAACTCCTGACCTCAAGTGATCCGCCTGCCTCAGCCTCCCAAAGTGCTGGCATTACAGTTTTTGTTGTTGTTGTTGTTGTTGTTGGTTTTGAGACAGAGTCTTACTCTGTTACCCAGGCTGGAGTGCAATGGCGTGATCTCGGCTCACTGCAACCTCTGCCTCCCGGGTTCAAGCAATTCTCATGTCTAAGCCTCCCAAGTAGCTGGGACTACAGGCGTGTGCCACCAAGCCCGGCTAATTTTCGTATTTTTTTTTTTTTTTTTTTTTTTTTAGTAGAGACAGGGTTTCACCATGTTGGCTAGGCTGGTCACGAACACCTGACCTCAAGTGATCTGCCTGCCTTGGCTTCTCGAAGTGTTGGGATTACGGGCATGAGCCACCATGCCTGGACTAAGGTGTTATTTTAAAAAATTTTTTGATGTGACAACAGTATCATGATTATTTTTTTGAAGAGTCCTTACTTTTTGGAGCGATAAACTGATTATTTACAGAAGAAATAATATCAGGAATTTACTTTAAAAATTATCGAGTGTGGGAGACGGGGTAGAGTGGTGGGGTGGGGTATAGATGAAATGATTGGCCATGAGTTGATAATGGTTGAAGCTGAGTGTTGGAGCTTTATTAAACCATTCTCTCTCTTTCTCTCTCTCTAAATACAGTTTTGTTAAGACATATTTCACATATCATAAATTCACCTTTTTAAAATGCACAGTTCAATGGTTTTTAGTATATTCACAGAGTTGTGTAACTATCTCCCAATCTATTATAACTTTAGAACGTTTTCAAAACTTCAGAAGAAACCACAGACATGTTAGCACTCATTCCTCATTCCCCCTACACACCCAGACTCTGGCAATCACAAATTTATTTTTTGTCTTCTCTAGATTTGCTTATTCTGGATATTTCACGTAAATGGAATCATACAACATGTTGTCTTTTATGACTGGCTTCTTTCCCTAATTATAATATTTTTAGGGTTCATCCATGTTGTAATACACATTAGTACTTTATTCTTTTTTATGGCCAAATAGAATTCATTGCATGGATAGACCACATTTTGTTTATCTGTTCATCAGTGGATGGACATTTAGACTGCTTCCACAGTTTTGCTGTTATGAATAATGTTGCTATGCACACTCATATACAAATTTTTGTACAGATATATTTTTATTTCTCTTGGGTATATATCTAGGAGTGCAATTACTGTGTCATATGGTAACTTTATATGAAGCATATTGAGGGACCACCAAACTGTTTTCCAAAGTATCTGCACCATTTTACATTCTAACCAGCAATGGGTGAAAATTCCAATTTCTCCACATCCTTGCTAACACTCGTTAATGTCTTTTTAAAATTATAGCCATCCTAGTTAATATGCAGTGGTATCTCATTGTGATTTTAATGATTTCCCTAATGACTAATGATGTTGAACATTTTTTCATGTGCTTACTTGCCATTTTATATCTTCTTTGGAGAAATGTCTATTCAAATCCTTTGCCTACTTTATTTTTCAGTTGGACTATTTGTTTTATTGCTATTGATTTATAAAAGTTCTTTATATGTTCTAGACACAAGTGCCTTATTAGATATGCGATTTGCAAATGTTTTCTCCCATTGTGTGTGTGTGTGTGTGGTGTGTGTTTTTAACTTTCTGGATGGTGTTCACTGGTAAACATCCCTTGCTAGTTTGAGGGAGTTCCTGTTTATTCCCACTTTGTTGAATGTTCTTATAACAAAAGGGTGCTGGATTTCATCAAAGACTTTTTCTGTGTCTGTTGAGAGGGTCCTGTGGGTTGTTTTTCCCTTTATTCTGTTAATATATTGTAATACATTGATTTTCAGGTGTTAAATTTACCATTAATTCCTGGGATAAATCCCAGTTGGTCATGGTATATAATCTTTCTACATGTTGCAAGGTTTAGCTTGCTAGTATTTTGTTGAGAATTTTTGTGTCTACATTCATAAGAAATATTAGTCTGTAGTTTTTTTTTCTTGTTATGTCTTTGGTTTTGGTACTAAGGTAATACTGGCACTATAAAATGAGTTAGAAAGTGTTCTATTTTTTTGGAAGTGTTTGCAAAAGATTAATATTAGTTTTTCTTTAAATGTTTGGTATAAATCACCAATGAAGCTATCTAGGTCTTGGCTTTTCTTTGTTGGAGGTTTAAAAATGACAAATTCAGTGTTTGCTTGTCCTATGTCTATTCAGATTGTGTATTTCTTCTTGAGTCAGTTTTGTTAGTTCATGTCTTTCTAGGAATTCATTCACTTTATTTAAGTTATCTAATTTGTTGTCACACAGTTGTTCATAACATTCTTTATTATTCTTTTTATTTCTCTAAGATCAGTAGTAATATCCCCTTTTTTATTTCTGATTTTAGAATTTGAATCTTCTCTTTTTTTTCTTGGTCAGACTAGGTAAAGGTTTGTCAATTTTGTCGATCTTTTCAAAGAATACACTTTTGGATTTGTTGACTTCCTTGATTGTTTTTCTAGTCTCTGTTTCATTTATCATAACTCAGATGGTTTAGCTGGTGAATTCTACCAAACATTTAAGGAAGAATGATACTAATTCTCCACAACCTCTTTCAGAAAACAGAAGCAGAGGAAACACTTCTTAACTAATTCTATAATGCCAGTTTTGCTCCAATATCAAAACTAGACAAAAATATTACAAGAAAAGAAAATTATAGGCCAATATCTCTCATGAATACACATGTAAAAGTCCTCAACAAAATATTAAAAAATTGAATCCAACATTTTATAAAAAGAATTATACACCACAACCAAGTAGGATTAATTCCAGGTAAACAAGGCTGGTTCAACATTCAAAAAAATTAATTAATATAATCTATCACATCAACAGGCTAAAGAGGAAAAAAGTCATATGATTATATCAATAGATGCAGAAAAAACTTTTGACATAGTTCAACATCCATTCATACTAAAAAGTCCTCAGCAAACTGAGAACAGAGGGGTACTTCCTCAATTTGATAAAGAACATCTATGAAAAACTCTACAGTCAACATTATATTTAATGGTGAGAAGCTAGATGCTTTTCCCCCAAGATTGGAAACAAGGTAAGGGTATCCCCTGCCACCCTCTATTCAACATTGTATTGGAAGTCCTAGCAGATGCAATAAGACAATAAGGGGGAAAAGGGATATACGGATTGAGAAGGAAGAAATAAAACTGTCTTTATTCATAGATAACATGATTATCTATGTAGAAAATCCCAAAGAATTGTCCAAAAAACTTCAAAACCCTCCTAAAACAAAAAAATCCAAACTCTGGAACAAAGAAATGATTATAACAAGATTGTAGGATACAAGATTATTACAGAAAAAACTACTGCTTTCCTGTAATTGGAATTTGAAATTAAAAGCACAATGTCACTTACATTAGCACCAAAAAAGAAAAAAGGAGACAGACAGAAACAAATAAATACTTAGGTATACATACAATATCTATGTGAAGAAAACAACAAAACTGATGAGAGAAATAAAAGAAGATATGAATAAATGGGGAGGTATTCCATGTTCACAGATAGGAAGGCTCAATATTGCTAGGATGTCACTTCTTCACAATTTGATCTATTGATTCAATGCAATCCCAGTCAAAATCACAAGTTACTTTGTGGATATTGACAAATTGATTCCAAAGTTTGTATGGAAAGGTAAATGGCTTAGAAATGCCAATGCAATACTGAAGAAGAACAAAGTCAGAGGACTTACCCAACTTTAAGACTTACTATAAAGCTACAGTAATAAAGACACTGTAGTATTCTTGAAACAATAGACAAATAGATCAATGGAACAGTATAGAATGTCCAGAAATAGACCCACACAAATATAGTTAGCTGATTCTTGACAAAGGAGCAGAGACAACTTAATAGAGAAAAAATAGTCTTTTCAGCAAATGTTGCTGAAATAACTAGACATCCACATGTAAAACAATGAATCTAAACACAGACCTTATACTGTTCACAAAAATTAACTCAAGATGAATCAGCCCACTGGGTGCAGTGGTGCTTGCTTGTACTCCCAGCTACTCAAAAGACTGAGGTGGGAAGATGGTTTGACTCCAGGAATTTGAGACCAGACTGGGCAATATAGTGAGACCCCCATCTCAAAAAAAGGAGGGGGAAATCCATTGATCACAGAAGTAAATGTAAAACACAAAAACACAAAACTATAAAACTTCCAGAAAATAACATAGAATATCTAGGTTGTACCTTTATACACAACACCAAAGTATGATCCATGAAAGACAAAATAGAAGTCCTCAAGTTAGACATATGTATGTATGTATGCATGTATGTATTTTTGAGTCAGAGTCTCACTGTGTCCCCCCGGCTGGACTGCAGTGGGGCGATCATGGCTCACTGCAGCCTCGAACTCCTGGTCTCAAGTAATCTTCCCATCTCTGCCTTGTGAGTAGTTGAGACTACAGGCATGTGCCACCACAACTGGCTACGTCTTTCTATTTTTTTTAGAGACCAAAAAATATGACTATTTTGGCCAGGCTGGTCTCAAACTCCTGACCTCAAGGGATTCTCCTGCCTCAGCCTCTTAAAGTGCTGGTATTACATGCATGAGCCACTGCACCCAGCAAGTTGGCCTTTATTGAAGTTAAAAACTCCTGCTCTGAGAAAGACCCTGTTAAAAAATTTAAAAGGCAAGCCACAGACTGGGAAACAATTATTTAAAAACTATGTATCTGCTAAAGGACTTACATTCAAAATATACAAAGAGCTCCCCCAAACTCAACATGATACATGTTACAACATGGATGAAACTTGAAAACATTATGTTAAGTAAAATAAGCCAGACACAAAAGGAAAAATATTGTATGCTTCCACTTATGAACTATCTAGAAGAGTCAAATTAATATGACCGAAAGTAGATTAGAAGTGATCAGGGACTGAGGAAGGCTGGAATGTGGTTATTGCTCAATGGTTAAAAATTTATTTTTGAATCCCAGCACTTTGGGAGGCCGAGGTGGGTAGATCACCTGACGTCAGGAGTTCAAGACCAGCCTGGCCAACATGGCGAAACCCCATCTCTACTAAAAATACAAAAATCAGCTGGGCATGGCGGTGCAGGCCTGTAATCTTGGTGCAGCTACTTGGGAGGCTGAGGCATGAAAATCGATTGAACCCAGGAAGTGGAGGTTGCAGTGAGTGGAGATTGTGCCATTGCACTCCAGCCAGGGCGACAGAGCGAGACTCCGTCTCAAAAAAAAAAAAATTTCTTTTTGGAGTGATGACAAACTTTCGGAAATAGATAGTGGTGATAGTTGCATAACATTGTGAATATATATATATTATTTATATATACATTATATATATATTTAATTATTATTTTTGTGAGATAGAGTCTCCTTCTGTTGCCCAGGCTGGAGTGCAGTGTTGCTATCTCGGGTCACTGTAACCTCCGCCTCCCAGGTTCAAGCGATTCTTCTGCCTCAGCCTCCCAAGTGGCTGGGATTACAGGCACCTGCCACCACACCAGGCTAATTTTTGTAGTTTTAGTAGAAATGGGGTTTCGCCATGTTGGCCAGGCTGGTCTTAAACTCCTGGCCTTAAGCGATCCACCTGCGTTGGCCTTCCAAAGTGCTGGAATAACAGGCGAGAACCACCACCCGGGCTGTGAATATATTTAATGTTACTGAATTGTAAGCTTAAAAATAGTTAAAATGGTGAATTTTATGTTATGTACATTTGTCACAATTCAAGAAATTAGTAATGTAATATAAATATGCAGAAAAGCATTGAATTATACACTTTAAATGGATGAATTATGTGATGTGTGAATTATATGATTTTGGTATCTTGTTTAAAAAACCCTTTGCTATCCCAAGGTTATAAAAATATTGTTGCAAAAGCATTAATGTTTGCTTTTCCCAATTATGTCTTTAATCAATCTATAATTGATTTTGATGTGTAGTATAAGACAGGGATCTAATTTCATCTTTTCTCACACAGAAAACTAACTGTTCCAGCAACATTTATTGAATATGTAACTTTACGTCTGCTATAGATTAAGTTATCCAATATATGTGAACCTGTTTGCTGGCTTACTTCCTTGTCCCTTTGTTATGTTTTCCTGCCTCAGTACCAGTCCCACATTGCTTTAGTTCTCATAGTTTTAAGTCTTCATGGCTATAAGGGTAAGCCTCCTTCCTAATTCTTCCTCAGGAATGCCTTGGCCCTTGTTAGTGCTTTATCTTTCATATGAATGTCAGCATAACTCTGTCATATCCTTTGAAGAATGCTATAGAGATTTTGTTTGCAATTTTAATGAATTTAACATTAGTTTGTAAAGAAAATGATATTTTCATTATTTTGCATTTCCCATTCACAAACATGGTATATCTCTGCTTTTATTTATATTTCTTTTATGTACTTCAAAAAAGTTTTATATTTTCCATACAATACACACTTTTCTTTCTTTCTTTTATTTTTTATCTTTTTATTTATTACCTTAAATTTTTTTTTCTGCTCCTACGCCACCAGGAACAATTTTCTCTTGTTAAATTTATTCCTAGGTATTTTTGGTGGTATGTGGAATGTCATCTTTTTCACACTTATATGATTGAGTGATGCAATTGATGTTTGTATATTGAGCTTGTATCTTTTAACTTTGGTGAACTCTCAATTGTTTGAACAGTTCCAATGTATTCATTATGTGTTGCCTATAAACATTTTAGTATTGCCTACTATCTGTAAATAACAGCTGATTTCTTTTCAATCTTCATTTCCTTTTCTTCTTTTTAAAATTGCCTTGGCAAAGACCTTCAAAACAATGTTAAATAGAGGCAGTAATAGGCTTCCTTTTCTTACCATTCCCTTCAAAGGAAATGCTTTTAATGTTTCATCTTTAATTGTGATGAACTTCTATGTTGTAGGTAGATACATATTAAAACAATTTTGAAGTTCTGGTTTAAGAAGGAAAACAATGAACATCTAATAACACCTCATGTAACTCAGTTCTTTTTTTTAAAAACAAAAAAACAAAAAAACAGGCCTGGCCAGGCGTGGTGGCTCAGGCCTGTAATCCCAGCACTTTGGAAGGCTGAGGCTGATGGATCACTTGAGGTCAGAAGTTTGAGAGAAGCCTGGCCAACATGATGAAACCCCACCTCTACTAAAAATACAAAAAATTAGGCGGGCATAGTGGCACATGCTGTAGTCCCAGCTACTCAGGAGGCTGAGGCAGGAAAACTGCTTGAACCTGGGAGGCGGAGCTTGCAGTGAACGGAGATCACACCACTGCACTCCAACCTAGGCAACAGAGCAAGACTCTATCTCAAAACAAACAAACAAACAAAGAAAACCCCAAAGCCAAACCAAAACAAAAAACCCCAGGGTCTCACTGTGTTGCTGAGGCTGGAGTGCAGTGGCATGATCTCTGCTTACTGCAGAGATCACCTACTGGGCTTAAGCAATCCTCCCACCTCACTTTCCCAAGTAGCTGGAACTACAGGAGTAGGCCACATGCTCGATTAAGTTTTGTATTTTTTGTAGAGATGGGTCTCACTATGTTGCCCAGGCTGGTCTTGAACTCCTGGGCTCAAGCTATCCTCCTTCCTTAGACTCCCAAAGTGCTGGAATGGGCCACTGCGCCTGGCTCAGTTCTTTAATCTTCAGATTAAAACTTCCAGCCATGCAGTAAACTTTTTCTTAGTGGAAAACATTATATGCTGTCTCATTCCTAGATTGTAAACTCTTTGAAGGAAGAGACTTCTTTCTTGAAACATTACCAGATCTTGTCTATATACTGAGACTCAAATTCTGCCTCTCTCTTGGGTCCTGAAATGGACACACTGGATACCACC
Source organism: Homo sapiens (assembly GCF_000001405.40). Lineage (NCBI taxonomy): Eukaryota > Metazoa > Chordata > Mammalia > Primates > Hominidae > Homo > Homo sapiens. Next base: position 51,739,449 of record NC_000015.10, on the reverse strand, counting down.
CAAAAGTTTATGCATGGCAGACTTATGCTAAACAATCTAAATTAGCATTCAGGATCTTTTTACTACACCTCAATTCAACCACTTGTAATTATGTATTTATTTTTTTTTTTATTCCACTGAGCTAGGCACTGCTGGAGCTAAAAAGATGAGTAAGACCCAGTTATGCCTCCCAGGAGCACGTATTTGTTGGAGGAGATAAGACAAGCTCATGCATGTACATGCAAGTACAAACACAAAACACAGAGAGTTAAATACTAAACCAGAGGTATTAATACAAACCTCTTGGAGTTCAAAGAAGAAACAGTAACAGTTGGGCAGGTGGGAAAAAGGGACCATTGGGAAGAATTAGGAAAAATCTCATGGAGGATGTATCATTTGAGACAGACCTTAAAGATTTAAACAATGTAATAGAGGGTACTGGAAGAGTGTTACCATTGGAGGGAATAACATGCAAGGTATGAAAGTAGGAACAAGGAGGCCAGTTTCAGAGGCTCTGTTTGGCAGGAATATGTAGAGTATACAGAATGAGTTATAGATGGGGTATGGTCAGACCATGAATAATAAAAATAGAAATAATAGCTTGAATGCCAATGTAGGTTTTTAGTAATGCTGTTGTCCCCAGAGAGCCATTGTAGGAGTTTTGAGTGGGATGGTGTTGTGGAAGCTTGCTCCTCTCCCATCCTTTCTCTCCTGAGCAATATTAGCTTTGCCTCTGTCCAGCACAGCAACATACCAAAACTTCAGCCAACGAATCAAACCCCCAGGCTCCGGACCTTCCTACAAGGTACCTCTTCTTGGAAAGCTGTCCAAAATAACACAGAAACCAGGCACTAGATGCTAGTAAATGTGTACCCACTCTGTGTATAATACAGTGTGTTGAAAGGGTGTTCAAGAGTAGACGGTGTTCAAATGAAGAGTACAGATAAGAGGTCTTTGGTGGTTATAATATTAATAGCAATACGGGGCAGGGAGATGCGATTTCAGGGTGTCAAAGAATAAACTGACGAAGAGAAGATGAATGCAGACAGTAAATTCCAACTACTGAGCCTGGAGAATGAATTGTATGTGGCCAGCCTTTCGAGGCAGCCAGGACTTAAATTGGCACTAGTGTACAAAGTGTGAAACCCGAACAACTAGGGGGGTTATTTTGAGGCCACCCATTAGGCCTTAGAAGCACTATCCCTCCTAGTGCAATGTTGAAAGGACTGGACTCTGAGGCTGTTGAGATGGACCTGGAGAAGCTGTCTGTGTGTGTTTGATGATCTTAAGTTTTACTGTGACGTGGACTTTGAGGTCACTGGGGTGGGGGGAGGGAAGTACCCTTGGCATTGGCAGAGCTGGAAGGTCTGTGCAAGCTGGCTCCTGCTGGGGAATCAATAAAGGAGGCAGAGCAACGCTTTTTTTTTTTTTCGCCGTGGCCAGGGCAGGGTTCTGCCAGGGCTCTATCGCCAATGGAGCAGGGGTCCACCTGGGGCCTAGGACGCCTGCAGATAGCCCTCTCTTAGCCCCAACGGCCGCGGGCTTCAGCGCTCCCCGGCTCCCTCGCTCTGCAGGGTCTTCCCGGTACCGGCAGGCCGCGGCGGGAGCTGCTTTCGCTCTTAACCTTGCAGGTGCGTGTGCCGCGGGCGCCCGGGGCAGGCAGGACGCAGAGGAGGAGGCGCCCGCCATGCCCGGCCTGCGGCTCCCCGCCTCGGCTTCCCGTCCGCCGCCCCCGCGGAACGGCCTGCTGCAGCCCCTGTGAAGAGGAAGAGGCGGCGGCGGCGGCGGAGGAGGAGGAGGCGCCGCCCCCTTGGCAAGCTCCCCGACCCGGCGGCCTCGGCAGGACCCATGGCGGATTCCTCGCCCGCACTGTCCCTGCGGGAAGGCGGCCCCCGCGCGCCGCGGCCCTCGGCCCCCTCGCCGCCGCCGCGCTCGCGCTCCGGCTCCGAGTCCGAGGAGGCCGAGCTGTCGCTGAGCCTGGCCCGCACCAAGACCCGCTCGTACGGCAGCACCGCCAGCGTGCGGGCGCCGCTGGGCGCCGGCGTCATCGAGCGCCATGTGGAGCACCGGGTCCGCGCGGGCGACACGCTGCAGGGCATCGCGCTCAAGTACGGTGTCACGGTGAGCAGGGCGCGCCGCCGCGGCCCGGGCTGGCAGCTACCGCGCAGGAGGCGGTGCGGCTCGGGGTGCGGTGGGGGTGGGGGTGGGACTGCGGGTGGGGGTTTGGGGGATGGGGAGTCGCAGGGACGGCCGTGCGTCCCCGGGCGGCTCGGCTCCCAGGGCTCGCTCAGCGCGCGCTGCTGGCCACCGCAGTGGTCGCCAAAGCTGGTCCTGCAGCGGGAGGGGCGGACCGCCAGGGCTCCCTCCCTAGGTAGCTGCATCGAGTTCCCGGTGCCCCGCCCAGGCTCAGACTAGATCTGTCGCGTGAGGGAGGCCGAAGAGGACTAGGGCTTTGGCATCCCCGTGAACCACCTTCACCCAATTTGCAGGCCCCATCACACTACTCTATATTTACGCAAAGCCCAACTGAGGTGAATTTTGTTGTCTGTGAAAACAAGCTCCGTGATGAGTCAGGAATGGTGCAGTTGTTCCTACTGGGTGGTTCTGGTTCTATCGATTATGCTTCTTTATGTAGAAGTGAAATTACACCCTCTGGGCTCACTGGCAACCGCGAATGTGACACCTGTCGCTAAGCAGCAGCCAAGAACTGTGGTGAGCTGGAGGGCTGCGTTTATTACAAATTTATAAGTGTGTGTGTCTTGGGTGTATAGCATTACACCTCTGGGAAGAACATGGAAACCTGAGGGAACAAATTGTTTCATTAAAATTACTTATAATTAACTGTGAGCTATGTGATGGCCTTTTTACATTTGGGATCTGTATCAGTTTTCAGTGTTCTTTCCTGAAGCACCTTAGACAGCAATGGGAAGAAAGAGGATCTTATCTATATCTTTCCCTTAAAGTGAAACTCTTTCTGGCCCTTTACCGAATGAAGGAGCATCAGTATGAAGGAGAATGTATTTTGCATATTTAAGCCGGTATATGTTTACCTATCAGGTCCTTCTATCTTTGAAATATTTTGAAAGGGACCTTGCTGTGCAGTCATGTATTGACTCTATCATGCCATGGAGAGCCCCATTCTGCCCTCTTGGGAGTTCTATACATGTGAACATAGAGCTACAATTCTCTATGTGCCTTAATGGGGCCTGGTTTGAGTCAGAGGCAGAGGAAAGCGAAGTTGGGAAATACCAGTAGCTACCCTCTGCTGAATGCCTCCTGTGTGGCAGGCATTGCGTTTGTCTTGTTTCATCTTTATCTTATTTAACTTTCACAATAAGCCCAGGAGGTAGGTGTAATTAATCTTTTTACAGATGAGAAGATGGATGAGAGGTAAGGATATTTTCCAAGTATGATCATTCATTGAGACCAGCTTGAATTAACAGTGATAAAGCATTTGCTTTCCTCTAGATATTACTTTTGATATCCATCCTTATTTTTATCTTAGTCTTATCAGGAGCTCTCTCAGCATCCTGGCTACTGAAGGAGGACAGTCTTTTCTATCTGGTTTTCAGGCATCTTGCCTTACTAGGCTAGTGACAGCACCTAAAAATCTATGACATGCAGAAGAGTGTTATTTCCCATGCTGTCTTCCCGTGCAATCTCTCTGTGACCCACAGCCGTCTGTGGTTTCACTTGAGTTGATTATAGATAACTCTTATACATCTGTTTACTGCAGTTTTCCACCTTTGATCAAATGCTTTCTAATCCCTGTTATGTCTAATATAGATCCTATTACTCATAACCTCATTACCCCTTTTTAAAATTAAAGTGTAGATCAGATTTTTCGTTGCTTTTATAAAGACTTTTGATTTTAAGATATTAAACACAAGGATAATGAATCAGGAACTATAATTGATAGTGACACATAGTTCATTACAGGGTTTCCCAACCTCAGCACTGTTGATGTTATAGACCAGATAACTCTTTGTTGCACGGGGTTGTCCTGTGCAGTGTAGAATATTTAGCAGCATCTCTGGCCTCTACCCACTAGATGCCAGTAGCACTCTCCCACCCCTATTCAGGCATTGCCGGATGTTCTCTAGAAGGCAAATTTACCCCTGGTTGAGGACCACTGGTTTATTACATGTATTTCTCATTACTTTGGGCCCTGGCTTATAGTTGATAAAATTTTTAGAGACTCCTCCACTGGTAATATAGAATCAGTGAAAGTGATAATACTTACCATAACAGTGAAGTGATATTCTTGTTTTAATATCTTCAGATTTTTTTTTTTTTTGAGACAGGGTCTCACTCTGTTACCCAGGCTGGAGTGCAGTGGCACTAACATGGCTCACTGCAGCCTCAGCTGCCGCTGCTCAAGTGATCTTCCCACCTCGGCCTCCTGAGGAGTTGGGACTACAGGCTCAAGCCACATGCCCAGCTAATTTTTGTATTTTTTGTAGAAATGGGGTCTCATTATGTTGCCCAGGCTGGTCTGGAACTCCTGGGCTCAAGCAATCCACCCACCTCAGCCTCCCAAAGTGCTGGGCCTACAGGTGTGAGCCACTGCACTGGTCTAATATCTGCAGATATTAATTAGGTTTACTCATTGTGAGATTTTAAGGTGGAAGCTAAAAAGGCAGAAAAATATTTTTCTTCTGACTGAACAGAAAGAAGTTGAGCAAATTAGGTTTCTGTTGTTGACTGGCAAGACCATCTACAACATATTTAAATGATTGTTTTAAAAGGTCGAAAATGAGATATTGGAGGCTTAGAGACTCAAGGCAGTGCACCTAGAAATTAAGTCAGTTCAGCAAACAGTTGACCTTAACATACCATGTCTGTCAATCTTGCACAGATGAGCAGAAACTCTCAGGAAAGCCTGTCTCTCCATGGCAACTCCTCAGCCACCCAGCTGGGTGTCAGGCAGGACTTCAGTCCTTTGGTGGAAGACTGATTAAGAGCCAGTCGTAGTCTAGGTACAAGGAAGTTCCCAGAACAGAGACTCCGACAAGGGGGTGAAGATGGAGACCTGGTTGCCAGCCCTGGATTACAAGGGTAACAAGCTGGGAGCCATTTTCTGAAGTGGTGCTGAAGGGCTGGCAGCAGGGCATATCTCAGGATGTGAGAATAGATCCATGTTCCTCAAATTGGCCTGGGCAGGACAGGAATACTCTGGGGCAAACTAAAAATAAAGGATCCTAGCTGACATTGGATCTATGGGATTGGAATACCCAGAAAAGGAGTCTAGGAGTCTCTGTTTTGTTTGTTTGTTTGTTTTTGTTTTTGAGACAAAGGCTCACTTTGTCACCCTGGCTGGAGTGCAGTGGCCTGATCTTGGCTCACTGCAACCTCCGCCTCCCGGGTTCAAGCTATTCTCCTGCCTCAGCCTCTCGAGTAGCTGGGACTTTAAGCACACGCCACCATGCCCGGCTAATTTTTGTATTTTTAGTAGAGATAGGGTTTCACTATGTTGGCCGGGCTGGTGTTCAACTCCTGACCTCATGATCTGCCCACCTTGGCCTCCCAAAGTGTTGGGATTACAAGCGTGAGCCACCGCATCTGGCCAGAGTCTCCATTTTTAACAAGCATGGCTGCTTTGCTTGTTCCCAAAGCACTGTTCTTCCTTGGGGTTCTTGCACTTGCTGTTCCATCTGTCTTTCTCTAATAGCTGGATACAGGGCTAGCTTCATGGGCATGTGACCTGCGCAGTCACAGAAGACCCCATGCTTAGAAGGGCCTCACACTTGGTTTAATGCTCTACTGTCATCTCTTGAAATTTTTAATAGTTTGTGAACAAGGGCCTCACATTTTCATATTTTTTTACTGGCCCTGGGCGAATGATGGAGCTGATTCTGGCTGAGTGATTTGTTCCCTCATTGCCTTCAAGTCTTTGCTTAAATATCTCATTCTTAAGGCCTTTTCTGCACACTCTATGTCAAATTGTAGCCTTTCTCCCTAGTCCCCCAGCGCTCCTCCCCAACTTCCCTGCCATGTTTTCCTAACAGTATTTATCATTCATCCAATTTTTTTTCTTTCCCTCAGAGCTACCTTTCTGGTGATACAATAGTGAGTAAATAAAAATCCATGTCCTCATAGAGCTTATATTTTAGTTAGTGGAGACAGTAAGTAGAAAAAGAAAATGTATCTTATATTGATAAGCATAATGAAAAAAAAACCAAGCAGGAGAGGGAGTTGGGGAGGGCTCGTGGAGATGGCTGGAATTTAAAATGGTGTGGCCAGGGAAGACCTTGCTGAGAAGGAGGTAAGGGAGGGAGCTGTGCAGATATCTGGTGAAGAACATTCCAGGCAGAAGGAATAACCAGTGGTGCAAAGGCCTTGAGGTGAGAACATAATTGGCACCTTCCAGGAGTACTGTGGCTGGTGCTTAGAATGCAGTGGGGTATAGTTGGACTAGATCACTTTGGACCTTGAAGACCATTGTAAGGGCTTTGTCTTTTTCTCTGAGTTGGGATGCATTTAAGGGGTTTGAGCCGAAGAGTGACATAATCTGACTTGTGTATTAAAACGATCACTCTGGCTGCTGCTTTAAAAATAGTTTGTAGGGAAGCTAGTACCAAGCAAGGAAACCAGATAAGATGGTGGCTTTTGCAGTAATGCAGGTGGGAGAGGATAGCAGCTGGGACCAAAGCAGTAGAGAAGGAAGGAGGTGGTGAGATGTGGCTGGGGTCTGGATGATTTGCTGATATGCTGTAAATGTTCTGCTTGTTTGTTTACTGTTTAGTTTGAATATCTCTCCCCTAGAGATGGGCCTGGGCATCCTGGGGATGGGAAAGAAGAATCTGGAGTTTCAAGAAGCTGGCTAGGCCTGACACCTGATGGACCCAAGTTCTTCTGCTAGTGACTTAGGAAAGATCATTATGACTCTTTCCTACCATCACCTTTTTAGCCATTAATAGCCATTAAAAACTGGCATTCATTATTTTCTTAACCAACTTCTATTGAGTCTGGTTGGTTTGAGGCCTTGGGCTAGATGCTGGGGCTAGAAGGTAATACATGTTGTTCTCTTTTTATTCATGGTGAGTTTTTCAGCTACTGCTTTCTAGTAGTTTCTAGCTACTTGAGAAGCCAGAGAATTTGTTTCATTGATGTTTGTATCTTCTGTGGCTAGCCTGGAGCCTGGCATGTTGTGAGTTCTCCGCATACATGTGGACTTCAGCCACAGGAAAGCTTGACTGGTATGAAGTAGCTAGCCATGGAGCTGAGCGGACCCTGGAAGTCAGGATCCAGGGCAGGGGCTGAGTGAAGAGGTGTGGCCTGCTGAAGACTTGAACTGCAAGATTTGGTTTGAGGCTCATTCTCAAATCTGTAAAAGACTGCTGCCCTTGCTGGTGCTCAGTGTTCATCTCCTCCCCTCCACCAGCAGTGGGTCTTTACATGGAATGACATATAAGTTTAGGCTTGAGCAGCTCTACCAGAGGAAGAGGCATTTGAGGAAGTGGGTCTGGGAAACTGAAACTACTTGGGGTGGGTTGAGTAACCGTTAAATATAGTTCAAACCTCAGACGTAAACTTGCTTGGCCTGGCATTCCCCTGGGTGTGTTTATCTCCACTGAGACATTAAGATTCCTTCCCTAACCCTGTATTCTAGATTTAGCTATTGCTTTTTCAGTGATCCTGGCTCCTCTCAGTTAGAGTCAAGCCTCTGGAGGAAATTGACCAGCTCTAGGCTGCCACCGTGAATTTTTGTGCAGAAACCCTGGAGAAACCTCCAGAGAGCCATATAGAAACTGAAAGTGGAAAGGAGGCAGCCAGGTGGACCTATGATTTGCATAAACTTTTTCTTTTTTCTCTTTGCTTCCTCCAGGCAGCTTGCCTGTCTTTTTCCCTCTCCAGAGGCCACCTCACCCCGCAGTACCCTCAGTTACTTCCTAGCCAGTTTTATTCCCAGGATTTTCTCTTCCTCTGCCAATTAGCTGCTAAGCCAAGTTGTTGCTTAACATTTCCGCTAACGAAAGTTACCTTGCTGAGAAAAGGTGAAATGATTGTCATTTTTGGGGGAATAAACATTGTGATTTAGAAACTCAGGTGCATGTAAATCTTTAGTGTTCATAACTTTAACCCCTGCTGCTGGTGGAGATTGCTGACCCTTGCTAGTTAAAGAGAAGATAACTATAAATAGAGCCACCAAAAGTGAGAGGTATGGCAAAGTAGCCTTTAGTCATTCGGGGTGTTTGTAGATTCTCATTATTTTTTTAAACACCTTTATTGAGGTTGTACACCACAAAATTCACCCATCTTAAGTGTACGATTCGATGACTTTAAGTAAATTTACAGAGTTGTGAGGCCATTGTTGGAATTCAGTGGTAGAACAGTTTCATCACCCCGAAAAGATCCCCATGCCCATCCATTCCTCTCACTCTTTGTTTCCTTCTTCAGTCTCAGACTACCACCAATATGCTTTCTAATCTATAGATTTGCCTTTTTTGGACATTTGCCATAAATAGAATCTCATGTACTTTTCTGACAGTGTGGGGAAGAAAAAAAGCCTTTTTCTCATGAACACATAGCAATGGAGGGGTCTGGTCTCATTGCCATCAACATCTAGAATGTAACAGGAGACAGATGTGGCGGTGAATCTTGGGAGAATCATTTAATATTGAAGTCTGTTTTCTGTAAACTAATAATCAGATGAGAGCTGTGTGCGTATATGAGAACATTCTGCAAGCCACACAGTGCTATGTACATGTTATTATGTATCCTGAAACATTTTTGGATGAGCTTATATCTTTTAAGGAATGGAGAGGAAGAAAAAGAAGTTTTGAGAATTGCATTCACTATTAGGTAGGTGGACTGATGATGCTGGCCCAAGATGGGAAGAGTTCTTGACCTTACTCAGCAGCCTGCTCTTAAGGTATCTTCTGGAGGGATGCTTTGTGAATTCCCTTCACAGGGGAATCATTGTATTTTATTTTATTAAAAAAAATTTTTTTTGAGACAGGGTCTTGCTCTGTCACCTGACCTGGAGCGCAGTGGCGAGATCTTGGCTAACTACAGCCTTGACCTCTCAGGCTCAAGCGATTCTCCTGCCTCATCCTCCCAAGTAGCTGGAACTATGGGAGTGCACCACCACACCCAGCTAAATGTTTTGGGGGATACTTTTTGGTAGAGATGGAGTTTCATCATGTTACCTAGGCTGGTCTCAAACTCTTGGGCTCAAGCAATCCATCTGCCTTGGCCTCCCAAAGTTTTGGGACTACAGGCATGAGCCACCACGCCTGGCTGGGGAGTCATTTTCAGTACGTTGTTTTTAAGTTATTGATGGCAGTTGTTCTACCTAATTTCACCATACTTGAACTTGTGACCACCCTTTGGCTGTTACTTTCCTTATTCTATAAACTGTTTCTTAGTGACCAGACAGTAAATTCATATTTCATTGAGTTACACTATTCAATCTAGGTTAAGGGAGACTTTTGAAATGAAAGCATTTGATCAGTGTACCTCCCCACTCCCATTCATCCATCCCTAAGAAACAGAGGATAGTCCTGCATCAGTTTGAAAGGACACATTTTCTAGTCTCAGCATTAATTGGATCTTAGGAAGTGTTGAACAGAGGGTAGGTGGGAAAGCTATAGAGTTTTCCAGCTCTTCCTTGGATTGGATCATGACTTTTCTTAGCTTTATATGAAGTGAAATTGCCAGAACAGTAGACCCAGCTACGTTCAGACAGAAGTATAAAACATACCAAAGGAGGCCAGGTGCGGTGGCTCATGCCTGTAATCCCAATACTTTGGGAGACCGAGGCAGGTGGATCACAAGGTCAGGAGATCAAGACCATCCTGGCTAACACGGCGAAAGCCCGTCTCTACTAAAAATACAAACAATTAGCCAGGCATGGTGGCATGCACCTGTAATCCCAGCTACTTGGGAGGCTGAGGCAGTAGAATAGCTTAAACCCGGGAGGAAGAGGTTGCAGTGAGCCGAGATCGTGCCACTGCACTCCAGTCTGGGTGACAGAGCGAGACTGCATCTCAAAAACAATAAAAATAAATAAATAAAAACATACCAAAGCAAAAGAAAACATCGTTTCACCATTTTGTATTTTTCAGTTTGTTGTCTGTGCTATGGCAGGTGCCTCTTTCTTGCTAATCCATTTTCTGCACCCAGCTGCTGAAGCAATCTTTAACTGTGATCAGATCATGTCACTCCCTGCCTTCACTCTCCAGTGGCTTCTCATCACATTTAAAATAAATTCCAAATTCCTTAACTTGGCACCCAAGGCCCTGCCTGGTTGGAAGTTTGCTTATTACTCCCTACACTTTAGCCACATGATTTTTTTCCTGCCCCAGGGCATTTGCTACTCCTTTTTCTAGATGGAATGCTTTTATTCCTGGCGCTTTGCATGTCTGATTTCATATTTCATCATGGGTAACAGAGTTTAGAGCCTATGCATTTGGCCTAAGCCATAGCTTGTAAAGAACAGGTTAAGATTTTCATTACCTTTTGAAAAACCTATTCAAAGCCTTTTGTGACATCTCAAAGCAGTGATGATATATTATGGTATTCATCTGGGCTTATCCATGTGAGATTTTCCCTATATATTCTTACTTTGGGGGAGAAACAAATTTTTTTTTTTTTTTGAGATGGAGTCTCACTCTGTCACCCAGGGTGGAGTACAATGGCACAATCTCGGCTTACTGCAACCTCTGCCTCCCAGGTTCAAGCGATTCTTCTGCCTCAGCCTCCCTAGTAGCTGTGATTACAGGCACCTGCCATCATGCCTGGCTAATTTTTGTATTTTTAGTAAAGATGGGGTTTCACCATGTTGGCTAGGCTGGTCTTGAACTCCTGACCTCAGGTGATCCACCTGCCTCGGCCTCCCAAAGTGCTGGGATTACAGGAGTGAGCCACAGTGTCCCGCTGAGAAACAATATTTTATGGGAGAAAATTTCTACCTTCTTCCTTCTCATTTGCTGATTATACATTAGAATCTGCCCTTACCTGTTGCTTTCTTACTTTTCATTAAATTTAATGATAATAATTGCTGACACCTTTGAGTACTTCTTGTGTGCCATATGTGTGTGTGTGTGTGTGTGTGTGTGTGTGTGTGTGTTTTCTCCTGGAGTACAATGTTGTGATCTCGGCTCAGTGCAACCTCTGCCTCCCACCTTCAAGTGATTCTCATGCCTCAGGCTCCCGAGTAGCTGGAATTACAGACATGCGCCACCACGCCTGGCTAATTTTTGTATTTCTTTTTTTTAGTAGAAATGAGGTTTTGCTATGTTGGTCAGGCTGGTCTCAAACTCCTGACCTTGGCCTCCCAAAGTGCTGGGATTACAGGCATGAGCCACTGCGCCCAGCCCATATGTTGTTCTAAATACTTTACATGAATTAATTCATTATGATATATGGAGAGGAAGGAACTGTTACTATCCTTACTTTACTGATAAGTAAACCGACAGGGAATGGTTAGAAAGTGGGAAAGCCAGGATGTGAACTCAGAAAGTATGGCCCCTGAACCCATGCTTCTGAGTACTATGCTGTATTAAACTCAAGACTCAAATCTGCCCCTGTCCTTAGATTGGTTCCCACCTTGTTGCTAACTGTGTCTGAATATCCCTGGTGTTCTTGACTCTGTCATCTTGTGTGTCATCTTGTAGTCTAGACCATAAAGGTCCACATACATCTTAAATGCTTACTAATGACATTGAGATGAAGACAGTGGAGCCCCTGACTTTAGGAAGCTTGTGGACCAGTTATAGTGAGTCACTTGTGCAGCAGTATGTACAGAAGCCAGGGGGAGCCTAGCCCTTCACTGCCTGTGGACTCCCTGACTGCACACAGCCTCTGAGTCTGTCACCTTGTCTAGTCCTCTGTAGGCCCCTTGCCTGGCCTTGATGGCCCATTGTGCTCTGTATGATAGATGTATCTGTCAGCATTGCAGCAGAATACAGATAACACTCTCAGAGGATGTGGCCGAAGAGAGTTTAATAAAGGGACATTTACTGAATGTGGGCATAGTTGAGGGAACCAACAAGGGAAGTTGAAGCACCCAGAGACTAGCAATAGCAGGGAGACATTACCCCTAGGCCTGAAGGGCCAAGGGAACACTGGCAAGATCTGGAGCCTTGGATCTGGGACTCCTGATAGGAACTCTCACCAGAGAGGAATGCAGCCACTGGTTATGGTAAGGTCGTTCTGCTGCTGTTTGAAAACCAACTGGAATTCCAAGGACAAGGGGACCTGGGTAATGCCGTTCTTAAAAAGTCAGCCTCCTAGGGTTTAGAATAAGCCCAAGAAGAGTGGAGGAATGGATTGGGAGGGGAGAGTGGGTTTGAAAGGAGAATAAGCAGCACGACAGATAACTTACTACCCATTTCTGATTACTTCATCTTCCATGCCCACTCCTCTGACCTGCGTTAATTCATCCATCCATCCATCCTTCCATCCACCTGTCCATCCATCCTAAGCACTTAGTGTGTATGAGATCTTTGTCAGACCAGGAAGGCTATAGCAATAACCAGTTCTTGCCCTCAAAGAATTAATAGTGTACTCTTGCAGTTCCTAGCTCTGCTCAGCAGTTTGGATCCTGGTCCCATCTGTTTCTGTCTTCCATCATTATTCCCAGGAAGCAATGACTATTAGCAGTCGTAGTCCCCTTCTGATAAGCATTTCAAAGGGCACTGTATCAGCAAGAGCTCTTTCAGCTACAAGTGACAGAAAACCTAACTCAAATTGGCCTAAACAAAAAACAAACTCCAAGTGGAGTTTAGTGGATCTTGGAACTGAGCATGTTCTGTCTTCAGGCTGTGATCCAGAAGTTCAAATGCTCACCTCTAAGGTGACTCCAGTATCAGATTCCACAAGGTGCCAGGATGACTGCCAGCATCTCCAGCCTATCTCCTTCCAGCAGAAAGCAGTAGAGAACTCTCCCCTCGACTACCGTCCTGCAGGAGTCTCTTTGCATGTCTGAATGATTCTGTCATGGGTCTGTGATCTATCACAAAAGCCTGTGATGCTCCCCAGGGCAGGAATGAGTCATATGCTCACTCTGGAGCCAGGGGAGGGCTTAGTGTCATTGGAAGCCTATGCACTAAGAGAGATAGAGCAGCTGGATGCTTGGGGGCAAGATCTAGGGGTCCTAAAGGCGAAATAGCAATAGGTATACCTGAACCTGCTACGGGCAAAGTGTCCAAGTTATTAACCCTTTCAAACCTGAACTAGACCAGAGATACTTGGGGTTTTTAGATTTTAATTTTGTCTCTAAAAGGCACCTGCCCATGTTTATGTTCTCTTTCTCCCCTTAAACTAGAAACGAGAACACAAAAGACCATCCTTTTTAAAAATCTCATTCCTTTAATGGAGTATCTTTAGAAGAAAAAAGAAAGCTTTACATGTACTATTTGCATGGAATCAGCTTATAACAAAGCAGGATGAACAGGGTCCACTTAGTTGACTGTTGTTTTTGCAGGCTTTTTGAAGTAGAAATACAATTTTTTTGTTTTTACTCAGAATTCATTTGGCATTAAAGGCTCCCCATAATGTGATTTCATTAGTTGTGTACTTTAATTCAGATGTTGTACGGACTTCGGAGTCAGACAAAAATCCCATTTTAAACATTTAAAGAGCCATATGTACTTGGTCAAATCTACCATCTCTTTTGTGTTTTGATTTCTTCATCGCAAAGTGGAGAGTAGTAAGTACCATCCACTGCCAGACACTCTAATCACTACTTTCTCTCTCTCTTTCCATATAGATATATATGGGAATATATGTATAGAATGTACATATATTTTTATATATTCTCTCATATATATATATTTCCTTGATGTGAGTGGGTATATAAGCTCTCATTTAATCCTTGCAACAACCCTGTGAAAGGTAGATGGTACCTGTTTTACACATGAGGAGAAAGGATCAATGATATAAGTAACAAGCTCATGTTCATACAGTAACTGTATTTACTAAGTACAGTTCTAGAGACATGGGAAGCACTTCATAAGTAAAACAGCAGCAATGGTAAGTTTAAAAAAAATCAGATAATAGAAATGTTAAAACAAGAATGGAATTTATTAAGTGCTAAAAATTTTACATTTTTAAACTTCAGAGATTTAAGTCCACTGATGTTAAAAGCTGCCTTGTAGTAGAAATAGTATAATGTGGAAAAATTAGTCTGTCCTTTTTAAAAATTGGGAAACAATTCTCCAACATCTCTTGAAATAACTAGAGATATCTGGGGAGGTTACCAAACCTGAATGAAGAGTCTCAAATCCCAAGAAAGCATTGTGTACATTTTGCTTATGAATATTGGTAGTTCTGTATTGTATAATAAATCTTACTCCTTGACTTGGTTATATGTAATTCTGTGTCTCCTTTTTTATATTTTAGATGGAACAGATTAAAAGGGCCAATAAACTGTTTACCAATGATTGTATATTTCTGAAGAAAACTTTGAACATCCCAGTTATATCAGAGAAGCCTTTGTTGTTTAATGGACTTAACTCCATTGATTCTCCAGAAAATGAAACTGCTGATAACAGTTTTTCTCAGGAAGAGGAGCCAGTGGTGGCCGGGGAAGACCTCCCTCCTCCCAGTCCTCAAGAATCTGATGTTCAGCCTGTGCAGCCTGAGGAAGTGTCAGCCAGAGATTTCCTGCAGAGACTTGACTTGCAGATTAAGTTATCAACACAGGCAGCCAAGAAGCTAAAAGAAGAGAGCAGGTAAGAATACCCTGGTACAAATGTCAAAGTCTAAATAAATCACTATTAAGATGTCCTTGCTGGGCCAAATCTTTCTTTTCTCTTTTCTTTGCCTTTTCTTTTCTTTTCTTTCTTTCTGATTTTTTTTCTTTTTTTCTTAATTTCTTTCTTTCTTAATTTCTTCCTTTCTTAATTTCTTTCTTTCTTTCTTTTTTTGCTTTAAAAACTGCATTTTAGTTCTAGAAAGGCATTTTTAGTATATAAACTCTAAACAGAGCTGCTGCCTGATGCACAAGGCTTTATCTGTTGCAGTGTTTTTATCTGTTATTTACTATAAAAAGTTTGCTTCTTTGCTTTAATAGCGTCACTGTCCAGCTAGCACTTCTGGATAGCGGCAAAATAAAAGTGTCTCTCTCACTGACACTTTCAAGAGAAGTAGTGTCATAGAAAATACTTGTAAAATATTGATAGTTGCAAAACTTGTCAAAGACATTGTCTGTTATTTGTTACTGGGTGTTTCCTACATAAGATCTCATGTGAACTTTTTTCTTTGTTTTTTAAATTTGATATTAGGGCAAATCTTTCTCTCTCCTATAGAATTGGTTTCCTTTTTTCTTTATGATTTGATTTCAAAAAAGTACAATCTACTGTGTTTCCTTTTTTGCTCTGGCTATTGGGAAGCTTGCAACTAAAATTGATACCTGTGTTCAACTCCTATAATATTTCTTATGATTAATACATTGGTTTCCTTCTCCTTTCCTTAGTCCTGATTTTTTTATTTCTATTTTATTAATCTTATTGTATATATGCCTTTTGTTGTTAGTACCTTAAATCCTTTTGGGAAAGAGGTAGAATATAGAAAACATAAACAAATATAAATATGAATATAATTTAGTATAGATTTAAAATATATGTAAATATAAGCAAATATAAATACATAAATGAATGACATTATTTATTCTAATAACTGAGATATGAATAAAATGGAGATAGTAAGGTATGTCTTAAGTATTGGCATTTCATACAGTTGTCTAGGCATGCACAATATTCTAAGTTGATATATTCCTTCTTTGGCAAGTGGATATTGTATAATAAGTTGATGTTTTAGTTTTCTGCATACAGTTCTAAACTCTGATTTATGCTGTATTTATTTTCTTTCAGAGATGAAGAAAGTCCCTATGCAACTTCCCTCTATCACAGTTAGGTGATTTGGGGGCATAACTCTAACCAAAATTAAGATATGTTTGGACCATAAAGAATCCAACAACTGAAGATTCAAAAACATCCCTTCTGGATTCCTATAGTGTCCATCTTAAAATCATAACTAGGTAGTTCTACCTGCTGCAGTTGCACTGAAGTGATTAGTTCCCTCTGGCTTTCTATAATTTTAAGTCTTTATTATGGCATGATGGCAAGGTTGTAGCCTAAAGCTCATCACTTTTGTAGGTGGTGTTAGTTTTTAGACTAGCTTTTATAAATACTAATTGACATAAAGCATCAAAGATTATTTATATATTTAGGCTAAAAATAATGTTTATCTCCTTATGCAATCCTGATTATGTGAAAATATGGTTGCTGTTTAAGTGATGCTGAATTTGCTGTGTGTTTATAACTTAAGTGCTATATATATATTTCGATATGTCTTACATATTCTCTATTAATATAAAGAACCAAATTTTGTCTGCTATTTTGTAAAAATAAACTACAAAAGCCTGAATGAGAAAATAAACTATGTTTTCAAACTTGAGTCTCCTTTTTTTTTTTAACAAATGAGAAAATAAAATTGACTTTTAAATTATACATTTAAATGCTGACAGCTTCTTCTTCACTTTAATGGTTTTTATTATTATAAATGCAATTTTGAAAAAAGTATTCATAATCTAAAAGCAAAACAAGTATAATTACTAGTAATCTTGGCATTTTCATTGACCTAATGTGATTCAGATATGGTGAAAACATGGAATAAATCAAAAGAACAAATAAATAATACCATAATCTGACATTATATTGCAGAATTCTAGTATAGATTTCATTGCTAAGTTACTTTATAAGTGTTTGGTAGTCCTGTACTTATTTGAATTGATTTTTATTCCCATAATTTAATTGGTCTTTATTATATGTATAGATTACAGTAGGACACTTTAAGCAATATATCATTTATAATTAAATATTGTTTTGGTCTCAATTTCTGTTCAACTCTTAGATTAAATAAATCTTTAGGCTTCCACAAAAATTCCTCATATCTACCCCATCCCAGCATAGCAAAAATACTTTCACTTTCTTCTTTTTGTTATTTTTTTCTTCTCTCTCTTTCTTTTATCTTCCCTCATTTTGTTTTCCCCTGTCTTGCTTCTCCAGGTCATCCATTAAGCAAGAAACAAGTGCCCTTAGGTGTTAATGCATCAGAGCTTGCAGAGTTAGAACTGCACATATCTAAGCCCTGAGGCTGAGCAACTGCTGCATCAATGGGAAACAGTAGCTGTCAGCCCCTGTCTTGCTGATTTTCTTGTTTGTTCCTAATATATATAATCCCTGTGTCTTGTCTTTTTTTTCTCATGTTATAGCATCTTTGAAATAGGTTACTCTCTTGATCATGCTTTGCTGTTTTCTTGTATTCACTACCTGAACTGTGGGGAGTTAGTTGGATGAAGAGAGACCTAAATGAAAAAAAATAAGGGAAGGAAAACAGGTATGTATGTAAGAAAAGGTTCAAACAAACATCTGTGGTGGCCTAGGAACCATTAAAAATGTAGAGTTATCATGCTATTTAACATAAAATGTTCTGAAATTTGAGAGTAATCCAAAAGACATAACATGAGCTCAAATTTGAAATTAAGACCACAATCTCAAAAACATTTTTTTCTGAGTATTTTATTTTTGCCTAAGGTCTCTCTTAGCATTCTCTAGCCAAAACATTGGTCATCTTCAAGTTATTAGTAACTTGGAATTCTTTGTGGCCACAGTTAAACTATTCTGGACTGAGTACTTTAGTCCCTACCTTGCACATAGAATCACTGGAGTGGGCTGAGACAAGAAACTTACGTTCTATCCCAACTTTACCATTTCTTGGCCGCACAAGCTGGAGTGTATCCTGTGCTTTTGTTCCCTTTGTGAACCAGTTTCCTGTTTCATAAAACGGGACTGATGATGTTCCTTTTGTTTTGATTATGGATAGGAGCTAATGAATGCCAATGTGCTTTGAGAACCACAACAAACTCCCTAAGTACATGTCTTATTTTTAAAAATACTGCATGTTTAGATACATTATAGAAAAGTGAATGGATAAAATGTTTTAGCCAGCACCAGTTTATTGTCTGATGGACACGTAGCCTGTTTGGGTATGGCTGAATTAGAGTCAGTCATGTTATCAAAGATGACTCATGGAAACAGTCTGGTTCACTATGTTTTGGCAAGTGTTATTTGGGCAAAGGTGTTTTTAGTTCCCTCTCCCCACTCAACAGATGGGTACTGGCTTCTCTAGAACATACTGAGTTTAGTTCGTGTGTGTGTGTCAGGCTTTGGCTTTTGTTTGTTTTTGCAGCTCTCTGGAGAGGATGAGAGAAGAAACCAGCCTTTCCCCCACAGTCCCCACCAAAAGGTGGGATACCAGGTAGGGGCATTCAGGACAGCAATGCAGGTGTCAAAGACCATTTGAAACAGTGACAGCCAATATGTCCAGAGTTGGTTCCTGCCGGTGGGTCTGTGGTCTTGCTGACTTCAAGAATGGAGCCACAGACCTTTGCGGTGAGTGTTATAGTCTTAAAGATGGCACGGACCCAAAGAGTGAACAGTAGCAAGGTTTATTATGAAGAGCAAAAGGACAAAGCTTCCACAGCGGCAGGCGACCTGAACAGGTTGCTGCTGCTGGCTGGGGTGGCCAGATTTTATTCCCTTATTTGTCCCCTCCCATGTTCCGTTTTTGCCCTATCAGAGTGCCCTTTTTTTCAATCCTCCCTGTGATTGTCTACTTTTAGAATCCTGCTGATTGGTGCATTTTACAGAGTGCTGATTGGTGCGTTTTACAGAGTGCTGATGGGTGCATTTTACAAACCTATTGCTAGCTACAGAGCGCTGATTGGTGTGTTTTACAGAGCACTGATGGGTGCATTTTACAATCCTCTTGTAAGACAGAAAAGTTCTCCAAGGCCCCACTCGACCCAGGAAGTCCAGCTGGCTTCACCTCTCACTAATACACAAATTACATATTATGTTATTTTTACAGTTTGAAACAAATATATAGAAAAATATGTATGTAATTAATTTACACTGAATGATACATTTTCAAAGCATTCTCTGGTTTGGGAACATTAACCATTAACATTTCAAGAGGACCTTGCGCCACTGTATGTTTCCAGGGCTGTGTTTGTGGTGGGGGCTGAGTTGCAGGGACCTGAAGTTCATTAACCTTTTCCTCCAGGAAAGCTGCTCGACCAGCTTTGGATCACAAGGAAGGAATGATTTTTATCTCTATTTCTACCTTACTGCCTGGCCCTTTGCTCTCTGTTGAGAAAACTTGGCTTGGATCTAATCTAGTTTAGATAACTGAGATGTGGCATACATTTTTGCCTTGCTTTATGCAGTGTTTATGACCTCATTTGTCTTCTTAGAGAGTACATAAATATCTCTCTTTATAAGTAAACTCAATGTCTGAAAAGTCACTAATAGGAAGTGTTAAGAACAGGGGGAAATTGTTAGTAAATCCAGCAAATCCTATACCCATTTACCTGGATCCTTTTTATGTCACTGAGCCTAATAAAAAGCCAGCTAAAAAGAGCAGCCAAAAAAGCAGATGGCTCCTCCAAAGCTATGAGACTTTGAGAAAATGTGAATTTATTTCAGCTCCCCTAAGGGAACTGCTGGTGGAAATGACATCTTGTAATAGACACGCTCTGCAAGGTGCTTTAGTACTTGGCATGCCTTGAAAACAGAACCCCCTTAATTCTTCGGGGAGTGCTTATGTGGATGAGACAGTGGAAGAAGGATGAGTTTTAAGGTCAGTCCATTAGAGGCTTTTTCAAAGCAACATATTCTGATTATAAAATATAAGTCTATGAGGAAATAAGGATTCTGTATACAAAATCTCAGCTTACATACAACTTTACTTTCAGATAGTTTTTACGGGAAGAAAGCTATGTTTTAACCACTTGTAAAAGGTTAACTACTGTAAATTCAGCACTTTCTAATAACCCTTGGGTCAAAAAATTTTAATCACAGAATTAGAAGTGTTTTAAGCTATATTATGTTTTCTGAAACAGTTGAAAGACTCCTGGATCTTTTGCCATTTTTACAGGCTGCTATAAATGCGCTTGATGGCCTCGGCTTCTTCCTTGTCAAGGATGCCTTTCTCCACATAAGCATCAGCTTGTTTATTGATGAAGTCTCTCATCTTTGAAAGGTCATAATCTGGAAAATATTATTAGAGCATAATGAGCAAAGATCAGGAAAGGCCAATCCCATTACAGTGATTACCATTAACTGAGAAGCATTTTATACAATAACACAATTACCATTCCCCATCTTTCACATCGGGAGGCATTTTAATTCTTGGCATTTGTGTAGTACTTTGCAGTATAAAATAATATTTACATGTATTATCTCATCTGTGCTTCATCACAACCCTGTGAGATGTTCAGGTGGGTCATACCATCCCCATTTGACCAAACAGGAAATAGGCTCATGACCAGGGCTTTGCAAATTTTAATGTTTATACCAAACACCTGGGGCTATTGGGAAGTGGCAGATTCATATTCAGTAGGTCTGGGGT
The DNA here is from genome assembly GCF_000001405.40 of Homo sapiens. NCBI lineage: Eukaryota > Metazoa > Chordata > Mammalia > Primates > Hominidae > Homo > Homo sapiens. Next base: position 51,719,046 of record NC_000015.10, on the reverse strand, counting down.
GAGGATCCAGGTTATGCATTTTAAACGGCTGTCAGGTGATACTGATGCTGTTGGTCTAGGAACCACACTTCGGGGTTAAGTGCCTTGTTCAAGGTCACATAGGTAGTAAAAGTTATGATCAGAACCGGGTGTTCTGACTTCCTGACTTCCTGACTTATACTAGGTTTAAGTCCATGTTGATGTGACAACCCACTTTTTTTTTTCAAATTAAGAGTTACTTTATTTCATGCTGTTTGAATTGTATGCAAGGAGCAAAAAGCCAAACTGTAAACTCTTTTTGGTTCCTCTGTCCTCCTTAAACAAACAAACAAACAAAATCTATATACATTGTCAAAACACCCACCAAAAATAAAGATTTCCAGGTAAGGAGGCTGCCTATGACACCTTTCTGAAGCCTTTTAAAAACCCCCATTTTCCCTTGATCCTTTAAGTATTAGGCAATAACAGCTGTAAATGACTAGACAGAACGCTGCTTTCTGTTAGTTGGTGAGGAGAAGAGAAAGGAGAGAGTGGGTATAAAAGGGTGGTTTAGCAGCCACCCTTAGCGAGCCTGAATGTAATCTGAGCCTGGGTCACTTGGGTATCCTTAAGCTCTTATGAGAAAGGAAAACGAACCATGAAGGACCTCTCTACAATCACTAAGTGAGTGAGGCTTAGACAGGGCTTATATCCTCTCTGGCAAGCAGGACATCTGCTCCCTGTTAGGGCACAGCCATGAGGATTGAAAGGGAAATCCCAGCACTGGACACTTTACAGCCATCACCTTAATTGCCCCCCACAAAACCCCACGAGGTTATACCCTATGACATCTGTCTGTCTGTCTGTCTGTCTGTCTGTCTGTCTGTCTATCTATCTATCTATCCATCCATCCATCATCTAACTATCTATATAGGTTTTCGTCCATGATTCCTGGCTTATAACTCCCATATCCCTTGTTTCAGCCTTTTGTCATAATGTTAGGGCACTTTGGGCCTCAGAAGAAGGCCTCAGGAAGCAGAATCTTTCTCTCTGACCTGCCCTCCTTTCACCCAGCCAAGGCAGGACTCTAATCTGATTGTGGGTCATAACACCCTTGATCCATAGAGGGTCCTACCCTGTACCCTGGAGGAAGGAATGTTGCACAGAGAGGCCAAGAAGAATCTGCAGAGATAGGCCTTACTGGGTTTAGACCATGTCCTTTTTGTCCAATCACATTCCTACATGGTTGTCAATCATGCCTATCCAATGAAGTCTCCATGAAAGGCCCAAGAGGACAGGGTTCAGGAGCTTCCAGATAGGTGAACACGTGGAGGCTGACAGGAAGGTGAACAAAAACTGATTCACATGCTGGAAGGGTGTTGCACCCCAGCTCCACAAGGATGGAAGCTCCTGCACTTCAGACTGTTCCAGACTTCACCCTATGTATCTCTTCATCTAGTTGTTTATTTGTATCCTTTAAAATATCCTTTTAATAAACCAGTAAATGCATTTCTCTGAATTCTAGCAATCCTTTTTTTTTCTTTTTTTCTTTTTTTTTGACAGGGTCTCACTGTTTTACCCAGGCTGGATGCAGTCGTATGATCATGGCTCACTGTAGCCTTGGACTTCTGGGCTCAAGTGATCCTCCTGCTTCAGCCTCCTGAGTAACTTGGGACTACAAGCGCACACCACCACACCTGGCTAATTTTTTTTTTTTTTTTGAGACGGAGTCTTGCACCGTTGCCCAGGCTGGAGTGCAGTGGCGTGATCTCAGCTCACTGCAAGCTCCACCTCCCGGGTTCACGCCATTCTTCTGCCTCAGCCTCCTGAGCAGCTGGGACTACAGGCACGTGCCACCACGCCCAGCTAATTTTTGTATTTTTAGTAGAGATGGAGGTTCACCATATTGGCCAGGATGGTCTCGAACTCCTGACCTCATGATCCACCCACCTCGGCCTCCCAAAGTGCTGGGATTACAGGTGTGAACCACTGTGCCTGGCCCACCTGGCTAATTTTTAAATTTTTTGTGGAGATGGGGTCTCGCTATGTTGACCAGGCTGGTCTCAAACTCCTGGCCTCAAGTGATCCTCCCACCTTGGCCTCCCAAAGTGCTGGGATTACAGGTGTGAGCTACCATACCAGGCCCACTCTAGCAAATTAACTGAACCCTAAGAGGAGGCTGTGGAAACCGAAACTTGAAGCCAGTCAGCCAGCTGTTCCAGAGGCCTGGACATGCAACTGGTGCAAAGGAAGGGGCACTCTTTTGGGACTGCGCCCTCACCCTGTGGTGTCTGAGGCTGACTCTAAGTAGATAGTGTTGGAATTGAATTGAATCAGCGGACAACCAGCTAGTGTCGGCTGCAGAATTGATTGCTTGCTTGGTGGTGGGGAGAAACCCCCACGCATTTGGTCACAGAAGTCTTCTGTGTTGATTGTTGTGTTGAGTGAGAGAACAGGAGAAAGCACATTGTTGCTTTTTCCACACTCATGGGTAAGCATTAGTATCCTCATTTCAGAGATGAAGAAACAGAAAAGGGGGTAAGTTACTTGCTCAGGTAGTGGTAGAGTCAGGTTCTGAATGCTGGTCATTGATTGACCATTCCATAGCCTTGTAGTACTGACTATAAAACATCTAACAGGTACAAAGCAAATGTTCAATAAATGCTCATTTTTATTTTTGTTTTTCACTTTTCCCATTCTCTCAGGCACGAAGTAGAGAACGAAGCTGAACATACATTTTGCAGGCACCGCACCTAAGGCGATGATTCCTTTATTCCTGACCCCTAAGGCACAAAGGGCACTTCTTGTTTATTCCTGGTTCATTAATACTGCCTCTGCAGAATAGGCTGCAGTGTCAACATCTTTAATGGAATAAAAGGCAGACTCCCGCTAAGTGATTTTAATGTGCATCAAAGTTTGAAAACCACTGCCTTGCTGGGCGCGGTGGCTCACACCTGTAATCCCAACACTTTGGGAGGCCGAGGCAGGCGGATCAGGAGGTCACGAGATTGAGGCCATCCAGGCTAACACGGTGAAACCCCATGTCAACTAAAAATAAGAAAAATTAGCCAGGCATGGTGGCGGGTGCCTGTAGTCCCAACTACTTGGGAGGCCGAAGCAGGAGAATGGCGTGAACCCTGGAGGCGGAGCTCGCAGTGAGCGGAGACCGTGCCACTGCACTCCAGCCTGGGCGACAGAGCGAGACTCTGTCTCAAAAAAAAAAAAAAGTGCAGACTCCCAAAGACAGATGTGAAGAGGTCCAGTGATTTGAATGGACAAACAGGCAAATATTTTGCTTTCTTTTGAAAAGGAAAAATTGTTATCTTTATGACACGGCTATTACTGTGTGCAGTGGGAAAACCAGCATGGTGCAAAGGAAAGGCCCTTTGGTCTAATGCCAACTCTGCCCTAGCTGGGGGTTAGGAGACATAAGCCAGTAGCCATCTTGCTAACCTTAAAAGAAGTTTTAAGGTTGTAAGGCTCAAAGGAGAGAAGGGCTGTGATTCGCTTTTTAAAAGCATATTTTTTTAAGGCTACATAAGATTTTCTCATTATCCTCACTATCACATCACATGGACCTCCCTTTCCTGGGTTTGGGAAGGGGATTCAGGTCACCCAGTCCCTTACCAAACAAAGGGTGGCAACAATGGTTAAGAAAGGTCAGAACTAATAGTAATTCTCCCTGCTTATACAGCTGCAGCCACTGCATGACCCTAGGACCCAGATCCCCCACAGGCTTTGAGAAGATGACCCCAAGTCAAGCCGAGCGCATATGAGAGCAGTGGAGAAAGAGCTCTGTTTCTGTCTTCAAGAGGGCATACTGCATATTTCCCAGAGACAAAAGGGAGCATCGAACCCAATGCCAGTTTGCTAACAGAGCCTTCCATATGCAAGCACCAGAGTTCTATGCTTCACCAGGTTGGTCATTTCTGGAATGGGAACATTGAATTGCAAGATGTTGTTGATTATGACCAGGAGTCTGATTCATATGCTAATCAGTGAAAACAGTAACAAATACTCCAAATTGATGTACCATACAATTTATCATGGCTTTGGGATGTATTTTGGCACACAGTGTACTACAGTGATTCTAAGATGAACATTTTAATTTTAAAGTCTTTGCAGTCATTGATGGCATGTTGTAATTTAATGGCACATAAAACAATGGTGCATTTTTAATCAATGACAGATTCGATGAAATATGGTTCATGTAGATTTTAATGTAACTGACAGCCTGGAAATTCAAATCATTTTGAACCAAATAAAGTATGCATGAACATCGATAATTATTGCCATCATCACTCAACTTAGAAGACCTAAGCTACCAGGGTGCTGAAAATACCTCTTTCTCCCTCTGTGCTGTATCTCAGCGGTTTGCAAACTTGGCTGCACGCTGGAATAACCTGGGGAGTTGAAAAAATACTGATGCCAGAGCTGTGTCCCCAGAATTTCTGATTTAGTGGTGCTGCAGTGCAGCCTGGGCAGTGGGATATTTAAGAAGTTCCCCAGGTGATTTGGATGCACTTTAAAGTTTGAGAAGCATTACTTGTTTCTTAGGAAGGCATCACTTTGCAACTGCTCTGGCCAGATACCTGGGAATCGTGTCAGAATCCTCCTTCTCCACATGGCTCTTGAGTTCCTCCCTTCCTTTTTATCTCCTCTGTTGTCCCCTGGTTTACAGCCCCATATTTCTGCTCCAGATCTCTCTGTCTTACCTCCTTATCTCTCTGCTGCCTTCTGGGGTCTTATTTTTTCAATCTGTAGTCACACTGCTGCCAGATGGATTTCTCAGCTCTTAACCTAATTAGGCCCCAATTTAGGCTCCCTTGGCTAAAACCAACCTTCTCTGAAGAGTACATAAATGTCTTCCTGGCATGGCTACTGCCCACTTCCCAACCCTATATGCTGCTCTTCTCCACAAACATCCACTGTTCCTGGGGACATGAATGGCTCCAGTTCCCAGAACCACCCCTCTGTTTTGTCCCTTTATGTCTTGGTACCTAGTGTTCGCTCTGCCTCCATCTCTCCTCACTCGGCAGATTCATCCTTAACTTTCCAGAGAAGACTTGTGGCCCTTCTCTCAACTGTCTCTGTCCTAGTATGAAGATCCATCCCATCTTCTCACCTCCTTGGCAGTAACACACCTATCCATGACATCACTGAGCAGGGCCAACCATAGCTCTAATGACGCTGTGCATTCCTTGGGCGGGACATCTCTGGCACTTAGAACAGGGCCTGGTTCTGTGTTTTGCTTTATGTAAGCGAGTGACTGCTTTTGTGACTGCAGGGTGCACAAAATTTGTGCTCAGAAAATGCCTTTGTTTAAAATACTCCAAGAAAGGGGGGCTAGATAAAACAAGACTGGCAACATTTGATAATTATTGAAGATGGGTGCTGGAGACACAGGGATCCATTATGCTATTCGTTCTACGTTTGCTTGACATTTTTCCTAATAAAACGTAAAAGAAAAGAAAACGCCTTTGCTTGAAAGGCTAATTTGAATAATAAGAGAAATGGAGGTTCTGTTCCCCTCTGTATCTGACAGGTGACTTCAGTCTTTTTTGGGCTCTGCGGGGAGACTTTAGCACAGTCAATTTGACTGTGGGAATTTTTATATAACAAGAGCCCCTGACAAATGGGTGAAGTTTGCAATGTACAACCACACTTGGTCCTACCTTCTTTATTTCCCTTTTTGTCATGTTTCTTCAACCATTCAATATTTTTTCTGATGGCTTCCAAATAGGCTTCTGTTTTTCCTGGAAGAGGTAAGAGAACTATATCAAACACTCAGGAAATATCACTACATCTCATTTTAAAGACCACACGTATGTTCAGAACCACAAATATTAGACTTATGCAGCATTTGCAAGGTTGTTTCCCTAACTAGGTAATGTACATATTTGTATGTGTCTATGTGTGTTTGTGTGTTGAGGGGTTTAGGTCAAGGAGAGCAGGTGCGGATGAGGTTCCAGGAGGAAGAATCAAGTTGGTAAGTGTCAAGGGGCATGATTCCCACACACAAATAAATCCACCTTGATGTCCTGGCAGAGAAGAGTTTTGATTCAGTTTACTAGATAGATGGGTCCTTAGATTAGTTCATTTCTGGTTAGGGATGGTTCTTCCAAACTGAGGAGCATCATCAAGCCAAGGACTTGAATGAGAGTGGCAGATACTTAAAGATTCCATCACTTCAGTTAAAAGTCCAAATGTGTGGCTTTGTGTAAGCAGCTCTAAGTCTTCTGCCCAATTCTGGCAGGGGGCGGGCAAAAACTTAGACAAAGAGGCGACCAGTGCCTCACTTCAAGGTTTGGATGGCAAACCTTAGAACTGGCTCTAATAAAACTCCCCAGGATGTAAACACTGTTCGATGGGCCTCAAGTGTGGCATGAGAATACCAGGCATCACTCATGCACCTACTCTGTGATGCCCTTTACCTGTACTGATGTCTGCAAGCGGATATTACCATCCACTGAGAGATGAGGAATCTGGGGCTCAGAGAGGCGAAGTGAGTAGGCTAAGGCTACACAGGAAATAACAGCTGGCATTTGGACTCTGATCTGCTTAGCTTCCGCTACCTGCATTCCCTGCAGGATAAGACCTCACCTTCAGACATGGACAGTAATGTTGCTTTGTTCTATATCAAAAAAATCAGCCACTCTCTTAACCAGGTGAGGCCCTAAAGCTTAGGGAGTCAGCACCAAGAAACCAGGTGCTCTAGAAAGTACCAGATGGCTTACAAAAAGAGGCTTTCAAAGTCCAGGGCCTCTGCAGAAGCAATAGCTGCAGAGCTCAGTGTGGTGACCACCCCATTCTGAGCCCCATCTGAGCCCTCTTACCTCTACTCTACTGCACAGCCCTCTTGGTTGAGCTACCTGTACTGTGTGCTTATCATGTACTGGGGACTGCTTTATGCTCCAAAATGCATTGTCTCATTTATTCTTCACGACAACTTTTTGAGGCAGTCTTATTATCATCCCCATTTTACAGATGAAGACACTGAAGCACAGAGACATAAAGTCATAATCACATGACTAACAAGTAGCAGAGCCAGGCTTGAACCTGGGTACCTCCAACTACAGTCCATGTACAATAACACTGCCCTAAGAGTTGCCCATGTTCCAATTGCCCGCACTGTATTTACCTAAGTGACTCTCTGAGCATCTTTCTTCCTGATCTTGAAGCCCACTCTTGCCTTACCACCGAAGATCTGTGTCATCTGGTCCCCAAAGAAGCACAGAGACTACTACACAAAAAGGGGTAAATGGACACCAGAAGAGATCCACAATTTTTAGTCCTTATTTACTTCAATAGTTGGTGTAGAAACTTCCTTGATTTCAGCAGTCTGGGAGGCCAAAGAGGGAGGATTGTTTGAGGCCAGGAGTTCAAGACCAGCCTGCACAACATTGTGAGACCCTATCTCTACTAATAAACAGATACATAAATAATAATTTTAAAAATACAGTGTTTTCTATTTCAAATTAATTCAGTTAGATAAGGTATTTTGAACAAAGAGAGAAATCTTAGTGCAGACCATTTCTAAACAATGCAACTTCATTATTTTAAAGAGTTTAAATCAAATTACTGATCCCCATAGGGCTCACTTTAATGAATAATGATTTGTCATTCACTCATTAGGTAGTTAGGGCTTTTGCAACTTTTGAGTATGTCTGAAAATAGTCTTGTTCTTTACATAATATTAAGCATTTTTTCTACTATCTTCTCTGATATCGTATCATGATGTTAGAGCTTTTTTGGGATAAGGAAAACCACAGCTTAGTCTGTTTAGACACTGCATTAAAAATTCCAAATTAGGAGAGTAAAAACAAATGAAGTTTTCGCCATCGTGGGGCAAACATTACCCACTCTCATGCCTCCCTCTTCATAGCTAGCTACTAGAGCAGCCTTCAACTGATGACGGATGAAATGGGTAGATCAATGCATCAGCTTCCTTGTTCCTTAGGCATGTTCTACTGTTTCCCAGAAGTCTTCAATAGGATTGAGCTCTAGTCGCCCATGCTGAAGCTTGCTCATTATCACACCTTATATTGGCTTTTTTCTCTTCCTGCTCATGTACCTACCCTGCAGTGGTGCTTCCTGGGGTCACTTCCCAATGAAGCTACTTCACCTCAAATCCTTCTCTTAGTGCATGCCTTGGAGGGAACTCAACATAAGACAATTTGAAATAAAGGCCTTGACCAGGCTCTGTGGCTCACACCTGTGATCCCAGCACTTTGGGAGGCCAGGGTGGGCAGATCGCTTGAACCTAAGAGTTTGAGACTAGCCTGGGCAACATGGAAAAACCCCATGTCTACCAAAAAAAAAAAAAAAAAAAAAAATTAGCCAGGCATGGTGGTGTGCATCTGTAGTCCCAGCTATTAGGAGGCTGAGGTGGGAGGACTGCTTGAGCCCAGGAGGTGGAGGTTGCAGTGAGCCAAGATTGCACCACTGCACTCCAGCTTGGACAACACAGCCAGATTCTGTCTCAAAAGAAAAATAAAGTAGAGGTCTCAGCATTATTGTATTAGGCTGCTTTTTGTTCAGGAACCAATTACCTATAAAAATGGTATGGAATTTTAAAAAGTATGTAATGTATGAAAAGCTATTTTATTCACTATATCAACATTATCAACTCATAACAGAGAATGAGTTTACTATAGCTTAAAGAAAATTGGACTGCAATTCATTGAGAGACTAGTATCTTATGGGTTATAACATACATGATTAGGACAGTCTCCCTAATTTATAACAGAACACCCCGTCATTCTCCTCCTCTTTCATGCTTTATTTTTATCCATCAGAAGGTGACTACTTATTACCTTCTACTGTAGCATATAATTTGTTAAGTTTATTGTCTTCCTCCCTTAGAAATATGTTGTTTGCTGATGTACCCTCTGCCTAGAACAAGACTGACAGAGAGTAAGCTCTCAAGAAATATTTGTCAATGAGTAAATGGATGAAATCTTTCTGTACAGAAGCCAAATTGCAATTAGAAGATTGCCCAGTCAGCATGGAATCCAAACTAGGAAACTACATCTTAAAAAAACTTACAAGCCGGCCGGGCGCGGTGGCTCATGCCTGTAATCCCAGCACTTTGGGAGGCCGAGGCGGGCGGATCACAAGGTCAGGAGATCCAGACCATCCTGGCTAACATGGTGAAACCCCGTCTCTACTAAAAATACAAAAAAAAAAAAAAAAAAAAAATTAGCCGGGCGTGTTGGTGGGCACCTGTAGTCCCAGCTACTCGGGAGGCTGAGTCAGGAGAATAGCATGAACCCGGGAGGCGGAGCTTGCAGTGAGCAGAGATCACGCCACTGCACTCCAGCCTGGGCGACAGAGCGAGACTCTGTCTCAAAAAAAAAAAAAAAAAAAAAAAAAAAAAAAAAAAAATATATATATATATATATATATATATATATATATATATATGGCATAGATTTATCTCTGCCTTTTTTTTTAGTGAAAATGAATGATTTATTTGAGAGACTTGAAATTTAATGGATTCTAAACCTAAATGATAGCTATATCAGAAACTATTTTTTCAGAAACAATTTAAAACACAAATGTGATAGATATACTACATCCATATGTCATTTATTCTTCATAGAATTCTATTAATTAAATATCATTATTCCCATTTTATTCATGAAGAAACTAAGGCTCAGAGAGGTTAAATGACATGCCCAAGGCGACATAGCTAAGTAAGGGTCTGATATGGTTGGGCTGTGTCCCCACCCAAGTCTCATCTTGAATTGTCATTCCCATAATCCCCATGTGTCATGGGAGGGACCCAGTAGGAGGTAATTGAATCAGGGGGGCGGTTACCCCCATGCTGCTGTTCTTGTGATAGTGAGTGAGTTCTCACAAGATCAGATGGTTACGTAAGGGGCTTTTCCCCATTTGCTCAGCACTTCTCCTTCCTACCATCATGTGAAGGAGGACTTGTTTGTTTCCCCTTCCGCCATGATTATAAGTTTCCTGAGGCCTCCTCAGCCCTGTGGAATTGTGAGTCAATTAAACTGTTTTCCTTTATAAATTACCCAGTCTCGGGTATGTATTTATTAGCAGCGTGAGAGAGAACTAATACAGGGTCAGAGCCTGGTTTTGAACCAAAATAAATATGGAGCCTTTAATGACTGGGGCTGGGTCAAATTCACCTTTTAGACTAGAGAAATTGAGTGCCTGCTCTTGTTGGTAAACTGGCTGACAAGGCAGTGGTTTTCTTTTTTTTTTTAGATGGAGTCTCGTTCTGTCACCCAGGCTGGAGTGCAGTGGTGCAGTCTCGGCTCACCGCAAACTCCGCCTCCCGGATTTACGCCATTCTCCTGCCTCAAGCCTCCGGAGTAGCTGGGACTACTGGCACCCGCCACTTTGTCCAGCTAATTTTTTTTGTATTTTTTAGTAGCGACGGGGTTTCACCATGTTAGCCAGGATGGTCTCGATCTCCTGACCTCGTGATCTGCCCTCCTCGGCCACCCAAAGTGCTGGGATGACAGGCGTGAGCCTCCGCGCCCGGCAAGGCAGTTGTTTTCAAACTTTGATGCACATTAAAATCACTTAGCGAAAACTTTTAAAGGCCCAATGTCCAAATTGCTCCTCAGACCAATTAAATCAGAATCTGGGACTGGGGACCAAACATTTGTACTTTTTAATGATCTTGAGGTGGCTCCAATGTGCAGCAAAGTTTGGGAACCGCTGCCACCAGTTTTAAGACCTCCACACGCTTACAAGAGCATTGGCAACAATGGGAATCACATCAGGTGCTCTTCTGCTCTTGGAGCAAAGCAGCTGGCTCATATTGACTTTTCTCTTTGCAGGAGCTGTAAAGCAAATCTTTTATTTACGCAGTGTGCACTGAAAGCCTTATGAGAGTCGACTTTGGAAAGCTGGACTATTTTCTCCCTCAATTTATTTCAGCTTCCTTTGGAAAAAAAAAATAGCTCATGGCTGAGGTAATAGAGCACAAGCCTTAAAACATAGGCTGAAGCAGATGGGAGGAGGGCCAGAGTCGAGATGCAGCCTTGCTTTTCTGGCTGTTCTGGTTTTTACACTGTGAGAAAAATATCTTTTCTAAACATGAATTTGTCCTTCCTCTACTATGCTGTCCTGACTCTCTCCCTCTGGGGAAAGTGTATAAATCAATAGGGTTGTCCTATTGCATACTGGATATACTAAAGACATTAGGTTTTGTAAAAGAGTGTTTATAAAAACTAAGTTTGATATAATACTTAAAATTATGTCAAGATTACATGATTGCACTTTTGAACTGGATGAAGCAAAGCAACTGATACTGACGCATGGGTGCTGACACAGGCCACGGAGCTGTGAGATTCAAGATTCTGCATAATGATGACATTTTACATGCCCATTAGATGCAGCATGGAAGACTGGAAGAGCACTGGATGAAGAGTCAGAAAACATGGGTTCAAGGCCAGCTCCACCACTTTGGCCATGAGATCTTGAGCAAGTTGCTCATCTTCTGGGCCTTGTTTTACTGATTTGTAAATCAAGGGGTGAATTCTAAAAAGGAGATTCATGATTTGTACATAAGAAAGAAATTCCCCTTTTCTGTCCTTGAAAAATCCATGTTGATATATAGCTCTCCCAAGCCTACTTGGGTCTTCCTGACCCACTTGCTGACTCCCAGGGGAGAATATTGGACTCATTGTTTTTGGACATTTCTAGCAGAATCTCTGGAGGCTTGAAGGCAGGCGTGAATTCTCTTATGTTGCTTAAAAAATAAGTGTATCCACAGGAATTAGGCAATTTATTATCAACTTATTAAATAGGCTAACTTTTCTGGCTCCTGTAAAAAAGATATGAGGATGATAGGATATTTAAGTGAAAGTTATCTTAGAGATCACCTTTTCCAGCCTAATTTTATTATCCAGCCGTAAACTTAAATGATAGCACTGGAATGAGTTTATGGGTGTTAGAATGCTTATTTCATCCCTTGGATGATTAAAAAAAAAGACTTTCAGTGACTCACAGAACAGATGTGAATGAGTAAACATCCAAATGGCAAAAAGAACCACACTTAGATAATGAAATAAAGTTTGAAAGTAGTTTTCAGAGAGCAATTTACTTGAAAAGTTAAGCAACTTTATAGATTTGGTTGAAGTTAGAATAAATTATAATTTATTAGCATATCCATAAACTTAGGAATAATTATTGAATCAGTCAAACAACTAGACCAACATTTAAAAATATTATACTTAATGTGGGTCCCTGTGGAAACCATAGTTTAAATAGTTCAAACTATTTTCAAAGGTGAATGTATCATTTTTCATCATTGGTAATGAAGTTGGCTGTTTTTTACATTAAGCTTGAAATGAGATTCATAGAAACGTGCTTTGTAAACTGAAGCATGATATAAATATAGAGTATTATTATTATTACTATTATTATTATTACTTATATTCCTCACAGGACCCAGTTCATGCTACGCATGGTTAATAAACAGTTGCTGTGGTTAGATAGGGCTATCACCTCACACACCGCAAGGCCAAAACAGACTCCCCACAGATATTCCTGCCAATGTGTTCTGCTTATAATTATTTCCTTAAGTGGTTTTAGCTGGACCATTACCTCATCCCTTATTCTACTCTGTAACATCCTCCAGCTTTCCGTCCTGAAGGGATCCTGTTCTATCTATGTCTGGCTCATCAACAAGCGGGATATGTGTGCATGTATGTGGCCTGTGTTGCACTTGCCAGCATATGAGTTAAGGACTATTCTTGGGCCATTTCAAAGCTTGCTTGAGTCCTCAAACGCAGGAATTGGTTCTTATATTCCTTCTGTAGCTGCTTCCTAAGCACAGCGCTAGGCATGCCATTGGAATAAGTGTTTATTTCTTGCTGAATAACTGTCCCGGAAAACCCAGTCAACCCTGCCTCCACTCACATGGATGCTTTTCTTTTTCTACCTAGAGACAATGGGTGTTTTCTCACTGGGTTTTATAACAGGGAAGCAAAATAGCCCTTGAGAAAAGTGCAATGAAACAACTGCGAACACAAAGATATATGTCGGTATGTCCTTTTGGGGATTAATACATTTTTTTTTCCTAGAAATTGCTGGTCCTTGGCTTACACTTAGCTGGTGTTTTCTAAACTGTTTTAGAGTCAGTTGTCCTTATCCCAGAGTAATGGGTTCAGTGGTAACATTAATAAATTACATCTCTGAACAATAGCAGAGGGACTAATTTTAACCCCAAATTCCTGCCTTCTTTTTAATGTTTTAGGAGAGCCATTGCAAAGAATAACACTAGGCTGGGCGTGGTGGCTCACACCTACAATCCCAGTACTTTGGTAGGCTGGATGGATTGGGTGGATCACCTGATGTCGGGAGTTTGAGACCAGCCTGGCCAACATGGTGAAACCCCATGTCTACTAAAAATACAAAAATTAGCTGGGTGTGGTGGCACATGCCTGTAATCCCAGCTACTTGGGAGGCTGAGGCAGGAGAATTGCTTGAACCTGGACAGCGAGGGTTGCAGTGAGCAGATATCACACCATTGCACTCCCACCTGGGAGATAGATAGAGACTCTGTCTCGGGAAAAAAAAAAAAAAGAATAACACTAAATGGATAAAGTTTTAGTCTACTCTCTTCCTCTCTCCCCATTACTATCTGATGGAAATCCTAATGAAGAGGGAAATCCACTCTTATCATTGGTCTCCAAACACTCACATCCTAAATAGGCAATAGTGGACTACAGAGAATCATCTCTTTTATATTCATTTTTTACATGGTTTTCTTAAAAATAAACCAAACAGAAATGTCAGCACCCATTCCTACAGCCCTGTGCACAGCGATAGAAGGTGGTGTTTAAAGCACTGAGCATGTTACCCCAGCAAGTCAAAGGATGTAGCCTATGGCTCACTGGGTTCTAGGGAAATACGATTGCTATACATGGGTCACTTCCAGAGGGGATGATTGAGGCACACTGGGTTTCTGTTGAGGTGAGCTGTAATGCTCTATGCTGCCCAATTCGTGGTTCTCTGTCTCAGATCATAGTCCACTCTTGTCCTGGTTAGCTATTTTTAAAAATTTACCATTCATCCTCCACCTCACATCTGTTAGGATAAAAAAAAATCCAGAAATAAAAAGTCTAGGCAAGGATGTAGAGAAACTGGAACTCTTGCACACGATTGGTAGAAATTTAAAATGGTGCAGCTGCTACAGAAAACAGTATGGTGGTTCCTCAAAAAATTAAAAATAGAATTAGCATATGATCCAGCAATTCCACTTCTGGATATATACCCAAAAGAACTGAAAGAAGGAGCTCAAAGAGAGATGTATATATATATATATATATATATATATATATGTATTACTCACAACAGCCAAAAGGTAGAAGCAACCCAAGCGTCCATAGACAAATAAATAGATAAAATGTGGCTTATACATACAATGGAGTATTTCTTCAGCCTTAAAAAAGGAAGAAAATTCTGACACTTGCTACAACATGGATGAACATTGAGGACATGATGCTAAGTTACGTAAGCTGGTCACAGAAGGAAAAATGCTATATGATTCCACTTATATGAGGTCACTATAGAAGTCAAATCCATAGAGACAGAAAATAGAATGGTTATTGCCGTGGAGTGGGGACAGCAAGAATGGAAAAGTGTTGTTTAATTGGTACAGAGTTTCAGTTTTGCAAGATGAAAAGAGCTCTGGAGGTGGATGGTGGTGACGGTACAGAAACAATGTGAATGTACTTAGGGCCTCAAAACTGTACAGTTAAAAACAGTTAAGATGGTAAATTTTAGGTTATGTACATTTTACCACAATTTCAAAAAAGAGCTATTTTATATATATATATATATATATATATATATATATATGTATGTATGTATGTATACACACATATATATATATATTTTAAAAAGAGTTTACCACCCATCCAGAGTGACCTAGGGTTGAATGGAAGTGTCAAAGCAGCCTGATTGGTCTACAGGGTCCCCAAACATGGCACACATATCACCAGTTCTGCCTACTCTTGCTCAGGACAAACATTATTAATTGATCATTACTGCTTTCTTTCTTCCTGAACCCAGATGCAATATCATAAACTTTCACAACATGGGCCACTACCAAACAATTGGAGTTGACACATCAGCTATGTCAATGTAGGAAAAAATGTAGGAAAATGTACAATGTAGGAAATGTAAAATGTAGGAAAATATAAAATGTAGGAAAAAATTGTGATGGTCTATGAAATCCATGCTAGAGAAAAGGAGGGCACAAAAATATAAAAATGTATAAGATAGGAAAAATCAACAGAAACTTGATACATTAAGGAAAAATTATATTTTTCAGCCCTGTCTCAAAAAAGTCCCAATAGCTGAAATAGAAGCAGCATCTTTTGCCACTATCACCACTCATTTGAACTTATATAACCCAGGTTTGGGTGTCTAATTCTACAAGTCTTTTCTACAAAAAAGGAACCAGAACTCCTTGAAGGAGAATTGACTTCAAGTCTTGGGAAAGGAAAATTCAGAGTGGGTATAGAATATCCCGTTGTTGCTAGAAAGCAATGATGATGTACTAAAAAGACTAAAGAGAAATTTAGGGAGCTCCCACTGCCCAAGCTACACCAATTTAGGCATAAAGTCATCATCATCACCAACAACGACAACTGAAATAACTTACACAAATGGAAAAAGTGTTAGCAAAGGTAATAGTAATATAAAAAGGAAATAGTTTGTAATTTTATTGGTATTCTTGAGTTTCAAGGTATTAAATACGTAGCTAGTTTGTTTCTCTTCTACTTCATACACAGACAGTAAGCATGCGTCTATTAAGTGTGAATAGGAACCTGCTTCTATTTGTGTGAGCAGGAGATACTGGGTGGGGAACCTTTAAGTGGGCCAATTTCTTCAAAATTAAGAGCTATACCATGGGCAAAATTGGTCCTTGTGATCTCATATCACATCATAACAAGGAACAAGAAAAAGTCTACCTATTCATTGCCACTGATGGTTATACATAACCAATGAAAATCTCTTTTCAGAGAGTCCAATGGTGTGTTTTCAGATGATAAATTGGCTGGGTTCCTCCACCACCCCCCACCCAAGAGAGCACTGACCCACTCTCTCAGCTCTTAAAGAATAAACTCTGCAGATGAATCTACTAATGAGACATTAATCTTGCTGTGTCACCCAGGCTGAAGTACAGTGGTGCAGCCTCCACCTCCTGAGCTCAAGTGATAAGACATAAATAAGGTTCCAATTATATCAAAGATGCCAATATATCATAATGACAGAAAAATAAGGTAGGTTCAAACCGTTTGTTCACAACTTCTGGTAAAGACATTGAGTTTCAGAAAAATAATATCTATCTGAGACATAGAGATGTAAATTTCCATGATGTAACTAGCACAACTTTGTAATAAGGGGACTTGAACCACTGAACTGTACAACTAGATCCCACATTCGGACCTGAAATCAAAGGGATAACAATTTAGAACTTATAACCTCATTGAGTCTTTTTCTTTGGGGGTATGGTAAAGTTTCTAAAATCCTAGGAAGATGGCCGAGCACGGTGGCTCACACCTGTAAACCCAGCACTTTGGGAGGCCTAGGCGGGGGGATCACTTGAGGTCAGGAGTTCAAAACCAGCCTGGCCAACTTGATGAAACCCCATCTCTATGAAAAATACAAAAAATTAGAGGGCAGGGTGGCGCGTGCCTGTAGTCCCAGCTACTTGGGAGGCTGAGGCAGAAGAATCACTTGAACCCAGGAGGTGGAGGTTGCAGTGAGCTGAGATCGTGCCACTGTACTCTAGCCTGGGCAACAGAGGGAGACTCCACTGCAAAAAATAAAATAAAATAAAATCCTAAAAAGATGTAAATTGTGTTATATATTGCATAGATATATTTATGCTATTTAAGGAAATTTGATATATTGAATTTGTCATTTTTATCAAGTCCTTAAAAGTGTTAAAAGTTACAATCACTGGTTAAATCATTTTAAAATTTTGCTTTGTTAAATTCAAATTTTTTTTATTATACTTTAAGTTCTAGGGTACATGTGCACAATGTGCAGGTTTGTTACATATGTATACATGTGCCATGCTGGTGTGCTGCACCCATTAACTCATCATTTACATGAGGTATATCTCCTAATCTAATCCTCCCCCATCCCCCGACCCCACGACAGGCCCCGGTGTGTGATGTTCCCCTTCCTGTGTCCAAGTGTTTTCATTGCCCTTGCTGTGTCACCTAGGCTGGAGTATAGTGGGGCAGCCTCCACGTCCTGAACTCAAGAGATCCTCCCACCTCAGCCTCCTGAGCAGCTAAAACTATAGGCATGTGCCACCATGCCTGGCTAATTTTTGCATTTTTTGTAGAAATGAGGTTTTTCCATGTTGCCCAGGCTGGTCTCAAACCCTCAGCTCAAGCAATCCAAACTGCTGGGACTGCAGGCATGAGCCACTGCGCCTGACCAAATAATAAATTTTGATGATCTTGTTGAATAAGCAGTATGTGATTATTTAGAGGAATATTCAATAAGTTTAAAAAATATTGCTCAATAAATTCATAAGATTATAAATTATATGTTAAACAATGCACTAATGGTCATACATATTCCTCTCCAAACACAAAAGTCCATTGAACACTAAAGACTATCAAAAGATGAAATCAGTTTGCCATCCCAGGAGACTCAAGACCATTAAAAAAGATTGCTATTCAAATAAAGATACCACATGCCAAGCCTGTTCTATACAGATTGTGTCAATTTCTCAGATGTGATGGAGCTTGCTCTTTGGATCACCCTCCCTTGTGTGGTGAAAGCTTTTGCTTTCCCAATTTCATTGCTAACCTAGAGCTGTCAATCCCATACCTTTGGGTTCATCTGTCTTTCCTCCTGGGTTGGAGTTATCATCTTTTGTGGAATCCTTCAAGCTTCCATATTCCTTTTCCATCTTAGCTGCTTCTTCCTTGGTACTGTCTGTTTCTTCATGACTCTTCTCTGATGGTGCTGTAATCAGATTGAGCATTGTTGTCATAGCCCTGTTTCCTATCTATTAATTGGTTCCTAAAGTAGAAATCAACTTTATTGACAAGGTACAGTTTGAGCTCAGATCATATTTTGAGTTGAAAGGGATCTTAGTGCTTATCTAATCCAACCCTTTAACCCCATATCACAGAAGAGGAAATTGAGGCCCAGAAAGGGGAGAGATATGTCTAAAGTCATCCCATGAGTTGACTTTAGATATATCCCCCCCACCCCACCCCACCCCAGCTTTCTGAATTCTGATTTGGTATTTTTTCCATTCTGCCACACCTTGCCATTAGAGGGCATATTCTTTGTCTTACTTTAATCAGTGTAGGTGATCAAGCCAGGATATGTCATGTTCTGAAGTACATTTGGTGGGTCTTGATTCCAAATGATAATAACTCTATAGCTGCCCAATCTCTCCTTGACATTGCATTTTTGAAAGACAGTCTATTACTCAATCACACCTAAGGATCTGGGGCTATGGCAGGACTTCTCTCCTTCTGCTCCTTTCTTCACACTCCTTTACCCCTAGGAACCCTAAATTCGAAGAAGAGACTTGAACTCTTGCTATCAAAAGAGAGAAACTCTTGCTCCCTTCTCACTTTAAAATAACCATATTTCCATGTAGTAATCCTTTGTTGAATTAAAAATCATAAACCTTAAAGTAGGTAACCATTTGAAAACAATTGTAATACATTTCTGTAGCCAATAAAATATTTGGAACCTCAAGCAGTCTAACAGTAAACTTTTAAAATAAAGTGTTTTTTTATTGTAGAAAAATAGGAAGAAAAGAAAGAAATCAGTTAGTGTCTGATATAAAACATTCGCTAGTGTGATGCGGTATGTAGAGAGATGCATTTTTTTTCACAGTTGTGGTACAATTTTGTTCTTCGCTTGTGTCATTACATTATTATGGAAGGATGTTTCCAGGTAATTAAAAACTGCTTGAAAACATATTTTAAAGGGCTGTATACTATGCCATCAAGAATATGTATATAATTTCTGTGATAGTGACAAAGAGTCAAAGTATAACAATTTGCAATTTTTGGTTGTCATTAATAGCTAAACAAATTTAAAAAAGAATCTGCCATTTGCAAACTTTTCTCTTTTTGTTCCACCCTCCTCCTTGAAAGGAGGCTCCTTTCCATAGCTCAGTTCCCTGGGGTTTGATGGGCTGAGTAGGGTGATAGGTGGAGGTATGGAACTGACGAAACCAAGAGCGGGGGTAAAGCACACTACCTAGGGGCACAGACCATCCCAGGGGAGAGAGAAAACCTGGGAGGGGAGAGCGGGAGGCGGGCAGTGGGGAGTGAACAGATGACCAGGGACAGTAGTCTGGAGAAGTGATTATCTAGGGAGAGAAGATACCTAAAGGAGAATTTTAGGATGGATTGCTCAGTTTTGTGATGTAGCCTTTTCCTTTCCACCTAAGATTCCTAGCCACCTCCAGGAATCTTCAGTAAAGACCTACATTATTTTTCAATGTTTTTTGAGGTCAGATTTATGTGCTGTGATTGGCCACAAAATAGCCAAGGTCACATCTAATTAATCCTATGGCTGCGTTTCAGATTTTAACACTTTTCAAAATCTGTAATTTTTAAATTAATGTTTATTAAAGTTCATTATTTACCACTCAAAAGGGTTATTATTCTAAAGGCTAAAAAAATAGTTAAATAATCATACCTGGGAAAAGCTTGCTTATATTGTCAGTAGCATTTTTTTCTAGCTTGTTTTTGGTCTGAAGAGCAATCATTTCATCCAAGTTTTCTGGAGGGAGGAAGGAAAGAAATTTAATTTTATTCCCTGAGAGATGACATCAAATTTTTACGAAAAATGTTTAAATCTCACCAGAAATATCACAATAGCAACTCCAAAATATTAACACTCCTGGTAAGATGTTTTGACCTGGATTTTATTTCTAAGAATCATAGACTCTCAGGATGGAAAGACATATAGTTTGAGATCCTCAAGTTCAGCCTCCTACTCAGCTAATTGCAGAAGTCGCTTCTGCATCTCTGTGGCCACTGCTAGAACACTTCCAGGATTGGGAATTACAGTGGATACTTGGGGTTTGACCTATTCAACACCTTGTGGTAACTGCACCTTGATTTTTCCCTAGGGAACCTAACCCTGGCTCACTCTCAGAACATTTGACTCCACTGGTGGTAGAATAACTCAAGAATGACTAAACAGGGTCTTCCATGACCTGGGCTATAATTCAAGGAGGAGCCTAGGACCTATCCAGGTCAGTGAGACTCAATGGTAGGACCACTGGTAGAAAGAGGCTCTCTTTCCACTGGGATTGATGTGCTGTGAGGAGGTGAAATTGGGACTGTCCCAGCTATCTTGTTCCCACAGGGAGCAGTCTGTCTGGAATAAATCAAGACACAAAAAGTCAGAGCTGTGAGATGGGATGAGGTCAATTCCTCACACTGTTGGTGGAATTCGCAAACCCAAAGCCAGACTATCCCATCCCTCCATGGACTTCTCCAGTTATACGTGGCAATAAATTCCTTTCTTGCTTAAGCCAAACAGTTTGATTTCTGTCTTTCAGGGCTTTCACTAATTCATAAGGAAGCCAGTCCTACTGTTAGGTAGTCTTAGGGGTCATTTCCCTACTTATATTAAGGAGCATTTCCCTACTTAAATTAAGCTGCACTCTGTATCCTTGTCTTTGTCCTAATTCTACTCTTTGGAGTAGCATCATATTAAGTGTTACTAGACAGGAGTCTAGACTGTGACTTCCTCAAGGTAGACGATGAATTAGAAACCACACTCTTTGTACTCAGCTATTAAACCAGCCACATAGCTATCTCACTACACTATTTTAGGACGAGCCTTTTCTGCCATTCTCAAAAAAGCATGTCTTTGCAGTTAGTTTGTAAGGATCTTATTATTACTTTGTATATTTTCTCCCCAAGTAAACTCCTCTTGCCCTACCTCTATTTTAAGAAGATAATTAATATATTCTAATGTGTAATGCATTGCTTTCTTTTTGGAAATAGTGGCCATACCTGGCAACATTTGTAATCATGGTACACTGTTGAGGCCAGAATAGAAAGGCAGATCACTGCTTGTCACTAGCTCAGATGGGAGGAGAGGAGGCTGGTCAATCGTCTTCTACCCATGCTGCCCTGAGCCCCTTGGGATCTAAGGGTGGCTCTCCATGGCAGCAGAAGTCAAAAGCCAATGTGCTTATACAGAAAAATTCTTAAAGACATAACTCAAACTCTAGTTGTAAAAGTTACATATACACACATAATACATATATGTATATAAACATGTACATATACATTAATATGTATGTAAGTCTTGATAAACAATATTTACATTGCATATGTAAGGAGCAGATATAATTATTTAAAAACACAAACACTTAGAATAAAATTTAAATAGTCTATCATAAAAATAAATAAATAATTTACTTTAGTCTCCTCTTGTGGAGTATCTAGCCTATTTTCACTGCTTTGCTCCTACAAGCCAATGTTGTCCAACAGAACTTTCTGCAATGATGAGTGTATTCATTTCTGCACTGTTCATATGGTAGCTACTAGCTACATGTGGCAACTGGGCACTTGAAATGTGCCTAGTGCAACTGAGAAACTAGATTTTAAATTCTGCTTAAGTTACTCTTAATTTAAATACGAACTTGTGGTTAGTGGTTACCATATTGCGCAGCACTGCTATAAGTGATAGTGGGAATATCTGCCTTGCACATAAGCCTTTGAGGCATTTTTGATTTATTTCCATAGGATAATTGACTAAGTGTGGAATTTCTGACTCACAGGGTGTTGATATGAAAGTTATTGATATGAAAACAGTGTCTTTGGTCTACTGTGAAAACAATAAAGTAGACCCCAAAGCACTATGTGTAATATGAGCTTATTTTTTGTTATATAAGAGAAAGAAATGACATAGGTACACACACACACACACACACACACACACACACAGAATAACATCTGGAAGAATATAAACCAAAATGTTACCAGAGTGTTGATGTTGTGAGTGAT
This sequence comes from Homo sapiens, assembly GCF_000001405.40. Taxonomy (NCBI): domain Eukaryota; kingdom Metazoa; phylum Chordata; class Mammalia; order Primates; family Hominidae; genus Homo; species Homo sapiens. The sequence continues at coordinate 51,697,072 of NC_000015.10, read as the reverse complement.
TTTCACTTTCTTTTTAGGATTTTTTGCATTGAATGACTTTTAAAAATAAATATGCTCTTTTACAGTCAAGGAAAAACCAGTAAAACTACTTTCATTTAGAAAAAAAATGAGGTTCATCCAGAGTAATTCTGGATTGCCCTATCTGGTATAGTTTTGATATTTGTTCCCCCAACACTAATGTTGAAATACAGTCCCCAGTGTTGGAGGTGGGGCCTGGTGGGAGGTGATTGGATCATGGGGGCGATTTCTCACCAATGGTTTAGCACCATCTCCTTGGTGCTGTCCTCCGATAGTGAGTGAATTCTCACGAGATCTGATTGTTTAAAAGCGTGTGGCACCTCCCCCACCCTTGCCTTTGCTTTTATGCTGTGACATGCCTGCTCCCACTTCACCTTCTGCCACAAGTAGTTGCTTCACCGAGCAGATGCTGGTGCCATGCTTTCTGTACAGCCTGCAGAACTGTGAGCCAATTAAACCTCTTTTCTTTCCTTTTTATTTTATTTATTTCCTATTTATTTATCTGAGACAGGGTCTTGCTTTGTGGCCCAGGCTGGAGTGCCATGGCCCTATCTTGGCTCACTGCAACCTCAGCCTCCTGGGCCCAAAGTGATTCTCATGCCTCAGCCTCCTGAGTAGCTGGAACTACAGGGATGCACCACCATACCCAGCTAATTTCTGTATTTTTTGTAGAGATAGCATTTCACCATGTTGGCCAAGCTGGTCTCGAACTCTTGGCCTCAGGCAATCTGCCTGCCTCAGCTTCCCAAAGTGCTGGGATTACAGGTGTGAGCCACCGCACCTGGCCTAGAGTCAAATTTTTATAAAATTGTCTCCATAAGATTATTAGAAAATGCTAATGAGACAATTAATAAATGTGAAATATTTGTACTTAAGCTGGTTCTATAAAGACAAGTTGAAAAAGTTAATTTTATTTGTATATATTATCAAACTGGTCGATTCTTGGTGATTTGGAAAGCTTTGGCATAAATTATCAAATTAATGAGGTCATTATTGCCAAGTCCCTAATTTACTTTGAACAATGAAAACCACCACAGTAGAAACAAAACACATAGAATCTCACCAAGGTAGGAAACACCTTCTTCTGGAGATATTGTTCCATATTTCACCATCATCTTCACAAAGTCAATCAGTGTTTTCATGATAGTAATCAGTGTTTCTTTCTCTTTTGCTTCTTTTTCTATATGAAAGAACAAAATAACTTAAAACTGTGGGGGATAGCTTCCTCTTTCAATGTCAATTTATAAAGTACAGCATCTTTTTGTTTGTTTGTTTGGGTTTTTTTTTTTTTTCAAAGACGAGGTCTCACTGTGTGGCCCAGGCTGGAATGCAGTGGCTATTCTCCGGTCTGATCATGGCTCACTACAGTCTCAGACTAATCTCCTGCACTCAAGAGATCCTTCCATGAAGTTGGAACTATAGGTAAACACCACCACACCCAGCACTAATTACAGTATTTTACTGAAATATTTTTCTCTATATTTATAGCTAAAACCATATATATTTAACTTACAAAAAATCTAAGCTTGATTGGAAATATAGGGTAAGATACAGCTATACTGAACTTTTTCGGACATGGGCAATGATAACTTCTCCAAAAGAGTTTAATTTCATTTAAAATATTTGCTAATAGGGTAGATGATAAAGACACAGTTTTCAACCTGAGGTAACATGAACTCAAAAGGAAGGGTAGAAGACTGGCAAGCCAACAACTTTTCTCTACTCAGGTGGTAAGTCTCTGAGGGCAAGAACAATCTTTATTCATTAATTAAGCTTAATTTTCTTAATTGAAAATAAGAACATATATAGTTCTAGTTTATAAATACAAAATTGATTTTTGAACAAGATGTTACTTTTAATCTTTATTTCATTTGAAAGAATATATGCATATGGTAAAAATATTCCAACTGCTGAAAAGTAAATAAAAATGGAAAGTAATATTCTCTTCCTCATCCCCTCTAACTCCCTTTAAGTAACGATTACTAGCAGTTTCTTGGGAACCTTTTTTCTTTTTTTTTTTTTTTGAGATAGAGTCTCACTCTGTCACCCAGGCTGGAGTGCAGTGGCACCATCTCGGCTTACTGCAACCTCTGCCTCCTGGGTTCAGGAGATTCTCCTACCTCAGCCTCCCGAGTAGCTGGGATTATAGGCGTGCGCCACCATGCCTGGCTAATTTTTGTATTTTTAGTAGAGACTGGGTTTCACCATGTTGGCCAGGATGGTCTCGATCTCCTGACCTCAGGCGATCCGCCCTCCTTGGCCTCCCAAAGTGTGGGGATTACAGGCGTGAGCCACCGCGCTCGGCCTCTTGGGAACCCTTTGTATTTGACATTCTGTTCTGCATCTTGATGGAACAAAATGGATAATGATGCCATAATAGCTCAGAAAAAATATTAATTCTAAAATCAGAAAAAAAAATCTGTTTCCATTTTTGAAGAAAAGAAAAACTAAGATGCTAGAGGGGGAACCCATTTTCCCTATTCTTTGAGCTGCCACTGAAAGATTTTCTCTAAATACTCCTAGCCTTTCCCCCTTCCTCTTCATCCTCCCCCGCAGATATGGTTGGTAAGCAACAGCCATTAGCCTATGTTTCTCAACTGGTGGGGATTTGGAATCTTTCTTTTTTTCCACTTGCCTGGAACAGTGCAAGGCAAGAACCTGAGAAACGAGCCTGTTCTGCAGACCCAAATCATCCCTGAGACTGGCTGTTCCAAGATCTAGACGGAGGAGTAGGGAGCAAACAAGGCCACTGTTGGCTCTCACATGAAGCTATGTTCTGCAGCCCTGTGTTTATCAGCAACAGAGATGATATTTTGGTTTCCTACCTGCTTTATTCATTCTTAATTGGTTGAGACCCTGGGCAAGAAAGACAGATGCTAGCAAAGAACTCAGTATAAATATTTAAATTAAAATTATGGAAAAATAAAGACAATAAGAAATGAGGTGAGGGAAATGGAAAGATAAAAACAAGTAAGGAACATTTTATACAGTAGAATTTTTAAAAATGCCATAAAGTCATGGGTTGAGAGGGAGGAAAAATGGGAGAAGAGTCAGGGGAAGAGGTCTTGGAAAAGAACTGATAAATAGTAACTTCAGCTATCACATTATTTGCTCAAGGACACATCCGTAGAAGTATTTGGCATCACGCTGCTGCTCTTCACTGATGAGAAGTGACTCACCAGGATGACAGAGGTTCTGAGTAGGGCATCTGCCAACCAATGGGGCAAGATGGCTCAGAATGGACCCTCAAGATGTACAAGCCCTGCAGAGCCAGCAGAGTGGCCGGTGCCATCTGGCCAATGTCTGGAATTGAAGCACAAAGGATGTTCTCCAGAAATGAAAGCTTATTTTAAGGTCACTTCTTGGGAGAAATAGATTACAATTATAGAAGTCTTTATATAAATGTTCAATCTGGGGCTGAATCCTTGAACAGGGAAAGAAAAAGCCATGAAGGCAGTCCAGAGCATCTGTTTGAACAATAACAACAGAAACATTGCACATTATTATCCTCCTTGCAGATTAACCAAAATAAACATGGACTGAATCCTCAGTTAACTCACTGCACATATGAGCAAAGAGATCAGGATGCATGAAATACTTAGCTTTAAAAAAACAAAAACAAAAACAAATAATTTCCCAAGTGTGTTTGAGGTTCCCAGATTCCTTCAGTCTAATGTTCTCCATTTTAACTCTGAAGTTAAAATGTTCATAAAGGCTGAAACTGAAACTGTTCATAAAGATCTCTTGAATAATATAAAAAGGATGAATTAGGTTTCATACACTGTTTCCATTAAGGAAAGTGAGTAGAGCCTTTTAAAGAAAGATTTGTTACAAATGGAAGGATTTCCTTCCTACTTTTGTGTGTGTGTATGACAACATGTATGCTAATAAAAAAAGGCAGGCAAAGAAAGACAAATACTGTATGATCTCACTTATATGTAGAATCTCAAATAGTCAAACTCATCGAAGAAGAGAGTAGAATGGTAGTTGCCAAGGGCTAAGGGGAGGGAAAAATGGGGAGGTGTTGGTCAAAGGGTATGAAATTTCAGTTATGCAAGATGAATACATTCTGGAGAATGTACAGCATGGTGGTGATAGTTAACAATACTGTACTGTGTACTTGAAATTAGCTAAGAGGGTAGGTCTTAAGTGTTCTCATCACACACACAAAAAGAATAAAAGAAAAAAAAGAAAAAAATGTTAACTATAAGGTGATAGATACACTAGTTAGATTCATTGTGATAATCATTTCACAATGTATAAATGTACCAAAACATCAAATTGTACACCTTAAATATATACAATATTTGTTTGCCAATTATACCTCAATCAAGCTGAGAAAAAAAGAGTTGCAATAAGAGTTGAGGTTGAACTGGGTCAGAGCAAGGACACTGCCTGGTTCATATCCATCTTTGTGCTAGGTCTTTTCCAGCACCTTGTACATAGCACACGTTCAGTATTTGTTTGCTGAACAAATAAATGAACCTTCTGTTAACAAGAAGATTAAATTATCCAGAAACATCACCTTTCCTAAATATTTTCATAACTGGCATGCTCCTTTGGAAAAAAAAATCGATGTGAACCCTTTTCCCCAAGCCCACAGTGTATGTCATTGGAGATTACATTTGGAAACTGAAAACAGGAAGAAAAGAACACACCCATACATTTCCTGGAATCACTCTTTCTGTTCCACATAATCACAACCACACAGTGGTTACCTGAATCAATACTTTTCAGTAGCGCATAGAAATTTGGGAAATATTGGAGTTCCTCAAAGTTGTCTTCACTGTAGGTTTTAGTTCTCCTTTCCAAGCCATTTGTCAAGGTTAATGTGTTAGATACTGTTTCATCGTTTTCTCCCTTAGCAAGACCATCTTGAATTGCTGCCATTGGAGTCTCCAGTGGGGAAAAATCAATAAAAAATGAACATTTTGTTAGAACTAGTGAAACTCCAGCTTGATTCCTTCCTTTGTGATGCCCTTAAATGTGAAGTGCAAGAATTCCCCCTCGTTTGCAAGCTCCTGCAGGTTCAAACCCATTTCTAGATATGTGTGCTCTTGTCATTTGAAAAGGTCATTGAAGCTCAGGGAAAGGTGCTCTACCTCAGGGAAAACCCCCTGAAGACCCCAGCTCCTGCTCAGGGGAAAAACGGGAATTTCTGGGCTCTTTCTCTGGCCATGTTTACCTCCATAAATTATCATGAGTCTCCCCAGGAAAAACTGCCTTTTAATGAAGAGGGAAGCTTTGAGTTCACAGAATCCACCAGGAGGGCTGGTGCCAGGATACAGGAAAGCCTGTTAGAATGTCTATCCCTAGCAGAGCAGTCACACCTGGGAATTTTTGGGTAAAGTTTAAGTGCTGTCTGGATGAGTGTACAAAATCTTTCTCTCAGACCTGGTTTTTGTTCAGTGACTTGCATCTTAGTAAATGGTTCATTCTCCATTCAGTGAACTAGATAGAAATTTAACAGCCTTTCTTGCCTCTTCTTCCTTTTCCCCCATCCAATCCATCAGTAGCCTTGTTGGCCCCACTTTCAAAATTTATCCCAAATTTGCACATTTCTCCCTCCACTATGCCACTCTAGTCCAAGCAGCCTTCATTTCTCACCTGCTAACTGCAACATCACCCTCCCCAAATCTATGCCCAATACTGCGTTTCCACATTATAGCCAGAGTTATCTTTTTAACAATCTGATCATGTAACTCCTTTGCTTAAAATTCTTCAGGGGACCAGAAAATTCTCATGGTTCTTACAATAAAGATCAGAGTCCATCCATGGCTCATAAGGCGCTGCATGGTCTGGCCTGGGTCCACCTCCCCAGTCTCTTCTCTTTTTGCTCTTTCTTTCTGTGCCAGCAACACTGTGCTTGTTTCAGTTGCTTGGATACTCCACACATCCTTCTCTATGTGCTGCCTCTCATGTTCACAAGTTAACTCCTATTTGATCTTCGGTTCTCAGCTCAAGTTACTTCCTTAGGGAAGCATTTCCTGAGCCTAAGTCCAGGTCAGCCTCCTTTTTTGAGGTCTCATAGAACCATGTTTCTTTCCTCAGAGCACTTAATGCAATTGTAATGAAAATACATGATGATTTAAACATGATCTACCTCTTCCACTAGACTTTGAGCTTCATGAGTCAGGGATTATGTCTTTTTAAATAGGCATGGTATTTCCAGTGCTTGGTACAGAGTTAGTATTCAATAAATATTTGTTGAAATAATATTTCATTTGTGTTTTATTTGCATTGATGCATTCAGGTAACATGAGTAAACAGGTCAAGCATATGAACATTTTAGAGATAGGTGAATAGGAGTATGTAATGGGAATGAAGAATTATGGAAATAGCTGTGTCCATTTTAGCTCAGACTGGTAAGCTTGAGCAAAAGTCATAAGGGTTTTTTTTTTTGATAAATCTAGAACTTTTTTTTTGAGTGGGTGAATCTTCAAAAGCTGCTTTAAAAGATGGCAGCTGGTGAGGATTGGAAGTAAGGAGAGCAGAGGAAAGTTTTTAGGCTATCCAGTAAAAAAAAAAAAGAAATCCAGACCCAATTTCTATTTTCTCTCCTCTCTAAAACAGAACCATCAGCCTCTATAGTCTTTGTATTTGAGATAAGATGCTGGAGGAGATGAGGAGCCATGGGTCTGGGTGCTTTACAGAGGAAAATCAAAGGACAGATGAGGAATTTGATATCCCCTTATGGTCAGTTTCATCTAAAGTTTTAAAGAGAATTCAAGGTGGGGAGAAAGATCTCAACAGCTTGGTTGGTGCTAAGGAAAAAATGAAGACGCAAGGAGTCCAACAAAGGGAAGGAAGGATGAAATTAGCCTGGGTAAATAGGCATCTAAACCAATGAAAAGGGGAAGGAGCAGGTGGAAGAGCATTGCCAAGAACAGAGAGGCAGCATTAGGCAGCTAGCTCTGGGGAACACAAAAGCTGGTGTAGCAGAAGATCTAGTCAACCCACTTCTTTGTGGGGGGATTGGGCACAGATGATGACATCTGCTGTGAACAGATGTTGGATACCAAAAGAACTGTGAGATGTTTGCTTGCAGTTCACTGGGACTGTACACACAGATGTTATTATGTGATATTGTTACTTCACATATTATTATGTATTATTTTACTGTGGGGTATAAGATGTAATCTTTACCAAATAATAGAATATAACATAATCTTTACATTATTTTCAGAGTAGAGATCATTTATATCTTTTAACTTTTTGGTATTTTATGTATATACATATTTTTAAATTAATTAATTAATTAATTTTTTGAGACAGGGTCTCACTCTGTCACCCAGACCGGTATGCAGTGGTGCAATCATAGTTCACTGCAACCTCAAACACCTGGCCTCAGGCGATCTTCCTCTCAGCCTCCTGAGTAGCTGAGACTATAAGCTTGTGCCACCACACCCAGCTAATTATTTTTATTTGTAGAGATGGGGGTCTCATTATGTTGCCAGGTCTAGTCTTGAACTCCTGGTCTCAACTCCCACCTCAGCCTCTCAAAGTGCTGGGATTACAGGTTTGAGCCAACATGTCTGGCCTGAATATAAATGGGCTAAAAATGCCACATACCTCAAATCTTCTTTGGTATCAAGTAAGGCAATTATTATACAGATAGAAGTACACACACACACACACACACACACACACACACCCCCATGCATATGCATATATACACATACATACCACTTTCTCTGGTATTTTTCCAGCCTGATTCTCAGTCCAGCTTGTGGGCTTATTGGGATCCTCCTCATAATTGTTGGCTTCCTTTGAGATTAATTTTTGTAAAACCTCTGCTACTTCATCTTCCAGTGTATGTGCTTGGCTTTCTGTGATCTATCATAAAAAGGCAAAACATATATAACTGCTATATTCCCAGTCTTGTTATTAAAAAATAATGTGGACTAAACTGTAGTCAAACATGTATTTTTTAAAGAGGAATCTTCTGAACCATCTTTCAGACAGCCCTCACTTACGCCTGCACCACATGCTGGCTGTTATAGGGATTGCTCAGCACTCCTGGAAGAAGTATCTTCGGGCCCACCATGCAAGCTGTTAGTTCTATCTGTTGAAACCCATGGACCACATATTTTGAGAAACACCCTGAGCATTGCCCCTCCACAGCTTTGGGTCATAGTCAGATAACCTTTGACATCCTACAAAATTAGCATCTTAATAAAGCCTGTCAGGGCCAGGTCAGGGCAGAAGAGCCAAGCTGAGGTGGATTCAAATTAGATCACCTGGAGTTTCAAAAATACACATCACATGCTTTTGCTCATGTTATTTCTTTTTTTGTCACATACATGTCTTTTACCTCTGCTGGTTATATCCTAACCATCCCTCTAAGCTTCCTTCATACGCCTCTTCCTCTGAAGCCTTTCCTTACTGCCAGTTGGATATAAGCTATTCTCTGGCTCTTATGGTTTTTAAGCAGCTGGCATTTTGGGCGTGTGTCTACTTGCCTAGTTCTTCTGATGGATGATAAACTCCTAGAAAAAAAAGAATGGTGCTTTGCTTGTCCTTAAAACCTACGGGTCCTAGTAGAAGGAAGACACATTATAAACACTTGGCTACTTGAGGCAAGTGACTTGGCTTCTTGGCATACTCTAAACTGCACTAGGAATTTGGTTTATTTCCTACCAAATGACTTACAAGGCCGAGATTAAGTAGTTTAGAAACAATCTTGTCAAACACGGCTCTGTCATTTTCTTCATAAATCCTGGCAGCGATTTTATGGACAATGTCTTCAGCGGTTAAAGGAGTCCCGTCTAGTTGATGAAGACCATCTGGATCATCTAGACAGAACGACCACAACTTCACACCATAGTGATCATAGATCTATTTCATGCATCATATTATACTTATAATCTGTACTTCGCTTTTGTATATTCAGATATGTTTGAAATGTATTTATGGTGGTTCTCGGTCCACAGAAACCCTCGGTTTGAAATAAAATTGGTCTTCATGTTAAAAACTTAGTATGATAATGGACATTCTGAAACTTTCTTAGGTGACTATAAGAGGAAGGAAAAGCTAAAGGCAACAGAAAAGTAGTCTCCATTTATTGTTATCACCAATAATACAAACCATATTATACTTTTTATTAACATAGTATGCCATATTTATATAGCATGTCATATTATTCAATGTACCCTTCTATATATTGTATGATTTGATATTCCAGTTCCATACAGGGAATAGATAGTTTGGTAATATCCCCACATGTACTACCTTTGCAGGCAAATTCCTGGGGTAGGGGCAGGGACTTCTACCTCACACCCAGAATCAGACAGTGTGTACTGAAGATTTTATGACTCACCTAAAATAAATATTTACTTCTAATTGAACTTGTATTAGAGTGTCTTTATGTAAAAAAGGCAGCTTAAGGTGACAAAACTCATCCTTAGAGAACAGGGATCTTACTGTAGTTTATGTGCCCGGAATTTAAACTTTTAAAATATGGCAACAGATCTGCACAAAGCAATATGTAAATCTTTGCAGAGAAGCATGCTCATATGCTCCCTTGGCTCTCCTAGGAATACATTTGGCAATACAACTTCAGACTAAAGTAAGGGCCCATCCTGAGGGAAAGGGCTGGTGGCAATGAAGCATTGTAGCACATCCATGGAGATCTTCCAGGAATCAATTATTAGTCATCTCCAATCTATACTACATTGAATGGATCAAATTTACAATGCACTTAATTCTCCCTGTTTCCTCTGGAAAGATTGGAAAGATCAGAATTTTAGCCCCAGTGATATCTCTGGTTAGCTATATCCTTGGATCACTGTAAAGGAGTCTAACAAGGTATCTATTTCATGGGATTGTTGTGCCATTAAAAGTAATGGCAAAAACCGCGATTACTTTTGCACCAACCTAATATATGAAAGCTAATGTATTATTGTTATTATGCACAGTGGATTTGTATTTTGAAACAAAGGAACAGCAATTATCTCCTAGAGAAAATGGAAATTGAATCTCCGGCCAGATTCTGCCCAGACAATCCTCATCATATTCACTCAAAGAAAGAAGAGCCTAGTATTTCTATTCTGATTCTGCTCTTTTCTTCCATGGGTTTTGGGGATTTGGACAGGGAATTTATCCCGTGGCTTTTCTTTCAGACTCTATGAAAATAGAGGTATATGCAGCCTCAGGCAGAATATCTCTTTCTTGTTTGGAAAGAAGCTTAGGAAAATGAGTGGGGGTAATTATACATGGAGGACTGGAAGTTCTCTGTCAGTACAAAATTGCTGAGCTGTTGGCCAGCCCATGAGCCATGAGCCCTTTGAGCTGAGTACCAGAGAGACAAAAAAGCAGAAAAGCCCCTAAGAAAAACAAACAAACAAACATACAAACAAACAAACAAACAAACATAAAATCAGTTCTCCTCCTGGCTGGCTGAAAATTTGGATCGTCATCTATTTTTCAGGAGCAGAGACTCACTATTATGTGTCTGATTTTTCCATTTGCGGATTGCAAGTCAGGCTGTCAGGAATACATAGAGCAGAAACTGCCCCAGTCTATGCAGAGGTGGAAGAATTTATTTCCCTTCCCACTTATCTATCCCTCAGGATCCGTAAAAGGAGGAATATTGGTTGCCTCCTAGACCTGGAAAATAACTGAGATGACTGTTTTTCAGTCCATTTACTTCACAACAGGGAGGATGTTAGTAACCCACTGAAGAGTCTTTGCTCTGCTGCACTGCTGTACTCTCTTGAGCCAGGAACTTAGGTCTCCCCTAGCAGTGCTTTGCTGGATGGTGTAAACAGTGGAACGTGTGACCATTGCTCCTCACCTTTCCCTGATTTCCTTCACTATTCTAAAATGGATAGTATGACTCAGAATGGCTTCCCTCCTGCTCATGAAGGGGTATTTCACCCTCCATGTATAGACTCCCAGAGGGGAGCCAAACATGGGTTTAACACATAACTTTTGTTAAGTAGCCACAACATTCTAAGTGAATGTCAAAGGGTCATGTCCCAAGTCATCATCTGCCCAGTTATGTTTTGAATCCCTAGCATCTAACATAGCACTTGACATTCATTTGTTCAATATATTTTAATTAAAGTCTTATTATGTGTCAGACACTGGAAATAGAGTGATGTAAAGGTTAGGCATGCTCCCTGACTACACAGGGTTTATTGTCTACCTCATAGTCCAATACATAGCAATTGCTCAATAAATATTCGAATGCATACAGGAGCCCCAAAGCACTACTTTATAAGAGAAATTTGGAAAGATCCTAAATTGTGCATACTATAGAAAACACTGAAAAGGAGAATTGATGGGTCCTATAGTACAAGCCTGTTTGGAAGCTTCCTAAAGGCGAGAGTAGGTCTGGGAACACATCCGGCAGAAGTTAGCTTCCTTTACCTTCCCCTCTGGGATGAAGTCTACATGCATCTGAGGTTCTATTCAACTTAGTGGCCAAAAACCCTCTGGTTTCAGGATTTCCAGAGCACAAGGGGAGACCAGAAGCTTACTCACAAATCATTTTCTCCAAGAACCTTGGCCTGTCTTCTCTGTGATCTCAAGTGGAGTTAATACCTCCTACGGTAAACCTGAAGTCATTAGGACTAGCACTTTGTAGTTCCAAACATACTTGGGATGGTAATAAAATGTTGAACAGTTAAAAAATTAGTTGCTCAAATTAGCGGTCAGATCAAAAACAGATCTATGTCTCTGCCTGCATGTACAACAAGTTTGACCAATCCAGCCAACTCAATATTAGGCTATTTTATTAAATCAAATGATCACTTCAGTTGAAGTGGTTGAATCTGTTTTGTATGCAGTTATAATCAGTGTCTATTTGTAGTCCCAATATTTTAGGTAAAAAAGTCGAATTCAAGATTTTAAAAAGTAAATTTCCCTGAGTAGCATGGCATATGATATATGTCAAAATATAAACCCATTGCCTCCATCCCACTTCATAGGTACACGTGACACTTCAGAACACTCCTAGGTTATTATGTCCTATGAAAGTCCAATTTAATAGTCAGTTGTTTTCTGGCAGAGATAATCAACATAAATCTCCTGTAGCTATGGAACAGAATAAGGACAGGGAAGAAAACCTGTACTTACTCCTAAGCACTGGTTCTCAAAAATGAAAAACACACTTTCCTTCTTAATGCCTAGGTATGGCAGTTCATTTATTCCCTCATATATTATTTCATTTGTTCATTCATTCATTCATTCATAAATTTATTCAATGAATTCATGGGCTTCCAGGCACTGGGGTTACAATGTCTCTATTCTTATGAAGTTTTCAGTTTAGTTTTGGAGAAAGGCATTAATCATAAATAATCACACTTATGAAGGTAAAATTACAAACTGCATGAAGTGCCATGAAGGGCAAGAACAAGGTTTCTATCAGATTATGTGTGCAGGATGAACCTAGAAATGTAGTCAGGAAGCAGTCCATGCAGGACTGTGCAAGCTTCATTAAGGACTTTGGTTTTCCTGTTTTGTTTGTTTGTTTAAGATGGAGTCTGGCTCTGTCGCCCAGGCTGGAGTGCAGTGGCGTGGTCTTGGCTCACTGCAGCCCTTGTCTCCTGGGTTCAAGTGATTCTCCTGCCTCAGCCTCCCAAGTAGCTGTGACTACAGGTGCCCACCACCACTCCTGGCTAATTTTTGTATTTTTAGTAGAGATGGGGTTTCACCATGTTGGCCAGGTTGGTCTTGAACTCCTGACTTCGGGTAAGGAAACTACCACATTGGCTGCCAAATGAAGAATGAGTTGGGGAGAGGCGGAGTGGTTGCTGGGAGAACTGTAGATTTTGCTATAGTTTACATGAGACATAATTGGAGCTTGGACAAGGATTGGAGTTTGGACAAGTACAGAGAAAAACAATTGAGAGATACACAGACATAAAATTAGTAAGTTTTGGCAGATTAGAATTTGAGAGGTGAGGGAAAAGATAAATAGTTTGATCCTAGATTTCTGTCTTTAAAAAACTGGATGGATAGTAGTGCCTTTCCTAAAGAAACAGTACTCTAAGAGGTCTAGGTTGTGAAGTGGACACAGATTATGAGTTTAATCATGGGCATGCTAAATTTGAGGTGCTTCTGACACTGCCAAGGGAAAATGTCGAATAGGTAAACAGATAAATAGGTCTATAGCTAAGAGAAGTCTGGCCTAGTGATATGGGATGTTAGGATATAGATGTAATTGAAGCCACGTAAAGGTTAGGATGACCTAAGGAGAAAAGATATGGCTAGGAGGAAACACTGAAAAGGAAATAGTGGATATTTCACCTTTTTTGTGCAGGGTGGGAGGGTACTTTACTGATCTAATTATTTGAAAATTATGATATTTTGTGTGTACTCATTGTTAAAATAAATCTGAATGTTCAAATGAATTTAATACCATAAAATACAAATACTAGATTAAAAAATGTTTTCAGAGCATCACTAAAGGAATTTTTAAAGGGAAAATAAAATATGGCACTCTGTGGAGCTGGGGCTCTACATGTTATCAGTAAATATATGCTTTATCTCAATTTTGGACTTGACTAATAAAGGATTATGAATGTTTAAAAGATATTTTTAAAATATTGGACTTTCTCTTAACCCATTATAGGAAACTCCACGTTAACAAAAAGTTCTTTTTTTCTCATTTACCTTGAAATTTATGATCCAATCCACTCTTAGTAGAGTCATAATCATCGATCAGTTTTCGATTCTTGGTTGAATCAACATCTTCCACATTCAACTTATTATCAAGTGGGGAGCTTCTTATAGATTGTCTTTCTTTCTCAATTTTTTCCTTTTCTGTTATTGCCTTTAGCAGGTTCAAGTTATCAACAAAAGAATAGTTGCTCTGACCTGGCTTGTTTTCTGGAAGAATAGCCCCAAACCCAACACAGCCATTTTAGTTCAGATTCTCATAGCCTACATTATTTAAATTAACATCAATATGATTTCTTTTTACCTGGAGGATATGTTTTTTTAATCTTGTCTTCTTCTGCTTCAGCAATCTGTGAAGCAAACAGGAGATAGACTTGGTTTAAAATCATTGCTCCACTACTTACCAAGTACAAGAGCCAAATGATTTAATCTCCATGGGATTTAATTGTCTTGTTTGTAAAATGTGGATAATTCCTATTTCAGAGCACTGTTATAATAATTAAATGAGATAAAATTAAGGGTAGATGCTCAGTCAGTGTTAATTTCTTTCTCCTATAATATTGTTGAAAGAGAAATCTCTGGTAAATTAGGCAATCTTACAACAGAGTGGATGTGATGCTGAGCTTACTGGGTTATTATATAGTTACTCTATGTATTCATTATACAGAACTCAATGTAAATAACTGCTAGGGCATAGAATTTACCAAAACTAGATTTCCCGTCCTAATTTCTGTCAATTAACTATTAAGTTCCTGATGTTTGTAAATTCAAAATGACCAAAATGTCACAGCATAATTACATTAAATAATAATAACTAAATCAAAATGAAATAGCATTCATAATGTTACTTTTGACCTACCTGTTCATTCAAAGGTCTTTCTGCACTTAATTCTCTATTATGTAGAGATTTGTCTAGAATAAACACATGTGAATATAAATTTAATTGTGCGTTGAAGGACAAAATATGCCTCTTATTAAATAAAATTTTTATAAAAAGGAAAAATATTAGGAGAAATAATTTTGGATGACTATGAAACAAATGCATATTAACAAAGATTATCAAGATTATACAATAATAGTAATTATCAATATTGCCTTGTTTATTATCTTGGTGTATTTCTTGAGCTGACAGAATCACACTTTTTTTTTTTTCTGACCAGAAATTTAACATATAGTTCTAACACTAGGGTTATCAGCTATTCTCAGCTAGAGAGAGCATAATTTGGATTGGTATTATTGGCACACTAAAAGCTCTTTCATCATATACTGCATATATAATGAATAGACTGTCTGAGAAAGGTTGTAAGGCAACTAGAAAACAATCCAAGCCACTTTAGGTGAAAAAGGTTCCCTTCCCTTTTCAAAATAAGATCTTTAAAAACAACCCATATTATTGCTCTATCATTTTAAAAGTGAAGAAAAAAAATCTGTCTTCTGTCTCTAAATTCGAACTGATTTCTCTGTCCGTATTCATGGATATGATTTGATCAGAAAACGCGTCAGGGTGATTTACAGCTCACGTATTATGCCAAACTTTACCTTTTCGTGGCGAAATAAAAGGAAGGTAGGAAGAAGAAAAGTGTTCACATACCTTGGCTTCCTCCAGGTTTGGGGAAAGCTTGAATCGGGAGCACTAACACCAGAATCCAAGTGCCGGTCCCGAGGAACCCCATTCTTCCACGCTCGGCTTGGGTCACAGCCCGGCGCTGGGCTCCTGGAGCTGTAGCTTTTGTTATGAATGAAAAGGAGGAGTAAAAACAGGAAGAGCCAGGAGGGTGGGTGTGGGGCGGGAGAGGGGCCGGGACTGGGCGGCTGCAGGATCTCTGACACTCGACGGTCAAGGGATAAGCAGGGTTGGGGCGCGCGGGAGTCAAGTCTCCAGGTAGAGGGGAGCGCTGTCCGCCCTGTGGGTGCTGAAGTTCCTGTGACGCGGAGACTGCGCGCCAGGGCGTAGCTTTACTCTCGCTCCCTCCTGCAGAGGAAGTGAGGAAGGAAGCGCATGCTCCATGCACGCCAGAGGCGGGAGGGGATGGCGTCGGTGACTCCAACGCTACTCCAATCCCCCGGGAATGGAACAAAGGAGGGGCGACCGGCCAGCTGGTGTATTTTCTGTGCTGCAGTCCTAGGGTGCTCCTGGGCTCAGGGTCAGCTGGCTTGTCCTAAGCGTGACAGAATTGTCCCAACCTCTCAAGTAAATGTTACTTCAAGGGCCAAATGCCTTCTCTGCCTGTGCACCTGTCAAGGAGATTTAGATAACCTTGTGCGAGGAGTTCTGCTTCGGGATTCTTCTTTTGGGATATCTGCTCCAGAATCCCTTCCTTCCATTCACCTCCTGTACCCAAAAGGTAGATATAATTATAATCTCTTTAGAAAAGCCCTGCCTTTTGTGGTCTGTGTTGACGTATCAAGCATCCCTCAGCTCTACCGAGGCTTTTGAATTGGGAAATTCAAGGAACAGTCTTCCAAATAGTCAGATTGCTGCAATACACTCTCACTCTCTGATGCTGAAACACAACAACAACAGAAACAGTCCTGAGTAGACGAGCAGCAATGGCAAATTCTCCTTTCCCCACCAAGTGGAACCTCCCCCACTTTACACACACACACCACACAACTAAATTAGAAAAAAGAAGCTGCATTTCTGTAAAATCTTGCCCAGAATTTAATTATGCCCAAAGACCTGGCTGTTCCAGGGGGTCCTTCAAGAGAGGGGATAGTCATGAAAAGCATTTTTCATCTTTACTAAGTCAGGGAGGTGCTTCCTATGTTCTGAGAATATTCCCAGAAGCCTAAGGTTATTGTATACAAGGAACTATCAAAAGACTTTAAATGATGAAAACAAGCAACATTAATGTGAGCAGGATGCTGAGTAAGCTCTTTAGTCTCTGATTTTTAAACAGAACTTGGACCTTTTCCTCTGGACTGCGGCATGCTGGGAACCAGTCTGAATAATGACCAAAGAGAAGGATTCAGCACAATCAGGCCTTTGATTTCTGCACCCTCCTTTTCAAGGAGGAAGTTATTCAAGTACCTAAAAACAAACAAACAACCAAGCTGACAAACAAATCTCCCTTGCTCCGGAGGTTTTTGAGTTTGGAAGTCACTCAAATACTTCCTTTGAGGATCTAAAGAGTATTCTAAATCTAACAGCTCCTTCAAAACAAAAAACTCTTTATTGGCAGTAATAACATAGCATTATTATCCCAGTATACTGCATTAAAAAATTAAGTCATATTTTAAAATCCCAGCTGAATGAAGGGTATATTTCCTTAGTTTCCTTTTCTTTATGATGGAAATGACAGGCTCTGTTTACCTCACACTGTTATTATGAAGATCAAATGGGTACATGTTTTGAACTAGTCATTTTGATACCAAGAATATTTTGATACAGCCTAAGAAAATAAGTCATGAAACGTTTTCAGCTTTTATGAAACATTACCCAACGCTATCTGAAATAGCCATTCACTGATCCTGAGACTCACTGACCTAATCCCTCAGCTTCACTTTGTCCTTTGTCCCATTCCTGACTCATTTATCTCCTCAATACATGTTTGCAATTGGGAGAGATTCAGGATGGGATGAAGGTCAGGGATGTCTGTTGAGTACATTGCATTGCTTGCCCAAAAGAAAAAGGGTATTTTGTCTCTTTCTGCCATTTGGACTTAAAGTGATTATGTTAAATGGACACTAAATCTAGGATCATGTTATGTTTCTGATCAAATGAGTGGTGGAGCATTGAGTAAAACATAGGCATGAATTAGTTTACATTATTCAGCCTTATGGATGATACCACTGGACTTAGTATAGGTCTGTGAATGGAGTAATCCTAAATTGTATTTATTCATCAATTCACTTAACAGGTGTTTATTGAGCATCTGAAATGTACCAGGTATTGAGATAGTTGCTGGGTGTACAAAGACAAGTAAGACACTAGTCACTGCTAGTCCTATAGCCTAGTAGAGAGAAAATATTGTGAATATAACAACAACTATTTGGTGAACAGGTTTCACATGCAACACACTATTCTTATTGAAATATAAGTGAATGAATAAGTACAAGAGAGTGTTATGTGTCCTTTTTGTATTTGCAAAGCTCAAGTAGAGTCTGTCCAAATAATGGAATGAATGGTCAGGAAAGATTTCAAAGAGAAGACAGCCCTTTTATTAATAATAAAAAGATTAAAATATTTGATTCTTATGTGTGAGAACACTATAAACATGGAATAATATGAAAATATATGTTGAAATTACAAGACAAATAACATTGACACAGATCAGATAATTATTAAATCAACAATGTACAATGCACAGTGAGTTTGTCAATGCTGCTTGTTCATTTGTCAACACAAATGGAACAATTGTGGTGCGCTCATTCACTAGTGGAGAATATTATTTTTGAGCTGAGTCTTGAAGGTAGAGACATTTGTAGGATGCTTTCATTTATTACAGAAAAAATATATTAATTATTATTGTATTTTTATAGAAAATTTCAAGCACAAAAGTAGAGGAAATATTGAAATAAGCATGCATGAATCCACTACCCAACCTCAATTATCATTAACTCATGACCATTCTTTTTATTCTATATTTCCGTCCACTTCATACCCCAATGAGTTGTTTATCCATTAAAAACCCCAGACTTCATCATGAGGTCAAGCGATTGAGACCATCCTGACCAACATGGTGAAACCCCGTCTCTACTACAAATGCAAAAATTAGCTGGGCGTGGTGGCACGCGCCTGTAGTCCCAGCTACTTGGGAAGCTGAGGCAGGAGAATCACTTGAACCCGGGAGGTGGAGGTTGCAGTGAGCCAAGGTCACACCACTGCACTCCAGCCTGTGAACAGAGAGAGACTCTGTCAAACAAACAAACAAACAACAACAACAACAAAAACCCAGACTTCATACCATTTCATCCATAAGTATGTCAAAGTATGTCAGTATATTTATGTAAAAGATAAGGATTATTTTTTCTAATGTTACTGCAATGCTTTTAACATACCTCCTCCTCATTATAATAATGCCATAGTATCATCAAATATCCAGTCAGATTCAAATTTCCCCCTCTTGCCTCATACTGTAAATATTTTTACAGTTGGTTTACTTGAACCACGATTGCATTTGGTTGACATGTGAGAGACACATATGAGTAAGAATGGAAGGGCAGATGTTGCAAGGTTTTCTTTGACTTCCTAGATGAGATCATTTCTTCCTCAGGATACCATGCACACTCCCAGTTGGGCATATATCCCATATGCTGCTTTGTGTAGATGCTTTCTTTCTCCTTATTTCCAAAATAATAAATACATATTGAAGGAAAAACTTCCGAAAATACAGATAAGGAAAAAGGGGAAATATCTGATAGTGATAACCAATGCAAACTTTAGGGGTATGTCCTGTTGTTGCACATTTTTTCTAAGAAAACTTTACACATATATTTATAAAATTATATCTCTCACTGTGATTACATGCTTACATATCTGGCTTTCTACCACACTAGACTGTGAATTTTTCAAGGAAAGGATCTTGTTTCACTCATCTTTGATTTCTCAGCCCTTCTTACAGTGTCTAGAAATCCATCTGCTTAAATAAATGAAGGGATGGGGGGTTTCCTGTTTACCTTTGGTCTTCAAATCCTGAGGCTATGATGGCTATCCCACATTGGAGGATCTTGACACTGTCAGGACAATTCTCCACTCAGCACTTTCATTACAAAGGCGTAGTCTCACAGAAGAGATGTTCATGAAAGGGCTAAGAATAGAGAGCCTGAGCTGGCAAGGCCCTTGCAGTTACAGAGTTATAGGAATGGATCTGTTGCTGTGAAAGAGACTGACACAGGATGCCAGCACTAGAGGTGGCTGCTGATATAGACGAAAGGAGAAATAAATGTGAAATCTAGAAATTCACCATCAGAGGAAAGTTGAAATAACAAAGAATAATGTAAATGAGCAAATAACAAGACTTAAGGAAAGTGAAGGCATGGAAATGAAAAGAAAAGGGCACATGAATAAGGAAAGTGGGCCCAAATGACAAGATCATATAGGCCACCTACAGACTGAAAGGTGCCAGAAATAAATCTGAGAGTGGGTAGGAGGAGAAAGTAGTAAACTTGTCTTGTTCACTTATCTTGCTTGTACCATAGTTGAACCAGATTGGGTCAGTCACCTACCCTGGGGGCATAGGAGGAAGATGCAAGAACTATGTTTGAGTGTTCACTCCAGAACCACAAGGGTAGAATGGCTTCCCAGAAGGAATCAGGGTGAGGCTATAAAGTAAACAGAAAACAACAGATGCACATGACACCATTAAATATAGTATTTAAAATGAATTAGCATTATTGAGTGAAAATATCAGGTTGCCTATCAGCAATGTGTTTCCTATTATAGAAAGTGTGTGTGGCTGGGCGCAGGGGCTCAGGCCTGCAATCCCAACGCTTAAGGAGGCTGAGGCAGGAGAATCTCTTGAGTCCAGGAGTTTGAGACTGGCCTGGGCAACATAGGGAGACCCCATCTCTCCTACCCCCACAAAATAAATAAATAAATAAATAGATAAATAAATAAGCTGGGCATGGTGGCGCATGCCAGTAGTCCCAGCTACTCAGGAGGCTGAGGTGAGAGGGTCACTTGAGCCCCGGGTCTGTAGTGAGCCATGATTGCAACACTGCACTCCAGCCTTGTTGATAGAGTGAGACCCTGCCTCAAAAACAAAAAAACAACAACAACAAAAAAGTGTGTGTGTGTGTGCACATGCTCATACCTAGAAATTTATCTGGAAGTCTATTTCCCATAATATTTACAATGGTTACCTGGTTAGGATTTTTCTTTGTTCATTATGCAGTTCTGAGCTCCTTATATTTTCAACATGAGTATGTACTATGCTGTTTTATAATCAGAAAAGAACAATAAAACAACACAGTCTATGTAAATAATTTTATATACTACAATGTTTCATATTCCATTATGTTTCAGACAATTGTAATAAACTGTTTTCATTTGGGATGTGAGAACACATTGTGATAAGGTCAGTGGAAGGGAAATTAAAATTTGGTGGGAGGGTTTTTTTGTCTTCTCTGACACTCTGCTACTACTTGAGTGCCATTCTAAACAGTTTTTCACAGTGTACTGTCATTACTTACATGTCCTTTTCATTGTAACCTCCTAGAGGGGAGGGACTTGTCAGTACTCATCTATTTACCTCAGTGCCTAGCGTATGTAGTAAAGAGGTCATAAGTGTTTGTTGAATGGAATCTTATCATCTTATGAATCTATCTATAGCAGTTCTCTTACATGAGACTTGGTACCTTTTTTCCACGTGTATTCCAGGAGTATATTTCAAGTGGCCAAACCGCACAAATTCCTCATTAGCCCTGCCCATTCCCTCATTTTCCAGGGACAATGCCGCCAGGTAGACATGGGCATGCTTGAGGTGGGCTAAGACTTCCCAAATGCTCCTCAGGTTAGCACCCACCCTCTGCCCTGTGAGGCTCTGGAGCTGGGATTTGTGGCACTAGGAATTTGGAATAGGAAACTATTCTAGTTCTTCCCCCTGTTCAGTGATGCAGGTATGGGGGTTAGCAGGGAGGGAGATAAAAGGTACAAAGTGGCGTTTCTTTCTATAGGGTTCAGCCTTGGGGAATCTGCTAAAATACAGAGGGGATGTGCTCCCTTTTGAATCTTCACAAGGTACTAGCCATGCAACGTGTGTTCAGCTTGCATGAAGTTAAGGCCATTCTTGACCCCCTTCATTAGTGTGGTGGTCAGGCTGGCCCTGAGTGAGCTGCTTCAAACTCTTAGAAGTGTTGGTCAAGATCATCTGGATTTCTAAGGAGGAGAGAGTAAGCATCAGAAGCTTGGCCTCTGGCTGCTGGAAGGCACCTTTCTCTGGGTTGTGCAGAGGTGACAGAGCAGTAGGTGCACCAGAGTCATCCTTCATGGACCTCTGAGGTCAGGTAGAGGACAAGGTGGAGAAGGGCACCTGCCCTGACTCACCCCTGTCCTGGAGGTCATACAGATGCTGATTAGTAGCATAGGAATGTGGCAGGGCTAAAGGAGTTAGAGACTTTGCTCAAAGTAAGGGGCTCCACGAAATCACTGCTCTCTGGGCCTACTGTGACTATTACAGGGTGGCAGGAATTGGGATTCCTCTGTCATTAGGTGTGGTGGGCTTTGAGCATGAGTTGTTTCTGCTCCATGGTTATAATGAGTGAAGATGATGAACAAGTGCCAAGAATCATGTCTTAAAGGAAGGCATGATTGGAGTTGTGATCAATGGCATAAACTGGGTCACCAAAGCAAGAGATCCAAAAGCAAGAACCAGAGCTCACTGCTTAAAGGGGCAGCGAAACTCAGTGAATTGATGAACCGGAGTACTAGGAAGAAGGTTGGTCTGGAAGAATTTTTGACTTGGTGCTTAGGCACCTACAGTAGCTTTTTATGCAGGTTGTTTCCTGCTTTGACTGGTTGTGCCAGATCCATTAAAGGAACTGAAATGGACTGGCTGGGATATGTAGAAATGGGTACAGTCTAAGCGTCACGCCAGCACTCATGGCAGACCTTAGCTCTCCATTTCTCTTCTTTATGAACGCAGTGAGAGGTCTCCACAGGGCAGAAGGATTCCCATTTTAAGTTCTGGGTTTTTTTTTTTAATGTTATAAAAAGTATTTGTTTGTTTGTTTGTTTGCTTTTTTGAGACTGGGTCTCGCTCCATCACCCAGGCTGGAGTACAGTGGCATGATCTTGGCTCACTTGAGTCTCAACTTCCTGGGCTCAAGCGATCCTCCTGCCTCAGCCTCCTAAGTAGCTGGGACTACAGGCGTGCGCCACCAAACCTGGCTAATTTTTTTTTTGTAGAGATGGAGTTTTGCCATGTTGTTCGGGCTGGTCTCAAATTCCTGGGCTCAAGCAATCCACTTGCCTTAGCCTCCCAAAGTGCTGGGACTACAGGTGTGAGCCACCACAACTGGCCCCTTTTTAAGTTCTTATCTATAGATTCTAAGAGAGTCTAAGTTTCTAAATTTCAGATTCCATGAAGTAGTATTTCCTCTACATCAGTATCTGGGGCCTGGATGTGATAACTCAAAGAGAATTTCTCCCTAGAGGTCAACCCAACCATAGACAGTGGGAAGCAGCTTCTATCTAGTTGTACCAGATCCTGGTTGATAAAAAATGATAGCAAGGGACTGAGGAATCAATGTCCAGATGCAGGCAGTCTCCAATGGACCAAGGTGACAGTTCTTGTTCCTTGCCTTGGCTCCATGTTAGATTCCTCGGAGGGAGCTTCTAAAGTCTTCCCAAAGAAAAACAATGACCTAGAGACTGATGAAACTCTGGCCCGGTAGCACTAGAGCATTGTCCAAAGCTGGGCTCTCAAGTGAGTGGTAATGGTGGCTTAGAAGCCCCTCTTATGTGTGGCACGAGGGCTTCCTTGATCCATGTGGGTTTAATCCACTTACCTGACTCATGGTTCTGGAAGATTAAAAATATCTGGAAATCTTGCCTAGAAAGTTGAAGCAGCTCTGAGAAAAAACCAAGTCCTTAAATGGTGTGTATGTCTCTACACTTTTTGGTTCCCTGCTTTAACCCTGATTTCATCTTTTATTGCTGTCTCCCTTGCTTTCTTTAATCCAGCCATGTTAGGTTCCTTGCTTTTGCTCACACACAACAGGCCTGCTTCTTCTACCTCAGGATCTTTGCTGTTGCTGTTTTCTCTTCCTGGAATGCTCTTCCCCTAGATATTTCCATGACTCAGTCCCCTACATACATTATCTTTCTGCTCAAAAGTCATGTTCTTAGGAAGTCCTACTGTCTCAAGTTGGGTTTCCTGGAAAGCCAACTCTGAAGTGGAAATTAGTATGCAGGAAGTTTGTTAGGGAGTGCTCTTGAACCAACTCCTATGGAAGAGAAGGAATGGGAAAGAAGTAGGATTTGGCAGAGGGACAAATTGAGCTGCAATGCAGTCTCAATAGAAGACCTTGCCAAACCTACAAGGAATTCTAAAGATGAGAGGACTCTTCAGAGCTGTCCTGAGCTGGAGTGGGAGGGCTCAGCTTTTACATTTCTGTGTAGATCAGTCACGGGGTGTGAGCCTTTCCAGCATGACCTCGGATGAAGAGGTTCTTTTCAGCAGCTGGAGGAATAAGTCTTTGTGTCCTGAAGGGGGATCTGAGGAGTGTATCTCAATGCTCACCACACATACTCTGGCCCCCTATTTAAAATTGTAACCCCTTCCCCTGCAATCCCCCTTCTTATCAGTTGCTTGTTATTTCTCCATTGCACTTACCACCATCCAGTGTATTGCACCTTCACTTATTGTTTTTATTTGTTATCTCTCCCCCACATCTAGAATGTGAGATTTATGTGGACTGGGATTTTTGTCTGCATACTATTTTTCATTGCTGTATTCCTAGCATCTACAATAGCATCTGACTTATAGTAAGTGCTCAACAGATATTGATGCCTGGAATTTGCTTTAAAATACCCAAGAAAAGAAAATACACAGTTAGATAAATAGATAAAGAGAAAAAATAAGAGTGGCTATTAGTTGATAATTATTGTTTCTTGGCAATGAATACACAGGCGTTCAATATACTATCCTCTCAAAATTTTTCACAATAAAAAGCTTTGTACAAAAGGTTTATTTTAAATTTACTCCTCACTGAGGGAGGGAGTAGTAAGAGAGACTATTCTTCTTTCCTCTTCCTTCTCCCAGTGGTATTCTGAAAATACAATTTAACATCTTCCTCAGTGGAGCAGAAAATCAATAACGTTGCTCTGGTGCTCTAAAGCCCATCCTCCAGCCAGTCGTCCTCCGGTGACCCAAAGTGACTTAGCTGCCAACTCTTCTGCAAGATTAGTGGTGCAATTAACAATCCTTGAAGAATTAGGCCAGCATTTCTTGTCAGACACTACATAGGTATACTTCGAATGAATGTAATCTGAGAAACTAAGAGTGATTAGTGATTCCCCCCGGCCCCACCTCCCGCCCCGCTTTCAATAAGGCATGAAACAGTGGCCAGGAGGAGCCTGTGTGAAAGTCCTCAGCTCTTCCCAAAAGAGAGGATGGGTTGTTGACTCATGGAGGGGGCGGGGTGGGGGCAGGGAAGAGAAACCAGCAGTTCCTTTTTCTCTGCTGCTCCTGTGGCCTGTCTGACCTTCTTTCTTTCTACTCTCCCTAGCTCCCTGAGCTCCAGGCACACTGGCCTCTGCTGCTGCTGACATGGCCAGACCCACCCTTACGTTGGAGCCTTGACTGTGACCCTCTTGTCTACATGGTTTATTTCCTCACCTTCCCCAAGCCTTAGCTCAAATGTCACCTTCTCAGTGATGGGCTTTTTAAAATTGCACCCTCTTTCTCCACTCCTGTACTCCAAACCCCATGACCTTGTTCTACTTTTTAATTATTCCTTGCCACTTGTCTCGTTCAAGCATGCTATATAATTTATTTATCCATCTATTTATTATTATATAATTTATTTATCTAATAATATAATGTATTGATCCATCTATTCTGAGTGCCTATAGTAGTGCCTGGCATGTAAATAGTCATGGAAAAAGTTGAAAGAATAAATGGAGTTGAGTCCTGTGTTTCTCAGTATCTATACATTCAAGATTTCTTCCAAGTCAGTCTTGGTTTTAATTACATTACTATCAGTCTCTCTCTGCTTCCCTTCCTCTTGCCGTATACCTCCATCCCTCCAGTTCATACTTTAAAGCAACCAGGGTGATCTTTAAAAAATGAGTCTGATCAAAGATAAGTGTGGAGTTTAGGCAAAGCAACATGGGAAGTTTTATCCCCCTATGCCCAGTCACAGCAGGGAGCCATTACCACCCAAAGCCTGAGCCTGGTGTGAGAACTGACAGGACCTGCAGCCTTCAGTAGAGGATGCAGCCAGCAGGAGACAACCCATCAGAAAGGCAGCCAAGGAAATAAATCTCCTGACTCCACTCTCCTCCCTTCCTCTCATTTCCTACAAGTGCCCCCCAGTGACTGAACTCAACCAGAAACTAGAGGACAAGGGTGCCATTGAGGCAACCCTTAGAAGTCAGCCTTCTTGGGCACAGGGCAAGGTGGACAGTGGAAGTTAGGAGAAGGAGAACATGGAAGATACCCACTTTTTCTCTTCTATCATGTTGCTCTGGTCCCAAGGCCACCCTTCATATCACTCCCAAAATATGACAAGCTTTGTCCCAACTCAGGACTTTTGCACCTGCTCTTCTTTCTGCTTATAGCTTGCCTTTACAAAATTAGCTCCTCATCCTGTCCTTACTCAATTATCTTCTATTACATCACCCTATTTCTTTCTTTCTTGGTATTTATGACAACATTTAATAAATTTGCTTCATGGTCCATCTCCTCCTCTAGACTATGCAAGCTCTTTGAGGCCAGGAACCTTGTCTATCTCATATTCCAACACGTGGAACAGAGTCTGGCATGGAGTAGGTGCTCAATAAACATTTTTTGAGTGAATGAACACATAAATGAATAAGCAAGAAAGTTTTAAAAGAAAATGAAGGTGAGCTGGCTGGCCAGATATTAAATTATAAAGCTAAAGTAACTAAAACAATTTGGCCCCAGCACAGGGATAGAAAAAAACAGTCCAGAAATAGAACCACTGTCATAGCTTTCTAACTAGTTTCCCTGCAATATGGTGGTTTAGTACACTGTACAAGTGGCATTTAAAATCAATCTGTTTTGTGCTGCTATAACAGAATACCTGAGACTGGATAAGTTATAAACAATAGGAGTTTATTTGCCTCATGGTTCTGGAGCTGGGAAGTCCAAGATCAAGGGGTCACACCTGGTGAGGGCCTTCTTGTTGCGTCATAACATGGTGGAAGGCATCACATGCAAGACAGTGTGCAAGAGAGTTGAACTCACTTTTACAACAAACCCATTCCCACGATAAGGACATTAGTCCATTAATCCCATTAATTCCAGGGTTAGGCTCTGTCCTCATGACATAATCACTTCTTAAAGGTCCCACTTCACAACACTGTTGCACTGGTGATTAAGTTTTCAACACATGAACATTGGAGGGCACATTTAAATGATGTTTGTATGATTAGCTAACAATTTTTTATTAAAATGTTTGGGAGGCCAAGGTGGGTGGATTGCTTGAGCCCAGGATTTTGACACCAGCCTGGACAACACAGTGAAACCCCATCGCTACAAAAAATAAAACATTAGCCAGATGTGGTGGCATGAATCTGTAATCTCCGCTACTAGGGAGGCTGAGGTGATAGGATCACCTGAGTCTAGGGAGATCAAGGTTGCAGTGAGCCATGATTGTGTCACAGCATTCCAGCCTGGGCGGCAGAGTGAGACCCTGTCTAAAAGAAAACAAAAAAGAAAAAGAAAAATGAATGTATTCCTCACACCTTCATTGAAATAAATTGTATACAGATCAAACATGTAAAGTGAAAACATGAAAAAAAATGTGTGAATACTTTTACAGTCTTTTTGTTTGTGTGCTTTTTTGAGACAGGGTCTCACTCTGTTACCCAGGCTGGAGTGCAGTGACATGATTATGGCTCACTGTAGCCTTGATGTCTCAGGCTCAAGCAATCCTCCCATCTTAGCCTCTTGAGTAGCTGGGACTGCAGATGTGAGCCAACATGCCCAGCTAATTTTTTAATTTTTCGCAGAGACAGGGCATCCCTACATTAACCAGGCTTGTCTCAAACCCCTGGGCTCAAGAGATCTTCCTGACTTGGTCTCCCAAAGTGCTGGGATTACAGGCATAAGCCACTATGCTCAGCCTACTTTCATAATCTTGAGAAGAAAAACACTATCCTAAACATTACAGATAGAAAACATAAAGGGCTGGGTGCTGTGACTCATACCTGTAATCCCAGAACTTTAGAAGCCAAGGTGGGAGGATCACTCGAGGCCAGGACAATATAGCCTGGACAATAAGCCAGACCCTGTCTCTACAAAAAATAAATATATTAACAGGGCATGGTAGTGCATGCCTGTAGTCCTAGCTACTCCACAGAGGGTAAAGAGGGAGGATCCCTTGAGCTCGGAAGTTGAAACTGCAGTGAACTGTGATTATGTCACTGCACTCCTGTCTGGGAGATAGAGTAAGACCTTGCCTTAAAAGAAAGAAAGAAAGAAAGAAAAGTAAACATAAAGAAAAAGAATGATAAGATATCTAAAATTCATGTTTTAAAAAATTACAAAAGTGTTATAAGTTTGAAAAACCAGGAAAATACCTGCAAAACTTAATTTCCATAATATATAAAAAGCTCATATAAATCAACGATAAAATGGAAACACTCTAAAAGAAAAATAGGAAAAGGACACAAACAGAAATTCAAAAATAGGAAGAAAATTCATTAAGTTATAAAATGTTCATTTTACAATGAATATAAAATATCATTTTTGAATTTTCAAATTAGCAACAATTGAAAATATTGACAACACTAAATGTTGACCAGTATATTAGTTTCTTACTGCTTCTGAAACAAACTACCCCAAATTTAGGGGCTTAAGATGACAAAAATTTATTATCTTATGGTTTTGTAGGTCAGAATTCCAATACTTGTTTCACTGGGCTGAAATCAAGGCGTCGGAAAGGTTGCCTTCCTTCTGGAGACAGTAGGGGAGACTCTAAAGAAACTCCGTTTCCTTGCTTTTCCCAGCTCCCAGCAGCTGCCGCATTCATTGCTCATGGCCCCTTCCTCCATCTTCAAGGCCAGCGAGTTTGCTTCTCCCTCTGACCTTTCTTCAGTGGTCACATCTCCCTCTGACAACAGCCTGAAAAGGTTCTCTCCTTTAAGGACCCATGTGATTAGGCTGGGCCTACCCAGATAATCCAGGATAATCTTCTCATCATGAGGATGTGATCATCCTCATGACTTAATCACATCTGTAGAGTCCCTTTTGTCGTAGAAGGTAACATACAGGTTCCACATATTAAGACAAGAACATCTTTGGGGGTGGGATGAGGTGGAAGAAGATGTATAATTCGGCTTACCACAGCCAAGGTGAGGGAAAAAAAGGGACATTTCATTTAGTTTTCCTGATAAATCTTACTTTAAGAATGTGCTCTAAGGCAGAATAACCCAAATTGTGTTCTTCAGAACTTTATATAAATTTTCCTCTTAGGAACACAGGAATATTAGAAGATTCGCATTACACAT
The DNA here is from genome assembly GCF_000001405.40 of Homo sapiens. NCBI lineage: Eukaryota > Metazoa > Chordata > Mammalia > Primates > Hominidae > Homo > Homo sapiens. The sequence continues at coordinate 51,668,286 of NC_000015.10, read as the reverse complement.
TAGCATCATAAAGTTTATGAGGTCCACAATTTAAAAAACAAAACAAAAATAGTTTTTAACATTTCCTAAACTTCTTTAGCCATGGAATCTACTTTCTTGCATAACATTGGTTAACATTCAATTACTAAAAGTTATAATATAATTGAACTTTACATTCATATGTATAAATACAATACATACTATACATATATAATTATAACAAAGGGTTGTGTTCCTATTTTGTCTCCACAACTAGCTCAGTCTTTGAAAAGAACACTCAGAAAGAAATATTGCAAATAATAAATATGTGAGTGGTCAAAAACTTATGAAAAATAACACCCAATGAGTAATAAGAGAAGCACAATGTTTCAAAGGAAGAAACTATTAGTTTTCTTTCAAATTTAGGAAAGGTTTTTGAAAAGATAAATGCTAGATTTGGCAAGGATATGGAAGAACGTGTCCTTAAGTATATCGTTCTGGTGAGAGAGCAATTGGCATAAGCCTTTTGGAAAGCAGGTGGGTTATATAAATCAAAAGCCTAAAAATACATATGCCAGATGCCTGAGATGAAAAGATATGTACCCCTTGGTTTAGCAGTTTCATTTCTGAAGTGATCAGCGGTAGAAAAGAATGAGCTACTGCCACATGCAACAACAGGAATACATCTCGCACACATAATGACGAGTGAAAGAAGCCAGACACAAAAGAACACGTGTTTTTGTTTATATGAAGTTCAAGAATGGGCTAATTTATCTATGGTGGTAGAAGTCAGAATGGTGATTATTCTGGGTCTGGGGGTAAGTATTGGTAGGGAAGGGACATGAAGGAGCCTTCTAGGGTACTGGAAATAGTAAATATCTTGATCTGAGTGTAATTACATGGCTGTATACGTATTTAAAAATTCCTCAAGCTGTAATTAGGTCCTCTATTGTGTGTATATTATATCTGAATTTAAAAAAAACTAACATATATATATATATATATGAAGACCCAAGGCCATGTTTAAAGTGATCCTCGATTAGCAAAGTCAAGACAATTTTAGCATTAAAATAATGACTGTAGTGACTGAGGATATCTGAGAGTAATACTTTGGACAAATAAAAATCCATGAATCCATAATGGATACTCAAAAAAAACAAAAAACAAAAAAACGGTAGGGGCTGGGGAGTAATCCTTCTTCTTTACAGAAGAATGCAAGCTAACAAATCAGAAAAGAATTCTAGAACTAGAAAATCATCACTTTACAACCTCATATTACAAGAATTATCAATGACCGCTTAAACCATTAGGTGAAAAATGATTGGGGAACAGAGTAGTCACAAGATTTCAAAATATCACCCCACAGATTACTTGCTAATTGCAAACAGAAAATACGCCTTGCAACGGAGTGACTTAGTAGGCATCATTTTAATTTGGTGACCAAATTCAGCATCAGTCACTGGCATCAACTCAACATTATGTGCCTCTTGATGTGTTGTGAGGTTAAGTACACAAGCATCACTATCAGCTGTTATATGCTGCCTAAGATGCTAATTTCTCTGGTATGGAATAGAACCTGGACGCTGACGTTGGAAGTCTTCACAAGCTCCCCAGAAGAACTTAGTATGCAGTTAAATTAGAGACAGAACCATTAATTTAAATATTTGCAAGGTACATATTGAGTACCTCTATAAATTATTTTGTAATTGCATACTAGAGTCCTATTGAAATGAGCTGAGGGAAAAAACACAAGTGCGATGGAAGACTACCTTCCTGATTTTGGTAAGCAGCCAAGTAATCTTTTTCAAAGACCCTTTCCCTTCTTTTTGCACTATCATAAATTTTTAAAGAATATGTGTCTTTAAAATATGCCATAGTAAGAAATTACAAGTCAATGGGAAAAAAGGTTTCTACAGATCAAAGGTAGTTAAGTGCTACTTAAGGATATTTTGGCTGAGCGCAATGGCTTGCGCCTGTAATCCCGGCACTTTGGGAGCCCAAGGTGGGCGGATCACTTGAGGCCAGGAGTTCAAGACCAGCCTGGCTAACATGGTGAAACCCCCACTCTACTAAAAATACAAAAAATTAGCTGGGCGCGATGGCGGATCCCTGTCATCCCAGCTACTTGGTAGGCTGAGGCAGGAGAATCACTTAAACCCAGGAGCCGGAGGTTGCAGTGAGCAGAGATCGCACCACTACACTCCAGCCTGGGCAACAGTGCACAACTCTATCTCAAAAGAAAAAAAAACGATATTTGATATAATATTTTAATTTTAAAACTGTGTATTTTGAAAGTAGAATGGTGTTTGCCAGAGGATGATGGGAGGAGAAAATAGGGAGTTATTGTTTAATGGGTATGGAGTTTCAGTTTTACAAGATGAAAAGAGTTATGGAGATGGTTGGTGGTTATGGTTGCACAACATTATGAATGTATTTAATGCCACTGACCAGTGCACTTAAAAATTGGTGAAGATGATAAATTTTATGTTATATTTACTTTACCACAATTTTTAAAATTGGAAAAAATATGTATTTTTCCTCTCACTGCCCAATATAAACACTATCAGAAAAGAAGGTTTTCACTATTTAAATAATATTTGCCCTGACAGATTACTGCTAGTCATGAGGCAATGAATGGCAGGGTGCAATTTTACAATGCAAAAGTCAGGCTGTTACCACATATTGTATAATTCTATTTATATAAAATGTCCAGAATGGATAAATCTTATAGTGACAAAGAGTAGATTAGTGGTTGCTCAAGGCTGGGGGTGGTGGTGGTGGTAGTTGGGAAGTGGGGGTGATGCCTGCTAATGAGTATAGGGTTTCTTTCTGGGGTGTTGAAGATGTTCTGAAAATATTTACAGTGATGGTTACGCAGCACCGTGAATAGACTAGAAATCACCGAGCTATACACTTTAAATAGGTGAATTGCATGGTATATGAATTATATTTGAATAAGGCTGTTATTTTTTAAAGAAATCAGTCTGTCACTCCCTGAATCTAGGGATCAATCTTAACATCACAAATAGTGGAACAACCAGACATATGGGCATCCTGCTATAATGCAATTTAAAGTACCACTAAAATAGTCTTGCCAAAAAAAGTTTACTTGAATCTAATAAGTCCTTTAGATCTAAATTCCAGGGGCTAGAGGAATAAATCCTGCCTCCGTGAGGAAGCAATGAGACAACTCCAGAAGGTGGAAAATTCTACCAGACTGTTAATAGAAGAGACTACTTTTCTAGCCTCCTCAACAAGTCACTGTCATGGGAGGATAAGTGTGGACTGAAACTGTTCCAGATTGCACAAGACTTAAGAGATGTAACAAATGCAAATTGTGGGCTTTGATTGGATGCCATTTTGAACAAACCTCTAGAAAGAATATTTTTGTACAATTGGAAAATTCAGATATAGAATGGGTATTTTATGATATAAAAGGAATTATTGTTAATTTCATTAGGGATTGTTGTTACATGTTCTTAATTTTTAGAGATGCCTACTAAAATCTTTAGAGCATGAAAAAACATGATCTTTATGATTTACCTTAAGAAACATCAGAAAAAATATAGAGGAAGCAATTATGGCAAAATGTTAATCATTGTCAAGTTTAGATGAGTATATGGGGGTTAATTTTACTATTTCCTCTCCTTTCCGTAGGAAAATTCTCATTAAAAGAAAAACCTGTAAGGCCAGGAAATTGTAAAATCTGTAATAATAATCCAAAAGAATTATCCAAAGATTTCTCTAAAAGATGTTTGATTAAATACAGGAGTATAAGTACTTTTTGACAAAAATGAGGGCTATATAAAAGTACAGGTCGACCAGGCGTGGTGGCTCATGCCTGTAATCCCGGCACTTTGGGAGGCCAAGGAAGGCAGATCACTTGAGACCAGGAGTCTAAGACCAGCCTGGCCAACATGGGGAAACCCTGTCTCTTCTAAAAACACAAAAACTTGCTGGGTGTGGTGGCACATGCCTGTAATCCCAGCTACTCAGGAGGCTGAGGCACAATAATCACTTGAATCTGGGAGGCAAAGGTTGCAGTGAGCAGAGATCGTGCCACTGTACTCCAGCCTGGGTGACAGAGCAAGACTCTGTAAAAAAAAAAAAAAAGAAAGAAAGAAAAGACAACTCAAATGTTATAGAATTTTGTATTGCATTTCATTTCATAAAACATTATTCTTTCTAAAATGAAGGGAATTTAAAATACATATAACTAAATAATTTTTATACCAATGTATGTAAAACTTTTCATGCACATAAATTAACAAATCAGGAAAAACCTGTTATTACATTGTCATTTCTACATTGAGATTACAAAATAGGGCAATTTTAGCCATATATAAAATTTAGAAGTATTATATTCATAAAATCCCAACAGAGGTCAACAGACAACAGTAGGGAAAAAAGAACTTGTTCTAAATTTTCCGATATACTAATCTAGGGTTCCACAGTCCAGTTGCCTCTCTTGCCCTGTCCACTCAAAGATCTCTGTCTTATTTGTAATATTTATTATCATTCAGATAATCTGGGGAAGCAGAGGTCCATAGTCAGATTCTCTCAACAGGGTCAGCAGCAAATCATAATTGAATGGCTATTTTACCCTACTTCTGCTCAAGCCATTATTAGCCATACTCAAAACAGGTTTACTGTGAAGCTAGTGAAGCTTACTTAAGGTTGTACAAGCCCCTTCCAAGGCCCAGGGAAAAGCCCTAGCTAGTTCACATAGCCATATACTTTCACACAATTTTAAAAAGTAAATCTTTAAAACTCAATTAGTTCAGAACTCTGTACTCTAACTTCCCACCAAATTTCTCCCCATGTTGGATGTTGGGTGAATAGCCATAGGCATTTCTGGAAGTTAGATAAAGGAAAGTTAAGTTGGGATATATTGAGTTTAGTAGGATAATTTAAGTGTCTCATAGTCACTTCCATGTTGAGTTAGATTATTGCTAGTCTGGCTGATATAAGAATGGATTCCTAGAACACGCCTACTGCCAACTGTGCCAACTCATCTGGTATCCAGGCACAAAAGTGCATGGCTAGAGGTCCCATCACAATGTGAATGTGTCCTATAGCTTCTGGCACCAAAGTAGTATGTCAACAGTGGAGGAGAAACAACACCCAAAGTGCGATGTAGTAACTGGGATGACCAACATTGCTGCAGAGAACAATATGAGGAGCATGCAAGCGGACTAAATACTCCAACCTGAAGACAAAGAGTCAGACCAGTAAAACAATAACCCAACTGTATGCTGTTCATCAGATACATACTTTAAAAATAAGGACATGGAAAAGTTGAAAGTAAAAAGAGAACCATATTGAGCCCAAGCTACCATGTGGAAAATTCTTCTAATCATCAGAAGTGTAAAATTATAAATAGCAGATTTAGTTCCTTGTCAAAATGAAGTTTTTTTTTTCAAGTATATATTTGATAATGCTGGGTAAACAGCTTTAAATACATGTTTTTTTCTGATAGGGATCTCACATTATAGACTTGATCATAATTCCTGTGTTTGTGGATCATAAATAGTAGCAGTATTACAAACAGAGAGTATGTTCTTGTGTAACATTGTATGTTTTAAGCATCTCAACAAACAAAAATTTAAAAAACCAAATTTTGATCAACATGCTATAGGACAGATTGAGCTTTTTTCTATTCTCTCCATGTAAACTGATACTATAAAATCAATGTCATATGAAAAAATTTGCAGCCAAAAATGGGGAAGAAGGGTGGTATAAAGATGTATTAGGCAGTTAATGAAAATTTTATGCTTTTTAAGGATTTTGTGATGTTTTGCTGTTTGTCAGCTTTTCAAAATCTGTATTGTGTTATCATTTCTTTTCTTATCAAACTAAATACTCAACTTTTCCAAAGAAGACATACATGGCCGGGTATGGTGGCTCACGCTTGTAATCCCAGCCCTTTCGGAGGCCAAAACAGCAGATCACTTGAGGTCAGGAGTTCAAGACCAGCCTGGCCAACATGGTGAAACCCTGTCTCTACTAAAAATACAGGACTGGGTGTGGTGGCTCACAACCTGTAATCCCAGCACTTTGGGAGGCCGAGGTGGGCGGATCATGAGGTCAGGAATTCGAGACCAGTCTGGCCAACATAGTGAAACCCCATCTCTACTAAAAATACAAAAAATTATCTGGGCATGGTGGCGGGTGCCTGTAATCCCAGCTACTTGGGAGGCTGAAGCAGCGGAATCGCTTGAACCCAGGAAGCAGAGGTTGCAGTGAGCTGAGATTGCGCCACTGCACTCCAGCCTGGGCGACAGTGTGAGATTCCGTCTCAAAAAAGAAAAAAAAATTAGCTGGGCATGGTGGTGCAAGCCTGTAATCTCAGCTACTTGGGAGGCTGAGGCAAGGGAATTGCTTGAACCTGGGAGGCTGAGATTGCAGGGAGCCGAGATCGTGCCACTGTACTCCAGCCTGGGTGACAGAGCGTGACTCTGTCTCAAAAAAAACAAACCATGATATCAAAGAGATATCTGCATTCCACCATTCATTGCAGTACTGTTCATAATTGCCAATATATGGAAACAACCTAAGTGTCCATCAATGGATGAATAGATAGATAAAGGAAATGTGGCATATATACACAATGGAATACTACTCACCCTTAAGAAAGCAAAAAATTCTGTCATTTATGACAACACAGATGAACCTAGAGGATGTTGTGTTTCCCACCTTGGGAGCCTTTGCACAAACAAGCTCTGACTGGAAGTCTCTTTCATAGGCTCCTTGCCCGACTGGCATCTACCTTCAGGTCTCAGCTAAAATGACACCTCTAAAAAAGACCTTCCCTAATCCCACCTTAAAGTCATTTTTCTCTAGTCTCTATCACATCACCCTATTTTCTTCACTTATCATGATCTATAGCTATATTTTATATCTAAGCGCTTCAGTAAGCATCTCTAAGGTATAAAGACATTTTCTTATGTCCTGTCAAAGAACAAGACCACTATTCAACATCTGAAACACAAAGCACAAAGCTGTATTTATCACTTACTTAAGTAAATGAGTGGGATGCTGGTCAGGGACAATCTATCTGTGTAGAACTGATTGACGACCTTGTATTGGGTTTTTAAAAAGAGTGTAGTTCAGAGATTGGTGCATTTTTAGAAGTGGGATTAGGTTTTCATCAGCTGTAGACACAAGGTCACTCAGATGAGCCTGTTTCTGATGGCTTGGCATTCAGAAACATGTTCATTGGAATCAGTCTCAATGGACTGACTTTCAGAAGCAGGAGATTCACAAATGGATTAAATTGCAAATTGGGCCAAGGCAAATTGTCATTGATTGATTAAATGGATTTAAAACCAATTCTGTGTAAATTAGTACAACCTCCATGGAAAACAGTATGGAGATTTCTCAAAGAACTAAAAACAGAGCCACCATTTGACCCAGCAATCTCACTGTTGGGTATCTATCCAAAGGAAAATATCATTATATCAAAAATATACCTGCACTCGTATATTTATCACAGCACTATTCACAATAGCAAAGACATGGAATCAACCTAGGTGCCCATCAATAGAGGATTGGATCAACAAAATATGGTACACATACACAATGGAATACTATTTCGTCATAAAAAAGAATGAAATTCTGTCATTTGCAGCAATGTGGATGGAACCAGAGGCCATTATCTTAAGTGAAACAACTCAGACACAGAAAGACAAATATCGCATGTTCTCACCTATAAGTGGAAGCTAAGTAATGTGTACATATAAAAGCAGAATGTGGAATGATGGGCAATGGGGATTTGAGGGCTGGGAAGATGGGAAGATGGGTGGGAGGTTGCTTGGTAGGTACAATGTGTGTTGCTCCAGTGATGGATGCACTGAAGGCCTTGACTTCACCACAATGCAATATATCAATGTAGCAAAATTGCACATATACCTCATGAATATACACTATATATGCACACACAGACACACAAATACATATATATGCTTATATATGTGTATATGTATATATAAATAGTGCTTGCAGTTATTTTTACCATGATTACAGAACTATAATTTATTTATTAAGCAGGTTAAAAAGCAGTTGTAGTGGCTACTTGTTACAATAGCTTTGGTACAATCAGTCTTTTCCTAGAAATGTCAGGACTTTTTCTATTCTCTACCATTATCATTATCATTACCATTATCAGTGGTTCTGGTCATAAACCATTGTCTGTCTGTGAAGAAATGTGTAAAGAAACTGAGAATAGCCATTTAGAAGTAAGTACAACAATTTCACAGGATAATTTTATGTCTGTTGACTCCAACAATAGTAAAAACAATGACTCTTGTTTGTTGTGCATCTTTTATTTACTTCATTTTTCTACTAATTAATTTTTATTTTATTTCACAACTGTAACTTTCTGCAATGGATTGGGGAAAAACTGTTCCTTCACCACAGGTGGAGAAACACTGACCCAATGCCCACTACATACTGAAATTTTCCCAATTATTCCCAATAATGTTATTTTTAGTTGGTTTGCTCAAACCATTTGATTATTGTATCTCTTAAATTCTTGTACTCTAGAACAGTCTTCCCTTCCCCGCTTCTTTCTCTCATGCCATTGACTTGTAAAGAAACCAGGCCAAGAAGGAGGATATTGAATGTTTCCAACATAAAGAAAGGATAAATATTTGAGATGATGGATATGCTAATTACCGTAATCTGATTGCTATGAATTATTTTTATCAAAACATCACTATATACCCCATGAATATGCACAATTATTATTTTCTAATAATTTTTTTAAAGACACCAGGTCAATTGTCTTGTAAAGTTACCTTCTCCTTAAAAACCCCATTCTGGTTTGTTTGATTGCTTTCTCAATATTTTTTCCCAGCCTGTGGCTTGCTTTTTCATTTTCTTTTCTCTTGAAAAACAGATTTTAATTTTGATAGTCTAGTTTACTGATTTTTGTCTTTTATAGTTTGTGACTTTTGAGTTATATTTAAGGTAGCCATAGGCCAAAAAAAATCCTCCAACCTCACACCATATGCTAAAACTAACTCAAAATGAATAATAGGCCTAAATGTAAAAGCTAAAACTATAAAAAATCCAGAAGAAAACATAAGAAAAAATCTTGCCCTTGTATTTGGCAAAGATTTCCCCAGGTTATTTGGATGAGCTGCCAGGATTGAGAACAACTAATTCATTTCTGATAGCAACCCAGGTCAATGTGACTTAAGAGGAAGTTTCTTAAGTTTCAGTGTTTCTTAAATATTAATGTATATGTTACTGGTGGAGGGTCTTGACGAGTCATCTAGGTTCTTGGTGTTTTGAACAAGGAATTGGACAAAACACACAAACAAAGCAACAAAAAACCAGATGAACGAAAGAAGCAATGAAAGCACAGATGTATTGAAAGGAAAGTACACTCCACAGAGTGGGAGTGGCTTAAGCAAGAAGCTCAAGAGCACCTGTTGCAAAATCTTCTGGGGTTTCATTACTCTTTAGAGGTTTCCTATTGGTTACACCCTATGTAAATGAAGACATGGCCCACAAGCAATCAGAGGCTGAAGTGGAGTTATGCCCTGTGAAAATGAAGACTTGGCCTGCGACCAATCAGAGGCTGAAGTGAAGGTTCCCTGTCTCCAGACCTTATTCTCTTGCTTCATATATACATATCACCTGTTTTTCTAAAAAAAACAAAACCAAACTATTTAGTAAGTCTTGGAATTGCCTTACCGCTGGTCTTTATTTTTATTTATTTATTTACTTTTTTGAGACAGTCTCCCTCTATTGTCCAGGCTGGAGTGCAGTGGTGCAATCTCAGCTCACGGCAACCTACACCTCCCCGCTCAAGTGATTCTCATGCCTAAGCCTCCCGAGTAGCTGGGACTGTAGATGCGTGCCACCATGCCCAGCTAATTTTTATATTTTTTTGTAGAGACGGGGTTTTGCCATGTTTCCCAGGCTGGTTTCGAACTCCTGGCCTTAAGTGATCTGCCTGCCTCAGCCTCCCAAAGTGCTGAGATTAGAGGGGTGAGCCACCCCACCCAGATTTCTCTGGTCTTTTTGTTATGTGGAGACATTATTTAAACTTTAAGCCACTTTTAGTTGGGTGTACAACACTCATCTGTAAGCATCTTAACAGTCATGTTTTTATAATCTCATTTTTAATGTCTACAAATAGCTCACTGAGTGGGTGTATCACACTTCTTTTTAAGAAAAGAATCACTTTCCTTCATAGACTTCTAGGAGGGACTTTACTGAATCAAAGAGTATAATAATTTTATGATTTCTTGTTTATATTGCCAAATTTCTTTCCAAAGAGTTTGTATCAAAAACTGTCCACTCTCTTGATATGAAATACAAATCAATTTAGGTTAAAATATCAATTAAAAGGGAAAATAAATAAAACCATTTATTCATAAATAACATGTGTGGGAGACCAGAATACACCACCACAAATATGCCTCTGGCATAAGGATTGTTGAGCTAAAGGTAATTAAGAAACAGTAGGTGCAGGAAAACTTTCTATCATCCCTATATTTCCATAGAAGCAGAACATACCTTGACAAAGACAAGAGGTATGACCCCATGCTCCACACACATACACTTTCTACCAGAGAGAACAAAAGTTAACCATTGAAAACAACTGTAGACCCTTATGGGTCTGGAGACGGCATCAGAGAGCTCTACATTAACAAGCATTACTGGCCGGGCCCGGTGGCTCACGCCTGTAATCCCAGCACTTTGGGAGGCTGAGGCAGGTGGATCACGAGGTCAGGAAATCGAGGCCAGCCTGGCTAACATGGTGAAACCCTGTCTCTACTAAAAATACAAAAAAATTAGCCGGGTGCAGTGGTGGGCGCCTGTAGTTCCAGCTACTCAGGAGGCTGAGGCAGGAGAATGGCGTGAACCCGGGAGGCAGAGTTTGCAGTGAGCCGAGATAGCACCACTGCACTCCAGCCTGGGTGATAGAGCGAGACTCTGTCAAAAAAAAAAAAAAAAGTATTACTAACTGGCCTTTTTATTTGCCTTCTCACAAGTTACCTCCCCTAGAGACTCAAAGTCCTTTTCCTATGTCTTGTCATTTCTCCAAAAATTTGCCATTCTTTGTTGAAAATAGTATATAGGCTGGAATTCAAAGCTAGTTCTTTGAGAACCACTCATTTCCTGGGTCTCTCCCAGGTATATATGAAATGTACTTGTTAATAAACATCTGTTTGCTTTTCTCTTGTTAATCTTTTATTTATTTATTTACTTATTTTGACACGAAGTCTTGCTCTTTCGCCCAGGCAGGCTGGAGTGCAGTGGCGTGATCTGGGCTCACTGCAACCTCCGCCTCCTGGGTTCAAGCAGTTCTCCTGCCTCAGCTTCCCAAGTAGCTGGGATTACAGGCACACGCCACCACGTCTGGCTAATTTTTGTATTTTTGGTAGAGATGGGGTTTCACTATGTTGGCCAGGCTGGTCTCGAACTCCTGATCTCAGGTGATCCACCCGCTTCAGCTTCCCAAAATGCTAGGATTACAGGCGTGATCCACTATGTCTGGCCATTGTTAATCTGTCTTTTGTTACGGGGGTCCATTTCAACTAAGAATTTATGACAGTTGAGTAAAAAATTATTTTTCTTCTCCTACACATGATTGTGTATGTAGAAAAGCCAACAGAGTCTAGTTGTTGTTTTTTTTTTTTTTTTTGAGACGGAGTCTCACTCTGTCGCCCAGGCTCCAGGCTGGAATTCAGTGGCGTGATCTCAGCTCACTGCAAGCTCTGCCTCCCAGGTTCAAGCAATTCTCCTGCCTCAGCCTTCCAAGTAGCTGGGACTACAGGTGCCCGCCACCATGCCTGGCTACTTTTTTGTATTTTTAGTAGAGACAGGGTTTCACCATGTTGGCCAGGATGGTCTTGAGCTCCTGGCCTCGTGATCCACCCGCCTCGGTCTCCCAAAGTGCTGGGATTACAGGTGTGAGCCACCGCGCCTGGCCTAGAGTCAAGTTTTTTAACGGAATAAATGAATTTAGCAAAATTGCAGAATACAAAATAAATACCTGAAACTTTCCTATATTTCTAGAGACAGTCAGTCATTCGTATCCATGGGATCTGCACGCACAGGCTAAACCACCCATAGATTGAAAATCTTCAGAAACAAAATTCTACAACGTTCCAAAAGCAAAACTGGAATTTGCCATGTGCTGAGTGCTATGCTGAATCACGCAAATGAAGTGATTTATAGGCATTGTATTCTGTATTATAAGTAACCTAGAGATGATTTAAAGTATACAGGAGGATGTGAGTAGGTTATATTCAAATACTATGTCATTTTGAGAGACAGGACTAGCTGGATTTCCTAGGCCAACTAAGAATCCCTAAGCCTAGCTGGGAAGGTGACCGCTTCCACCTTTAAACACGTGGCTTGCAACTTAGCTCACACCCAACCAGTCAGGTAGGAAAAAGAGCTCACTAAAATGCTAATTAGGCTAAACAGGAAGTAAAGAAATAGCCAATCATCTATCGCCTGAGAACACAGTGGGCGGGACAATAATCGGGGGATATAAACCCAGGCATTCCAGCCAGCAACTGCTACCCTCTTTGGGTCCCCTCCATTTGTATGCGAGCTCTGTTTTCACTCTATTTCACTCTATTAAATCTCCCAACTGCACTCTTCTGGTCTGTGTTTGTTACGGCTGGAGCTGAGCTTTCGCTCGCCGTCCACCATTGCTGTTTGCCGCCGCCACAGACCTGCCGCTGACTTCCATCCCTCCGGATCCGGCAGGGTGTCTGCTGTGCTCCTGATCCAGTGAGGCGCCCCTTGCCGCTCCCGATTGGGCTAACGGCTTGAGATTGCTCCTGCACGGCTAAGTGCCCAGGTTCGTCCTTATCGAGCTGAACACTAGTCACTGGGTTCCATGGTTCTCTTCCGTGACCCACGGCTTCTAATAGAGCTGTAACACTCACTGCATGGCTCAAGATTCCATTCCTTGGAATCCGTGAGGCCAAGAACCCCAGGTCAGAGAACATGAGGCTTGCCACCATCTTGGAAGTGGCCCACTGCCATCTTGGGAGCTCTGGGAGCAAGGACCCCCCGGTAACAGTTTTATATAAAGGACTTTAACATCCATGAATTTTGGTAACTGTAGGGGATGGGGGTGGTCTGGAACCAATCTCAAATGGATACTGAAGTATGACTATACTTGTAACAATTAGAAAATAAATAATTTTAAAAATACAGAATTTTTAAAATACAATTTACAAGAGCCTTAAAAAACATCAGATGGGCCGGGCACAGTGGTTTGTGCCTGTAATCCCAGCACTTTGGGAGACTAAGGCAGGTGGATCACTTGAGGTCAGGAGTTTGAGACCAGCCTGGCCAACATGGTGAAAACCCATCTCTGCTAAAAATAGAAAAATTAGCCAGGTGTGATGGTGCATGCCTGTAATCCCAGCTACTTGGGAGGCTGAGGCAGGGGAATCACTTAAACCCAGGAGGCTGAGGTTGCAGTGAGCCGAGAGAGTGCCAGGGCATTCCAGCCTGGGCGATAGAGTGAGGCTCTGTCTCAAAACAAAACAAAACAGAACAAAACAAAAACCCAAAACCAACCAACCAAACAAAAAAAATTCAAATGTCCAGGGATATATCTAACAAAATGTGCAAGATCCTTATGCTGAAACTGTAACATCGCTGAAATTTTAAGAGACTTTAATAAATGGAGAGAAAGGGAATGTTCATATATTGGAAGGCTCAACATTGTTAAGATTTCCATTCTCCCCACATTGACCTATGGATTTCACACAGCCCTAATCAAAATCCCCGCAAGGTCTTTTGAAGAAATTGACAAGCTGATTCTTAAATTTGCATACGAAAATGCAAAGGAATTGAAGAGCCAAAACCATTTTGAAAAAGAATAGAGTTGGATTTCTTATACCACTTGAGTCTGAAAGTTACTGTGAGTTACATATGTAAAGTTATGTAATCAACTAGATGAATATCAATGGAGCAGAATAAAGAATCTAGCAATAGGCTCAAGGTGCCAAGTCCATTCAATAGAGAAGGAAAGTCATTTTTGTTTGTTTGTTTGTTTTTTCAAGACGGAGTCTCACTCCGTCACCCAGGCTGGAGTGCAATGGTGCAATCTCAGCTCACTGCATCCTCCACCTCCTGGGTTCAAGTGATTCTCCTGCCTCGGCCTCCCCAGTAGCCGGGACTACAGGCGCTCGCTGCTACGTCCGGCTAATTTTTTGTATTTTAGTAGAGACAGGGTTTCACTGTGTTGCCCAGGCTGGTTGCAAACTCCTGAGTTCAGGCAGTCCACCCCCATTGGCCTCCCAAAGTGCTGGAATTACAGGTGTGAGCCACCGCACCTGGCCAGGAAAGTCATTTTAACAAATGGCACTGAAGATTTAATTTTTTGATACTGAATATAAACAAATTTTGATAGTCACTCATTCCATATACAAAAAATAGTTCAAGATGGATAATAGGCCACATAGCAAAGGCTGAAATCATAAAGCTTTTAGAATTTCACTATTCCTGTAGTAGCTGCTAGCCACATGTGGGCTGTGGAGCACTTGAAATGTGATTAATCCAAATTGAGATGGGCTGAATTTCAAAGACTCGGTGTGAAAGAAAAACTATGCAAAAATCTGATTAATCATTTTTTGCATTGATTACATATTGAAATGATAATATGTTGGAAACACTTGGTTTAATTAAAGTCAATTTCAGTCTTTTTTTTTTTGCTTTTTTTAAATAATGGGGCTACTACCACATTTTAAATTATGTATGTTGAATCTATAGGCAATGACACTCCAACAGCAATGAGCATGTCTAATGCAGAAATCTTGGTTTCTAACACCATCCTTCAATAAAAGGAATCAAGGATCCTTGGAGAAGCAGGTGATTGTAAGACGGGCAGAAGATATACAAGACGACCCTGCAGCATCTTGTAGTGCCTGAAAGTAAGAAAGTGTTCAAAACAAATCTACATTGATGGAGGCATGAAAGCCAACTGAAAGAGCTCCCAATGGTCAAAACTGGAAAGATTCGAGGGAGAAATGACTGCCATAAGATAACCAGCAGTGTTTGCCACACCGGGTAATAACGTGGATTATGTTTCAGATGGAACTTCTTTCACCTGCCCTCCCCTGGCCACTTGCTATCTGAGCATTTATTGAGCACCCATTTTGTGTTAGTGCTGAGAATATGATGTTGAACAAAATATGGTCCTTGACCTCAGGAGTCATGGTGCTCTCATTAGGTGGTCTGGTGGAGAGAGGTGTTGCTAACGTAAGGAGGCAGGAAAAATTCAAGAAGTGAGGGAGTTAGGGGTAAGTATGTCCAAGGCAGTGAAAAAGGGATTATTTAGGTATTAATGAGGCTTTAGGGCCTTCAAAATCAGGAACCGAATCACCTTTCCTCAGCATGTATATATATGTATATATATACATATATATATACACACATATATATATATTCCCCAGCATGTATATATGTGTGTGTGTATATATATATACGTGTATATATATATATATATATACGTATATATATATATGATAGTCCTGAGGTGGTAATGATACTGATGGGCTGGGGTAGGTCCACAAACACTAGTGGGACCTTGACCTCAACCGGTATCCAGGCTCTTGACACCATCACAAGAAGAAATTCAGGGATGAGTCAGAAAATAGTGAAAAGATGAAGATTTATTGCAAAGCGAAAAGTACACACTCAAGAAAGGGGAGTGCAGGTGTACTCAAGAGAGTTGCACACAAGGTTTTCGGGTACTATCTTTATGGGTTTCTGTAACCAAGGGGTGACATATTCATGAAGATTCCTGGAAAAAGGTGAAGATTTCTCAAAACTGTGGTGCCACCCACTTTTGCACTAAATAATGGGTGTTCCTGGAAGTGTCATGGTGCTGGTGGGCATGTGATTACGTTAATGAGCATATAATGAGGTTCTAGGAGAAACCTACGTCAAATCCAGTGACATGTTGGGTTCAGTCAGTCTTAGCCATCTTGGTCCACACCCTGTTTCTCAGGGTCTTATCAGCCCATAGCCTCTGCAGCTATTTCAACAGTTGCCTTTTGCTAGTCATATGAAATTGTTGCCTGGAATTTTCTAATCTCCTACGGCCACCTTATATTATTCCTCTCTCAGTAGTATAACTCTGACTATAAAATTAAGATCTAATCATCTACAGCACTCATAGACATTATCTTTAAACTAATTCCACAGGCAAAAGGCTAATTACAGGGTTTTTGTAGCCTTTTGTTGGTATATAGAACTCTATATGCTGTATGTTTTTATGGAGGCTGCCTGGAATTTGCTGTATTGTTTCTGAGGCTGTCCTTTACACTTCAAAAATTTCTTATGAGCATTTATGTCAAGATTAAGGAAGCCAAGGTAATAGAAATAGGCCAACACTTGGTGAATTATTGGAAAGTTTATATAGGCAGCTACATACATAAGATTAGCCATCCTTGGAAGATTGAACTCATTTCATTTACTCTCTCCCCAATAATAATGAAGATTCTACAATGGAAACAGGAGTAAATATGTAATGTATTTTTTATTGATATTAAAATACATGAGATAATATTATTTGTATTTCCAGACTTGAGGCCATCCTCTGTATCTCCACCCCTGACCACTCCCTTGACCACATACATATCCAGTTACCTAGAGCACTGGATGACCGGCAAGCATCTCAAGTCTCAAATGCAACTACTCAAGCTCCTTCCTCCCTCACTCATGCTGCATCTCAAGAAGATGTAAGCCAATTATCCAGAGGCACTGAGGGTCCTATGCGACTGCACCATCATATCCCACAACCTGCTATTCACTGTTATTCTGCTTGTCCAGTCCATCTCCCTCCTCTCAATCTCCCCTCTGCCCTAGTTCAGGCTGCCATCATTTATTCGTTTATTTGTTCAGTAAGTATTTCTTGAGTACATATCATGTGCCATTCATATTCTGTGCCTCAAATAGAATAAGCAGTGAACAAAACACTCAGTGAACGTCACTGAACAAAACTGACACAAAACCTGCCTTCACAGAGTTTGCATTCAGGTGGAAAGGGAAATAAAACAGATAAGCAAAATACACATTGCTAGAAAGTTATGGGTGTATAGGAGAAAAAATAAAGCAGAGAAGAAGGACATGACATTTAGAGGTGGGGTTGAAAGGTCTCAATAAGGAGGTGACTTTTGTGTAGACTTGAGAAGGAAATGAGGGGGCTAGCGTTGTGGATATCTGGGGCAAAGCCTCCAGAGGAAAGAGTATGGTAAAAGTCCCTGGAGTGAGATTATGCCTGGCCTGTTCTAGGCATGGCAAAGGGGCCAGTGGGAATGGAGTAAAGTGAGCAAGGAGGAAAGGAGTAGAGAGGGATGGAGTGAAGTCAGAGAGCTAATAAAGACAAGATGCCGTAGGTCATTTTCTCAGTGAATGGGAAGCAAAGCCATCAACTGAGAATTGAAGTGATGTTCCTGTAAACAATTTAGTACCTTTGCCTTTTTTGTTTGTTTGTTTTGTTTTTCTTGGTACCTTTGCATTTTGAGGCACATTTTTATACCTATTTGTTGGAGATTCACCTAGGGATAGAAATGTGGGGTTGTATAGGATGTAAATGGAATCAAATAGATTTTTTAGGATTAAATTTTTTCTGATTTTAAAAGTAGGAAATACAAAAGTGTTTAAAGAAGTAAATATCACCTGTGACCACCTCTCCCAGAAATAAGTATATTTTATAAGTATACTTTAATATATTTTATTTAAGTATATTAATTTTTCAATGTGATTAATGCCAAAAGGAGAGTATAAGCCAATTTTATGTATAGCTTGATTACAATTATAAAAATGTGCTTAGAGAAAAAAGGATCAGAAAGGAGCATAACAATATGCTAACGGGTTATGTTAGTAAAAATATATGTGACTTCCTTTCTCTATTTCTAAAAATGTCTGCAATCTTATAATATTCTTAATGAGAAAAATTAATTTTACAAGCTTTTTAAAAATAGCTTTTTTTTTTTTTGTTTTTAAACAAAGATATTTGTTTTGGCAGTCCTCAAAGGAAACTTCTAGAATTACTATACAACTGTATTGACCTAGCGTTTGCCAGAATAATTCTTTTTTTCATTCATTGTGACATGGTACACCACTTTATAGGACTGGATTTGCATAGAAAATACTATTGAAATAACAGAAGGTACCTATTACTGCCTGTATATTCTGCCAACGTTTAGGAAATACTGCCACCAGGTGGATGGTAGGAATTTAGCTTTTGTCCCTTGATTTCATGTATCCTTCCTGTTGCCTTAATTCTGTACAGAAAGTAAGAACAGACAAAACTGACTCTCTGTGTGTGTGTATGTGTGTGTGTGTGTTTAAACACTGGGGGCTTTGGTTGAACCAGGAGGGTAAGCTCAGACAGTTGCTTATGTATGTGTGAACCAAGGAGGAAAGATGAAATCCCAACTAAGAGGACAGCTGAAGTGGAAATCTTGGACAGACTGGATTTCACATCCAGCACACTGAGTAATGCATGCTGATTCTAATTTTAGGGTCTATCCTAAAGAAATAATTATGGATACTTTAAGATTTAACACTGATGCTGCAAAGACTTAACATTGGTGTTTATTGCAGTGTTTATTTTTACTAAGTAAAACAAGAATCTAAATATCTTGCGATTGAGGATTAATTGAATAAATAATGATACGTCTCTGCAATTAACCACTCTTTGACCATTAAAATGAGGTTTAAAAGTATGTAATGACAATGAATGATGTTTATGATATACTTTTGAGTGAAAAATGGAGATAACAAAGTAGTATATGCCACACACAGCTAAAAAACTATAAGGGTATACATAAAAATATTAGCAATAACAATAGTAATTAACATATATTCAGTGCTTACTATGTGCCAGAGAAATTAAAATACCTATCTTGGACCTGCCTTGTCCTCCCTTCTCTAATTTAGTCCTTCTAGTGCTTCTCACTGCTTTTATATCAGTTTCTATTGGGCTCTAGACCCTTTGGAAAATCTTGTAGAGCATATGGGCCCCAGAGAGACATTTAAAAACACATAATATGAAATACAAAGCATTAAACAGGAAATCAATTACATTGGAATACAGTTATTAAAATATCAAAAAATCAAATTTGTGATATAGTTTTATATATACACATACATCTTTTTTTATTATTATACTTTAAGTTCTAGGGTAGATGTGCACAACGTGCAGGTTTGTTTACATGTGCCATGTTGGTTTGCTGCACCCATCAACTCATCATTTACATTAGGTATTTCTCCTAATGCTGTCCCTCCCCCAGCCCCCCATCCCCCAACAGGCCCCAGTGTGTGATGTTCCCCACCCTGTGTCCAAGTGTTCTTATTGTTCAGTTCCCACCTATGAGTGAGAACATGCAACGTTTGGTTTTCTGTCTTTGTGATAGTTTGCTGGGAATGATGGTTTCCAGCTTCATCCATGTCCCTGCAAAGGACATGAACTCGTCCTTTTTTATAGCTGCATAGTATTCCATGGTGTATATGTGCCACATTTTTCTTAATCCAGCCTATCATTGATGGACATTTGGGTTAGTTCCAAGTTTTTGCTATTGTGAATAGTGCCGCAATAAACATACGTGTGCATGTGTCTTTATAGTAGCATGATTTATAATCCTATAGGTATATACCTATACCTATAGGTATAGGTATTGGTATAGGTATTGGTATAGGTATAGGTACAGGTATACCTATACCAATCCCAGTAATGGGATTGCTGGGTCAAATGGTATTTGTAGTTCTAGATCCTTCAGGAATTGCCACACTGTCTTCCACAATGGTTGAACTAATTTATACTCCCACAAACAGTGTAAAAGTGTTCCTATTTCTCCACATCCTCTCCAGCATCTGTTGTTTCCTGACTTTTTAATGATCGCCATTCTAACTGGCATGAGATGGTATCTCATTGTGGTTTTGATTTGCATTTCTCTGATGACCAGTGATGATGAGCATTTTTCCATGTGTCTGTTGGCTGCATAAATGTCTTCTTTTGAGAAGTGTCTGTTCATACCCTTTGCCCACTTTTTGATGGGGTTGTTTGTTTTCTTCTTGTAAATTTGTTTAAGTTCTTTGTAGATTCTGGATATTAGCTCTTTGTCAGATGGTAGATTGCAAAAATTTTCTCCCATTCTGTAGGTTGCCTGTTCACTCTGAATACACATACATACTTCTTTATTAATTCATTTAATAACAAGCTATAGTACAAGGTCTAATAATTTCTGAATAGATCTATTCATAAATGATATTTTAAGATAATTACAATAATCATTATCTATAAAAAAGTGTGCAGAGGCTCACGCCTGTAATCCCAACACTTTGGGAGGCCGAAGCAGGCAGTTCCCTTAAGGTCAGGAGTTTGAGACCAGCCTGTCCAACATGGTAAAACCCCGTCTCTACTAAAAATACAAAAAAATTAGGCGGGCGTAGTGGCGGGCGCCTGTAATCCCAGCTATTCTGGAGGCTGAGGCATAAGAATCGCTTGAACCCAGGAGGCAGAGGTTGCAGTGAGCTGAGATCACGCCACTGCACTCCAGCCTGGGCGATAGAGCAAGACTCCATCTCAAAAAAAAAAAAAAAGTGATATTCATTGGTGACAAAGTCACAGGTACTGCTAAATACAATTGTGTTTTGTTGTCTATATTTATGACTGAAATGTTAAATTGCAGCTGATGCTTAGAGAAAATAGATGTATTTTTTTCCCCATCCAGCCATGTTCCAGCCAGCTGTCACACTATGTCATTCCTTTTTCAAACCCCTTAAATGGCTTTCTGTGTCACTTAAGTCAAAATCCTTACCCCAAGCAGATCTGGTCTGAAGTTCCCTTTCTGATTTCACTTCCTGCCATTTCCTACTAGTCTCACCCTCTCTCCCTGCCATCCAGCCACACTGGCTTCCTTCCAGTTCGTTGATCACAAGCCAACCACAGGCCTGACTCAGGGCCTTTACTCTTGCCATTATCTATTCCAGGGCGTTTTCCCCTTAGATAATGGTAGGGCTTGCTCCCTTATATCAGGGGTCAACAATCATTTTGCATAAAGAGCCAGATGGTAAATATTTTAGGCTTTGTGGGCCATATGGTCTCAAATCTGCTGTGATAATGCAAGAGCAGCCATGGAGAATAAGTAAATAAATGAGTGCGGATGTGTCCCAATAAAACTTTATTTTTGGATGCTGAAATTTGAATTGCATATAATTTTCCCATGTCAAAAAGTATTATTCTCTAAAAAATTTTTTTGTTAACTATTTTAAAAATATAAAAACCATTCTTAGCTCTCGAGCCACACAAAAACAGGTGTGCAGTCAAATTTGGCCCACTGTTCATAGTTTGCTGAACCCTGCCTTACATCGTTCAGGTCTTTGTTCAAATGTCATCTGTTTGGAGAGGTCTGCTTTGGCCACTTCCTCCCAAAAGCCCTTCCCTTCTCTTCTATTACTTTACCTGGCTTTATTTTTCTTCATTGAACTTCCTGGGCCCTAACATATTATATTTTTATTTGTTCATTTTCTGTATTCCTTCTAGAATATAAGTACCATGAGGCAGGGCCTTAGTCGTTTTCCTTGCTGCTATACCCCCATCAGCATGACAGTGCCCAGCACAAAGTAAATGCTCAAATACTTGTTGAATGAATGAATTAGTACTGGTCATCTCGCTGTGAATATACTTACCAGAATTATAAGTTTTCTTAAACTGTGGTGGCCAGAATTGAAAATTGTTTCCCAGTTACAGTCTGAATCAATGCAGAGTAGGATTTAAAAATGCTTATTTTAATGCAGTCATTTTTATAAACCTGTGTATTCAAATTGAAATTTTGGCAAACCAGATTACTCCAAAACTGTACTTGTGAGTGATGTTTTCTGAACCTATATCTAGTTCTCAATGTCTATATTGTTGGTTTGATTTTGTGCTTCAGTCTGCTTTAAATTCTTATAAATTTTGATTCTGTTAGCTTTCACATCAGCTATTCTGGCCATCTATAGATTTGACAATTATACTGTGTCTTCAGCCACACCTTTCAGACCAAGGCAGAGAGGAGGACTGACTCTTGTGACTCCTCCAGGTGGCCAGAACACCATTAATCCAGACATCTGGGATAAATCCTGCAGGTCACCCATTAGGCCAGGGTAATATCGAAGTCGTTCGTGCAAGAACTGGAAATGGAGGTACAGGGGGATTTCAGATAATTCAACTAAAACCCAAAAGCTGTGATATGCAAGCATATCCTTAAAAAGGGAAACGCCTAAGATTAATATTATCATGTCTAAATAAAATGGTGCTTTGTTGCAATGTCTATCACCCAAATTCATAAACTATATTCATACAATGGAGTACTGCTTAGCAGTAAAAAAAAAAACAAACAAACAAAATGCTGATACACGTAACAATGTAAATGAATTTCAAAAATATAGTGTAGAGTATAAGAAGCTAGACACAAAAGGATGCATAGTGTAAAATCCCCTGTATGTAAAGCTCAAGATCAGGTAAAACTAATCCCTGGTGGTAGAAACGAGAAAGCTATTGAGGTGGAGGTATTGGCCAGAAAGGGGGATGAGGAACTTTTCTGGAATGATTGATGGTTATACCAGTATATATATATTTATTTGTGAGAATTCTCCAAGCTGTTCACTAAAGATTTGTGTTTCTTTCTATATGTAAAATACATTTCAATATAGTATGACTTTTCAATAAAAAGTGGCTGGTTTTAGTCATTAGTTTCTTGTGGGCTTTGTAAGCATGAGGAAATTAAATTTCTGAGTTGGCCAGGCTGAAGTTAGAGTCTCATCAATGGTAAATTTGCCAAGGGATCTGCCGTTTTATAGAGGCCTGTGGGGGCCTTGGTCAGCATAATATTTTGGTGTGATAATCAGTAGGGATTTTGTCATATTTTTCACGGAAAGAAAATAAAAGATGTCTATGGCATTAGTTTTGCTGTTGAAAACTAGACTAAATAAATTTGACATGACTTGCTCTTGGTGAATCCTTGTTGGCTCCTGATAAATATATTTCTTTTTTAAATTGCCACAAATTGTGTTTTATTCTCCATTAAAGATTTTTCCAGGTTTACTAGTTTGTAGTTTTTGGTACCCACAACATTCTTTTTAGAAAATTAATACATTATTTGCCTGAATTAAACCTTCTGGCATTTCTTATTAAGAGGCAAGTTGGAGTCATAAAATGTATTTACTTTTTCATGGAATTGAAAGGAAACGTCCTAGGCAAGTTCATTAAGAATCCAAAGAAGATCTCTTCTTTTGAGGTAAGCAATCAAGAACAGTGATCAAGTAGTTTTGCTTCCCATTTAGATCTGGTTTGAATCTTAGCTCACAGATGTGTCACCTTAGGCAAGTTTCTTAACCTTTCCAAACCCCATTTTTTCTAATCTGTAAGAGGGATTGCTATGGCAATTACACAGGGAAATTTTTGTAAAGCACTTAACACAGCACCCGACACATAGTAGCTATCATCATCAACATTATCAGCAGTCTCATCCTCCTCATCTTCATTAACAGGAGCCAGCCCCTCTTGGATTGATTTTCCAGGGCAGTATTTTGTGAACCTCAGTAGAGTGCTCCATGGGCACTTGATTTTTTTCTGCCGACTGACTGACTGAGTTCAGAAGGATCAATTCACACATCAAATTCACAAGAAACTGCTTATTTATTCATTTGTAATGACAAAAGACAGCTGCATCAATATATTCTTTCCTTACACATATAATAGGGAAGCCAAATTATCTATGAAGGTGGTTTGATTAGTACAGGCTCATTGTTCCTTCCACTGGAAACACCCCTTTCCTCTTAGGCACCAAACTAGGTTACAGCTATAGACATGCCAATAGAATTGTGCTCACTGGAGATGACACACAGGCACCCATTTAGACCTTACTGCTGACTGTAAATGATCTTTGTGGGTAGATAATTAATCTTACCCATTACATGTTCATTTTTATCATTTCATTTTTGGAACCTCTATCTTGTGGGCTTTTGGGGGTACATCATTGTCTTTAATTGTTCATACTTCGTCTTTGACTAACTTCAACAATTTCTTCCTTAAAAACTAGCTCTGAAATACCATGCTTTATAGTTGGATAAGAAGGTAGTGAAAGGTGAGAAGTGGGGGGTTGAAGGATATAACTGTACTGTCTTTCTGTTCAAAATATCTTTCTGTGGCCGGGCATGGTGGCTCACGCCTCTAATCCCAGCACTTTGGGAGGCCAAGGCAGGTGGATCACCTGACATAAGGAGGTTGAGACCAGCCTGGCCAACGTGGTGAAACCCCCTCTCTACTAAAAATACAAAAATTAGCTGGTTTTGGTGGTGCATACCTGTAATGCCAACTATTCGGGAGGCTGAGGCAGGAGGATCACTTGAACTCAGGAGGCTGAGGTTGCAGTGAGCCAAGATCATGCCACTGCACGGTAACAGAGCAAGACTCCGTCTAAAAAAAAAAAAAAAAAAAGCCCAAAAAACAAAAACAAAAAAACCCAAAATGTCTTTGTGTATTTATATTATTTAAAAAATCATCAAAAATGTTCCAACTACATAGAGGTAATGTTAGAAAATAGGTAATAGCCGGGTGCAGTGGCTCACGCCTGTAATCCCAGCACTTTGGGAGACTGAGGCAGGTGGATCACCTGACATCAGGAGTTAGAGACCATCCTGACCAACATGGTGAAACCCCATCTCCACTAAAAATACAAAAATTAGCTGGGCATGGTGGAATGCACCCGTAATTCCAACTGCTGGGAAGGCTGAGGCAGGAGAATCACCTGAGCCCGGGAGGCAAAGGTTGCAGTCAGCCGAGATTACATCATTGCACTCCAGCCTGGGCAACAAGAGCAAGACTCTGTCTCAAAAAAAAAAAAAAAAGTAAATAGGTGATAATGGCTACTTTTTTTTTTTCTTTTTGACATGGAGTCTCGCTCTGTCGCCCAGGCTGGAGTGCAGTGACGCGATCTCAGCTCACTGCAAGCTCCATCTCCCAGGTTCACACTATTCTCCTGCCTCAGCCTCCCGAGTAGCTGGGACTACAGGTGCATTCCACTATGCCCAGCTAATTTTTGTATTTTTAGTAGAGACGGGGTTTCACCATGTTGGTCAGGCTGGTCTCGAACTCCTGAC
This sequence comes from Homo sapiens, assembly GCF_000001405.40. Classification (NCBI taxonomy): domain Eukaryota; kingdom Metazoa; phylum Chordata; class Mammalia; order Primates; family Hominidae; genus Homo; species Homo sapiens. Next base: position 51,643,185 of record NC_000015.10, on the reverse strand, counting down.
CTCAGGTGATCCACCTGCCTCGGTCTCCCAAAGTACTGGGATTACAGGCATGAGCCACCGCACCCGGCTATAATGGCTACTTTTATTGAGCAACCATTGTGTGCCAGATCCTAAGAATAGCCATATATTATTACATTTAGTCCTTACACTCAGAAATGTAGTTTTATTCTCATTATTCAGATGAAAACACTGAAGATCAGAGAAATAAACTGCCTAAGATTACACAGTGAGTAGCTGGCAGAAGCAGCGTCTGAACAGCCCTCTGATTCTACAGCCTGTGCCCTTTCCTCCACATTACATTCAGGAAACAAGTCCTGTCCTGTTTTTAAGATCATTGGTTCTTCAACATCTTAGTTTTGAATCACAGAAAAGTAGAGCATTAGGTAGACAGGATTTCATAAGAAAAACAATTTAATAAGATAAACAAATTATTGGACAAGATCATAGTACAGGATAAGATCTGATCTTGCTTTGGGAAGTTTGAGAACAGTCATTACACTACTTATGGTGACTGGGTTCAAGCCCGGAGATGTCTTAAATAAGTGAGTAAGTCAACGTCATTGATGTCCCAAATGTCTATGGATCTCACTCTCTGATAACAGTTTCCAGACTTTTGAACTTCAGAGATATAAATAAATAACAAAGTGGGAAAAGGAATAAAAATAACCTTGCAAACTTTTTTATTTTGCCCAGTAAGGATGTTTTTAAAAAAGTCACACTACTCTGTACTATGACCTTTGTTTCCATAAAGATTAAACATTTTAGCGCTCCTCTCCTCCCAAACTGGAAAAATATAATTTGAAAACAAAGGATTGTTCCTCCAAAGAAAGAATAGTTGGTAACCTTAGTCTCCATATATATTCCCCATTGTCATTATTTTTGTCATATTTGCAGTAAAGGGGAGAACTCTGTCTTTTAGTGGTTCTGGTATTGGATAAATGAACTTACTTCATAGTTCCCAGAAATAATCTTTGTGTAAATTACAACTAAATCAGGAAAATGGAACAAGGTAAAGATCATATAGAAAGCTAATTGATCTTGCTTTGCATATAGACCTTCAAGTTTAATTTTTAAAAGTTGTTGAGTGACATTTCCATTTCTGGTATTTATTAAAAATTTGCAGGGTAAAGCATAAAGTTTTAATCTGTTAATCATTTGTTTAAGGTGGTAACTAATCTTTGAGAGCTTGAGGCCCAATGTATTTGTATTTCGACATTAGCCTGAGCCAGGGGTAAGTCAAGAACTAGCAGGAACTTCTCAATTTACAAATCCTAAGAGAAGAAAACAAGGAAGTTTCATTGCTTCAACCAAAAATGTTTACTAAGTGCTTATTTTAGTTTTGGACATAGGCACTAATAATATAGTTTATGGAGCCACTAGACCCCGAGCTCTTTAAGAGCAGACTCTGTGTAGTCCCAGCTGCTAACAGGTCCCAAGCCAAGTGAGGAGCACAAATAAAGTTTGTTGAATGAATGCGAGAATAAATAACAAGCACTTCTAAAAATCACAACAAAGACAGGATGAAAGGAAGCTTGTTTACTTAAACACGACTAACTAGAATCAAGGGATATGCCTTGACATTTATGAGGTAAATTTAGGAGAAATAAAGGAAACACAGGATAAAATAAAAATAAAGTAAAAGTGGGCAAAACCAAAATAATCCTAAACTGAAGCCAAAAACAAAGTCTTTCCCTCCCAGCAGCTCTGGATCCAATATTGGAGATGGACCCTTATTTAAGAAAACTGGAATTAGGCATTCTCATCATAAAATATATAAGTGGAATTTTGTTATTATAAAAAAGATATGTAGTATTTGCCAGAGAGGGCTCAGTGAGAGGGGTATTTTTTCTACTTCTACTGATTTTACTAGAAGATAGGACATGGATTTATATATATCTATATTTATTTATTTTCTTTCTTTCTTTCTTATTTATTTATTTATTTTTTTTAGATGAAGTCTTGCTCTGTTGCCCAGGGTGGAGTGCAGTGACGTGATCTCGGCTCACTGCAAGCTCCGCCTCCTGGGTTCACGTCATTGTCCTGCCTCAGCCTCCTGAGTAGCTGGGACTACAGGCACCCGCCACCTCACCTGGCTAATTTTATGTATTTTTAGTACAGACAGGGTTTCACCGTGTTAGCCAGGATGGTCTCGATCTCCTGACCTTGTGATCCGCCTGCCTCGGCCTCCCAAAGTCCTGGGATTACAGACTTGAGCCACCGTGCCTGGCCTAGTTTGTTTTCTTTTTACTTTTTTTTTGTTTTTGAGATGGAGTTTCGCTCTGTCGCCCAGGCTGGAGTGCAGTGGCGCAGTCTTGGCTCACTGCAACCTCCGCCTCCCAGGTTCAAGCAATTCTCCTGCCTCAGCCTCCCGAGTAGCTGGGATTACAGGCACTCACCACCACGCCTGGCTAATTTTTTTGTATTTTTAGTAGAGACAGGGTTTCACCATGTTGGTCAGGCTGGTCTCTATCTCCTGACCTCATGATCCACCCGCCTTGGCCTCCCAAAGTGCTGGGATTACAGTCATGAGCCACTGCGCCCAGCCCCTTTTTTTTTTAGACAGGGTCTTGCTCTGTCGCCCAAGCTGTAGTGCACTGGCACCACCTCGGCTCACTGCAACCTCTGCCTCCCGGGTTCAAGTGATTCTCTCGTGCCTCAGCCTCTCCAGTAGTTGGGATTACAGGCATATGCCACCACACCCAGCTAATTTTTGTATTTTTAGTAGAGATTGGGTTTCACCACATTGGCTAGGCTGGTCTTGAACTCCCAGCCTCAAGTGATCCATTGCCTTGGTCTCCCAAAATGTTGGAATTACAGGCATGAGTCACTGCACCTGGCTGGATTATAGCTTTATTATAAACTTCTATTGAATTCTCCAAATATATAAGGCAAAAGAAAGGTGCTATTTTTTGAGCAGTTGGTTCACAGTATATGTTAAATAATTGGTCTTTTGATTATTTCCACCAGCACTCTCCCTAGGCATCATAGTGTCTCCACTATGCTAGGTAAAATTTAATAATAATAATAACTTTTATTATTAAATTTGACCTGAAACACTTGTGTAGCATTTATTCTGTGCTAGGCAGTGTCCTAACTGCTTTATACGTGTTAATTTATTTAATTCTTATAACAGTCAATGAGGTAAGTGGTATTATCACTCCCATTTTACAGATTAGAAAGCTGGATATGGCATGGTTAATTTGCCCAACATCACATAATTAGCAAGTGATAGATCTAGGATTTGAACTTAGCATGTTTCTCGAGTCTTTGTGCTAGATTGCCTCCCACTTAGGATTTTGTTCATTTGAAATACCAAAGGAATCCGACACCAGACTACAAAATCAGAATCTCTGGGAGTAGGAGTCCACCATCTTGAATTTTTTTTTTTTTTTTTTTTTTTTTGAGATGGAGTCTCCCTCTGTCTCCAGGCTGGAGTACAGTGGCGCGATCTCGCCTCACTGCAACTTTCGCCTCCAGGGTTCAAGCAATACTCCTGCCTCAGCCTCCCGAATGGCTGGGACTACAGGTGCTCACCACCACACCCAGCTAATTTTTGTATTTTTAGTAGAGACGGGGTTTCACCATGTTGGCCAGGATGGTCTCAATCTCCTGACCTCCTGATCCGCCCACTTTGGCCTCCCAAAATGCTGGGATTACAGGCTTGAGCCACCGCGCCCAGCCCACCATCTTGAATTTCAACAGGCTTTCCAGGTGGTATTTGGGAACCAAAACCCTAGGTTCCTCTTCCTTTGTCTTGCCACTCTTAGTCAAGCAATCACCATGACATAGTGGTTGTTGTCTGTGCATCTGCATCAACTCTTTAGAACAGGTGTCAACAGCTTATTGAAAATCTCAGAAATAATACTGAAACATTCGCAGAAATTCTGCAACACTAATGCTTTTGATGGCACAGAGAATGATGTGTGGAAAAACCTGACATTGACAATTCTGAGTTGAAAAGTAATTCAGTAGAGTTGAAGTCTGAGTGAGAGAGAGTTTTGGGAAGTTTTGACCAATTTATTTTGCTTATATATATATTTTTTGGTGTAGGCTCAAGAGAGCTCAATATGATAAAAAAAATCAAGAGATCTTTTGATAAGTTTGAAATAAATATCCCAAGTAATAAGAAAGCAATGTGTCACAGTTTAATTGGCTGTTTTTGTTCCTTTTCTTGTTTTGTTTTATATAACATAATGGTTTGTCTTAGAATCAGTGACATCTTAGATTAGACAAAATACAAGAGATGAGGCCAGGCGCGGTGGCTCACGTCTGTAATCCAAGCATTTTGGGAGGTCGAGGTGGGTGGATTACCTGAGGTCAGGAGTTCGAGACCAGCCTGGCCAACATGGTGAAATCCTATCTCTACTAAAAATACAAAAAATTAGCTGGGCATGGTGGTGGGTGCCTGTAATTCCAGCTACTCGGGAGGCTGATGCAGGAGAATCACTTGAACCAGGGAGGCGGAGGTTGCATTGAGCCCAGATCACGCCACTGCACGCCAGCCTGGGCAACAGAGCAAGACTCCGTCTCAAAAAAAAAAAAAAGAAAGAAAAGAAAAATACAAGACATATTATCTTAGTCTTTAAGAATTACCCTTTGGGGCTGGGTGTGGTGGTTCATACCTGTAATCCTACCACTTTGGGAGGTCGAGGTGGGAGGATTGCTTGAAGCCAAGAGTTCAAGACCAACCTGGTAAACATAGTGAGACTCCATATCTTAAAAAAGAAAAAAGTATCCTTTGGTTCCTGATACATGAATGTGATATCAAAATTCCTTCTCAGTAAACCTGGATTCTTATTTAGAAAGAAACCAGAACAGTGAATTAAAAGGTGAAAAAAAATCTTGTGAACCCAAAGGACTAGATGGTAGAGTCTAGAATGCTCCTTCCAACCTGGGCAGCAAAGTGAAAACCTATCTCTACACAAAATAAAAAAAAATTAGCTGGTCATGGTGGTTCGCACTTGTAGTTTCAGCCACTCAGGAGGCTGAGGTTGGAGGATCGCTTGAGCCTGGGAAGTAGAGGCTACAGTGAGCTGTGATCACACCACTGCACTCCAACCTGGTGAGAACCTGTCAGAAATAAAAAGAAAAAAGAAAAAAAGAATGCTCTCCCATCTCCACACCTTTCTTTCACATTATTTCAACCTGGTCGAGATGTTTGAGGTGGGCGTGTGGTGGGGGAAGTCAAGGACAGAATAATAACTGGCTGATCTGAAAGGTTTTGCACTAAAGGTGTAAATAATTTATCATAAAGATGGTGTAATTATCCCAGAGTGTTTAGCTTGTCATGCTGGCTCCTCTTAGGGTTCAAGCAGAAGCCTATTATATTGTTATCATATAATGAGATAATCTCAAAATAACATTACTTTGCTCCTATATGTACAATTAATTTGTAAGCCACTGCCAATTTATTAACCAAACTCTAAGAGAAAGCTATTAAAAAACAAGACAAAACAAAAGCAAGGGTTCTAAAGCTAGCCCGTAATCAATTATTACACAGGGTGATTCAAAATATTTTTTTAAAAAGTGAAAAATTATGGCTGCTCTGCCTATGGAGTAGCCATTCTTTATTCCTTTACATTTTTTTTTTTTTTTTTGAGACAGAATCTTGCTCTGTCGCCCAGGCTGGAGTGCAGTGGTGTGATCTTGGCTCACCGCAACCTCTGCTTCCCGGGTTCACGCCATTCTCCTGCCTCAGCCCCCCTTGAGTAGCTGGGACTACAGGTGCCCGCCACCACGCCCGGCTAATTTTTTGTATTTTTAGTAGAGACGGGGTTTCACCGTGTTAGCCAGGATGGTCTCGATCTCCTGACCTTGTGATCCGCCCGCCTCGGCCTCCCAAAGTGCTGGGATTACAGGCTTGCGTCACTGCGCCTGGCCTATTCCTTTACTTTTTAAGTAAACTTGCTTTCACTTTACTTTATAGGTTTGCCACAAATTCTTTCTTGTGTGAGATCCAAGAACCCACTCTTTGGATGTGGATCCAGACCCCTTTCCGGTAACATCTTCCTGGTGAACCATGAAGGGATGATACTGAGGAGGCCATGACCCGAAGGAAATAGACCGCAACACTAATTGGCTGACTTTGGGTAAGTGGTGGGGTACTCAGGTAAAGGATGGGATTGGGTTAGAGGCCCAACTTAGGGGAGTTAGAGTCCCTCCTAAGACAGACAGGGTTAAAGGCCCCTCTTAATAAAAGGCAAGAATGCTTGACCAAACTTGGGTTTGAAGCCCAACTTAGGAAGGTTAGAGTCCTTCCTAAGATTTATGGGGTTAGAGGCCCCTCTCAGTAGAGTCCCTCTTGGTTAAAAATGGGTTTGGCACTGTGGGATGTTAACTGCTATTCTCTTTGAATTAATCTGCCTTGTGCTGTTTGCTGAAGGTTGTAGGTGACAGGGTTAGGTATGTACAGGATCGTGGGAAATAGGGAGCTTTTTTTTTCTCCCCCAAAGGGGAAAATAGAGAGCTGATGGGACTGCTGGAAAAAAAATCCCTTCACTACCGACAAGCAGCTGCCTGAACTTTTGATTCAGTGTTGCTGCAATGGGTGGGTCTCTCTCTGGCCTCTCTGAGCTCCTCACCTTCCCTACACTGCCACAGAAAATGGTTTTCTCCTTTTCTCTCCTTTCCCTTTCCTATCTTTCCTGTTACACAGGGCGACCATCTTGCCCAGAGATCACATTTTGAAACTTCTGGTCGAAGTTGGATTAAAGATGACAGGGCTCATCCGGGGGCAAGCTTGACCCTTGCCAGTTCAATATTGGATGCTAAGAGGAGTGGCTAATGTCTGTTTTGTCACACTTATTTTACCCTGGCTAGAGCAAAATGGAATAGAAAATGTTAATTCAGGTTCCCCATGCGGCTGGTTGGGTGACATCTTACAATATCGAGAGGGTTTTGCCTATGATTCCATGAAACGAAAAAGATGATTTTCCTTTGAGTTGCAGCTTGGCCCCCAGGGCTTTCATGAGGTGAGCAAGGTCATTAGGGCTGCTCAGGGAAAGAAAACCCAGAAACCTGGCATGCTTGCCAAAGGGTAAGGAGTTCTTACCAGTCAGACTTCTCGTCTTTCTCCCTGTGCAAACTGGTTGAGTGAATGGTAAAAATCAATGTTTATCTTCTCTGCAAAGTTTTGATTAATGGAAAAAAGGATGTGTGAGGCCAATCTTAAGATATAGTGAATCTGGTGTACTTTGTGCTATAAATTTGTCTTTCTGCATTGTTCTGTCATAAAGAAGAGTACTTTAGGATAGAATATCGGCTTAGGACCCCCGTAAGCCTGCTGTTCAAGACACTCCAGGAAACTGGTCAGTTACAAACTTTGCTGCAGGTCTCTGAAACAAAAAAAATTAGATGAAGTTTCCCTCTCATCATGTTTTATGTCCTTGGGAGCTTGACCTTGTAACCATGTGCTGTTACTTTCTCTTGGTCTCTGCTATCCAGGGAACAGGAATTTTGGGGTTCATGTTATACTTAGCCCTAAAAATTATCTTGAGCAGTTAAAAGCCTGTGCAAGCTCAAAATTGGCTGCTCTAGGCTCCTTCTGGGAAGGGCAATGGAAACTGCCCAATGCTATAGCTTAGTTGCAATTTAGATTAACCCTGCTTATTCCTGTGAACCAATCAGTGATCTCTGACTATAGTTCAGAAGAAACAGGAGGGATGGGTAGTGTAAAAATCTGGTTCAGTATTCTAATTCTGGACATTTATTGGAATCAGCTAGCAACCCAGTATCAGCTTGGTTCCAACAGTTGCCAGTTCATGGAAAGCCTTCTAATTTAGTTTATTTGGGATAATTTTATTTATTTTGCTTTATGTTGTGGAATATATTGCTGTTGTACTCTTTGTGTAGGAATGCAGGATAAGCTTACTGAATGTTTCCTTAAATTGAACACTTATTAATCTTCCAGAAACTCAAGATTTATGAATGGCCCTTGCCATACCAACACTTTCTGACTGAGCTCCTCTTTGCCCTGGATGCAAAAGACCCTAATAGTTAGGCAGGAATATCATTGCCCCTATTCAGCCTGATCCATCTCTTACAGAAGATAGATCTTCATCCCTTTATAACCCTTAGGATTAAGGGTTCCCTTGTAAAAGAAAGGGGGGAAATATGTAGAGGCGTTTGATCCAGAGCAACTCCATCTTGAATAGAGGCTGGGTAAATTGGCTGCATGTGTAGGAAGTTAGGGTTTCTGAGTTACAGGATGAGATAGGAGGTTAGCACAAGATGCGAGTCATAAAGACCTTGCTGATAAAACAGGTTGTGGTTAAGAAGCTGGCCAAAACACACCAAAACCAATATGGTGATGACAGTGACCTCTGGTTGTCCTCACTGCTCATTATATGCTAATTATAATGCATTAGCATGCTAAAAGACACTCCCACCAGTGCCATGACAGTTTACAAATGCCATGGCAGCATCAGAAAGTTACTTCATGTGGTCTAAAAAGGGGAAGAGCCCTCAGTTCTGGGAATTGCTCACCCCTTTCCTGGAAAACTCGTGAATAATTCACCCCTTGTTTAGCATATAATCCAGAATTAACAATAAGTATAAGCAGCTGAGAAGCCCATGCAGCTCCTCTGTCTATGGAGTAGCCATTCTTTACTCCCTTACTTTCTTAATAAACTTGCTTTGACTTAAAAAAAATTATTAGAGGCTGATAAGGCAGAAAAAGCATCTTACTGGGGGTGTGAAGTGAAGAGAATCTGAAACCTGGCTTGATTTTGTAGCGTGAGAATAGGCAGAGAGTGTCCTATAGGAATCACTGGTCACAGATCAATAGCCAAAACTCTAATAATTATTTTAGTTCCATAAAAGCAAATATGACTTTTTTTCTTTAACTCTGAAAGAGTTTTAGGGAATTACGGTTTTCTTAAGTTAGACTTCTTTCTGTAAGTAGCCAGTGTTTTTTAAAAACTATCCAACTTTTGGCCAGGCGCCGTGGCTCACACCTGTAGTCTTAGCATTATGGGTGGTTGAGGTGGAAGGATCGCTTGAGCCCAGGAGTTTGAGACCAACAACATAGGGAGACCCTGTCTCTACAAAACATTTAAAAATTATCCAGGTGTAGGCCGGGCATGGTGTCTCACGCCTGTAATCCCAGCATTTTGGCAGGCCGAGGCGGGAGGAGCACCTGAGGTTGGGAGTTCAAGACCAGCCTGACAAATGTGGAGAAACCCTGTCTCTACTAAAAATACAAAACTAGCTGGGCATGGTGGCACATGCCTCTAATCCCAGCTATTCGGGAGGCTTAGGCAGGAGAATCGCTTGAAGCTGGGAGGCGGAGGTTGCGGTGAGCCGAGATTGCACCATTGCACTCCAGCCTGGGCAGCAAGAGCGAGACTCCATCTCAAAAAAAAAATAAAATAAAATAAAATAAAAATCATCCAGGTGTAATGGCAGGTGTCTGTAGTCCCAGCTACTCAGGACACTGAGGTGAGAGGATCACTCAAGTCCTGGAGGTTGTGGTTGCAGTGAGCTGTGATGGAGCCACTATATTACAGTCTGGGTGACAGAGCAAGACCTTGTCTCAAAAACAAACAAACAAAAAACTATCCAACTTTTGTTAGAAAAAATGGTTAGAAAAATTATAATTCATAAGAAGTCTAAACAAAAGTTAAGTGTGGTCTGCTAGCTTTGGACTTGGTACTCATCATGACTCCAACTCAAATAAATGAGAAAGTCACTCATCCAACTGGACATAAAGGAATATAGGGGTGCAGAGGCACACTCATACTGCAGTAGATGAAGAGATAGGAAGAAAAGCCACCATGTGAGAAGCAGTACAGGGAGCAGGCTTGGGTGGAAGGAGCGAATTCAGGTAAATGAATACTAATTGATCAAAGCATCAGTCTGGATGCCTATAGAAATCACAACGTAACGTGCTGTTCAGTCGCTGTAAGGTGATTAGCTTTCTCTGAGCGTACCGTGTAACTTGTTGCCTCTATTTTCGCATATGCTTTTCATACCTCTTTGCCTGGTGAATGCTTCAGGAACTGGGCAACTTAGGACTGATCAAGAAAAAGGAAGGGCAACAAAAGAGTTTAATAAAAAGGATGCAGCAGGCATTTCATGGACTTCAGAAAAGAAAAGGCAGTTGGGCCACTGAGAATGTGCAGTTGGAAAGCCAGGATCAGAGTCTGTAATTCCATTGCTGCGGCCTCTGATCTCCATTTCCTGCTGTGCTCTACCTTGTGTCCTGCTTCTCTCTGCAGCACAGCCTTTTCTGCTCATTTAGGGTTCCTCAGCTCCACACTTTGGCCTGTCCTTGTGCTCCCTTCAATCCCACCTTTGCAAGTTCTTTAAAGTCCTACATCCGCTATTGTTCAAGTGAGGATCTCTGTGTCCCAAATTCACATTCCGAGCTCAGAAAATCTGGATGGTGCAGCCCAGCCTATAAATTAGTTTTCACTTGAATAGATGTAGAGCCCCAATTCAATCAGCTGATCCAGGACTTTGTGGAGATCAGATGGGACAAACATAGTCAGTTAGGATCCCCCTTTTAGCAGAGATGATAGATGGAGGAAATTTCAAAGGGGGCATGATTTGGATTGGCATCTCAAAACGTGTCCACTATATTTGGCATAATTATTACACTGTACTCTTAATACCATTGTTACATTGTATGGGATTGTATCATTTTTGTATTTTTCCTACTTCATTAGACTTTCAGTTCTTAGAGGGTTCTTCACCAAAGGTACATCTGACAATTTATTTTGCCTATTCCCATGAATTTCTTGACAATTCATAGCTTAGATTTCTGTCTACAGAGTCTTGCATTGTACGACTTCCGTGTGCTTCTGTTTCCTCATCTATAAAAAGGGGTTCATAAAACTGCCTATGTTATTAGGTAGTCATAAGCATTAAAGATAATGTGCTCCATAAATATTACCTATCATATTATCTTTTTTTCTTTATAGCCTCTTTCCTCACGTGCCAAAATGTTTGTGTGTGCTTGAACTGAATTTTCTGTAGGGAAGTCATGAATGAGTTTTTGCATTAGGAATATGTGTATCGATTCCCTAAAAATAATCCTAATCGTGCTCTCTTACAATTCCATTTTGTACTTGCCACAGATTTATCTTAAGGTATAGCTCTTTCATATCGTATATAAATTATTTGTTTATGTGCTTTAATATGTACTAAATAAGTCCCTGAAGTCAGGGAAAGAAGTTTTTCTGCCTTTGCCTCATCTTTGTATCCCTAGAGTATTTGTTGCTGCCTGGAATGAAGACGCTCTCAGTATTTAATTTAACCAATCTCTGAAGATATACTTTTGAGCTCATACTCTAGCAAACAGACTCTGTAGACAGAGATCTAAGCTATGAATTGTCAAGAAAAATTATTCAAGACTTGGAAATAGGCAAAATAAATTGTCAAGTATACCTTCAGTGAAGAGCTGGGCATTGCCTAGGAGAATTTTAAGGATTGTCTGATATTATTTGATTGATTTGCTATTAACTAGGCTATTTAAAAACATTGAGAATAAAAGCTAAATTTTTGGAAAACTGATAGCAATATAACTAACTCATTTTCATAAGCAATGCAAATGAACTGTCAGGTAGAAGATATAAATCTCCATAAGTCAAATTCTTATTTGAACTATTTTAACATCTTACTGGTTTCTTAATCAAGGAATGAGTTGAACAAAATCTTTGGCATAATTTCATTTTATATTTGCATGGGAGTTGTGCTGCTAACTCACTGAAAAAGTATATTGTGATATAAGTAATAAGATAAATCTCATAGTGAAGACACAAAGATTTAGGGGAACAGAGGGTGGGATAAATTTATTTAACATCATTGGGAGGAAAGGTTTTACCTAGGTGATTTTAAAGCTGGGCTTTGAAGACAATGTTGAATTGGGGTGGAGCCGTGTTTGAAGAGGGGAAGGGAGAAAGACCTCTAGGCAAAAGAAACTGTTAATACGGTGGGGTTCATGGACTCTGTTTACCAGAAAGACTACTGGCTCCTTACCAACTGCTTTTCAAAGGTGGTGAGATTTTGAGGTTGTAGGCCTACTGACACTGTTGTAGAGCTATGGAAGTCATCATCCACTCCAAGATCAAAGGCCCAGCAGGCCCATAGACTTGTTTAGGAACCCTCTGCAATGCCTGTCTTTTAAACAAATTTAAACATGTCTTTTGCATTTGCATTTGAAATTTTACATATAAGTGTGGACAAATTATTGTGTTTTAAAAATAATGAAATATACTCCATAAAACTTTATATCTTCATTTAAAATTTAATTTTGCAACTGATATGGAATACATAATGTTAATCTGAGCATGATTTCCTAGTTTCTTAAACTTCTTCATAGACTTAAAGAAAGGCCATCTTTTGTTTAAAAATTTAAAATCATTGTTTTCCCAATATAAAAGCAACTCATATATATTCAGTGCAGAAAAATTGGAAACAAATGTGGAAAAAAATTGAAATTAAACTTGTTTATAATTCTATCAACTAGACATGAGTGCTGTTAACATACTTTCTAGAACTTTTTCTTTGTACACACATGGAGTTTCTGTTAATTAACAAAAAATGACTGTTTCTTTTTATTGAGGTAAAATTCATATAACATAAAATTAACCATTTGGAAGTGAACAATTCAGGGGCACTTAATACATTCACAGTGTTGTGCAACCATTAACTCTATCTAGTTCCAAGACATTTTTATCACTACACAAGGAGACCCTGTACCCCTATTCATTTCTTCCCCTGGGCCCTGGCAATGCCAATGTGCTTTCTAAGATCTCTATGGATTTACCTATTCTGGAAATTTTCATATAAATGTGTAGCCAGTGGGGCCTTTGTGTCTGGCTTCCTTTATTGAGCATAATGTTTTCAAGGTCATCCACATTATGGCATATGTCAGTACTTCATTCCTCATGGCTGAATAATATTCTATTGTATGTAGATAGCACAATTTATCCATTCATATGTTGGTGGTCAGCTTTCTCTTTTTACAATCTTCTTTTTGAAAAATGCAATAAAAACCTTAATCTATCCTGAACATTTTTCATAATCTTTCTTCATATGTAAAAGGGTTAATGGTCACAGGAATATGCCTATACAAATATGCTTGCAGTATATAGAACTAGATTAAAAGGAGAGTCAATTGATAACGTCAGATTTTTTTGGTTAACACCTGATGCATGTGGGCACACCCACATGCAGGGAAATACAAACCACCACCACCACCACACAACAACAAAAAACAAACACTGGACCCAGACCCTCTGGCACATGCTTGTTTCTGCTGCCCCCAGATACAATTTTTTTCCTGCAGGCAGGGATGCCATCTCTTCACCATGAGGAAGTGCTGATTCCTCTCCCCTCTCACTTCCCTTTAGGAGTGTGACCATCCTGGCCCACCCCTAAGAGTACTGTGCAATACTTGGTGATTTCAACACCACAATGCCTGATTGTTGACTGATTTTTCTCTCAGCAACCAGAACAACATAAGTTCATTTTTCTCTCTAAGTCTAGCACCGAATGAACTTGTTTCTCTCTCTCTTTAAAATTGTATTTTGCTTAAGTACCATGCCAGCAAAATTAATTCATTTCTTCAGATGCACAAAATGGTCTGTTGACTACCCAGCAGGCCATGCCTGATTTAGTAACTAACTTCAACTTTTGTTCAGTCCTTATCCTTTATCTCAACACTACTGGCTTTCTATCCCACAACTACCATCTGCCCTCCCGACAGGATGTAGTATTTTGTTTTCTGAGGCCTTGGAAAGGTATGTAAGTTCTAAAATATTTGTGACATTTTCACAAAATTTACATAATGTACCCTGATACAGTTAATAACTACTTGGCTTAGTTAACATTTCTTGAGTTCCTACTGTGTTCCAGGTACTTTGCCAGGCTTTAGCAATTAAACACACACACACACACACACACACACACACGCACGCACGCACACACACACAGCTAAGAGTATGAGTTAGAATTAGCAACATCTCTAACAGAGACACAAAACACAGTGGCTTAAATAATATAGAAGTTTATTTCTCTCTAATGTAAAAATCCAGATGGAGAAGACCAAGGCTGGTGAGAAGGCTCCACAGTTGCCTGGAATTCAGTGACAAGTGACAAGCTTCCAGTTGTTGTTTTTTTTTCTCTTTCTTTTCTTTTCTTCTTTCTTTTCTTTTCTTTTTTTTTTTTTTTTTTTTTTTTTTTTACAGCATCTCATTCTATTGCCCAGGCTGGATGTAGTGCAGTGGTGCAATATGGGCTCACTGCAACCTCCACCTCTGGGGTTCCAACAAAACTCCCACCTTGGTCTCCAGAGTAGCTGGGACTACAGGCATGCACCACCATGCCCAGCTAATTTTTGTATTTTTGTAGAGACAGGGTTTCGCCTTGTTGCCCAGGCTGGTCTGGAACTCCTGAGCTCAAATGATCCACCCACCTCAGCTTCCCAAAGTGCTGGGATTACAGGTGTGATCAACCGAACCCGGCAGCTTCCAGTTTTCTACTCCACCATCCCTAGGGTTGAACCCTCATCCTCATGCTCCAAAATGGAGCTTCAGTGATCTCATCTATGTTCTAGGGAAACAGGATGGAGGAAGGAAGGAAGAAGGCATAAAAGGTATGATAGCTACCTTTTAAGGAAAATTTCCAGAAACTACTGTACTTCTGCTTTGATCAACATCTAATTGATCACAACTTAGCCATATAACCAAGTGGCAACAAGGTAGGCTGGGAAATGTATTCTTTATTCCAGGCATCTATTTCCCAGCTAAAAACTGAGGGTCCTGATGAGGAGAAAACAGATAATAGGTAAGGCAATCAGAAATTGTCAACATCAAGACACAGTCCCTGCCCTCTAGGCAGAAAAGGTAAGAGAATACTGTGAGTATATAACAAAGGAATCTAATTCACACTGTGCAAAGTTTTCCAGAAATGGGGGTGCCTGAACTGAATTTTTAGGGAAGAGTAGGAGTGAAAGAGTGAAATAGGCAAAGAGTATGGATTTTTTTTTTTTTTTGACAGAGTTTTCACTCTTGTTGCCCAGGCTGGAGTGCAGTGGTGCGATCTCAGCTCACTGCAACCTCCACCTCCCAAGTTCAAGCAAAGTCTCCTAAGTAGCTGGGACTACAGGCGCATGCCACCACACCTGACTATTTTTTTTTTTTTGTATTTTTAGTAGAGACGGGGTTTCATCATGTTGGCCAGGGTGGTCTCGAACTCCTGACCCCAGGTGATCTGCCCACCTTGGCCTCCCAAAGTGCTGGGATTACAGGCATGAGCCACCACGCCCGACCAAATGGTGGTAATGATAATAGTGAGGGAGTTTCTGGAAAGGGAAATTAGCCAGTGGCCAGAGGCTTGAAAGGAATTACTGTATACTAGTGTGGTTGTACCCTACATTTAGAGGTCAGGAATGTTGAAAGATGAAGTTGAAAAGATAAGCAAGGGTGAATAGTTTTTGTGTCTGGTCTACTCTGTATAATCATTCATACGATAAAATGTTTAAAAAATTAGTTACCACTTAAGCTCTTGCTTAAATGAGTTTATAAAAGTGCTAATCAGTGATCATTAAGGAAATAAATTGTATACATAGAGCATATTACTTTTCACAGTACAATCATAAATAGGTACCTGCAAAAATATGAACCAATATTCTCTGTACTCCTTCTAAATGGTCAGTGTTCTGAGCCTAGCAACAAAATAATCTAACTAGATGAAAACTTATTGTATTCACCTGCTTATAAGATGCATAAAGATTCACCTTTACACCAGAGAAAGGTATGTAAAAACTGCCCCATGTCCAATGCACTTACATTAGAGATAAAAAGCCAAATGCATAATGAATGAGAAATAGCTAAGAGTCTGAGTTACAGTCACCAAAAAGACAATAATTTAATGCTACCTCTAGCAGAGAAAGAGAGCAGATACGTAAGTTTTTGTTTTTCATCCTATAAGTGGCATTCTTACCTAAAGCAAAAGCAAATATAACAAATCAGAGGCCACAGAGATGGTCAAAGCTAGAGTTTGAGGCTGTGATACAGATTTTTTTGTAAAGATGCCGATAACTTCTTCTATACCCATTTTCAATGTGACTTTTCTGTTCTTCCCATTGAAAGGTGGATTTGTTTTCCTAGTTCTTGAATCTGTGCTGGCTCTGTGACTTGTTTTGACCAAGGAATATGATAGAAGTGACTCTGCCCTTCAAGGCTAAGCATGAGACTGCCATGTACAAACGTTGGTCTAGTCTATGGAGGGCAAGATGCCACATAAAGGGGAACTGAGGCACCCCAGACAACAACTAGTATCAACTGCTAGACATGAGGCCATCTTGGACCTTCTACCACAGTTCACTGCAGTTGTATGAGTGAAACCAGCAGAACTTCCCAACCAATTCACAGAACATACGAAATAATAATAATTGTTGTTTTAAGCCACTGTGTTTCAGAGGGGTTTGTTAAAGTGATAACTGATATAGGTTCACACCTATGATATTTTAGATTAAAATGCATCATTGCTATAGTTTATGACTGAAAAGCAATACAGGTATTGTTACAACATCAATTTCAGGCTTTAACACAATAGACTGCAAAATGAACTGGTAACAGAAAGTCAGGGCTTCCATTGCTATACTACTGAAGAAACCAGAAGCTTAAAGTGTTAGACATCCTAGGAAAACTGTAAGGTCCCCACAACTGGAAGAAATATTTTTAAAAAATAGGTATTAGATCCTCAAACAAATGGAATCACTTGAGAATTTAATATTTAAATTATATAGATAGCTCAACAAGAACTAATAACAGATATATCAAAGATCAACATTACGATGCTGTAGATTTATGAGTAGAAATTCCAGTTACCTCTGTAGGTAAGAGTAATAATGACACAAGTCATGCCCCTTGACTCTTTTTTTTTGAGACAGAGTTTCACTTTCTGTTGCCCAGGCTGGAGTGCAATGGTGTGATCTCGGCTCACAGCAACCTCCACCTCCCGGATTCAAGTGATTCTCTTGCCTCAGCCTCCTGAGTAGCTGGTATTACAGGCATGCACCACCACGCCCGGCTAATTTTGTATGTTTAGTGGAGACGGGGTTTCTCCATGTTGGTCAGGCTGGTCTCAAACTCCCGACCTCAGGTGATCTGCCTGCCTCGGCCTCCCAAAGCTCTGGGATTACAGGCGTGAACCACTGCGCCTGGCTGCCCCTTGACTCTTGAAGATAAAGTCCTTGAGTTCCGTGGTGTAGTGGACAACCTCCAAAATGGCTGCTCACGACTCTCCCTTCCTGGCACTCACTTTCTTGGGAAATAGTCTCCCACACTAAGTTATAGCTGGCCTGTGCACCCAATAAAATATGGTGGAAATGATGGCGTGTGACTTCTAAGGCTAGTTTATAAAAGACATTGCAGTTTCTACCTTGGTCTCTCTCTTGGATCACTTGCTGCTGGAGCAGTCAGCCGCCGTGTCTTGAGGACACTCACACAGCACTATGGAGAGGAACACATAGGAACTGAGGCCTCCATCTATCTATTAGGCTCAACTTGCTAGCCATGAGAGCCTGCCATCTTGGAAGCAGGGCCTTTAACTTCAGTCAAGACTTCAGATGACTGTATCCCTGGCTATTTCTTTTTTAGATAGCTTTATTGAAAGTATAATTTAATTACCATACAATTCACTAATTTCAAGTATACAATTCAATGATTTCTAGTAATTTTACAGAACTGCCCAACCATGACCACAATCTAATTTTAGAATGTTTATCTCATGCCAAAAAGAAACCTCATATCCATTAGCAGTCACTCTCAGTTCCACCTTCAGCCCCAGGCAACCACTAACCTATTTTCTGTGACTGTAGATTTGTCTTTTCAGAAAATTTCATACAAATGATTTCATACAAACGAATTATGTGGTCTTTT
The DNA here is from genome assembly GCF_000001405.40 of Homo sapiens. Taxonomy (NCBI): domain Eukaryota; kingdom Metazoa; phylum Chordata; class Mammalia; order Primates; family Hominidae; genus Homo; species Homo sapiens. The sequence goes on along the minus strand of NC_000015.10, from coordinate 51,625,294 downwards.
GTGTCCAGCTTCTTTTATTTAGCATGTAGCTGACATTTTGATTGCCATCTCATGAAAGACTCTGAACCAGAACTTTCCTGCTAAGCTACTACTAAATTATTGATTCACAGAAACTGTGAGGTAATGAATCTCTACTGTTATTTTTGGCTGATAAATTTTGGGGTAATTTATTGCACAGTAATTGATAACTAGTACACATCGGTAGGTGATACTGCTGGGAAACTAAGTCCCACATTTAATGGCACACATTCAATGGGCCATTAAACCCAACCCCAAAGGTACTATTAAGAGTTGTGTTGGGATCTCAAATCAAAGCAAAAAGAAAAAAAAAAGAGTTGTGGACATGATAAATTATATCTTACAATTCGATTAGCATATTTTGTTAATGATACAAAACTGCTACTTTTTCTAATTTTTAAAAGAAAGCCCTTTCCAAAATTAGAAGAAAGAATTTCCAATTTGTTTTTAGGTCCATGAAAAAATTTGCATGAACAAGGAAGAGATGAAATTGTGGACAGTCAAAAGTGTGGTCTAGCTGCCCTGGTGGGCTACCAAGGAAACTTGCCATATTAGTCTGGAGTGAGTTTTGACTGATCAGATTGGACAATAAAAGGCTCAGCTGTAATTCCAGGAGACTTAATTAGTCATTTGCAACCTTAAGATACAGCTATCAAGAAGCCATTTAAAGGATTCATGAGGGAAGAGAACAGGTGGATACAGGCTTCAGATTTTGAGTTTGATACCGAGAGGAAGAAAGAGGCTCACAACTTCACAACTGTGTGAATGGGCCAAAACTTCATGGAATGCTGTAAAACAAGAGCCAAATGTGAAATGGTTTAAATAATGTGAATTAGTAACACTCTTGGAAACCTGAGTACAATTTGTTGTTTGATGATAGTTTTGACTTGGTTTCTAATGCAGTGAAGGTCAAAGATTAAGAGACTCATCTAGAATCTAGTAGTAACAAAAAGGAACCCTTGGATATGGCGCGGGGGAAGGGAGGAAGGGGGGGGGAGGGAAGGGGAGGGAGGGGGGAGAGAGAGAAAGAGAGAGAATGCCGCAGGTCATTAGGTATTATTTTTCATTCCTCCTGCAACTTTCTACTGAAAAGATTACCAACGACTGACAGATCTTTGCCTCCAATCTTCCCCACCCTTCCCTTTATGCTTCAAAATGCTACAAAGTCATCTTCCCAAAGCAGCTCTGATTATATAAATTTTTGCTCAGAAACATCTGATATACCCCCACTGCATGCAGAGTGAAATCTGGGCTTCTTGGAGCATTCAAGACTCTCCATAATATGTTTTGGTAGGCCAAGAGTTAGACCACTTGGATACCTTGATCTCTTGCTAAGTATTATTTACTTTCCCTACCCTATAAATCATCTGCCTCAAACATTAATCTTTGTACCTTCAACACCCCCTCTATTTTCTGTACTGTATTTGCAGCATTTCTTGTCTATCTCAGCCTGTCAAAATTAAACTCAGCGTTTATGTCAGGTTATGTCTCCATAATGCCTTATCCACGCCCTTAGTCAACATTCTTCTTCCTCTTCTGTGGTGCATAAAGACTTTTATATCTCAATCACACCACCTTTGGCGTTCTGCCTGGTTTTACAGATAGTTATGTCTTGGTGTCCCCTACTTCCTTACCCTGTGATTTAAGCATAGTATGGGTTAGAACATTTGCCATGAATTGGCCTGTGGCAGGGAGCTGATGATCCTTGTTATCAACCATTCAAAGTTTAGCAGATAGTTTGGAAAATCAGGCGATTCTGCTAATTCATGAAATTACTCATGAAAAAAAGTCGAAAGGAGTCACCCGTCTCTAAGGCGGCTTTTTGCTGTCTAGAATAACCGTGACAAAAGGTGGGAGCAAAATAATTAGCTTTCAGGGGAGTATGGCTTCTCTAAATAGTTGCAAGATGCCTACATTGTTTATGTAAAATAAAATATCTTATGTACTGCACTTTCGAAAAGACTGAAGATATCTAAGATATCTCCAGGTGGAAATTCCCGGTGACGGGTGTCCTTCTGAGGTCAACGGCACTGACCATTGCACACTGTATTCTGGAATACGTTCAACACAGCAAAACCGGCTCGTGGCGCGTCCCCGGCGTCCGACTGCTGCGTGGCCCCGAGCGACCTGCACCCCACTCGCCCCCGCCCCCACCTCCGCCCCAGTCCGCAGCGGCTACAGCCCGGGAGGCTCCAAGGGAACTCCCGCACGTCTGCGCGCGCAATCACGGGACGGCGGGTCGGCGTGGCGCGCGCAATTGCCCTGGAAACCACGGCGCGCGCACGCGCAAACGCGGGTGATGGGGGGAAGAAAGACTGAGCTGAGAGCTTTGCCGCGGGGGGAGGGCTCTACCTCGCTCCCCCGCGGTGGGCGCGCGCGCTGGCCCGCTCCCTTGCTGCACGCTCCCGGCTCGCGCGTTCCCCCCGGTGCCCTCCCCCGCCTCACAAGCACCCTTGCCCTCCCGCATTTGTGCGCCGGTGCAGCAGGCAGTGGGAACATCCGGGCATTTCCGCAGCTGAGCGGCGACCCGGGCGGCGGCGGCGGTCGAGGAGCTCCCATGGCAGGGACGAGGCGGAGGGAAGGCGAAAGGGGGGCGAGGAGTTAAGCCAGAGCCTCCGCGGGGCGGGTTTCCGAGGGAGGCACAGAGGGAAACGGCTCTCGCAGCCCGAGGAGGGTCAGGCGCGGAGCTTGTCGCACCTCCCGCGCATTCTGTCCAGCCCGGGCTCCGGAGATGCATCTGCATCAGGTCCTCACCGGAGCTGTCAACCCTGGAGACAACTGCTACTCCGTGGGCAGCGTCGGGGATGTCCCCTTCACGGTGAGCGGCGGCCGGGAGCCCTAGGGGAAGATACCAGGGGCCAGACGCGGGGGCAGGGACCTCCTGTCCAGGGCGCACGCCTCCTCAGGAGGCTGTGAGATGTTGGTGGGCCCCACCCGTGGCCCCTTTGCAGCCTTGGGGTTTAGTTCCCCCTGGGACCCGTGGGACCGTGGGTCCTGCGTCTGGTGTAGGAAATCACCCGTTAGGGGAAAGGCTTAGGAATCCACCGCACTCTCCACCCCAAGCAAACGGGCCTGAGGTGACTGGACTAGAAGGCTCCTCCTAGGGCGGCCCTTCGGTCTGCGGTGGAGGAAAGTGGTGGTGCGGCTGAAACCCCAGAGCGTCCGTTTCGCAGCTGCTCTCGGCGTGGAGGCGAAGAGACTTGGTGTTGGTCTCGGAGCGTGGAGGTGAAGAGACTTGGTGTTGGTCTCGGAGCGTGGAGGCGATGCTGCGCCTTGGCTCCCCCTGCCCGCTGTGCTAGGGCAGCGAGGAGCTGCTGGAGTCTGTGGCTTTAAGCCTGACTCTGTATCTCCTGATAATGCAGGATCTTAATTCCAACAAAAAGATAGAAAAATTCATCCTCCGCGCCCGAAAGATTTAGAATGGAAAGGTTAGAGTCACAGTGGCTTGGAGAGCTGTCTCATTTATCAGGAGGTCGTAGTTTGGTAATCCTCCTAGATAATATTTTAATCTGTAAGGTAGCCTTTTTTTTAATATAGTAAGGCAATGTGAAAAATTTACAACAGTGCTTGTTTGAGAAAAGTGTATGTATACATAACGTTTTAGAATCTCCTTAAAAGCTAGATGAAGTAGACATGTTTCTCAAGGAGATTGGACTCATCAGTCCTTTTTGAGAGTGGAAATGTTTAAACCAAGCCTTGGAGCTTCGTTTACTCATAGATAGACTCCCATAAATTGAGTTCTTTTTTAAAGAATGAAATTTATACATGGTCTTCCTTATAAGGAACTGTAGGCAGCCAGACCTTTATTAAATATATTTTGTAAACTGTTCTTCTTGATAAAACTGGAAATTCCGTAATGGTATGCTTTTTAGACAAGGAAAACCCTTTGATGTCTGCTTTCCAACAGTGTTTTTAAAACTGCGGAAAATAAAGCTTCAGCAAAACTGCAGAATCATTATGTAGCAGTGCATTCTGGAACAGAATTTATTTTTTGACGTTTTGTGATACATTAACCCCAGAAGATTGCTTTTTAGCCATTTTAATTTTTTAGTGTAATCCACTTGGCCTAGCTCCAGTTTAGAACGACCCCTTTTGTCATCTGTGTTTTATGTACATGTGACTTAAAATATTCATATAGAGCTGAGCTTTGTCTTCAAGTGTGTGGAGAATCTTGGTTTTTGGGGATAGAGAGAAGAAATTTCCCTGTTCCCCAGTAGTGCAGATAGGAAGTTCCTCAGGGTTAGAAGAGTGGGCCTCTTTCATCAAGAAACAAAGCTGGAATCTTTGGTTATATTTTCCTGCTAGAATGGTGGTGGTAGTTTTCTGCTTCCATCTAAAGTGGAGTGCTGTCTCACGGCAGGTCTGGTATGTAGAACTAAATAAACGGGTTCAGATGCAGCCTGGAAAAGCCTGTGTAAGAACTGTTAGTGCTGTGCAGGTGTGGTTATGCTGTAGGCCACTTGTGACCAGATGCTTAGAGTCATTTTCAAATCTTCTTGCACTTCCCTAATTCAGCGTTTCACGAAGTCTAGTTGACTCTGCACTGTCTACCAGATTTACTCCTTTTCATATCCTTAACCACCACCTTATTTTACAATCTTATTGGTATTAATATAAAAGCTTTCAAAACTGTCATGTCCGATAACTTCTTCATCCTCCACACCGCTGCTAGGATAATTTTCTTCAAGTGTCATTTTACTATATTACTCTTGGCTTAAGAATATGTAATTGTTTTTAATAGCTGTGTTAGGAAATGTAAACTTGTCAAGTATTCTCCATCTTTGACTTTATTTTTAATTATATGTACTCCTCACTTTGGCCCCTCTGTTACATACTGATCTTCTTACTCTAAACTGCATTTTTATGTTGCAACAAGACAGTCCTTTTGGGTTTCCAAATTCGACTCAAAATTTACGTGGTTTAGGATGCCTGCCTGTGACACTGTTATTTTGGTCTTTTGACAAATGTAAATACAAACCCATTTTGCACACCATCTCATTTAACTACCTTAGTTTTGAGCGCACTGATCCAGTTTTAATTTTGCCATGAACTAGAAATGATCTCTTGGGCTTTGTGAAAAACAGATTGAAAAACAAAACAAAACAAAACAAAAAACAAGCTGCTTTCAAGCAGTCTATATATAATCAACTAACAAATACTTAAGTTCCTATGTTTGTAAATATAGGAATAATAAATAGTAATAATAGTAAAATAAAATAAAGTAATATAATAGTAAAAATAAAAAGCAAGCTCCTCTTCATGGAGCCTGTCACTTGATTTTAGAGCAATCAGATGAAGAAACTTTAGTTCTGGATCAGATGATTAAAAGGGGGACCAGCCAGGACTTGGAATGAAGGTCTTGTGACTTCTCATTGTGTGGGCTTTTCTTGGTAGTATTTCCTTCTTAATATCAGAGTGCCTGCTCTGGAGAGGGTGTGTGGGTGCGTAGGTGGGTTAGTGGATGGATGGAAGGCCTCCCAGACATAGTGTAGAAGGAACTACTGTCTTGCAACTAACTCATGATTCTTAGCTGATGTTGTGTTTCATGGTAGCCTGAGAACCTTTTCAAAATACAATACATACTTTATTTCAGAGTCTAAAATTGATACATCTTTGAAGAACAGAATTGTTCTAAAAGGATTTTGAGTTTATGACAGTGTAATAATTGAAAGAAATGTGTGTTATATATTTTGCTGTGCATGGTGGGTGGCGTGATTGGTTGGCTGTGAATGACTACTTGATGTCGTGATGTCCCAATTTGTGCAATATTGACATGGTACTGCAGTCTGTAGTGGACAATCTCAGCTGATGTCTGTGGTTTTAGTGGTATCACGTAAGCTATGATGCTTTTCACTTGTGTTTAGGCAGTATACAGCTGTTTCCTTAAACATTCGATTGTGATTTCGTAAATGTAGCTGTAGATATCACATTTTAAAACATCACCTTTTGAACAATTTTGTTCTTTTCAGTGTAAGATCTAGGTTTTCGAAATGTTATCCTGCAATAAGTCAAATCTCTGGTAGTTCAAAGAGATGATCTTCTCCCGTGTATGAGCTTTATTATACTTTATTTTGCCTTTAAGACATTTCTTACTACCCTTCAGTGAATGTTTTGAGGGTTTATGCAACAGATATTGTAAATTTCTCATTATTTATGTTATTACTTTTCTGAAAGATAGTCCTTGGCTATTTTTTAAACTTTACTGCACATATTAAAATATTAATTGAAATAATGATCATACGTGATGATTTTTTAAATTAAAAATTCATTTGGCCTTAAGGCTTGCAGACTATTTTGAGATGTATAGGGGCAGTTACTATTATTCCAGTGTGACATGATTTCAACACATTGATCAAAGTTTACAAAAATTAGTAAGTCATTTGCACTCTTAGGGAATTTATAATATACTGGCAGAGATTAAAATGATTTATATAATTATAACATAAGGCAGATGGAAGAGATTGTAGTTGGGAAAACAAGAAGAGGTTTTATGGAAGAGTAAGGTTTGGAAAGATAAGAACAACAGAAGCAAAGGAATGGCATAATACGAAGGATAAATTATTGAGTGACTGTTTTCTTTGCAAAAGTTACTTTTTAATCACAGGACTTCTTCATTAAATAACAGACACTCTTAGAATGTTGAAAAAATATAATATGCAAACATTACCTGTAGCTTTTCAGGAAAACGTACCTGGTATTCTGACATTCAATTTTTTTTTTAAATTAAAATACCAACAAAAGGTTGGAAATAAATGGAAAACCATTCATTTAAAAATTAGAAAATAATGTTGTATAACCTCTTTTATGGCATTTAGATATGTCTTAACTCTATTGTAGAATAAAATTTCAGTCCTAGAGTTATGGTAACACCAAACCTTGAAAATGATCAACCAGTTTATACATTTAGCAAATGTTGAACACATAGGTGTGCTAAGCTTTGTGGGTATTAAAAAAAAAAAAAAAGAATTACAAGACATAGTCTTGATTTCAGGGAGTTTATTGAAGAAGTGTAGGAACCTGGTAGTCTAATACGAGAGTAAAAGACACATACCTAACCACAGTAGGCCAGCTGTGCAATATTACCAGCATTTAAGTGGGAATTCAGGAAGACTAAGAGAACTTTTGGCCAGGGGAATCAAGGGGTTGGTTAGAAACATGCTTCTGTACTGGCTGGTTATTAATGTGTTAACCTGTGCTGAGAGGAAAGTGAAAGACAGAAGTCAAGAATTTAGAATGGACTTGTTTTCTAAGAGAAATTGGCCTTTTTGTTCTTGGAGTGTAGCTTCTTGTTTGTTTAAACGGATACATTTAAAACCTTGTGGGCTTGGGCTTAGTGTCAACCAGTAAGTGAATATAGGGTTTATAAGTTCTTATGTCCCTGCGTAGATTGTTAATTAGCCTTCTTGCTTGTAGCAAGAAGACTCCTAGCAACTACTCAGAAACTCTGGTAAGGTTCTGAATAATGTCTTCCCCAAAAATGGGAGGTCAGAGACCAACTACTTGTATGGTGTTGGTGAAATCACTTAAACATGTTTAGGTCTTTGATCTGTAAAAGAAGTTCTTAAAGATATTCTTTAAGTATTTAGACCACGAATGAAAATTATATGGACTTCTCTAGAGATTTTCAGGGGTCAAAAGAGAAAATGGACTAGAAACATAAAGTGGTTGTGTTGAAGTTGTAGGTCTGGAGTCTTTATCGTATATTGCTTCTCACTTGTATTTACAAGACTTGATCAGATCTCACTTGTATTTACAAGATTTGATCAGACCTCACAGTCGGGGAGTCTGACCTCCTTTCTGGCTCAGTAGATAGGCCATTCAGAGCATTTATGAAGTAGTGGGTCTAGGAATGAGTCTTTGGGCTTACAGCTGAGGAGAAGCCTCTTGATTAGGTTTTGGTCCTTGGCACCTGGCAGATGATAGTTGCCTGCGACTGTCATAGTACAGTATTGGGTGGGAGATGGGACCAGTGTGATGGTGTTTAGGTTCTCCTTTCGCAGCTTTCCTTTTCCCGTGCAATGCCTTTATTTTAGTTTCTGTTCTTAGGATTTGGGCTATTTAAAATATTACTTTAGAAATTATAATCAGATTATCTTAACTTGGATCTTGGTAAATTTTTAGAACAAATCAGAGTCTCAGTATTTAATTATCTGAAAGAGCACAGGATGTTGGGTGACAACCATAATGGCACAGTAGAAAAACAAGTCATGCCTGACCAATTTAATTTCCTTCTGTGAAACCAAGGCAGTACTTAAAATGGGATATAATATAGAATATCTAAAATTCAGATTTAGTCAGACTTCTCTAGCTTGTCAGTTTTTTTTTTTTTTTTTTTTTTTTTAGATGGAGTCTCACTCTGTCACCCAGGCTGGAGTGCAGTGGTGCAACCTCTGCTCACCACAACCTCCATCTCCTAGGTTCAAGCGATTCTCCTGCCTCAGCCTCCTGAGTAGCTGGAATTACAGGTGCGTGCCACCATGCCAGGCTAATTTTTGTATTTTTAGTAGAGACAGGATTTCACGATGTTGGCCAGGCTGGCTTGAACTCTTGACCTCAAGTGATCCTCCTGCCTCAGCCTCCCAAGGTATTGGGATTATAGGCATGAGCCACTGCACCCGGCCATTTGTCAGTAATTTTTTAAAACAAATTTGGAAGCCAAATATTTCAGTAGAAGTTTTAGGGTTTTCAGTCCTTTCGAGTTTGTAGAATCCTTTTGCATTATGTTAGTGCTCTGAAACCCTGATCCATGATGTAACTTGGTATTGAGGGACAAGTACATCTTAACAAAGGTGACATGACTATATTCACTCTCTCTTAAAGATAGCTCATGTAATCCTGGAATTTGATGTAAATATGAAACCAGTTGCCTGCACTTCTTATTTTTGTGTGTGTGGGTTTTTGTTTTCTTAAATTTCTTTTTTTTTCGTTTGCCTGCAAGTTTTACTCTCAAATCCTCTCATTTCATGATTCCTGAGGCTTCCTTTAATGCTATCTACCCCTAGTCCTGAACACCTAAAAAATGTAATGGTTATCATTTATCTCTTTCAGATACAGAAAACAGAGTTAGGCCCCTCTAAATAATATACATGGTAATTTGGTGGGAGTGATTTTAGGGGAATAAATAATACCCTCTTAGATGGATTATCATTGGAGAGATGTTCCTTTAGGTCCACTGTCTTCTAAAAACTGAGCCTTGGGAGTAATAACATTTAATTTAATTCATACTAAATAATTGTTGTTTTCTTCCTGTGATTTTAGGAGAAACCCATTGGTTCGTACTAAATCAGTAGTGTTTTCTTCTTGTGATCTAAGGAGAAACTCAAAAAGTCGTAAGTGTGTTTTGCAAGTAAGCATAGATGGACACAAAAAACTCATAAACATTCTGGCTTAGACTCATTTCACAGATATATGTAGCTCATCCGTTAGCTGTAGTTCAAAAACAAAATTCCATACATTTTCTTAGGAGTAATGATTTTGGTTTTGTGCTAGCAACTTCTTCATATCATCTCTGGCCTTGACTGCATCCACACTTAAGAGGATCTAATCAGCAGGAGGTAATCATATTATCATCATGTACCTTTCCCATAATAACTCCCATCATTCCTTTTATGTGGATGAATAACCAATGTTTTCAGCAAAGGCCACTTCCTCCATTTAGGTTCTAAATTGGGTGTGATTTTGTCCACCAGGAGACATTTGGCAGTGTCTGGAGACATTTTTGATTGCTGTGACTGGAGGTGGGGAATTGGTACTGCCAACTAGTGAGGAGAGGCCAGAGATTTAGATAAAACGTCCTACAGTGCACGGGATAGTCCTCCACAATGAAGAGTTACCAAGCCCAAAATGTCAGTAGTACTGAAGTTGTGACAAACCCTGATTTGTACCTTACGGTTTGCATCTCTCTTTCCTACTCAAGTGCATGATTCTAGCAGTTTCTCCCTTCTCTCATAAAAATGCTTTTTCTGCTCTATTGAAACACTGTCTTCATTTAGCCTTCTTAGTTTTCTCCTACCATGCTTAATTGCTTCTTCTCAGCCTGATTCCAGATTTGTATACTCAGCTGTTTCTTTGACATCTCCTCCTTGAAGGTCTAATAGCTATCACAAAGACCTCATAACATTTTCCTCTTCCAGTCTTCCCTAAATCAATAAATAGCAACTCCACTTTTCTTTACTTTCCTTGTAATCTACCTTTTCTCTTCCATTTATGTCCCGTATCTAATGTTAGCAAATTCTAATGGTTATACCTTCAAAATGCGTCCAGAATCTGATTACTTCTTATCTCTACTGCTGCCACCTTGGTGCAAGACAGCATCATTTTTTTCCCCTGGATAATGGCAGTTGAATCTTAAATGGTCTTCCTGCCTTTTCTGACTCTAGCCTATCCTCCTTCAGTTTATTTTCAACATAGTAGCTAGAATGCTCCTGTTAAAATACAAATAAAATCTTGTTAGCCCCTTATTCCAGACTTTCACGTGGCTTTTTTTTCCACTCAGAATAAAAACCTGAGTGCCTGCAATGCCCTCTATTGCTATTTCTTTAGCACCTAAAACAGAAGGTGGTACAAAAAAGTACTCAATAAATTAGTAAATGGAAAGGATACTTAGTGTAATACACACATAGTAAAAACAGTGATCTTTTCATAAGGCTATTTTTTTATAATACTTCTTGGTATAGGTCAGTGGCATTAAGTCATATTTAGAAAAATCAATTTTATACGATGAAGGCAGAGAGCTTTGATATAATATAGGTGTAAAGCTGTGCTGCCCTGGTTTACTCCAAGGATATATATTAATGTATCAGGAGGAATTGACAGGTGGTTCTCAAATTTTCCTCAGTGGTGCTTTTGAAAGACTTAAGTATATAATGAATTAGAGATTAGCCTGACAAATACCTGGAGTGTAGAGATTCTGTACTTTAGGAGTTTAATATGTTGTATTAATTTGCTGGGGCTGCCATAACAAAATAATACAGACTGGGTAGCTTAAACAACAGATTTTTTTTCCTCACAGTTCTGGAGTTTGGAAGTCCAAGATCTATGTGTCAGCAGATTTGGTTTATCTGGAGGACTTTCTCCTTGTCTTGTACATTGCCCCCTTCTTGTTATTTCCTCATATGGCTTTTCCTTTGTGTACATGCACTTGCGGTGTCTTTTTCTCTTCTTAGGGACGCTAGTCTTATAGGGCCCCACCCTTAAGATCTCATTTAACCTTATATTACCTCTTGAAAGGCCTTACCTCCAAACACAGTCACGTTGGTAGTTAGAGTTTCAAGCTATGAATTTTGGGGTTACACAATATAGTCCACAACACATGTTAACAATCAGCTGAGCTGGTCCTGGAATTGAAAATTGAGGAGCCTAGCAAAGACATGATTGAGGTGGCCACCCTACTTGGTGGTAATCTCAGCTCAACCAAAGGAGTACTCTTGGATAGAAGCAAGATTCTGTTAAAGAAATTTTAAGAATATGCTAATATGTGGACAAATGGAAAATTCAAACATGACTGTGATAATTTTATGCTGGACAAATTTTATATAGACATAATTACAAGCACAGTTTGGCCATTAGAAGCAAAAAGCAAATAAAAACCCCAAAGAATTCAGATTTTTTTGGTTTAAAAAATTAATATAATATCTGCATTGTAAAAAAGTTATAATTCCAACAGTGTTGAAATATAGAAAGTAAAACTGAAAGTTTCCAGTTCCCAGAAGAATTCGTATAACTTACTGGTTATCCTTTATTCAAAAAATATTTTGGCACCTAGACATTGTGCATACAGGATAAACTAGCTATTGAAGTGTACTGTTGTATAAGAGGACTTGGTGTATGTTGTTATGTTGCAGGAAGTCAAGGACCCTAAACGGAGGGACAGGCTGAAGCTATGGCAGAAGAACATAAATTGTGAAGATTTCATGGACATTTATTAGTTCCCCAAATTAATACTTTCATAATTTCTTACACCTGTCTTTACTGCAGTCTCTGAACATAAATTGTGAAGATTTCATGGACATTTATCACTTCCCCAGTCAATACTCTTATGATTTCCTATGCCTGTCTTTACTTTAATCTCTTAATCCCGTCATCTTCGTAAGCTGAGGATGAATGTCTCCTCAGGACCCTGTGATGATTGCATTAACTGCACAAATTGTTTAAACAATATGAAATCTGGGCACCTTGAAAAAAGAACAGGATAACAGCAATGTTCAGGGAACAAGGGAGATAACCTTAAAGTCTGGCTGCCTGTGGGCTGGGTGGAACAGAGCCATATTTCTCTACTTTCAAAAGCAAATAGGAGAAATATCGCTGAATTCTTTTTCTCAGCAAGGAACATCCCTGAGAAAGAGAAGGCGTCCCTAAGGGGAGGCCTCTAAAATGGCTGCTTTGGGGCTGGCTGTCTTTTACGGTCATAGATGGGGGATGAAATAAGCCCTGGTCTCCCTTAGTGCTCCCAGGCTTATTAGGATGAGGAAATTCCCACCTAATAAATATTGGTCAGACTGGTTGTCTGCTCTCAAACCCTGTCTCCTGATAAGATGTTTTCAATGACAATGCATGCCCGAAACTTCATTAGCAATTTTAATTTCAACCCGGTCCTGAGATCTTGCCCTGCCTCCATTTGTCTTGTGATATTTTATTACCTTGTGAAGCATATGATCTCTGTGACCCACACCCTATTCGTACACTCCCTCCCCTTTTGAAAATCACTAATAAAAACTTGCTGGTTTTGCGGCTTGGGGGGCATCACGGAACCTGCTGACATGTGATGTCTCCCCCGGACACCCAGCTTTAAAATTTCTCTTTTGTACTCTTTCCCTTTATTTCCCAGACTGGCCGACACTTAGGGAAAATAGAAAATAACCTATATGAAATATTGGGGGTGAATTTCCCCCGATATTGTTATTAGCTATAAATTAGTTAAATTGGGGATCATGTACTAATGTGACGATTTGATTATGGAATAATTGAACTATAGCCATTCTTCCTGGCAGTATTAAATAGTGCTATCTCTATGTGGTTGGTATATAGAAAACAAGGCAATTTTTAAAAGTAGTAGGATTAATATTTATCTTGTATATTAAATTGGTACGTGAAATTAAGTCTGCTTTACAAATTAAATCTAGTCTAGTATCTTCATTTTGTGTCTGGAATTGGTTCCTGCCAGTGGGTTCGTGGTCTTCCTGACTTCAAGAATGGAGCCGCAGACCTTCGCGGTCAATGTTACAGCTCTTAAAGATGGCATGGACCCAAAGAAAGAGTGGTAGCAAGGTTTACTGTGCAAAGCAAAAGGACAAAGCTTCCACAGCATGGAAGGGGACCCGAGCGGGTTGCCGCTACTGGCTGTGGTAGCCAGCTTTTATTCCCTTACTTGTCCCCTCCTGTGTTCTGTTTCTGTGCTATCAGAATGCCCCTTTTTCAGTCCTCCCTGCAATTGGCTACTTTTAGGATCCTGCTGATTGGTGTGTTTTACAGAGCGCTGATTGGTGCATTTTACAATCCTCTTGTAAGACAGAAAAGTTCTCCAAGTCCCCATTCGACCCAGGAAGTCCAGCTAGCTTCACCTCTCAATTTCATAGATGGGGATACTAATACTTTTGAGAAGTTAAATGATTTAATGAAGGCCACCTAGTTAGTACTGTGATAGAATTAAGACTGGAACACAAAGCTCCCATTTCTCCCTCCCACCCCGCAAGATGTAAAAAGTAACATATGCCCTTGTAGATAATTTGAAAAATGCTGAAGAAAGAGAAAATCATTTATAATGGCACAATCCAGAGATAACCCCACTTAACATTTTGGTAAATTGGACTGAGGCCTCATGGAGGAAGCTCATATTATTACTGATTTGAGAATGTTTACCTGTAATTTTCTTTCTTGAATGATTTTTGGGTAGTTATTTTGCTAATAATTTATTCTATTTTGTGTAGATTTTCAAATTTATGAGTATAAAGTTGTTCACAGCGGCCTCTTAATATCTTCTTAGGTCTGCAGCATCTCTGTTGCTTCTTTTGTCATTACTGCCATTGGTTATTTGTGCCTCTCCCTTTTTCTTCAGCAAAGGTTTATCAACTTTATTAATCTTTTTTAAAGAACCCACTTTAGCTTTACCACTTCTCTCTGTTATATACTTATTTTCTATTTTATTAATGTTTTTCTTAATTTATTATTTCCTTTCTTCTATATTATATTAATTGTGCTGTTTTTCCCCTACCTTATTGAGCTAAATGCTTAGCTCATTTTTGTCTTTCTCCCTAATAGATGAATTTAGAATGTACGTTTTCTTCCAAGATCTGCATTCTCTGCATTCTACAAAGCTGTTTTTAAAACCATGCACTCATAAGTAATTTGGAAGTAAATTTCTGAATATATGAGACTTTTAAAGTTACAAATATGCTTACTAATTTCTAGCATAGCTGTATTGTGTGCAAGTGGCATGCGGTATGTACTTCTAGTCTTTTTAAGTTTATTGAAATTTCAGTTGGTCAGTTTTTATAAGTTTTTTTTTTTTTTTGAGATGGAGTCTCGCTCTGTCGCCCAGGCTGGAGTGCAGTGGCGCGATCTCGGCTCACTGCAAGCTCTGTCTCCTGGGTTCATGCCATTCTCCTGCCTTAGCCTCCCAAGTAGCTGGGACTACAGGCACCGGCCACCATGCCCGGCTAATTTTTTGTATTTTTATTGGAGACGGGGTTTCACCATGTTAGCCAGGATGGTCTCGATCTCCTGACCTCATGATCTGCCCGCCTCGGCCTCCCAAAGTTCTGGGATTACAGGCGTGAGCCACCGTGCCTGGCCTTTATAAGTGTTTCATATGTGCTTAAAGAAAATGTGTCCTCTTCAATTGTTGGACAGAATTTTATATATTTTAGGTCAAGGTTGTTAATCATGTTCTTTAAATCTCCTAAAACTTTACCGCTTTTCTGTCTGCTTATTCATTTTGCTGAGAGATGTGTTAAAATCTACTATAAATATGCATTTATTCCTATCTTGTGGTTTTGTTAATTTTGTTTTATTTATTTGTGCTTACAAGTTTAAAATTATTATATCTTCTTGGTGAATTGATCTGTTGATCATTAGGAAGTAACCCTTTTTGATTTCTAACAGTGCTTCTGCAGTGTACTTTCTCTGGCATTAATATAGTTTTATTAGCTTTCTTTGGTTGGCATTTGTACAGTCTTATCTTTTTACTTCAACTTTTCTGCATAGTTACGTTTCAGATCGTTCTTCCAAATACAGTGATGCATTGATTAACAATGAAGATGCATTCAATATATTGCTAGGCAATTTCATCGTCGTGCAAACATCATAAAGTGTACTTACACAAACCTAGATAGTTTTTTTTTTTTTTTTTAAGACTGACTTTCACTCTTGTTGCCCAGGCTGGAGTGCAATGGCGCAATCTCTGCTCACTGCAACCTCCGTTCTCCCGGGTTTAAGTGATTTTCCTGCCTCAACCTCCCAAATAGCTGGAATTACAGGCATGTACCACCATGCCTGGCTAATTTTTGTATTTTTAGTAGAGGTGGGGTTTCACCATGTTGGCCAGGCTGGTCTCAAACTCCTGACCTCAGGTGATCCATCCTCCTTGGCCTCCCAAAGTGCAGGGATTACAGGCGTGAGCCACCACACCCGGCCACAAACGTAGATAGTATAGCCTAGAACATATCTAGGCTATATGGTATAGCCTGTTGCTCCCAGGCTACAAAGCTATATAGCCTGTTACTGTACTGAATAATGTACCCAGTTGTACTGCATTGGTATTTGTGTATCTAAACATATCTAAATGTAGAAAAGGTACAGTGAAAATATGGCATTATAATCTTATGGGACCACCATCATAGTTTATGTGTGGTCCATTGTAGACCGGGTCCGTTGTAGAATGTTACGTGGCACATGACTGTAAAACATAGTTGGATTTTTAAAAATACAGCCTGACAATTTCTGTGTTCACTAGAACTTTCACTTCATTTATACTTAATGTAATTACTGGCATGTTTGTGTTTAAATTCACAATCTTACTATGTGCTTTTTATTTGTTCCTTTTGTTCTTTGCTCCTTTTTCTCCTTTCTTGTGTCTTTTGAAATGAATTTTTTCATTCAGTTTTTTCCCTCTAGTCCTAAGACTCCATATTCTGTTTCTATTCTTTTGCTAGTTACTCTAGAAATTACAGGATGCATTCTTAACTTATTTCACTTATTGAAGCCTTATGAGGGTTTACATTCTTTGTAGACAATTCAAGAACCTTTTGTATTGCTTTTTAACTCCCTTCCTGCTTATAATATATCCTTCTATGGTAAGCCTATTTTTATAACCCTGGAAGACATTATTATTTTACAGAGTCAATGCTTACTTAGATTTACCCATATGTTACTTTGCTCTTCGTTTCTTCCTTCCTCTCTTACATTCCATTTGAGATCATTTTCCTTCTTCCTGGAGAATCTCCATTAGAATTTCCTTGGTATCAATCTGTTAGTGTTGTAATGTTGTCTTTTGTTTGTCTAAAAAAGCCTTTTTTTTTCATTCTTTTTTAAACTTTTAGTTTCAGGGGTACATGTGCAGGTTTATTATACAGGTAAGTTGTGTGTTGCTTGGTTTGGTGTACAGATTATTTTGTCACCCAGGTAATAAGTATAGTTCCCGATAGGTAGTTTTTTGATCCTCTCCCTCTTCCTTCCTTCCACTCTTAAGTATGCTGTGGCATCTATTGTTCCCTTCTTTGTGTCCATGTGTACTCAGTGTTTAGCTTCCACTTATAAATGAGAATATGTGGTATTTGGTTTTCTGTTTCTGCCTTAGTTTACTTAGGATAATGGCCTCCAACTACATACATGTTCTTGCAAAGGACATGATCTCATTTTTTTGGCTGCATAGTATTCTGTGGCATATGTGTACCACATTTTCTTTATCCAGTCTATTATTGATGGGCATCTAGGTTGATTCCCTGTCTTTGCAATTGTGAATAGTGCTGCAGTGGACATACGCATGCATGCGTCTTCATGGTATAACGATTTATATTCCTTTGGCCATATACCCAATAATGGGATTGCTGGGTTGAATTGTAGTTCTGTTTTTATTTTGTTTCATTCTTTTTTTTTTGAGACTGAGTCTTGCTCTGTTGCCCAGGCTGGAGTGTAGTGGTGTGATCTTGGCTCACTGCAACCTCCGCCTCCCAGGTTCACGTGGTTCTCCTGCCTCAGCCTCCCAAGTAGCTGGGATTACAGGTGCGCACCACCACATCTGGCTAATTTTTGTATTTTTAGGAGAGAAGGGTTTCACCATGTTGGCCAGGCTGGTCTTGAACTCCTGACCTCAAGCAGTCTGCCCACCTCAGCCTCCAAAAGTGCTGGGATTACAGGTGTGAGCCCAGCCTATTTTGTTTCATTCTTGAAAGGCCGTTTTGCTGTCTTTTAGCAGGTAGACAGGTAGGTAGAGCATGGCAGTGTTTTCTTTCAGCACCTTGAGGATTATAGTCTTCTGGTCTCTACTGTTTCTGTTGAGACGTAAACTGCTAATTTACTGTTGGTTCTTTGAAAGTTATATATTTTTTTCTCTTAGTTGCCTTTGAGATTTTTTTCCTTTGTGTTTCTGAAGTTTTGCTGTGTTTGGTCTATGTATACATTTAAAAAATCTGCTTGGGAGTTTTCAAATCTGTAAATTAATATCTTTCATCATTTATTGAAAAATTTCAGCTGTTTCTTCAAATATTGCCTCTGCCCTGATTGACCTTATAAAACAAATAAATATGTTTCAGACTTTCTGACTTTATTTCTGTGACTAATACCTTTTGCCATGTTTTCTATCTTTTTTTTTCTTTTTTCTTTTTTTGAGACGGAGTCTCGCTCTGTCGCTCAGGCTGGAGTGCAATGGTGCGGTCTCGGCTCACTGCAAGCTCTGCCTCCCGGGTTCGAGCCATTCTTCTGCCTCAGCCTCCCGAGTAGCTGGGACTACAGGCACCTGCCACCGTGCCTGGCTAATTTTTTGTATTTTTAGTAGAGACGGGGTTTCACTGTGTTAGCCAGGATGGTCTTGATTTCCTGACCTTGTGATCCGCCTGCCTCGGCCTCCCAAAGTGCTGGGATTACAGACGTGAGCCACCGCGCCCGGCCTTTTTTTTTTTGGTGGGGGCAGAGTCTCACTCTGTCACCCAGGCTCTGGAGTGCAGTGGAGCAATCTCAGCTTACTGCAAGTTCCACCTCCCAGGTTCAAGCGATTCTCCTGCCTCAGCCTCCCGAGTAGCTGGGATTACAGGCATCCATCACCATGCCTAGCTAATTTTTAAATTTTTAGTAGGGACAGGGTTTCGCCATGTTGGCTAGGCTGGTCTCGAACTCTGACCTCAGGTGATCTGCCCACCTTGGCCTCCGAAAGTGCTGGGATTACAGGCCTGAGCCACCTTGCCCGGCCCCATGTTTTCTATCTTTTTATCCTTTTGTGCAACATTCTAGATGTTTTTTTCTAATCAATTTGCAAATCCTATATTCAGCCATGTCTAATTTGCTGTTAAAGCCATCCGTAAGTTCTTAGTTTTGGTTGTTACACTGGTTCTTTCATGAGGTCTTTTTTCCTTGTGTGATAGATATTGTTGACTTTGTGTATTTGAAAAAAGACTTTTAGGAATAACCTAAGGCCCAAGATGGTGGTATCTTACCCAAAAGGGAATTTTAATTTAATTAGGTGACATGTCTTGGGGATTTTACTGTTTAGGGAAGACATTAATTCAAGCGCAAGGCTTGAAATTTTCTAAACCATCTAAATGATGCAAAGACAGATGCGAATCTCTACAAGTGGCCGGGCGCCATGGCTCATGCCTGTAATCCCAGCACTTTGGGAGGCTGTGGTGCGTGGATAACCTGAGGTCAGGAGTTCGAGACCAGCCTGGTCAACTGGTGAAACCCTGTCTCTACTAAAAATACGAAATTAGCTGGGCATAGCGTCGTCCCAGCTACTCGGGAGGCTGAGGCAGAAGAATTGCTTGAACCCGGGAGGCAGAGGTTGCAGTGAGCTGAGATCGCGCCACTGCACTCCAGCCTGGGCGACAAGAACAAAACTCCCATCTCACATCCACACCCCCACACACACACATACAAAATCTCTATAAGTGTGTTGGTTTAATTCTAGGTCTCTAATGTTATGTGGATTAATCTTCAAGATTTCAGTTTAAAGTGTTGGGTAGTTTATTGGAGTCCCATCTTTTGTCAGATGGAGCACTTTCATTTTTGTTCCTCTAGATCCAAGAGACCATCAAAATGCAGCTCAGTTTTACCCTCACTCTTTTAGATTAGCAAATGCTGTTAGGACAAATTGGCATTCAGTGCTGAGCACAGCCTTATGTTCTCCTTTTCTCTTAGATTTTGGCCCACTAATTCCTCACAGTATTTTTTATTTTTTTAGCTCTTTGAGTGTTTTTACATCTATGTTCATTAAGAATATTAATCTGGGGCCGGGCGCGGTGGCTCACGCCTGTAATCCCAGCACTTTGGGAGGCCGAGGCGGGTGGATCATGAGGTCAGGAGATCGAGACCATCCTGGCTAACAAGGTGAAACCCCGTCTCTACTAAAAATACAAAATATTAGCCGGGCGCGGTGGCGGGCGCCTGTAGTCCCAGCTACTGGGGAGGCTGAGGCGGGAGAATGGCGTGAACCCGGGAAGCGGAGCTTGCAGTGAGCCGAGATTGCGCCACTGCAGTCCGCAGTCCGGCCTGGGCGACAGAGCGAGACTCCGTCTCAAAAAAAAAAAAAAAAAAAAAAAAAAAAAAAAAAAAAGAATATTAATCTGTATGGGCTGGGCCGGGTAGCTCACACCTATAATCCCAGCAGTTTGGAAGGCCAAAGCAGGCAGATCACTTGAAGTCAGGAGTTCGAGACCAGCCTGGCCAACACGGTGAAACCCTGTCTCTACTAAAAATACAAAAATTAGCCAGGCATGGTGGCACACGCCTGTAGTCCCAGCCACTTGGGAGGTTGAGGCACTAGAATCACTTGAACCCAAGAGGTAGAGGTGGCAGTGAGCTGAGATGATGCTACTGCACTCTAGCCTGAGTGACAGAGTGAGACGCTGTTTAAAAAAAATACATATATTTATATGTTTTTTTCCCCCGTTGTACTGTTTTTGTCGAGTTTTGGTATCATGCTAAGATGTTTTTTGTATATTTCATGAAGCTTTTTGTGTTTTAAATTTAGATCCTATGATTCATTTTGAGTTAATTTTTGTGTAAAATATCAGATTAGATTTTTTTTTTGATATATGAACATCCAGTTGTTCCAACACCATTTGTTGAAAAGCTGCCCTTTCTCCATTGAATTGCCTTTGTACCTTTGTAAAAAATCAATTGGCTATATTTTTGTGGGTCTATTTCTGGAATCTGTATTCTGTTGCACTGATCTATGTCTCTATCCTTTTGCCACAATACCACTGTCTTGATTATTGACTTTATGGTAAGTCTTATAATTGAGTAGTGTGATTCTTTGAACTTTATTCTCTTTTTTTACAATTGTTTTAGTTATTCTAGTTCCTTTACCTTTCCATTTAAATTTTAGGATCAGTTTGTCCATAGCTACAAAAAAAATCCTACTGGGAATGAACTTGATTGCCTTTCTTTTAAATCTGTAGATCAATTTGTGGAGAAGTGACATCTTTGAGTCTTCCAATTATGAACATATGTCTATATTTATTTAGATCTTCTTTGATTTTTCATCAGTGTTTATGCATATAGATCTGATACATGTTTTGTTAGAAGTATTTAATTTTTCAGACCTATGTTAAAATGGTATCTTTTTAAACATTTTATTTTCCAATTGTTTCCAGTTGTTCATGGCTGCACAGAAATTCTGATTTTGTATCCTGTGACCTTATTAGCACTAGGCTTCTTTTTTTTTTTTGTAAATCTCTTGGGATTTTCAGTGTAGATATCCACACTAGCTGCAAATTAGACAGTTTGAATTCTTCTTTTCCAATGTATGTGTTCTTTTTTTTTTTTTCCTTATTGCAGTACTAGGTTTTTTTTTTATAGATGCCCTTTATAAGGCTGAGAAGATTCTTTTTTATTCCTTGTTTGCTGAAAGTTATTATCATAAAGGAATCTTGAGTATTGTCAAGTGCTTTTTCTGTATGCATTAATATGGTTATATATTTTTTCTTTAAATTATTAATGTGTGGATTGCCGTGATTGAGTTTTGAAAATTGAATCAGTCTTGTAGTACCAGTATAAGCCCCACTTCGTTATGGTATATTATTGTTTTTATTTGTGGCTGGATTTGATTTGCTAATATTTTATTGAGTGTGTTTGCATCTGTGTTCATTAAGAATATTTTTTATTATGTTTTTTCTCCTGTACTGTTTTTGTCTGGTTTTGGTATCATTGTAATACTAGCTTCATGAGTTTGGAAGTATTTTGTCCTTTTCTTTTTTTTTTTCAGACGGAGTCTCACTGTGTCACCCAGGCTGGAGTGCAGTGGTGCAATCTCAGCTCACTGCAAGCTCCGCCTCCCGGGTTCGCGCCATTCTCCTGCCTCAGCCTCGTGACTAGCTGGGACTACTGGTGCCTGCCACCACGCCCGGCTAATTTTTTTTTGTTTTTTAGTAGAGATGGGGTTTCGCCATGTTAGCTAGTATGGTGTCGATCTCCTGACCTCGTGATCTGCCTGCCTGGGCCTCCCAAAGTGCTGGGATTACAGGCGTGAGTCACTGCGCCCGGCCGTATTTTGTCCTTTTCTACTTTCTCTCAGGATTATGTAGAATAGGTGTTATTTCTTTTTTAAATGTTAGTAGAATTTATAAGTGAAACAATCTGGGCCTGGAGTTTTCTTTTTCAGAAGGGTTTTAACTATACGTTTAATTTATTTAATAGTTAAAGGACTATCCTAGTAATATGTTTCAGCTTGGGTGTGTTTTTACTGTTTTTGGTTTTAGAGGAATTGGTCTTTTTCATCTGTTTCATTTTTATAGGTTTGCGTATAGAGTTGTTTGTGGCATTTCGTTATTATACTTTTAATGTGTGCAGGGTTAGTACTGATACCCCTCTTTTATTCTTGATATTGGTAATTTGTGTCTTTTCTCTTTGCCTATCTTGCTGAAGTTTTTATGTTATATTGCTCTTTTGATTTCATTCATATTCACTCTTGGTTTTCTGTTAATATCATTGATATCTGCTTTTTTATTGTTTCCTGCCTTCTATGTGATTTGGAATTGTTTTACTCTTCTTTTTCTAATTGATTAAGATGGAAACCTATGTTATTGATTTGGGGAGTGCCCACACTTCTTTAAACATTTTTCTACTAGCCATTTTAACATCTTTGTCAGTTGATTTCAACATCTGTGTCTTGTTGTCTCTTCTCTTGCAAGTTGAGATTTTCTTAGTTCTTTATATGAGTAATTTTGGATTATGCCTGGACATTTAAAAATATTACGTTATGCGACTCTGGGCCTTTTGTAAATCCTATGGAGAATGTTGATATTTTTGTTTTAGCAGGAATTAGAGCTGGCTGGGTTGAGATGGAAAGGTTTGACCAACCTTCTGTATATTGTAGTTTCCATGTAAGTTCCATTTTCAAAGCCTTTGCAGTGCTAGCTGAATATACTCTATCCTGTGATGTGCCACTGAGTGGCCAGTATGGAACCTGGGCAGTGGTCTCAAGGTCTTTGCTCTGCTGTTTAAGCTTAAGATTATGCTTGCACAGCCTGGGGATGAGCCCGGGAGTTTACAAGCAAGTTTGTTGAGTTGCCTTTCCAGACTCCTCTTTCTGTGACTTTCCTGGTACTTTCTGGTTTTCTGGCTGGAAAACCAGTCACTTCCTGTGACTGTACCTGTCTATATTCAGTGCCAAAGTACCTGTAGAGAAAGAAAAAGAGCAACGTGGATCCACTCTACTCTCTTGGGGTCATGGCACCTCAGAGTAGAACTGTGGAATTATTTGGGGGCTGTGATATCAGAAAATAGAGAAAAGGGAAAAAAAAGATAAAGGGAGAATTTTTCCTCCCTTTCTGTGAACATTAAGAGTCTCCTTTCCCATTCCTTGAGCCAAAAGTAAATGGCTTCTCCTGGAGCTCTCTGTTTTTGCTGCTTGGTTTAGGCCTGACAGTCCAGGCCTAACTTAGTTCAGTAAAATGGGAAACTCTGCTAGAATAGTGAACTTCAAACTCCATTCTTCTTACCGCATTTATCTGCTATAATTCACCTTATTAAGAGTCCTCAAATAGCTGTTCTGTGCTTTCTGTTTATGTTTTATGGCTGCATCAAGTGGGAGAGACATCACTGTGGTTACTTTATTTTACTTGGAACTGGAGCTATGATGTCATTTTTCATACCATCAAAAAGGACCTAGCAACAAATCTAATGATATATGTGTAAAACTCCTATAAGCAAAATTAATAAACTTTATTGAGAGACTTAAAGGAGATAAATACTATGTTCATGGACTGGAAGATTCACTACTGTAAAAATATCAACCATTTCCAAGCTTATTTATGTATCTTTGATGCATTCCCAATCAAAATTTTAAGAGAATTTTGTGGAATTTGATAGAATGATGCTAAAATTTTATGGAGCTAGATAGTGCCAAGAATAGATAAGGCAATATTGAAGAGCAATAAAGAAGACTTCTACCAGCTCAAGACTTATAAAAGTTGTAGTCATTAAGATAGTGAGATGGCAGTCTGAGGACAAATACACCAAAATCAGCACCAGAAAGAGACCCACACATTTGTTGATGTTTGATTTATATCACAATTGGCATGGTAGAGTAACAGGATGGTTGATCTTTTCAATCAGTGGTGCTGGGACATCTTGTTATCTACATAGGAAAGAAGGAAGACTTGGTCCCTATCTCACCCCATACATAAAAATTAACTCCAAGTAGATTAGAGATGTGCAAGACAGAACAATACATATTTTAGAAGGGAGAATTCAGAGGAATACATGTAGAGGAAAATGTATTGCTAACCTTGAGGTTGCAAAAGATTTCTTAAAACATCAAATTTTTTTTTTTTTTTTTGAGATGGAGTCTTGCTTTGTCACCCAGGCTGGAATGCAGTGGTGCAATCTCGGCTCACTGCAAGCTCCGCCTCCCAGGTTCACGCCATTCTCCTGCCTCAGCCTCCCGAGTAGCTGGGACTACAGGCGCCTGCCACCACGCCCGGCTAATTTTTTGTATTTTTAGTAGAGATGGGGTTTCACCACGTTAGCCAGGGTGGTCTCAATATCCTGACCTTGTGATCCGCCCGCCTCGGTCTCCCAAAGTGCTGGGATTACAGGCATAAGCCACCATGCCTGGCCAAATTGTTTTATTTTCCTCTAATTTGATCTTTCTTGAGAGTGTCTGTAAACTCTCTGGAGAGTGGCTGTTAACTGTATGTCTGTCCTGATGGGGCTCCAGGGATTATTGTGGAGCTGGGATATGACCATATGAGATGGTCATGGATGTTTACAGTCTGTCTTTCATGAGATAGTTTTTTATCTTGGTAGATGTCCTAATGCTTAAATGTCAGACCTATGGCCAGGTGTTCTTCTCACAGGAAACTTATACTGGCAGATACCCTTGTGGTTCTTGTCCTATCCGTGTCCAGTTTATTTGACCAAGACAGCCACGCTCTAGGAGAACCCTGACCAAGCGGAGAATTAGGTTCAGGTGTGTTGGTCAGGTGAGCTACAGAGGAGATGGTAAAACAAAACGCATGAAATAACAAGCAGTTTTAATTTCAGATTTTAGAGAGAAGAGAAAGTAGCACACCTTGCAAGGTCAACAGGAAGAGGGGTGCCACCTAGGACACGCAAGTGCAACCAGTGGATGGGATGAAAGAGAAAGGACCTAGGGAACTAAAGCCTTTACTGGGGTCCAGGGTGTTCTTAACCAAGCAAGTTTCCTATGAGGAGTTCTAATTTGTAGGTTGGAGCAAGCAGGCATGAGTCATGCTGTGACTAAGAGGTGGTCACTGAGGCATATCTGTGCAGGGTTTGGGGTCATTAGGGTGAGTCAGGTAGATTCTACCTAGCTCTCCTAAAAGGAGGTGATAACCAGGAGGTGGTTGTAAAAGGCAGGTATCTTGATTGACCACATTGAGGACCTGGGAGGAAATGGAGAACTAAAAACTGTGTCAAGGGTGACTGAGCCCTGATTCTTGAATGAGAAAGTCAGACTTATACTTGAAACGAATGCCAAGGCAACCTAAAATTATAGGAATTCACTACACAAATAAACCACAATTGCAGATAGAAATATTTTGGATATTGTGAGCCAGGTTTCTCATTATTGAAGAAGAGAGTTACAAGTGTAGAAAGTGGGAAGGCAGCCGGGTGCAATGGGTCACACCTGTAATCCCAGCACTTTGGGAGGCTGAGGCGGGCAGATCACGAGGTCAGGAGATTGAGACCATCCTGGCTAACACAGTGAAACCCTGTCTCTACTAAAAATACAAAAAATTAGCTGGGCATGTTGGCACGTGCCTGTAATCCCAGCTACTTGGGAGGCTGAGGCAGAAGAATCGCTTGAACGTGGGAGGTGAAGGTTGCAGTGAGCCAAGATGGCACCACTGCACTCCAGCCTGGGTGACAAAGCGAGACTCCATCTCAAAAAAAGAGAAAGTGGGAAGGCCAGAATGAACCTTGTCAATATAATTGCATTAGAGGCATTAGTGTGACCTCATAGATGTGTATGTGTCTATACACATATGAATATATTACATGTTTATATGAATAATGTGTGTATGTATACATGCATATATTTGTGTATATTTAAACAGACATAGAGCAGTGATGTATAGGTATAGAGATATGTAGATATGATACGGATGTTTGTATTGGTGTGTCTTTGATCCTAAGCCCTTTCAGTGGACAGTTGAAAATAGATATGTGTGTGTCTGTCTATAGATACATACATAAACATACACACACATTTGTTTTCCTAACTGTCAGCTGAGAGGCCTAGAAGCAGTGATACCCCTGTAGCAGTGAACACAACTGGCATCTAGATCTTGGTTTCTAAATACCTTTGTCCACTAAAAGGAACCACTATTTCTTGGAGGAATAGCTGATTTTAGGCTGGAGCATGAAAAATGAGATGAATCTGGAATTTCTTGTGCCAGAAAGTAAGGAATTGCTCAAAGAATGGTCATAGCATGTCATAATGACACTGGAGCTAGCTTAAAGGTCTTCCACTGGCCAAATCTGGGACAATCTGGGTATGAAAATAAATGATAGTGGATTATAACCCTTTGAATAAGATAAAAATCCATGAATTTTTACTGATATAAATAAGTACACAAATAAGGAACGCTCTTCTTTACAGAGGGAAACTGACAAATGATGCAACGATGGAATTAGAAAATTGCCATTTGGCAGCCATCATAGTAGTACTAAAACTAATGGATGAAAGTTTAGTAAGGAACAGGATATTTACATAATCTCAAAATATATTCCCACAGTATACTTATTAATTATAAAGGAAAAACAACATAGAGGAGAAACCTGGAAGATACTATCTGCATTTGCTGTCCAAAGTAAACATCATCAGAGATGGGGCAAATTAACAGAAGTGCCACCTGATAAAATGCAATAAGAACATTGCTACATTTCTGTGGTATTCCTGCCCCAAACCCATAACCTAAATCTAATTGAGAGGAAACATCAGAGAAACCTGCATTTTAAGATATTCTATAAAATAACTGATCTGTGTTCTTCAAAAGTGTTAATGCCATGAAAGACAAAGAAAGAGTGAAGAATTATTCCAGATTAAAGGAGTCTAAAAAGACATAGCTAAACACTTAATCTGGAATTTTCTTTTACTATAAAGGACACTATTGCAGCAGTTCAAGAAATCTAAGCTCTATAGATAATAGTATTTTATCAGTATCCATTGCCCGATCTTGATAATTGTACTGTGGTCATATAAGACATTTTTAAGGGGAAACATTAAAGTATTAAGGAATAAAAAGGAATCATGCCTGCAACTTTCAAATGGTCCAGAAAAAAATATATGTATGTATACAGAGACAAGGGTAAAGCAGATGTAAAATATTAACATTTGGGGAATGTGGTATACAGGAACTTTTTATAACTTTGTATAACTGTATAAATTTACAACTTTTTGTAAGCCTGAAATTATGTCAAAATAAAAAACTAAAAGTAAAGGAAGTACTGTATCATAAAAGGAGATTAATGATAGATTGGACTACTTTAAAATTAGGAACTTCCTCAAAGATAGCATTAAAAGTGAAATGCAAGTTGTGGAGTTGGAGAAAAGAATTGCAACATCTATATTTGACAAAGGACTAGTATCCAGAATATAACAATATCTACAAATAAGAAAATGATAACAATAACGGATGAAATATTTGAACAGGTGCGTCACAAGAGAAAATCTAAATGACCGGTAAATATTTGAAAAGGAGCCATAGCTCATTAATAATCACAAAAAGACAGATTGAAATCAGGAGATTCTATTATATACCTAACAGATTTGCACAAAATTACTTACTCTCACATGTATCTGGTGATGGCAAGGATGTCCAGTGATGGGAATTCTCATGCACTGCTAGTGACAGTATAAATTGGTACAACTATTTTGGAAAACAATTTAGCATTAATGCCAAAATTTAAGATACGCCTAACCTGTGATCCATCAGTTCCTCTTTTGTGTGTATATTCTAGAGAAATGCATGCACGTATGCGAGATTTCCCTACAAGAATGTTCATAGCAGCATTGTATGTAATAGGCAAAATGTCCATCAACATTAGAGTGGATAAATTGTGGTACATACCAGGGAATATTAATAAGAAATGAAAGTGAGTGAATCACAGTTACATACACCAGGATAAACTTCTGACCTAATGTTCAGAGAAAGAGACACAAAAGCATACAGTATGATTCCATTTACATAAAGTTCAGAGGGGAGGCAAAACTAAACCATATTGTTTAGGCATGCATACAGAGGTTGAAAAACTACAAAGAAAAATAAGGGGGTGATTTCCCAAAAAGGGTAGTGGCTACTTTTGCTTGAGACGGAGAAGTGTAATTTGGAAGGGACAGATAATCTTTTGAGTTGCTGGAAATACTCTTCTCTTCTTGGGTGGTGGTTACACATGTACTCACTTTAATTTATTCTTTGTGGAGGATGTTTTAGGTACACCTCTGAATTTAAAACATTGTCTTAGTGGGTTTTGTGAGGTTTTATGAGGGATTATGTAGGTGCATGTTTGTCTGCTTTTTTATTATTATTATTATACTTTAAGTTTTAGGGTACATGTGCACAACGTGCAGGTTAGTTACATATGTATACATGTGCCATGTTGGTGTGCTGCACCCATCAACTTGTCATTTAACATTAGGTATATCTCCTAATGCTATCCCACCCCCCTCCTCCCACCTCACAACAGGCCCCGGTGTGTGATGTTCCCCTTCCTGTGTCCATGTGTTCTTATTGTTCAGTTCCCACCTATGAGTGAGAACATGCGGTGTTTGGTTTTTTGTCTTTGCGATAGTTAGCTGAGAATGATGGTTTCCAGCTTCATCCATGTTCCTACAAAGGACATGAACTCATCATTTTTTATGGCTGCATAGCATTCCATGGTGTATATGTGCCACATTTTCTTAATCCAGTCTATCATTGTTGGACATTTGGGTTGGTTCCAAGTCTTTGCTATTGTGAACAGTGCCGCAGTAAACATATGTGTGCATGTGTCTTTATAGCAGCATGATTTATAATCCTTTGGGTATATACCCAGTAATGGGATTGCTGGGTCAAATGGTATTTCTAGTTCAAGATCCCTGAGGAATTGCCACACTGACTTCCACAATGGTCGAACTAGTTTACAGTCCCACCAGCAGTGTAAAAGTGTTCCTATTTCTCCACATCCTCTCCAGCACCTGTTGTTTCCTGACTTTTTAATGATCGCCATTCTAACTGGTGTGAGATGGTATCTCATTGTGGTTTTGATCTGCATTTCTCTGATGACCAGTGATGATGAGCATTTTTTCATGTGTCTTTTGGCTGCATAAATGTCTTCTTTTGAGAAGTGTCTGTTCATATCCTTCGCCCACTTTTTGATGGGGCTGTTTGTTTTTTTCTTGTAGATTTGTTTGAGTTCATTGTAGATTCTGGATATTAGCCCTTTGTCAGATGAGTAGTTTGCGAAAATTTTCTCCCATTCTGTAGGTTGCCTGTTCACTCTGATGGTAGTTTCTTTTGCTGTGCAGAAGCTCTTTAGTTTAATTAGATCCCTTTTGTCAATTTTGGCTTTTGTTGCCACTGCTTTTGGTGTTTTAGACATGAAGTCCTTGCCCATGCCTATGTCCTGAATGTTATTGCCTAGGTTTTCTTCTAGGGTTTTTATGGTTTTAGGTCTAACATTTAAGTCTTTAATCCATCTTGAATTAATTTTTGTATAAGGTGTAAGGAAGGGATCCAGTTTCAGCTTTCTACCTATGGCTAGCCAGTTTTCCCAGCACCATTTATTAAATAAGAAATCCTTTCCCCGTTTCTTGCTTTTGTCAGGTTTGTCAAAGATCAGATGGTTGTAGATATGTGGCATTATTTCTGAGGGCTCTGTTCTGTTCCATTGATCTATATCTCTGTTTTGGTACCAGTACCATACTGTTTTGGTTACTGTAGCCTTGTAGTATAGTTTGAAGTCAGGTGGCGTGATGCCTCCAGCTTTGTTCTTTTGGCTTAGGATTGACTTGGCAATGCAGGCTCTGTTTTGGTTCCATATGAACTTTAAAGTAGTTTTTTCCAATTCTGTGAAGAAAGTCATTGGTAGCTTGATGGATGGCATTGAATCTATAAATTACCTTGGGCAGTATGGCCATTTTCACGATATTGATTCTTCCTACCCATGAACATGGAATGTTCTTCCATTTATTTGTATCCTCTTTTATTTCATTGAGCAGTGGTTTGTAGTTCTCCTTGAAGAGGTCCTTCATGTCCTTTGTAAGATGAATTCCTAGATATTTTATTCTCTTTGAAGCAATTGTGAGTGGGAGTTCACTCATGATTTGGCTCTCTGTTTGTCTGTTATTGGTATATAAGAATGCTTGTGATTTTTGCACATTGATTTTGTATCCTGAGACTTTGCTGAAGTTGCCTATCAGCTTAAGGAGATTTTGGGCTGAGATGATGGGGTTTTCTGGATATACAATCATGTCATCTGCAAACAGGGACAATTTGACTTCCTCTTTTCCTAATTGAATACCCTTTATTTCCTTCTCCTGCCTGATTGCCCTGGCCAGAACTTCCAACACTATATTGAATAGGAGTGGTGAGAGAGGACATCCCTGTCTTGTGCCAGTTTTCAAAGGGAATGCTTCCAGTTTTTGCCCATTCACTATGATATTGGCTGTGATATGACAGACCGTCATAGATAGCTCTTATTATTTTGACATACAACCCATCAATACCTAATTTATTGAGAGTTTTTAGCATGAAGGTTGTTGAATTTTGTCAAAGGCCTTTTCTGCGTCTCTTGAGATAATCATACGGTTTTTGTCTTTGGTTCTGTTTATATGCTGGATTACATTTATTGATTTGCGTATGTTGAACCAGCCTTGCATCCCAGGGATGAAGCCCACTTGATCATGGTGGATAAGCTTCTTGATGTGCTGCTGGATTTGGTTTGCCAGTATTTTATTGAGGATTTTTGCATCAATGTTCATCAGGGATATTGGTCTAAAATTCTCTTTTTTTGTTGTGTCTCTGCCAGGCTTTGGTATCAGGATGATGCTGGCCTCATAAAATGAGTTAGGGAGGATTCCCTCTTTTTCTTTTGATTGGAATAGTTTCAGGAGGAATGGTACCAGCTCCTCCTTGTACCTCTGGTAGAATTTGGCTGTGAATCCATCTGGTCCTGGATTTTTTTGGTTGGTAAGCTATTAATTATTGCCTCAATTTCAGAGCCTGTTATTGGTCTGTTCAGAGATTCAACTTCTTCCTGGTTTAGTCTTTGGAGGGTGTATGTGTCGAGGAATTTATCCATTTCTTCTAGATTTTCTAGTTTATTTGTGTAGAGGTGTTTATAGTATTCTCTGATGGTAGTTTGTATTTCTGTGGGATCAGTGGTGATATCCCCTTTATCATTTTTTGTTGCATCTATTTGATTCTTCTCTTTTCTTCTTTATTAGTCTTGCTAGTGGTCTATCAATTTTGTTGATCTTTTCAAAAAACCAGCTTCTGGATTCATTGATTTTTTTGAAGGGTTTTTTGTGTCTCTATTTCCTTCAGTTCTGCTCTGATCTTAGTTATTTCTTGCCTTCTGCTAGCTTTTGACTGTGTTTGCTCTTGCTTCTCTAGTTCTTTTAATTGTGATGTTAGGGTGTCAGTTTTAGATCTTTCCTGCTTTCTCTTGTGGGCATTTAGTGCTATAAATTTCCCTCTACACACTGCTTTGAATGTGTCCCAGAGATTCTGGTATGTCATGTCTTTGTTCTCATTGGTTTCAAAGAACATCTTTATTTCTGCCTTCATTTCGTTATTTACCCAGTAGTCATTCAGGAGCAGGTTGTTGAGTTTCCATGTAGTTGAGCGGTTTTGAGTGAGTTTCTTAATCCTGAGTTCTAGTTTGATTGCACTGTGGTCTGAGAGACAGTTTGTTATAATTTCTGTTCTTTTCCATTTGCTGAGGAGTGCTTTACTTCCAACTATGTGGTCAATTTTGGAATAAGTGCGGTGTTGTGCTGAGAAGAATGTATATTCTGTTGATTTGGGGTGGAGAGTTCTGTAGATGTCTATTAGGTCTGCTTGGTGCAGAGCTGAGTTGAATTCCTGGATATCCTTGTTAACCTTCTGTCTCGTTGATCTGTCTAATGTTGACAGTGGGGTGTTAAAGTCTCCCATTATTATTGTGTGGGAGTCTAAGTCTCTTTCTAGGTCTCTAAAGACTTGCTTTATGAATCTGGGTGTTCCTGTATTAGGTGCATATATATTTAGGATAGTTAGCTCTTCTTGTTGAATTCAGCCCTTTACCATTATGTAATGGCCTTCTTTGTCTCTTTTGATCTTTGTTGGTTTAAAGTCTGTTTTATCAGAGACTAGGATTGCAACCCCTGCCTTTTTTTGTTTTCTATTTGCTTGGTAGATCTTCCTCCATCCCTTTGTTTTGAGCGTATGTGTGTCTCTGCACGTGAGATGGGTTTCCTGAATACAGCACACTGATGGGTCTTGACTCTTTATCCAATTTGCCAGTCTGTGTCTTTTAATTGGAGCATTTAGCCCATTTACATTTAAGGTTAATATTGTCAGGTGTGAATTTGATCCTGTCATTATGATGTTAGCTGGTTATTTTGCTCATTAGTTGATGCAATGTCTTCTTAGCCTCGATGGTCTTTACAATTTGGCATGTTTTTACAGTGGCTGGTACTGGTTGTTCCTTTCCATGTTTAGTGCTTCCTTCAGGAGCTCTTTTAGGGCAGGCCTGGCAGTGACAAAATCTCTCAGCATTTGCTTGTCTATAAAGGATTTTATTTCTCCTTCACTTATGAAGCTTAGTTTGGCTGGATATGAAATTCTGGGTGAAAATTCTTTTCTTTAAGAATGTTGAATATTGGCCCCCACTCTCTTCTGGCTCTTGTAGAGTTTATGCCGAGAGATCAGCTGTTAGTCTGATGGGCTTCCATTTGTGGGTGGACCTTTCTCTCTGGCTGCGCTTAACATTTTTTCCTTCATTTCAACTTTGGTTAATCAGACAATTATGTGTCTTGGAGTTGCTCTTGTCAAGGAGTATCTTTGTGGCGTTCTCTGTATTTCCTGAATTTGAATGTTGGCCTGCCTTGCTGGATTGGGGAAGTTCTCCTGGATAATATCCTGTAGAGTGTTTTCCAACTTGGTTCCATTGTCCCTGTCACTTTCAGGTACACCAATGAGACGTAGATTTGGTCTTTTCACATAGTCCCATATTTCTTGGAGGCTTTGTTCGTTTCTTTTTATTCTTTTTTCTCTTAACTTCTCTTCTTGCTTCATTTCATTCATTTCATCTTCCATCACTGATACCCTTTCTTCCAGTTGATCGAATCAGCGACTGAGGCTTGTGCATTCGTCATGTAGTTCCTGTGCCTTGGTTTTTAGCTCCATCAGGTCCTTTAAGGACTTCTCTGCATTGGTTATTCTAGTTAGCCATTCGTCTATTTTTTTTTTCAAGGTTTTTAACTTCTTTGCCATGGGTTCGAACGTTCTCCTTTAGCTCGGAGTAGTTTGATCGTCTGAAGCCTTCTTCTCTCAGCTCGTCAAAGTCATTCTCCGTCCAGCTTTGTTCCGTTGCTGATGAGGAGCTGCTTTCCTTTGGAGGAGGAGAGGCGCTCTGATTTTTAGAGTTTCCAGTTTTTCTGCTCTGTTTTTTCCCCATCTTTGTGGTTTTATCTACCTTTGGTCTTTGATGATGGTGACGTACAGATGGGGTTTTGGTGTGGATGTCCTTTCTGTTTGCTAGTTTTCCTTCTAAGAGTCAGGACCCTCAGCTGCAGGTCTGTTGGAGTTTGCTGGAGGTCCACTCCAGACCCTGTTTGCCTGGGTATCAGCAGCTGAGGCTGCAGAACAGCGGATATTGGTGAACAGCGGATCGTTCCTCTGGAAGTTTTGTCTCAGAGGAGTACCCGGCCATGTGCGGTGTCAGTCTGCCCCTACTGGGGGGTGCCTCCCAGTTAGGCTACTCGGGGGTCAGGGACCCACTTGAGGAGGCAGTCTGTCCGTTCTCAGATGTCCAGCTGAGTGCTGGGAGAACCACTGCTCTCTTCAAGGCTGTCAGACGGACATTTAAGTCTGCAGAGGGTTCTGCTGCCTTTTGTTTAGCTGTGCCCTGCCCCCACAGGTGGAGTCTACAGAGGCAGGCAGGCCTCCTTGAACTGAGGTGGGCTCCACCCAGTTGGAGCTTCCCACCGCTTTGTTTACCTACTCAAGGCTGGGCAATGGTGGGCGCCCCTCCCCCAGCCGCACTGCCACCTTGCAGTTTGATCTCAGACTGCTGTGCTAGCAATGAGCGAGGCTCTGTGGGCGTAGGACCCTCCGAGCCAGGCGCGGGATATAATCTCCTGGTGTGCTGTTTGCTAAGACCATTGCAAAAGCACAGTATTAGGGTGGGAGTGACCCGATTTTCCAGGTGCCGTCTGTCACCGCTTTCTTTGACTAGGAAAGGGAATTCCCTGACCCCTTGCGCTTCCTGGGTGAGGCGATGCCTCGCCCTGCTTCGGTTCACGTTCGGTGCACTGCATCCACTGTCCTGCATCCACTTTCCGACACTCCCCAGTGAGATGAACCCGGTACCTCAGTTGGAAATGCAGAAATCACCCATCTTCTGCGTCGCTCACTCTGGGAGCTGTAGACTGGAGCTGTTCCTATTCGGCCATCTTGGCTCCACCCCCCTTGTCTGCTATTTTTAATGAGAATCTCAAGCCTTTACAAATTAAAAAAATACAAACAAAAACTTACTGTCCACTTCTCTCTCTCTCCTCCTGTCCTAGCAAAATATAAGCACATGTGGCAGGATCCTGTGTGTATTTTCTACCACATTATGCCCTGTGTGCCTGGTCTAGAGTAACTGCTCAACAGACATTTGTTGACTTAATGCTTAGCAGTTATCGTATTATGAATAGTTGTTGAATAAAGAGTTAAAATGGAAGTTGGGTGCAGTGGCATGCCTGTAGTTTCAGCTACTTGGGAGGCTGAGGTGGGAGGATCACCTGAGCCTAGGAGTTTGAGTCCAACTAACATATTGAGACCCCATCTCTTAAAAAAAAAAAATTAAAATGGAACTAGTCAAGGCAGATTACCTTAGTAATGGGAAATTTATTGTAAGGATATAGAAAAGAGAATAGTAGACAAATCTTCCAAGAGTCTTGTAACACAAGTTGTAGTACAGCTGAGCCTCAGTTATCAGGGACTCATTTCTGTGGACTGCTTACTCTTTCTAGTGGGCTATGTGGTCTCTTACAGTGTCTGTTCCTCTTTTTGTGTTGGGTCTATTAAAACTGGCTTACATGAGAATCACAGTGACTTCCCTGGCCTCTGTGTACATAAAGCCATTTTGGCTTTAGTGCCTGTTAATACCTGCTACATTTCTTGATTTTACTAGTTGAATATCTAGGAAGTAGAATCTGACCCAGTTCACTCTTTTAAGCCAGACCACATCATAGCTTGCTGGCTAGCCTATGGCTTTTGGTATTAAATTCTTGGTCTTTGGAATCAAGTGTCAACGCCAGATCCAGTCAGTTTTATACTGTTGATCACGTGGTCTGCCAGGGCTGCTCTTTCAGAAGGACTGTAGATGGGGCACTTTTCTCTAGAAAGGCCTGTGAATAAGATGAACAATACATTTGACATGATAAAGCATAATTTTTCTATTATGTGTTGTTTAGATTGTTTGCTTTTTTATTGCTTTACATAATGGTGCAATAAACATCTTAATACTAATTGTGATCTTTGTTTGCATGTCTGGATGTTTTCTTAGGGTCGAGTCCTAAAAAGAGATTTACTGAATCAAAGTACTCTATTTAATTCTCTTTATAGTCTCTTAATTCATAATATCGAATTATTTTCCAGAAAAGTTGTATGGTTTGATGCTGTACCATACTCTAGCTCATTGCTTTTTCTATACTTTATTAAAGGCTGAAAAAAAGTACATTTAGCTATCTAATGCTCAAAAGCCTTGCAATCACATATTCTGGGTTCCAAGCAATCACAGATAACTTTAGTAACTGCTATCACTGTATGCATCCTGTTTTGCTCTCTTTCCTCCCAGAATTCTCATTGTACTCCTTACCCTAATTTCATGGCCAAATCCACATTTTCTTTGAAGCCCTGCTCTGTATATCCCTAATCTTTGTACCAGTTTTGCTTCTAGTCAGGGCAAGAGGCAAATGTACTGAAGTAAGAGCAAGGTTTATTTTAAGATACACAATAAACCATCAAGGAAGAGCAATTGGACTTCAGAGTAATTGGAAATAGAAAGCTGGTAGTATCAACTGCTTTGTTTTAGGGATTTTATGCATTGTTTTCTTACAGGTCTTTCTTGTCTTTGGGCATCTGATCTATTTGCTTCTGAAACTTGTGAGTTCCTCTTCAAGTTGCACATGATTCTTAATAGTTGCCTTATTTCTGAATATGCATGACTTTTCAGCTCCACTCTTTCTGGTAACTCTGGGTCTTTTGGTTTAAATTTCCCGGAGTAGACTTTGATTGGCTTAGCTCATCTTTTCCAGCTGGTTATTAGCCACCGTCATTTCCAGATGGTTATTAGTCATTATTCTGGACCATCCTCTAATTCTGCCATCTGTGAGGAGGGGAAACATCACAAAGTAAAGAACATACTGTGCCTGCTTACCTACGGCTCTATGTAAAATAGTGCACACTGGATTATTTAATCTTTTGGAGACTTTTTGAAGCAAATTTGTGTACAGCCACAGAAATACAGTGTAAAAAAGGGGTCTCAAATGATCTAGCTGAAATCTTTCATTTGGCTGCTGAAGGAAACATCTATAGGAAGATTGTGATATACCCATTGTTACAGTGTTAGCTCCTCTAGATTCTCAGGAATATGCTCTTTCCATCATACTGAAGGTGTTGGAAGTTTAATTACAGTTTAATAGTATAATCACAATTTAATAGTTTAATCATACTATTTGAGCAAAGTTTTTGGGACACTGTTACGACTATTTCCCTCAAAATATCAACATTTAGATTAAATGGTTTTCCAGAAATTTCCAATAGTTACAAAAATAATTTGAAGTTGTCATAAATATTAATTTATGTTGGTATATATGACATAATATACAATTAACTTTAAAACTTTCAAATGTAAAATGTATTAAGAACAAATTGAGAAACAGTATTGTGGCTGGGTGTGGCAGCTCACACCTGTAATCCCAGCACTTTAGGAGGTTGAGGCCTGTAATCCCAGCGCTCCTGGCCAGATCACTTGAGCCCAGGAGTTCGAGACTAGCCTGGACAACATGGTGAAATACTATCTCTACCAAAAAATACAAAAAATTAACAGGGTGTGGTGCTTGCACCTGTGGTCCTAGCTATTTGGGAGGCTGAAGTGGGAGGATTGCTTGAGTCTGGGAGGTGGCAGTTGAAGAGAGCTGAGATTGTGCCACTGCACTCCAGCCTAGGGGACAGGGTGAGACCTCATCTCAAAAAAAAAAAAAACCCCTAAACAATATTGGGTCATCACCATCAGAGTGAACAGGCGACCTACAGAATGGGAAAAAAATTCTGCAACCTACTCAGCTGACAAAGCACTAATATCCAGAATCTACAATTAACTCAAACAAATTTACAAGAAAAAAACAAACAACCCCATCAAAAAGTGGGCAAAGGATATGAACAGACACTTCTCAAAAGAAGACATTTATGCAGCCAAAAAACATCTGAAAAAATGCTCATCATCACTGGCCATCAGAGAAATGCAAATCAAAACCACAATGAGATACCATCTCACACCAGTTAGAATGGCGATCATTAAAAAGTCAGGAAACAACAGGTGCTGGAGAGGATGTGGAGAAATAGGAACACTTTTACACTGCTGGTGGGACTGTAAACTGGTTCAACCATTGTGGAAGTCAGTGTGGCGATTCCTCAGGGATCTAGAGCTAGAAATACCATCTGACCCAGCCATCCCATTACTGGCTATATACCCAAAGGTTTATAAATCATGCTGCTATAAAGACACATGCACACGTATGTTTACTGCGGCACTATTCACAATAGCAAAGACTTGGAACCAACCCAAATATCCAACAATGATAGACTGGATTAAGAAAATGTGGCACATATACACCATGGAATGCTATGCAGCCATAAAAAATGATGAGTTCATGTCCTTTGTAGGGACATGGATGAAGCTGGAAACCATCATTCTCAGCAAACTGTCTCAAGGACAAAAAACCAAACACTGCATATTCTCACTCGTAGGTGGGAATTGAACAATGACAACACATGGACACAGGAAGGAGAACATCACATACCGGGACCTGTTGTGGGGTGGGGGGACGGGGGAGGGATAGCATTAGGAGATATACCTAATGCTAAATGATGAGTTAATGGGTGCAGCACACCAACATGGCACATGTATACATATGTAACAAACCTGCACGTTGTGCACATGTACCCTAAAACTTAAAGTATAATAAAAAAAGTTATTTTTATTTCTTTAGAAGTAGCTATTTTAAAAAGTAGTATTTTACTTCATTATTTGTTATGAAGCAAATTGTTACATACTCCAAGCTTTTGAGAATAAATTTGAGGCTAAAAGGTGACTGTAGGTTTTTGTATATGTTGGCCAGGCCATGGGACTGATTTTTACAGTATTGATTTTTTTTTTTTTTAGAGATTTTTGACAATGAATACTTTGAATGGTTTATTCTTAGCACTGACATATAAATAGTTATTAAAAGCACTGACATATAAAATATAAGATATAAGATTTTTGATTTCCACTTCCGGATCTACCTTTTATTGAGAATGCAGGCAAGCTGGAGATAGAGTTGGTTTTATAATGGTTAATTAGAGCAAATAATTAATTATTGCATATTTTGCTTTTCAAGGTCTCATTTTCCTTTCAGATATTACTACCACCAGTGAAAAAAACACGTTTTTCTTCTTTATCAGAGGTATATAAATAGACTTAGTTTGGACCACAAGTTTGTTTCTCTTTAGCTTAGTACTTAGAAGTTTGTTATAGCTCCATCTATTAGTAAATTATCAAAATTGGCTAGTTTTTTTTTAGTAACATTAAATTACTCTTTTTAAAGTCTAAATTTAAAATTTTACTTTTATAAAGAAAGTTCTTTCTTTCAGGCCAGTTGCTGTTTTGGAGTAGTTAGGAAGAAATTTGAAATCATCTTGCCTTTTACCACTTACTCATAAACGCTTAGAACGTTTTCTTAAGTTTTCTTCTGTTGTTTTTTTCTTCCCATAGATTTTTGTTTTTACATATTTGTAGTCAAGCTTTGTCTTATGTTTCCCTCGACATAGCACCCACAGCTTTGCGTTTTTCTACTGCTCTTGCATAAATTTTGTTAATTTTGCATTTTCTGATATGAGTTGTTTCTAAGAGGAACAGTCCCTTTGATTACCACACAAGCAGTCGTTATTAGGTTATTTCCAACATTTCCGTACTCATCATTGACTTAGGTTAAACTTTTTTGCTGTAAGCTTTCTTCATACTGTCTAGTTCCTTTTTCATGTATTTATTTTGCTTATTCAGCACTCTCGAGTGGACTTTGGGCAGTTAGAATAACTGAATCATGTCAGTAAAGTGTGTTCTCAATCATGTGGACAAAAGAACTTATTCAAATGCTACCCCTTCCCTGCTTTTCTTACTGTAGTGTGGACTTACATCTCAATGGTAGGAGTTTTATGTATCTTGGAGTTGGCGGTGCCTTGTGGTGGGTGGGAGTTAATAATGGTAAGGGTTTGTTTGTAGGTGTGAAAAACTGCAGAAAGACAAATGGACCAATAATATGAATAGTCAGTTTACAGAGAAAGAAATATAAATGGCTGATAAATATGTGAAAAGATGCTTATCTTCTAATAAAAATACAAATTAGAACAGGGAGATGTCAGGTTTTGTTGGAATGGAAAGATTAAAACATTTGATAATGATTGGGGTTAGTGAGTAAGTGGAGAAATAGGTACTTTTATACAGCTTGGGGCTATAATCTTTTTGGAAGACAATTTGCAGTTGCAATTAATTTTAATCACTGATCCAGCATATTATATCTTAGAATTTATCCTGTAGGGATTCTTGGACACATACGCATATATCATCTATACATACATGTTCATCGAAGCATTGTTTGAAATAGTAAAAGACTGGAAACAACCAAAATTAATTATGGCAAAGCCACAACATGAAATACTAATACTGTGCAGCTATTAAGAAGAATGAATATAAACAGAGCCAAAGACAAAAACCACATGATTATCTCAATAGATGCAGAAAAAGCCTTTGACAAAATTCAACAACCCTTCATGCTAAAAACTCTCAATAAATTAGGTATTGATGGGACGTATTTCAAAATAATAAGAGCTATCTATGACAAACCCACAGCCAATATCATACTGAATGGGCAAAAAC
Organism: Homo sapiens; assembly: GCF_000001405.40. Taxonomy (NCBI): domain Eukaryota; kingdom Metazoa; phylum Chordata; class Mammalia; order Primates; family Hominidae; genus Homo; species Homo sapiens. Next base: position 51,585,229 of record NC_000015.10, on the reverse strand, counting down.
TGGAAGCATTCCCTTTGAAAACTGGCACATGACAGGGATGCCCTCTCTCACCGCTCCTATTCAACATAGTGTTGGAAGTTCTGGCCAGGGCAATCAGGCAGGAGAAGGAAATAAAGGGTATTCAATTAGGAAAAGAGGAAGTCAAATTGTCCCTGTTTGCAGACGACATGATTGTTTATCTAGAAAACCCCATCGTCTCAGCCCAAAATCTCCTTAAGCTGATAAGCAACTTCAGCAAAGTCTCAGGATACAAAATCAATGTACAAAAATCACAAGCATTCTTATACACCAACAACAGACAAACAGAGAGCCAAATCATGGGTGAACTCCCATTCACAATTGCTTCAAAGAGAATAAAATACCTAGGAATCCAACTTACAAGGGATGTGAAGGACCTCTTCAAGGAGAACTACAAACCACTGCTCAAGGAAATAAAAGAGGACACAAACAAATGGAAGAACATTCCATGCTCATGGGTAGGAAGAATCAATATCGTGAAAATGGCCATACTGCCCAAGGTAATTTACAGATTCAATGCCATCCCCATCAAGCTACCAATGACTTTCTTCACAGAATTGGAAAAAACTACTTTAAAGTTCATATGGAACCAAAAAAGAGCCCGCATTGCCAAGTCAATCCTAAGCCAAAAGAACAAAGCTGGAGGCATCACACTACCTGACTTCAAACTATACTACAAGGCTACAGTAACCAAAACAGCATGGTACTGGTACCAAAACAGAGATATAGATCAATGGAACAGAACAGAGCCCTCAGAAATAATGCCGCATATCTACAACTATCTGATCTTTGACAAACCTGAGAAAAACAAGCAATGGGGAAAGGATTCCCTATTTAATAAATGGTGCTGGGAAAACTGGCTAGCCATATGTAGAAAGCTGAAACTGGATCCCTTCCTTACACCTTATACAAAAATCAATTCAAGATGGATTAAAGATTTAAACGTTAGACCTAAAACCATAAAAACCCTAGAAGAAAACCTAGGCATTACCATTCAGGACATAGGTATGGGCAAGGACTTCATGTCCAAAACACCAAAAGCAATGGCAACAAAAGCCAAAATTGACAAATGGGATCTAATTAAACTAAAGAGCTTCTGCACAGCAAAAGAAACTACCATCAGAGTGAACAGGCAACCTACAACGTGGGAGAAAATTTTCGCAACCTACTCATCTGACAAAGGGCTAATATCCAGAATCTACAATGAACTCAAACAAATTTACAAGAAAAAAACAAACAACCCCATCAAAAAGTGGGCGAAGGACATGAACAGACACTTCTCAAAAGAAGACATTTATGCAGCCAAAAAACACATGAAGAAATGCTCATCATCACTGGCCATCAGAGAAATGCAAATCAAAACCACTATGAGATATCATCTCACACCAGTTAGAATGGCAATCATTAAAAAGTCAGGAAACAACAGGTGCTGGAGAGGATGTGGAGAAATAGGAACACTTTTACACTGTTGGTGGGACTGTAAACTAGTTCAACCATTGTGGAAGTCAGTGTGGCGATTCCTCAGGGATCTAGAACTAGAAATACCATTTGACCCAGCCATCCCATTACTGGGTATATACCCAAAGGACTATAAATCATGCTGCTATAAAGACACATGCACACGTATGTTTATCGCGGCACTATTCACAATAGCAAAGACTTGGAACCAACCCAAATGTCCAACAATGATAGACTGGATTAAGAAAATGTGGCACATATACACCATGGAATACTATGCAGCCATAAAAAATGATGAGTTCATATCCTTTGTAGGGACATGGATGAAATTGGAAACCAACATTCTCAGTAAACTATCGCAAGAACAAAAAACCAAACACCGCATATTCTCACTCATAGGTGGGAATTGAACAATGAGATCACATGGACACAGGAAGGGGAATATCACACTCTGGGGACTGTGGTGGGGTCGGGGGAGGGGGGAGGGATAGCATTGGGAGATATACCTAATGCTAGATGACACATTAGTGGGTGCAGCGCACCAGCATGGCACATGTATACATATGTAACTAACCTGCACAATGTGCACATGTACCCTAAAACTTAGAGTATAATAAAAAAAAAAAAAAAAAGAAAAAAAAAAAAAAGAAGAATGAAGTAATTTCCTCTGTGCTGATGTAGAAAGTTCTTCAAGATACATTGTTAACTAAGTGGAAAATAAGTGGCAGAATTGTGTATAGCATGATCCCATTTATGTTAAAAGAAGATATATAAAAGATATACTTTTATATATTGAACATTTCAGGAAGGGTTCATAGGTAATTATTAAGTAATTGCTTCCTGGGAATGAGGAGGGGAGGGGTAAGAAGGGTGAAAAGGATGAGAAGGTGACTTCATTTTCTTATTTAATTTTAAAATTTAATATATGTGTGATTTCCTCTATGAAAAAGAAAATCTTGTTACTGAAAACATTAATATTAAACATTTTATGTGCCTTATTTACCTTGTACATGATTTCAATGTATATGTGACTTGTGAAATTTCTTGCTTAATCAGGAACGTATTAAGGAAACCTATTTGTCCTTTTTAGAAATTAATAATTCTGAGAGTATCATAAAGAGCTAGGGTTTTAATTAGGTGACTAAAATGGAGAGAAGGAATGGGTGTTTTCCTGGGAAATCTTTGTTAATCTGTGTTTTGTCCTCTTGGTTGTAAGATTTTTCATATGTCAACACTGGCCTCTTAAGACTTTCTATAAGATCTCTTGGTACAGCCAAGTAACCATCAAAGCCCAGACAACCCTGCCTTCCTGTTAGTTTTTTTGTTTATGAGCAAAGATCACAGCAGAAGTGAAGAATTTAAATGCAATTAATAAAGAGCAAAAAATTTGAGCAACAGAAAACGAAACGATAGAAAAATGTCATTAGTAAAGTGGAAAAAACAGTAAAGAGGGCTGAGTTTGAATTATAGTCATGTATTTACCTTGTGACATAGGAATTTGATTAAATCCTGTGAAATTCCTTTTTCAAAAATATTAAGGTGGGATTAATAACCAACTTCTAGGATTGTGGCAGTCTTGAAAGAAAGATTAGGAATATAGAATGAAAATAGTATAATACTTGTCACCCAGTAGGTTTTTAATAAATGGTACCTCCTTCTTGTAATTATTTTTCTAACTCTTAATAAAATGTACCTTCTTCAGTAGAAAAGTAGACATATTTACATTGATCAAAACTCACTCCCAGGGAGCGGTGGGAGTTTAATAGTAACACTCTTGATATAGTATTCTTGGTAAGATTATAGTACTTTGTTAAACCTCTCAACATGCTTAGTACACCTTGATTTATCAGGTTTTGTTTCTTTTTTTTGGTCTTTGAAGTTTAGACACTTATCAGTAGTTGTCAATGATCTCAAACTTTGACCCTGTAACTTCCGGGATGTTAAAACATCCAACTATTCTATAGTAAATGCTAATGTAATTAATCTATTGTATGCTATAGTTTCATAGGAAATGTGGTCATGTTTGTTTAAGCTTTTTAAAAGTTTTCCTTTTGTTACTCTCCACTTCAATTTATCTGAGACATAAAGGAAATTTGAGAAATTAGAACAGTGTTTGTGGGATTAGAGTATTAGTTTTCTTTTCTGAAAATAATGTAGTTAAGACAATTATATATAAAACTAAAGTTAGAGAAGACTGAATGAGTGTGTTATGCCTCTTCACACTGCATTTTAAAAGACCTCTCAACATGCCTAATACTCCCTTATCAGTGCTTTTTTTGTCTCTTAAATTTAGACGCATCTGTCAGTGGTTGTCAGTGATCTCAAAATTTGCATTGTTCATTAGGACATTAAACCCTCTAGAGCAGCGGTCTCCAACCTTTTTGGTACCAAGGACCGGTTTTGTGGAAGACAGTTTTTCTACAGCGAGGGGTGAAGGAGAGGGATGGTTTTGGGATGATTCAAGCACATTATGTTTATCATTAGATTCTCATAAAGAGCATACAGCCTACATCCCTAGCATGTGCAGTTTACAATAGGGCTTGAGTTCCTATGAGAATCTAATGCCACCGCTGATCTGGCAGGATGTGGAGCTCAGGCAGTATTGCTCACTCACTCACTGCTCACCTCCTGCTGTGAGGCCCAGTTCCTAACAGGCCATGGACTGGTAGTAGGAATTGGGGACCCCTGCTCTAAAGAAAGCAGCAATATCTTTATTGTGGTAATAGTACCACAGCAAAGAAAAGAAACACATTCGCACAACTTTAAATACAATTTTTCGGAGTTCAGAGACCTACTGAGGCCATCTATGACTTATGTCTATTAGACTTCAGGTTGAAAACTTTTAGTTTCAATGTTCAAAGCAGAGAATACTTTTCTCTTTCCTAATAGGATGGATTTGGTCTATAAGAATAGGATTATAACAAGTGAGGGTTAATATTTTTAAAGTTTTTTTTGGATGTAACAGCTTATGCTACAGAATTATCTCTGAGCTGTGAATTACTAATATCAGCTAATCATTCTTTATCATCAGAGAAACAGTTTAGTCCTTTTATAAAACAAATCCTCCCACATGAATGGAAGGAAAGCAATTTTTCTAAGACTCTTCCTCTTTTCTTGGGCCTTCTCTGTGTGTAGGGGCTGAGCCATATCCTTGATTTCAAGATAAAGTGTTTTATAGGTCAGTACTGTTAGAAGAGCAGTACACTCGTATATTGTGCTCTGGCACAGGTCAGCTCTACAAAGAATCCAAGGAGGGATAATCCGGTCAAGGGATTCCATTTCTCCAGAAAAGGCTTGCAGTCCTTTTCCTTGCCTCCCTATAATAATCCTGTGGCCTATCTCCCACATGTGAAGAGGTTAGTTTACTAACTTTACTAACTTAGCTTAGTCAGAAGTATTTCATTTATCTAACACAAAGGAGCCCACATCCATACTCTCTGGGGTCAATTTAGTATTTGCTTGTAGTCTTAACGAACACCCTGTTTTCCTCCTGCACTATAAATTCTTCCTCTGGTAAAACTAGATTCTGAAAAAGAATGGAACAAAATCACTTTTGATCTCTCTAAAATTGAGAGAATGGGAATCTTTTGAGTAAATTATAGATTTTGTATAAACTGTTGGTCTTTACAGAATGCTTATTCTGTGCTCCATGATGTGGTAAATTAATTGGGATTACAAAAATGAACACACTCCTTCTAGCACCAACAGGATCTTCATGGAATAGAGGTAGGGCAATGCAATGGAAAGAGCAGGAACTTTACTGTGAAGCAAATGAATCCTCATTCAGTGAACTAGGGCAAATTACTTACCCTTTCTGGGCCTCAGCTTCTCTGTCTTCAAAAGCAGGCCTGTGAAGATAATGATAATTTTTGTAAAGACCCTAGCAAAACAGCTTGATCATAGTAGGTATTCAGTAAATGGTGAATTATAAGGAAGGCTTTGGTAGATTCTCTTCTAGTAGATCTTCTACATTTATTGATACTGTTAGCTGGAAAATCAGTCAGAATCTCTCCCTCTTTTCTTAAGCTTATGAGGATAGGTTGGCCAAATTATTAGCAACAAGGCAGTGTCAGTGTTTCAACTCCAAGTTCTTTGACTAAGTTTCTAGGTACTTAGACTTCTGGAGCCAGACATTCGGTTAGGAAGACTTTAATAATTTATTTACTATACAGCTATTTATTGACAGCTGCTTATGTGCTAGGTGTTGGGACCACAATGGTAAACAAGGACAAGGTAAGGTCCTTGCTCTGATGAACCATTCAGTATAGTGGGAACCAGACAGACATTAAACATGCCTTAAAACCATTAAAATCTCATGGGCCCTCAATTACAGAATGCATGTGATTCAGTACTGACTGATTATATGAGTCCCTTTTTCTTCCACCCTTGGATTATTTATGCATTAGACTCTTTAGAAAATGCCCCTGTGCACTTTTTCAAGCTGTTAGTGTGCAATAGTTTAAGAGATTCCATTCTAGCAGTAATCATGGTTATTATATAAAATGGTAGGCATTGCGTAACTCTGGTTCAACAGGAAACTAGCACCAGACATAAGTTGTTCCATTTTGATGGGAATTACTAGTTTGGTAGGGGGTTTGAGACCATTCTAAACCAGTGGTCTTTAAACTTTCCATTTTTTTCCTTTTCTTGAGACAGGGTCTCACTTAGTCACCCAGGCTGGAGTGCAGTGGTGCAATCATAGCTCACTTCAGCCTTGACTTCCCGGGCTTAAGTGATTCTCCCACCTCAGCTTCCCGAGTAGCTGGGACTGCAGTCGTGTGACACCACGCTCAACTAATTTTTGGATGTTCTGTAGAGATGAAGTCTCACTGTGTTTCCCAGGCTATTCTCGAACTCCTAGGCTCAAGTGATCTTCCTGCCTTGGCCTTCCAAAGTGTTGGGATTACAGGCATGAGCCACTGTACCCAGCCTCTTAACTTTTAGTAGCTGTGTAGTATTCCAGTGTAATTCAGTAATTTATTTAACTACTCCTCACTGATGAGTGGTATGATTATATTTAGTTTTTGCTACTATAAATACTGAGGCTCTGAATGTCCTACATATATTTTGGCAAACTTTTGTATATATACTTATAGGGTAAAATAGGGAATATTTGATCAAAAGGTATATTGTACTTAAGATTTTGATAGATATTGCCAAATTATTTTATCCATGTAGATTTTAATTTAGTCTGGTGTGGGACTGAGCAGTCTGTGTTTCTAACAGGTTTCCTAGGTGATTTTGATGCATCCAATTTGAACTATTGCCGGATCAGAAAAATGGAGTATAGTACACATTCTCTGGAAAACATCAGGCAATTATGGTTATCTAGGGAAGAGTAAAAAGCCTTTTCAGTGACTGAGCCGTAAGAGTGAATTTATCTTAAGTAGCACTAGTTGCTAGGGATGGCACATCTTTAGAGAAACAAAGTGTACTAATATTTATCTGGAATATTTTATGTCTTTTTGATATATAATGTAGGGAAAAGAATGTAAGAATTGTAAGGACCTGAGTTTGAACACTTTGCATTTAGTAACAGTAATCTTGGGCAAATTAATGCACTTGAATTTTTCTTTATACAGTGATAGTATCTACCCTCCAGGTTTGTTGCAAAGATAAAGAGAGAGTGATCCAACACTTGTTGAGTACTTCTTCTGTCTTCTACTATTTTATGACTGTCTCTGTCATGGCAGTTTGTCATTTAGTTGTAATTAGTAATTTACCTAGTCATCTCCCCATTAGAGTAACTGGGACCATGTCTTGCACTTTAGTGTTCTCAGTCCCTAGCCCAGACTTGAGACTTGGTGCACTGTTCTGTTTCTTAAATGACTGTGTAAATTTTCCATTTTAATTTTCACAAGTATCCTAAGAGACAAGTATTATTTGCTTCATTTTACCATGAGGAAATGCTTAGGGAACTTAAATAACTTTCTTAAGATAGCACAGCATGGCATAACCAAAACTGAAAACTGTGTGTGTGATTTCAAACTAGATAAAGTCTGCTTTTTCCATGAATCCACTTTGCTGAGATAATGATATAAGGCACGTTGGAAATTTTGAAATTGTTCCTCAAGAGTAAGATGATTTTTGTTATTTTAATACTATACTTTAAAAATTAGCATGGTGATCCAAACATTTCTTCTGCATATACTCAATATTCCCCTTCAGTTTGGCTTTCCTGAATTCATGGTATAACCAAGTCTGCCTTGTCTATAAGAATGTAAGTGATCATTTCCTCCTGTGAGTGATTTTCTCCATATTTTTCTTGCTTGAAATTCTGTCTTTGCTTTTCTTTTGGTGAACTTTTTGATTTTTATAAACACATGGGTTGAAGATGTTTTATATAGTGGTTATGGCAGGATTTTGGTAACATTGGAAGTTTTAGTAGAATTAATGTCTTCCTGTCTGGTCTTTATCTTCATTTCCCTCTTTCATTAGCAGCCTTATATGGATCCCTTCAGGGCATGGGTCACTGATTCAGATGTCATCACATGTCAGCCCTGGCTATTGGATATCTCTATTTTGTAGGTCGTAACCACACTGCTTAAGGGTGTGGAAACAGTGCGGAAAAATACCATTTCATAAGTTTTATGTTTATCTTGCTTTTAATGGAGCTTTTCTTTTGAGAATTGGGTTGTTAGGTTGTTTTGAATATTTAATCATAAGTAGTTTGGAAGAAAAAGAAATATGTCCCAACTCTCTGACCCTTAGGTCATAAAATTCACAAAGTTGCAAAACAGGAATAGCATACAGCAAGAAGTGTTGCAATAGGAAGAAATGTGTGGTTTTACTCATTAGAGTTGGACATGGGAATTTTCCCAACAATTTAATTCTGTGTTGTAGTCTATTTTCAAGATCATATAGTGGTATTTGCCCAATATTCTATATAAATTCATTCATTTTCTATTTTATTTGACTTTTTTACCTTTGGTAAAACAACTTTGGGTTGGTTTCCTTTCTCCCTCAGGCCTGATGATGTTGGGGATGGATGGTGGATGTTGGAGGCAGGCTGCGTTGTGGATTCATTTGAGTCTTGATGCATTTAAGTTTAGCCATTGCCTTAGTGCATGTAATTCTGCCTTTGTTGTTCATGTTTATTTAACTAGCTCTTTAAGGCATGTGGAATTGTGTTGGAAAATGCATGCCTGATTTCTATCTTGATATTTCTTAAGCCTGGTTTGAACCCTGGGAACACAGTTACAGTCTTCAGTGGCTTAGTATTTTTAGATGGAGCTTTTATACTTTAGGGTTTACTGAGATGAACTTTGGAGAGAAAGTCTAAACAGAATGACTTATGACCTGCAGGAACAGTGGCTGTTCTAAGAACTGGAAGAACCCTTTTCCTATTAGTAACAGTTGTTGAATGATAATGCATGGAGTGTCATCAGTTTATTTTTTAATGTGACTTTTAATGTTCTTATTTAGAAATTGATATTATATTAACTATTTTGTAAAATGTCCCAAGGTATACTTTATAATGGCAATAAAATCTAAGATAAAATAGTATGTAATAAGATTTCAAAAGTTACATATCTTATGTATTGTAAAACTTTTTTTTTTTTTTTTTTTTAGGCATATGGATCAGGCTGTGATATTGTTATTTTGGCAAATGACTTTGAATGTGTACAGATCATTCCTGGTGCTAAGCATGGAAACATCCAAGTCAGCTGTGTGGAGTGTTCTAACCAACAAGGAAGAGTAAGGGATTTAATTTCTTTACTGAATGTCATTTAAAAATGTGTTTAATAATCTCAGAATCTTCTTATCCTTTTATGCAAAGCTTGCGTATAATTTCTTATGTATTGCTTGGGTGATTATTAGCAGAAGTTGCAAAGTGATAGGTTTATACAAATTGTAAAGTGCCATTAAACTGATAATTTGATAATTGTTCTACAGCTGTATGTATACTGTCTTCAAAGATCTGTAGGCCTTACAATCCTGTGCATACTGATATTCTGCCAGTTAATACTTCTAGCAGCCATTAAGCCAGTAAGGGGAAGTAAACTTTTTTCTTCTCTACCTAGCACCCCTTATATCACTCATACTATAACATCAAAGTTTTATTAAGAAACTCTGCAAGTTGTTAATATCTAATATCATGCTTGTCATATAGGAAGTGCTTTGTAAAGTCTGTTAACATAATGAAAGATTTTTTGTTGAGTGAAGAGTCTTATGGTTCATTCAGGCTTTAAAACAGAGGTTTTATTTTGAAATAGTTAAAATTTCATCATATGTACCTCTCCCCCAATTTTCAAACATAATGTACATCAAATTTTGGTGGCATGTCAAGTAAATATAGGATGTTTGCTGTATACTCCAGCAATTCAGTAAGGCCAGTATTATGTAGCCGAGTTGAATGTCTCTACGAGAATAGAGTAATAAGGTTTTTACCTGTAATCATTGTAACAGTTTAAACAATCTTAGTGTTCTAGAAATTGTTATTTATTGGGTAACAAATTTGATCAAGAGTATGTTAAATCAGAATATTCATGGTGATAAATAGTAATCATACAAATTTATACTGAATGATAAATTATGGTTACTTTATCATACCATTTATCCTGCCCTATCCTACTGCCCATATCAAGCCTTAATATTTGTGTAAATGTACCAGTACTTGACAGTTCAGTGATACATTTGACCTAGTATTGAAACACGATTTCCTGGTGTTTCCTGGTACTTGTTTCTTGCTTTTCTAATTTTTCCCCCCAGGTACTCCCCACCCTCAAGCATTGCTTACACTTAGTTTAGAAAACATGGGGAGTGTCAGATTTCTCTTTTTAATTTTTTGTTGCTCTTCTCTCTAGGCCAAGCAAGGTAGCTTAAGCCTGCCTAAAGTTGTATGATAGTTGTCAGAGGTGAATTTTAGTAAATAACTCAAGTGCTGGTGATAATCGCAATGAACACACATTCTCTGGAAGTAAAACTTTTTAAAAAAGTATATAAGACATTGGTATTCATACCATGGGAAACAGAGCAACTTGTGTTTCTACTTTTCTTGAGATGGTTTAATGTAAATAAGGCAAAATTATAATATCTTTATTGTCTTTATTGACATCTTCGTTTAGTCCTTTTATCCCCCAGTCCTTGTGGTGATAACTTTCACATTGGTGACCTTGTATTAGTCTGTTATAATCATTCATTCATTGATTGACATGTTGAATGGAATTATTCACAACACTTTTTGCGTAAGTGTCATTTGAAGTAGCTTTCTGTTGTGGATTATGATTTTTCTTGGAAAGAATGTTAGATGTTGGATAAGAGTTAAAATCACTTTTTGGTATAACAGTGCCTTAAAATCACAGGGGATATTTTTGGCAGGCCTTAAAAGAATATATACCTAATTGAGTTTTAAAGGTTAACCAGGGTGCAGAGGTGTCAGAAAGGACGGTTTTTGGTCTATTCCCTGTAGTTAATTCCATCTTACCAAGAGGAGAGTGAACTTAGAAATAGCCTTCAAGAAATTATTGGAAAACAGGCTGTGGTAGTTTCTGGGAACAGAGGGATTTATGTCTTTTCTTACCAGGTATGTGACCTGGAACAAAATCCTCCTGGTCCCTAAATTTCTTGCTTCAGTCCTCTGGAGATGTCTTCATCAGCTCTTTCCCCCAGGTGCAGTTTATGGCTCCCTGACTTCTCCTTAGCCTGTTTTTTGTATTCCTTCCTCTAGATGGTGTCCCAATTGGTATTTTCTGTTTGATGGTATAATTAGGCCATTTTATTTGAAATATTTTTAAGACCTGTTATTAGTTGATGCTTTTCTCATAGATTTTATATTATTTTCACTGGATTATAAAGTTTCTGACAAAGATGCATGCTTTTGAAATGTATTTTTTAATAGTTATTTTATATTAAAAATAAAATTCTTATGAAAAATATGATTTTTTCCCATATGTATATATATATTTTTTATTATACTTTAAGTTCTGGGGCACACGTGCAGAACGTGTAGGTTTGTTACATAGGTATACACGTGCCATGGTGGTTTGCTGCACCCATCAACCCATCATCTACATTAGGTATTTCTCCTAATGCTATCCCTCCCCTAGCCCCCCGACCCCCTGACAGGCCTCAGTGTGTGATGTTTCCCCCAGTGTCCATGTGTTCTCGTTGTTCAACTCCCACTGATGAGTGAGGACATATTGTTTGGTTTTCTGTTTGTGTGTTAGTTTGCAGAGAATAATGGTTTCCAGCTTCTTCCATGTCCCTGCAAAGGACATGAACTCATCCTTTTTTATGGCTGTGTAGTATTCCATGGTGTATATGTGCCACATTTTCTTTATCCAGTCTATCATTGATGGGCATTTGGGTTGGTTCTAAGTCTTTGCTGTTGTGAACAGTGCTACAATAAACATACATGTGCATGTGTCTTTAAAGTAGAATGATTTATAATCCTTTGGGTATATACCCAGTAATGGGATTGGTGGGTCAAATGGTATTTCTGGTTCTAGATCCTTGAGGAATTCCCACACTGTCTTACACAAATGGTTGAACTAATTTACACTCCCACCAACAGTGTAAAAGCGTTCCTATTTCTCCACATCCTCTCCAGCATCTGTTGTTTCCTGGCTTTTTAATGATCACCATTCTAACTGATGTGAGATGGTATCTCATTGGGGTTTTGATTTGCATTTCTCTAATGACCAGTGATGACGAACATTTTTTTTCATATGTTTGTTGCTTATCAGCTTAAGGAGATTTTGGGCTGAGACAATGGGGTTTTCTAAATATACAATCATGTCATCTGCAAACAGAGATAATTTGACTTCCTCTCTTCCTAATTGAATACCCTTTATTTCTTTCTCTTGCCTGATTGCCCTGGCCAGAACTTCCAGTACTGTGTTGAATAGGAGTGTTGAGAGAGGGCATCCTTGTCTTGTACTGGTTTGCAAAGGGAATGCTTCCAGTTTTTGCCCATTTAGTATGATATTGGCTGTGGGTTTGTCATAAATAGCTCTTATTATTTTGAGATACGTTCCATCATTACCTAGTTTATTGAGAGTTTTTAGCATGAAGGGCTGTTGAATTTTGTCAAAGGCCTTTTCTGCATCTATTGAGATAATCATGTGGTTTTTGTCATCGGTTCTCTTTATGTGATGGATTACATTTATTGATTTGTGTATGTTGAACCAGCTTCTTATCCCAGGGATGAAGCCGATTTGATGGTGATGGACAAGCTTTTTGATGTGCTGCTGGATTTGGTTTGCCAGTATTTTATTGAGGATTTTTGCATTGATGTTCATCAGCCATATTGGTGTAAAATTTTCTTTTTTGGTTGTGTCTCTGCCAGGCTTTGGTATCAGGATGATGCTGGCCTCATAAAATGAGTTAGGGAGGATTCCCTCTTTTTTTATTGTTTGGAATAGTTTCAGAAGGAATGGTACCAGCTCCTTTTTGTACCTCTGGTAGAATTCAGCTGTGAATCCATCTGGTCCTGGACTTTTTTTGGTTGGTAGGCTATTAATTATTGCCTCAATTTCAGAACCTCTTATTGGTCTATTCAGGGATTCAACTTCTTCCTGGTTTAGTATTGGGAGGGTGTATGTGTCCAGGAATTTATCCATTTCTTCTAGATTTTCTAGTTTATGTGTGTAGAGGTGTTTATTGTATTCTCTGATGGTAGTTTGTGTTTCTGTGGGATCATTGGTGATATCCCCTTTATCATTTTCTATTGTGTCTATTTGATTCTTCTCTTTTTTTCTTTATTAGTCTGGCTAGTGGTCTATGTATTTTGTTAATCTTTTCAAAAAACCAGTTCCTGGATTCATTGATTTTTTGAAGAGTTTTTCATGTTTCCATCTCCTTCAGTTCTGCTCTGATCTTAGTTATTTCTTGCCTTCTGCTAGCTTTTGAATATGTTTGCTCTTGCTTCTCTAGTTCTTTTAATTGTGATGTTAGGGTGTCAATTTTAGATCTTTCCTGCTTTCTCTTGTGGGCATTTAGTGCTATAAATTTCCCTCTACACACTGCTTTGAATGTGTCCCAGAGATTCTGGTATGTTGTGTCTTTGTTCTCATTGGTTTCAGAGAACATCTTTTATTTCTGCCTTCATTTTGTTATTTACCCAGTAGTCATTCAGGAGCAGGTTGTTCAGTTTGCACGTAGTTGTGAGGTTTTGAGTGAATTTCTTAATTCTGAGTTCTAATATGATTGCGCTGTGGTCTGAGAGACTATTTGTTATGATTTCCATTCTTTTGCATTTGCTGAGGAGTGTTTTACTTCCAATTATGTGGTCAATTTTAGAATAAGTGTGATGTGGTGCTGAGAAGAATGTATACTCTGTTGATTTGGTGTGGTGAGTTCTGTAGATGTCTATTATGTCTGCTTGGTGCAGAGCTGAGTTCAAGCCCTGGTATCCTTGTTAATTTTCTGTCTTGTCGATGTGTCTATTATTGACAGTGGAGTGTTAAAGTCTCCCACTATTACTGTGTGGGAGTCTAAGTCTCTTTGTAGGTCTTTAAGAACTTGCTTTATGAATCTGGGTGCTCCTGTATTAGGTGCATATATATTTAGGATAGTTAGCTCTTCTCGTTGAATTGATCCCTTTACCATTATGTAATGGCCTTCTTTGTCTCTTTTGATCTTTGTTGATTTAAAGTCTGTTTTATCAGAGACTATGATTGCAACCCCTGCTTTTTTTTGCTTTCCATTTTCTTGGTAAATCTTCCTCTATCCCTTTATTTTCAGCCTGTATGTGTGTCTGCATGTGAGATGGGTCTCCTGAATACAGCACACTGATGGGTCTTGACTCTTTATCCAGTTTGCCAGTCTGTGTCTTTTAATTGGGGCATTTAGCCTGTTTACATTTAAGGTTAATATTGTGATGTGTGAATTTAATCCTGTCATTATGATGCTAGCTGGTTATTTCGCCTGTTAATTGATGCAGTTTCTTCATAGCATTGATGGTCTTTACAATTTGGTATGTTTTTGCAGTGGCTGGTACCAGTTGTTCCTTTCCATGTTTAGTGCTTCCTTCACTAAGGAAGGAAGGCCTGGTGGTGACAAAATCTCTCAGCATTTGCTTGTCTGTAAAGGATTTTATTTCTCCTTTGCCTAAGAAGCTTAGTTTGGCTGGATATGAAATTCTGGGTTGAAAATTCTCTTTAAGAATGTTGAATATTGGCCCCCACTGTCTTCTGGCTTATAGGGTTTCTTCCAAGAGATCTGCTGTTAGTCTGATGGGCTTCCCTTTGTGGGTAACCCGACCTTTCTCTCTGGCTGCCCTTAACATTTTTTCCTTCATTTCAACCTTGGTTAATCTGATGATTATGTGTCTTGGGGTTGCTCTTCTCGAGGAATATCTTTGTGGTGTTCTCTGTATTTCCTGAATTTGAATTTTGGCCTGTCTTTCTAGGTTGGGGAAACTCTCCTGGATAATATCCTGAAGAGTGTTTTCCAACTTGGTTCCATTCTCCCCGTCACTTTCAGGTATACCAATCAAACATAGATTTTGTCTTTTCACATAGTCCCATATTTCTTGAAGGATTTGTTCATTTGTTTCACTCTTTTTTCTCTAATCTTGTCCTCTTGCTTTATTTCATTGAGTTTATCTTTAGTCTCTGATATCTTTTCTTCTGCTTGATCAGTTCGGCTATTGATAACTTGTGTATGTTTCATGAAGTTCTCGTGCTGTGTTTGTCCGCTCCATCAGGTCATTTATGTTCCTCTCTAAGCTGATTATTCTCATTAGCAATTTGTCTAACCTTTTTTCAAGGTTCTTAGCTTCCTTGCACTGGGTTAGAACATGCTTCTTTAGCTTGGAGGAGTTTGTTATTACCCACCTTCTGAAGCCTACTTCTGTCAGTTTGTCAAAGTCATTCTCCATCCAGTTTTGTTCCCTTGCTGGCGAGGAGTTGTGATCATTTGGAGGAGAAGAGGTGTTCTGGTTTTGGGAATTTTCAGCCATTTTGCACTGGTTTCTCCCCATCTTCATGGATTTATCTACCTTTTTTCTTTAATGTTGGTGATGTTGATAGTATTCCTTTATGTTTGTTAGTTTTCTTTCTAACAGTCAGGCCCCTCTGCTGCAGGTCTGCTAGAGTTTGCTGGAGGTCCACTCCAGACCCTGTTTGCCTGGGTATCACCAGCGGAGGCTGCGGAACAACAAAGATTGCTGCCTGTTCCTACCTCTGGGAGCTTTGTCCCAGAAGGGCACCCGCCAGATGCCGGGCAGAGCTCTCCTGTATGTGGTGTCTGTAGGCCCCTACTGTGAGGTGTCTCCAGTCTGGGTACACGGGGGGGTCAGGGACCCACTTGAGGAGGCAGTCTGTCCTGTATCAGAGCTCGAATGCTGTGCTGGGAGAATTGCTGCTCTCTTTAGAGCTGTCAGGCAGGGACGTTTAAGTCTGCTGAAGCTGTGCCTGCAGCCGCCCCTTCCCCCACGTGCTCTGTCTCGGGGAGCTGTGGTGGGCTCCACCCAGTTCAAACTTCCCAGCAGCTTTGTTTACACTGTGAGGGTAAAACCATCTACTCAAGCCTCAGCAATGGCGGATGCACCTCCTCCCACCAAGCTCGAGTGTCCCAGGTCAACCTCAGATGCTGTGATAGCAGTGAGAATTTCAAGCCAGTGGATCTTAGCTTGCTGGGCTCCGTGGGGGTGGGACCCGCTGAACCAGACACTGGAGAAAATTTCCTGTTCTGCTGGTTGTGAAGACCATGGGAAAAGTGCAGTATCTGGGCTAGAGTGTACTGTTCTTCCCGGTACCGTCTCTCACAGCTTCCCTTGGCTAGCAAAGGGAAATTCCCTGACCCCTTGTGCTTCCCATGTGAGGTGACGCCCCACCCTGCTTCAGCTCAACCTCTGCGGGCTGTACCCACTGTCCAGCCAGTCCCAGTGAGATGAACCTGGTACCTCAGTTGGAAATGCAGGAATCACCTGCCTTCTGTGTCCATCTCGTTGGGAGCTGTAGACCAGAGCTGTTCCTATTCAGCCATCTTGGCAGCTGTCCATCCAAATATGATTTCTTTGAATAGGTCAACCTTGTATATGATATGTAAAATAAAGCCTGCTGAATTTTTTGATAACAGGGGAGAGACTCTTAACTCCAGTACACTTCCAGGTATATTTATGGAAGGAAATAAACCATGAATACTGTATTGAGATTATATGTAATTAGTTTATACATTATTATGAAAAGGAAGATATCTTTATTTTACCCTTTTCTAGATATTAATGCTGTATTTATTCTTTTTTAGATTGCAGCTTCATATGGTAATGCTGTTTGTATATTTGAGCCCTTGGGCATAAATTCTCATAAAAGAAATTGTGTAAGTATTAACCAATAATAGAATACTTTTAGAATCTAGTTAACTTTAGAATCCAATTGATGTTAATAAAAAGCTCCTTAGGAGCTAGTGCTGAAAATAGACTAGAGTATCAGTGAAAAATTGGTCTAGTGCTTTATGTTAGGATCCTTACATTCACTACGGATACATCCCTAGTGCTTTTAGAAACCCAAGTCTCTAGAATATTGCAAATTGACATTTACTGTGTTAACTGAGATCTACCCTAGTTTGAACTACTGTTATTTCTTGTCTGGATTACTAATATCTATCTGATATCTGGTTTCCTGCTGCCTTCAGCCCCAGTGTCTGTTCTCAACAGAGGAGATCATGACATTTCTCTGCTTAAAACTTTGTAATGGTTCCATATTTCTCTCTCTTTTTTCTTTTGTTTTGAGACAGGGTCGCACTGTATCCCCTGGGCTGGAGTGCAGTGGCATGATCACTGCTCACTGCAGCCTCAACCTGTCAAATGGTCCTCCCACCTCAACCTCCCAAGTAGTTGCGACTATAGGCATGTACCACCATGGCCAGCTAATTTTTAAATTTTTCGTAGAGATGGAGTTTCCCTGTGTTGCTCAGGCTGGTCTTGAACTCTGGGGCTAAGTGATCCTCCCACTTCAGCCTCCCAAATTGCTGGAATTATGGGCATGAGCCACCATGCCCAGCTGCTCCATATTTCTTTCAGATAAAAAGCCAAAAGCCTTTTGTAGACTACAACTTCCCTTCTACTCAGTAGCACAGTTACTATGTCTCAGAGCTCACCTCGTAAGTTCTTGTCCTCTCTGGTTCTACTCTGGCCACATTGGCATTTTTACTGTTTCTCAGTTAACCTTCCCTCTTTGAGCCTTTGTGTTGTTTGTTTTCTTTGTCAGGAATGTTTTTCCTCCAGCTATCTCCAAGGATAGCTCCCATAGATCCTTTAGGTCTTTGCTCACTAATACCTTGTCAATGAGGTTTACCTTGACCACCCTTTAAAAAATTGTACCCCCACTTATCTTGCTATTTAAAAATTTTTTTACAGCATTTATTTATTTATTGTTTACTATGTAAAATGTTATCTAAAGGTACATAAGGGTAGGAAGCTTTTTTCACTGATGAGTCCCCAGTACTTAGAACAGTATCTGGAACAGCCAGGTGTGGTGGCTCACACCTGTAATCCCAACACTTTGGGAGGCTGAGGCGGGTGGAACACGAGGTCAGGGGTTTGAGATCAGCCTGGCCAACATGGTGAAACCCCGTGTCTACTAAAAATAAAAAAATTATCCAGGTGTGGTGGCACGTGCCTATAGTCCCTGCTGCTAGGAAGGCTGAGGCAGGAGAATCGCTTGAACCCAGGAGGTGGAGGTTGCAGTGATCCTGGACTGCACCATTGCACTCCAGCTTGGGAGTCAGAGCAAGACTCCATCTCAAAAAAAAAAAAAAAAAAGTATCTGGAACATAGTAGGTATTCCTAAATGTTGGTTGAATGAAGAAGTTAGGAGTTTAAAAAGCTCACTTACCAGCTCAGCTAAGTGGTTAAGCATACCACATTGTGAACCATTCAGATTCATACTGGGTGCTATATTATATTTGTCTTACTTAATGTTCAAAACATCTAATGTGGTTAGAATTAAGCCCTTTAAAACATCCTGCATGCATTACATTTTTACCATCACTCAGAAATAATCAAAATTGCAAATGCTAAATCTGAATGCTGAGTATATATTTACAAATAATTTTTAAAGTATATTTTTAAGTGAAATGCCTTAAAACAAATGGTTTTGGTATTTTTTCATTAAATATATGTATTTGAATATATCTTTTTACATTCCCCCAAAACAGTATAAATTAAAATATTAATCTTTCCCTATAATAGTATTGTGAAATGGATATCAAATTTTGGACTACTTAAGAGTCACCTAGAGCACATACTAAACATTTAGGTTTCCAGGTCTCATTCCCCAAATTTCTTCAAGGTAGTTGCTCCACAGATTGCACTCTGAGGAACACTAAAGGAAAGAATATTAGGGATGTCTATAATTTTAGGAATTATTTAATTACTACACTAAAATAGATTTGTTGAACAGTATTTAGTGTTATGCTGTTGTGATTGTTGTTTGGTCAGCAGTGGTAGGGTTTAAAAATAGCATTTTCTCTGATTATAAAATATCAAATAATTTTTGGATAATGAAGTGCAGGGTTTGCAGATGCACACACACACACACACACACACACACACACACACACACACACACACCCCACACACACATTTTTTTTAGATATAGAGTCTTGCTCTGTGACCCAGGCTGGAATACAGTGGTGTGATCATCATAGCTCACTATAACCTCAAACTCATGGGCTAAAGTGATCCTTCTGCCTCAGCCTCCAAAGTAGCTGGGTCTACAGGTGTGAGCTCCCATGCCCAGCTAATTTTTAAAGTTTTTATAGAGATGGGGGTCTTGCAATGTTGCCCAGGCTGGTTTCAAATTCCTGGCCTTAAGCAATCCTCCTGTCATGGCCTCCCAAACTGTTGGGATGCAGCTATGTTTTAAAATTCTGCCTTGAGGTAGTCAGGAAACCTTGTATACATTTTAAAATTGTTAAATATTCTTAAAATATTATAACACAAAATGGCATTACCGTTTAAACAGTATTATTTGCCAAGCCGTTAACATATAGCTTGCCTAAGGTAACATAGCTTTGCAAAGCTTTTCACAAATGTCCTCTCACAAAAGGACATTTTATATTTATGTACTACAAAGAAATATGTAAACATTTAACATCTTTATGCCAGCCATTACAAACGCTGAAGATAACAAAATTATGACACAGTTTCTGCCCTTGAAGAGTTGCAATTTAGTGGGAGGAGAGTCAGATGTATAGACCAATACTAATTCCATGTGATCAGTGTTATAATGGCAGAATGTAAAAGTGGTATTGGTGCTGCCAGGATGTCAGAGAAGGCTTCATAGCAGAGATGATGAGTTAGCTAATCTTAGTGGAAGGATAGGGGTTTGCAGATGGAGACGTGAGGAATAGGATATCCTAAATATAAGAAGGTATTTATAGGCATGAGAAAAAGCGTGAGAGAACCTGCTTTGTTTGGGCATGGCAAGGAGCTCAATATGGTATAATAAATAGTAGTGGAACCAATGAAAGTTACGTTAAAAACAGTATATGAAAATAATAGTGAAATATTTTCATCTTTGTTCCAGATCTTAAAGTCTTAAGTTGAAGAAAATGATAAAATGGTAGTGTTTTGGGATATTATTTGAAAAACATCTTTTTCTTTTTTCTTATTTCTTTTTGTCTACGTATTTCAGCAACTCAAGTGCCAGTGGCTTAAAACTGGGCAGTTTTTTTTGAGTTCTGTGACATACAACTTAGCATGGGATCCTCAAGGTATTTAGCAATTGTATTTAAAATTATTTAAATTAAATATTTGTTTTAAATGTATGATAATAATGTGATATAGTCTCCCATAATAAGAAAATGATCAATGTATTATATTTTCTTTTTGTTGATGAATATAATTTTTCCTTCTTGGTATACAGTGCTTTGTGCAATGCTTAATTTACTATTCTGTTTTTTCCCCTGCCTTTGTGTGTTTTATTTCAAGAAGCAGTTATGATTTGTTTCCTAGTTAATGTGTACTGCCCTTTACTCTTGTTGTATTTGCTAAGAAACACCATTGGAAATAAAACAGAGACCAAAAAAACTTCACCTCATTTTATCATTTGTATCAGGAAATTACTATCTTTAATTTTGAAAAATTAGGAATTTCTAATGATAATAGCTGTTGTCCCTTTTTATATTCACAATTAATAAGGATTCTTTTTATATTTCATGTGTAAAACCACATTTTATTAATTTGTAGTTATGCCTTATATCTCGAGGACATTTTATGTGGTATATATCAGAGTTTTGGGGACTTTGTTATTCTATTAATACATTTGTTGTTAGTTTTTTTGACTTGCTTGATAATAATAGCTCTTTGCCAGTAAGCTTTACTTTGTTGTTCTCAAATCTTCCTTAAGAATCTTTGTTGTCCAGAAGATTCTTTTTTCTTATAAGGGACTTTAAAAAAATATATACCAAGTGTTTTTCGTTGGCGATATTGCTTACTTTTCACATAATATTAATAGTTTACAGATCTAAACAGAAGCCCATGTGCATTTATTTCCCTATATAATATTTGCATATTCATCATAACATTCTTTAATTTTCAGATAATAGATTGTTGACAGCAACTGATTCTATTCAGTTGTGGGCTCCTCCAGGAGATGATATTCTGGAAGAGGAGGAAGAAATTGATAATACAGTTCCTCCTGTTTTAAATGATTGGAAGTGTGTCTGGCAGTGCAAGTTAGTGTCTATTTCTATTGTTATATTCATTAATTAAAAGCAAGTGCTTCCTAAAATATGTTTCCTTTCACAAAGATCTTTATTTTTTGATGGTACCATTGCATTTAGATGCCTAGAAAGTAGATTTTTTTCTAACCAAAACCCATATAATAGCATTCTTTAATTTGTGCTATAGTTAATCATTTAAAAAAAGGATGAAAGTATTTTCATAGTTATAGCCCCAGGACAGGAGTTGACAGGGTTGATACATAGGAAATACTCATTAATAGATTGAGGTAAGGATGGAGAGGGGGAAGATGTGAAAGTTGCCAGCCACTCTTTCAAGTGGAAGATGTACTATTAACAGTCATATAGATTATGTGACGAAGACTAGTCAGGGATGATGATAAGCTCAGCTTTTAACATGTTATATTTAGGATGTTGGTGGGACATGTAGGTGGAGATATACTGTATTCATGTTACTTACATTCTTCTTTTCCCAAAGTGAATGTTGGATTAGTTTTAATAAATTTACATTTTTATGGAGGTGAAATATTTTATTTATATTTTTAGGGAAGCAAAAACAGTCTTATTCTGAGGATTCTGACTTTGATGTTACAAAAATCTCATCTTGACCATTTTTATATACAGTACACCAGATTTTAAAAGGGCTAATTGCCTAACTCTCTCTTTTTTAGAACCTCAGTATCTGTACATTTGATGGAATGGTCTCCTGATGGTGAATATTTTGCTACTGCTGGAAAGGTAAAGGATCAAACAAAAACATACGAAATAAACAAATAAAAGAATTTAAAATGTTCCTTATTTATTTTTATTTTCAGTTTTCTCATCTGTAAAACTGGGATAATCCTCCTTGGCAAAGCTGGCCTGAAGAATAAAAGTGGTGTTTGTAAAAGACCTGGTATTTTGCTCACAGGTTGTAGGCGCTTGGGAAATAATGGCTATTCTTATTACTCTTATTTGACCTTGGCTTATTTGCGTTTTTAAAAACTAAGTTTTGTGTTTAAAAATAGCATATGTACATAACTTAAAAAGTAAAATAATACTGGATTCACAATGAAAAGATGTACTGCTTGCCTCATTATTCCAACGCTAATTCCTGTGTCCAGGAGGCAATTATTTGTCAAGTTGAATATTTTGCTATTTCCTTCCATGTCCTTCAATAACTTGCAGGTGCTCCCATTTCTTGATTCTGCCCAGCCCCCTGAGTTATATATATTATTTTTTGCCTTCCCACTGTAGAAGCTGAGGCTTTAGCTTGATAAAGGTGAGGGGTTGATATCCCCAACATCATCTTCACATCTAATATATACACATATTCATTTCACTTGCTCCTATCTTCCTGATGTAGGTATCTCATGATTTTGGGTAAATCAGAAGTTATTGTTTATGTTATTAAGATTGTACAGATTATTCTTAATAGTAATTACTTTGGAGATAGTAATTGCTTTGTTTTATGGTTTGCTTTTTTTTCTATATACCTAATTCATCCTTAGAACTGCTTTGACTCTTTTCTCAGTATAATCCCACATAGGAGGTATTCTGGGAACATGAGTTCTCTTTGCTCTCATTCAGCTTAATTGCTCTACCAGTCTAAAATAGCAGAGCTACCATTTTCGGATTTTCTTTTACCAACTTTGGGAAATTCTCTTTGCCTCTCTCCTTTGTTAAATTTTCTGTTTCTTAGCATCATTTATCTTCCTTTTTTCTTGTTTTGATGGAGATATCCCCCAATAGGTTCCTGAAGAAAGGTGAATGGGAAAAAACATTTTTTCAGGCCTTACGTGTCTGAAAGATTTTTTTCTTATGCTTGATTTTCTCGGGCATAGAATTGGGTTGAAAAATCACTGACCTTCGATATTATATCTCAATAAACTTTTTAATTGATATATATATGGGATACATGTGATATTTTGATACATGCGTAATGTGTAATGATGGTCAAATTAGAGTATTTAGGATATCCATCACCTCAAATGTTTATCTCTTTTTGTGTTGGTAACATTTCAAATCTTCTAGTTAATTGAAATGTACAATATATTATTGTTAACCATTGCCACCCTACTGTACTATTGAACACTAGAACTTATTCCATCTATCTAACTGTGTATTTGTACCAATTAACCAATTTCTCTTCATCTCCTTTTTTAGCTCCCACATAAGATTGAGAAAATAACGGTACTTTTTCTTTGTGTGCTTGTCTTATTTCATGTAACATAATGACTTCTAGTTCCATTTATGTTACTACAAGTTATAGGATTTTGTCCTTTGTACAGCCAAATAGTATTCCACTGTGTATATTTACCACATTTCATTTATCCCTTCATTTACTGATGGGCATGTAGGTTGATTCTATATCTAGGCTATTGTGAATAGTGTTGCAGTAAACATGGGAGTGTAGCTATCCCTTTGATACACTGATTTCCTTTTTTTTGGATAAATACCCATTAGTGGGATTGATGAACTGTATGGTAGTTCTAGTTTTGTTTTTTTGAGAAAACTCCGTACTGTTTTCCATAACCACTGGCACCTGAGCAAGCTGCCTGTAGGCCCAAGGACTGGTCCTCCTGGACCTGTGACTACTGGCGTCTTGTATGCTGCCTGGGAGCCCAAGGGCCTGCATGCCTGGCCTGCCTCTGCCACCACGGGTGCCTCAGAACTGGCCTGTCTGGTGTCCCTGTCTGCAGCAAAGCCTCACTACAGCCTCTGCTACCAACCACAGCCTAAGCCAATGAGTAACTCACAGCCACCACTGACACTGACTACACCTGAAGAAATTGTATGAAGACTACTCTCCTGCACTCACCCAGAATCAAAGCCAAAGCACACTATCCAACTAACGCTACGACATTTGGGGGACCTGTTAAATCTGAAACTCATGTCTTTCAATTCTGAGAGATTATATTATTTCTTTCGTGTTATTTCTTTCTCTCTCTGAATCTTTTCTTATTCAGATATGGATACTTTTACACTAATTCTCTATTTTACTATCTTCCCCCTTTACTGTTGTCCACTTATTCATCTTTTTCTTTTAATTTCTGGGGGACTTTTCAGATGTAACTTCAAAGTAATTTTTTTCTGCTATTAAATTTTTAATTTTTAAGAGGTTTTAAAATTCTCTGATTTTTTTTAAATTACAAAATATTTCATAAATTAAAAAAGTATATATAAAACATGTTATATAAGATATAATAAAGAATAAACAAATACACATGTACCCTACTCCTCAACTTGAGACAAAGAACATAAAACAAATGGGTCCTTTATCTTTCTCCATGCATCTCCTTCCTCCCCTCCCACCCCAGGCAACCAGAATCCTGATTTTCATGTTTATTATTTTATTTAAAAAAGTTTCACTCATCTAAATTCCCAAATAAGGTAATATTTAGTTTTCCACAGTTCTGAACTTAACAGAGTTTGTGTTTTTCTTTTTTTTCTTTTCTTTTTTTTTTTTTTGAGACTGAGTCTCAATCCGTCACCCGGGCTAGCGTGCAATGGCACAGTCACGGCTCATTGCAGCGTTGACCTCCTGGGCTTAGGCAGTCCTCCTGCCTCAGCTGGGAATACAGGTGTGTACCATCACATCTGGCTAGTTTTTTTTTTTTTTTTTTTTTTTTTTTGGTAGAAATAAGGTTTCATTATGTTGCCCAGGCTGGTCTCTTTTCCCTTTATTTATGATGCCCTAAATTAAAAAAATTTTTCTTCAAACATGAACAGAAAGGTACTGAACTCCTATGTACCCATCACTTAGTTTCAGCAGTTATCACTCAGCCAATCTTGTTTCATCTGTACTACTCCTCCCCCAGTTGGATTATTTAGGCTTGTGTCACTGATGTCATTCGTCTGTAAATATTTCAGTATCTACTTTTGAAGTATAAAGATTTTACAAAAATATCCACAATATATAGTGAGTTAATTGTAGTTTGAATCTTGTTTAGGAAAATTTCTTACTGTGATGCTATAAAAGTATTCTTTTTTATTTTCTCCTAAAATCTTAAAATTTTAATCTCTTATAATTAAGTCCCTAATCCAAATGAAAGTTGTCTCAATAACATTTACTGAATAGTTCATTCTTTTTCCATTGATCTGCCATACCATTTCTGACATGTATTAAATAATGCTGCAGCAGATGTCTTGTACATGTCTGTTAGGCTCTTGTGTGGATTTCTCTTGGGTATATACATAGGAATAGAATTGCTGGGTTATATGTTATATGTATCTTTAATTTCAGTAGATAATACCAATCTGTTTTCCAAAGTTGATATACTAATTTACACTCTCATAGTATACAATAGTTCCTGTTGCTCCTAGCCAGTGCTGATGTGGTCTGACTTTTAAACTTTTGTAAATTTGGTAGATGTCAAGTACCACCTCCGTGTAGTTTTTTTTGCTTTTTGTTTTTTTAGAGACAGAGTCTTACTCTGTCACCCAGGCTGGAGTACATCGGCCGATCATAGCTCACTGTAACCTTGAACTCCTGGGCTCAAGCGATCCTCCTGCCTCAGCCTCCTAAGTAGCTGGGACTACAGGCATGCACCACCATGGCTGGCTAAGTTTTATCTATTTTTTTTTGGTAGAGTTGTTATCTCCTTATGTTGCCCAAGCTGGTTTTGAACTCCTGACCTCAAGTGATCCTCCTGTTTTGGACTCCCTAAGTGTTGAGATTACAGGCGTGAGCCACTGTGCCTGGCCTCCTTGTAGTTTTAAAGTGCATTTCCCTGATTATTAATGAGGCTAAATACCTTTTCATTTATTTATTGGGTATTTGGATGACTGATTTAAAAGAAAGTAACTGGGCAAGTTCCTTGCCTGTTTTTAAAATAGTTTTTGGTCTTTTGTTGATTTGTAGGAGTTCTTTATTATGGGTATGAGCTTTTTGTCAGTTACATGTTTTGCAAAGATCTTCTCCCACTCCATTAGTTGCTCATTCATTCTCTTAATGGTATCTTTTGATGAGAGATATTTGATTTTAATGTCAAATATATCAGTGTTTTTCTGAGTCCTATTTAATAAGTTTTTCATACTGTGAGATTCTGAGGGTTTTCCTATGTTACATAATCTTCTAGGCCAGAGTTGCTTTAAGTTTTTTTGTGCTGTGTATTCCTTTGCAAATCTAGTGAAGCCTATAATAACTTTCCTCGTAGTATGATGTTTTTAAATGCATAAAATAAAATACGTAGCATTACAAAAGAAATTATTGAAATACAGCTTCAAGATATTAAAAAATACGTTTGTGATAGAGACATTATGTACTTTTAAATTAATGCATTCGGTAACAAAAATTGCACTTAAAATATGGGCAGTTTTAATTGTGTTTAGCTATTGTATGTGGAATTAAAATTTCAGTATCTCACTTTCTAAGGTGAGGGTAGGCTTTCCAAGAACAACAAAATTCACTGAAGGCTTTTTGGGTTGATCTCTAGTTGTAGAAACGTTAAATTTTACTGTTTTATTGCTCAGCAGTTAGTTGGCACAGAGGTAGTTGCTTAACGGTTGCATGAACAATATAGACAGGAAGACTGCAATCATGTGCGGTTTAGTAGTAGTTCCAATAACTAACAATTTCAAAGTAGAAATGAGTGTAAAAAATACTTTGAAATATGCAGTAACTGTCATGTGATATGAAAACATCTTTGATTCTGTTAGAGACAAAATCATATGTACTGCCAATACTACTTTGTTTTTTTCAATTAGCATTTATGAAAATAGAGAAGTAATTGTTTTTCCCCATTAAGGTTCATGATGCCTTTGGGTCTTAGTTTTCTTGGTTTCTTCAGAAGCAGACCCTGAGATAAGGATTCAAGTGTAAGTAATTAATATGGGGAATGATCACACGAAATATACTGGATTGGAAGGAGGGAAGTGAAGGCACTTAATAACCTTTATTAAGTGTATTAAGAAGCTTGAATCTCTGGGTCCTCTGGGAACCCGTGTTCCTCACTTGCATCGTGTTCCTTACACATGTTCTTTACACACATCATTTGAAGGCAGGTGAGGGCCAGGCATCAGTTCTCAGCACTCATAACCAGCTCCTAGAAGACCTCAGACAAAAAGATGTAGATGCTTGCAGTTGAAACTGGCACACCAAAATGCTAAGGCATGATGGGATACAAATGATGTGTCAAAAGTATCTTTTATATCTTGAAGTCTATCCACAGGACCTTTGGGTCAGAGGACCTCAGGCCAAGAGCCTCTGGTCTAGAATATGGACATTTTATGTTTTATCTTTCACATTCAGGTCTAAAATCTATGTGAAATAATGTTTAGATGTGATTTGAAGAAGGTCAAGTTTTATTTTTTCCTTATGGATATCTGGTTGTCTTGAACAATTTATTGGAAAAAATCTTCCCTTTCTTCATTGTTCTGCATTACCACTTTTGTCATAAAATCAAATGTCCATATTTCTGTAGGTCTGTTTCTAGGCTCTTTTCTCTAGTTCATTGGTCTTTCCTTGTATGAGTGTCACCTGACTTAATTGCTATAGCTTTAAATTAAGTCTTGATATCTGGTAGGGCAAGTCCTCCCCTCTTGTTTTTCTTTTTTAAGATCGTCTTATCTATTCTTGGCCCTTTGCATTTCTATATAAATTTTAGAATAAATGATAATTTTTACAAAGCAAACAGAAAACCTCTTATGATTCTGATTGGTATTACATTGACTGTGTAGGTCAGTTTGGGGAGAATTGACATCTTTACTATAATTAGTCTTCCCGTTTATGAACATGATGTATCCATTTATTTTAGACCTTTTTTTCCTCAGTAATGTTTTATAATTTTATCTGTGAAGATCCCAAATATCTTTTGGGATTAATTCCTAGATATTTGATGTTTTTGATACTGTTATAAATGGAATCATCATGTAAATTTTTAAAAAATAATTGTTACTGGTATATAGAAATGCAGTTTTTGTATATTGGCTTTATGCCCAGCACCCTTACTAAACTCATTAATTCTAATAATTCATCTGTAGATCATTTTGGATTTTATATGTACACAATTATATAATCTATGAATAATGAAAGCTGTAGTTCATCTTTTGTAACTCTCCCATTTTTCATATTTTTCCTTTTTTTTTTAACTGCAGTGTCTAGGACCTCTAGCAGAGTGCTGAATAAACGTGGTGACAACAGGTCTATCTTTTTCTTGTTCCCAGTCTCAAAGGGATACCCTTCACTGTGTCATCATAAATATAATGTTTACTGTTGATGTTTGTGGTAGATACTTTTTTTTCAGATAAAGAAACTTTCCTTCTATTTGTTGTTTGCTAGATTGTTTTTCTAAACCACAAACGATATAGAATTTTAGGAAGCATTTTTTCTGCATCTAATGAGACAATTTTTATCTTTTTTTTTTGGAGACAGAATCTCGCTCTGTCACCCAGGCTGGAGTCCAGTGGCACAATCTCAGCTCACTGCAATCTCAGCTTCCCAGGTTCAAGTATTTCTCCCATTTCAGCTTCCCAAGTAGCTGGGACTACAGGCACCCATCACCATGCCGGTTAATTTTTGTATTTTTGGTAGAGATGAAGTTTCACCATTTTGTCCAGGCTGGTCTCGAACTCCTGACCTCAGATGATCCACCTGCCTCGGCCTCCCATACTGCTGGGATTACAGGCATGAGCCACTGTGCCCGGCCATCTTTTTAATTTTTTAATAAGATGAAATACATGGACTGATTTTGTAAACCTTGTATTCCTGGAACAATCCCAACTTCATTATAATGTGTTATCCTTGCTGGATTTGATCTGCTGATCTTTTTTTTTTTTTTTTTCTTTTTTTTTTTTGAGACAGTGTCTCGCTCTGTCACCCAGGGTGGAGTGCAGTGGCGCGATCTCGGCTCACTGCAAGCTCTGCCTCCTGGGTTCACGCCATTCTCCTGCCTCAGCCTCCCAAGTAGCTGGGACTACAGGCGCCCGCCACCACGCCCAGCTAATTTTTTGTATTTTTAGTAGAGACGGGGTTTCACCGTGTTAGCCAGGATGGTCTCGATCTCCTGACCTCGTGATCCACCTGCCTTGGCCTCCCAAAGTGCTGGGATTACAGGCGTGAGCCACCGCGCCCGGCCTGATCTGCTGATCTTTTGTTTAAGATTTATGTGTTAGAGTGAGATTCGGCCAATAATTTTCCCGTTTTCATAATGTCCTTGACAGATTTTTATGTTGATGTTATGCTGGCCTTATAAATGGGTTGGAAAGCTCTCTTTTGTGAAGAGTTTATGTAAGATTGATATAGTTTTATTCTTAAGTATTTGCTGGTGAAGCCATCTGGATCAGGAATTTTCTTTGTAGGATTCAGTTTTTTAAATTATTCAGATTTTCTTTTTCTTTTGTATGTCAGTTTTGGTAAGTTGTATTTACCTATGATTTTTCAGTTTTATTTAGATTTTCAAATTTATTAGCACAAAATTGTGTAAAACACCTTATCTTTTAATATCTATAATACATGTATAGTGATTTCTTCTTCAGTTTTGATATTATTTATGCCTTCCCTCTTTCTTCATTCATCTCACCAAGAGTTTATCAATTTTGTAGGTCTTTTTACTGCCCTAAAAGTCTTCTGTACTCTGCCTGTTTTTAACTCTGGCTACCCCTGCTTAGTTGTTACTGTTATCTTTTCTACTTTTAAATGTTGGAGTGCCCAGGGCTCTTCTAGTCTTAAGATTTCTGATGCCATTTAAATGCCATTTTTGTATGCTGATGACATTCAACTTTGTATTTTTTGCCTGTACCTCTTCCCTGATCTCTACTTCCCTAACCCCTCAATCTACTCCCTGATGGCTCACCTTTAGAATATATCCACAATCTGCTTACTTCTTTACCACCTCCACTCTTATAATCTGGTTGAAGCCACCATTATTTATCACTTGTATTATTGTATTAAATTTTTAATTGGTTTCCCAATTTTTGCTGCACTTCTGTACAATCTATGTTCAAACCAGCAGGTGGAGTGATTTAAAAAATTGTTTTTTTGAGACAGAGTCTCTCACTGTCGCCTAGGCTGGAGTGCTGTGGCGCAATCTTGGCTCACTGCAACCTCTGCCTCCTGGGTTCAAGCAATTCTTGTGCCTCAGCCTCCCAAGTGACTGGGATTACAAGCGTGTGCCACCACACCTGGCTAATTTTTGTATTTTTAGTAGAGACGGAGTTTCGTCATGATGGCCAGGCTGGTCTCGAACTCCTGGCCTCAAGTGATCTGCCCACCTTGGTCTCCCAAAGTGCTGGGATTATGGGTGTGAGCCACTGTTCCTGGCCTGGAGTGATCTTTTTAAAATGTTGTCAGATCTTGTCACTCTTCTTTTGTACAAAACCGTCAAAAGCTTTTCCATTTCATTTACCAAAAGACCAAGTCTTCGTGATGGTTTAGCATGCTCCATGCTTACCAGGACTCTCGTCACTGCTTCAACCTCATCTTCTGCTAACTCTCACCCCTGCACACTCCACTCCATCTAATTTGCCTCATTGTTTTTAAACTAGATTTTAAAAATAAAACACTGAAATTTTGATAAGCCAGTTCAATAATCTACAAATAATAAAACAGTATTTCTGGATAGAAATGTAGAGACACGTGAAGAATTTTCTGTAATGTCTTGAGAAGCGTGGGTATCTCATGAAGGGTACACTTGTCAGAATCACTGGAAAAACAGTTTGAGAAATAATATAATTCATGTCTTTTTTTCCTTTTTAATTTTATTTTACGTAATTCATGTCTTGATCTCTAAAACAGGCAGTCACCTTTAAAACTTTGGATCTTTAAAAACAAATACCCCATTACTCCTAAAATTTGACTGAAAAAACTCACAGATTTGTCTTTTTTTTGTTACTCATATTTCTTAGGATTACCACGTTAATAAGTGATTAATAAAGCCAGTCATTCCTTTGACTTAACAAATCCATAATAGGTGAACCTATGGATGATTTAATATAGGACCAGTTCAGCATGTCAGAGAGCTGCTGGAGAGTCATACTGGAATCCAGCTTTATGATATTCCCAGTTAATCATTGCTGATGTCAGCTTGGATATTGTACACACTGTGCATCATTTGGAGCATGTTTTCCTATTGCCTCCTTTTAAATATCGTTAATGGCACTATGATCATGGATAGGTATTGTATACACTTAAGTTTTCCTTGACTCATGTACAGTTAACCCTTGAACAACATGGCAGTTAGGTGATCCAACCCCCTGCACAGTCAAAAATCCCTGTCTAACTTTTGAGTCTCCAGAAACTTAATTACTAATAGTCTACTATTGACTGGAAGCTTTTCCAATAAAATAAACAATAAATTAACACATTTTGTATGTTATAGGTATTGTATACTCTACTCTTTTTTTTTTTTTAAACCCTGCATGTGGCATCCAATATGTGCTATACTCTTTTAAGGAAGAGAAGAAAAATGTTACTAAGAAAACCTTAAGGAAGAGAAAATAAATTAACCGTTCATTAAGTGGATGTAGATGGTCATAAGGTCTTCATCCTCATCATTTTCACATTTAGTAGGTGAGAGAGGAGGAAGAAGAGGAGGGGTTGGTCTTGCTGTCTTGGGTGGCAGAGGCAGAAGAAAATTCACGTGTAAGTGGACCTGTGCAGTTCAAACCCATGTTATTGAAGGGTCAACTGTACTTTAACATATATATTGTTTGATTTTTTTTTATCATATAACGGGGCAAAGAAAATGCATTTTAGAATTCTAGCAATCTGCACTTGTGAGACACATGAGAATCTTTTATAGTTGTATTCATATCATAATAGACTTTATATACGTAAAATTGATAGTGCATTTTGGACAAAAAGTTGATTTGAAATTATATCTGAAATTAACAACCTTCATTCACATGTTTAGCAGATATTCTTTTGAACACCACCATATACCCTGAACTGTTGTGTGTGCTGGCAGTCTTATGATGAAGATGATAGACAAGGCTTTTGTTCTTATAGGACTTAATTTCTGGTGAGGAAAGACAGAAAAAAATATCAAGTATTAACAAGTGCTGTCCAGAAAATTAAGACAGGATGATATAGTAGTGTGATTGGGTGTCTGTTAGAGTGAGTGATCTATAGAGAAAGCTTTGCTGAGGAGATAACCTTTAAACTGAGAATTGAATACTACGAAGGAGACAACTGTGAAGTTCAGGGGAAAGAGTGTTTTTGGCCAAGGGAACAAACACCAAGTGCAAATGCTCTGAAATAGGAATTAGCAGGGCTTGTTAAAGAGCAACAGAAAGCTGGAGTGTAGTGGTTAGACCAAAGTTTGAGATGCATCTGAGTTAACATATCAGATAGGATAAGACAGTCAGGAGTTCTCTGGCAATTTGAATTCTTTAGCCAAAGGCGGTGTTTAAAGTTATGGGTCTGGATGAAATTAACTAGGGAGAACGTGTGTATTAGAGAAGAGAATGGGACTCAGGATCAAATCCCAGGATCCTCAAACATTAAGAAATGATAGAGAGAGGGGAGATACCTACAAAGGATGCTGGGAAGGAGTAACCACTGAAATAAAACGAAAACCAGGAGAATGTGACATTAGAGAAGCCAAGAAAAAAGGTTCAAGGAGGGAATGTCAGTTAATTTTGTCAAAAGACCTAGAACACATGGGAGAACAGTTAAACATCTGTAGATAGTACAGGCCTAACTGTGCGTAAATTAAAGCAAAGAAACTTTTGTGGAATCATAAAGTTTTAATGATCTTAGTGATCACAGAAGCAGCTAAGGTTTTTGAAGTCCATGTCTCTGCCCTCCACTGCCACTACCTGTGTCAGCATCTTCGGGGCTGCAGACCTTTACAGTAGTCTCTTAAGTGATGTCCTGCAAACATCCTCTGATTGGTCTGCCCACAGGAGCCAGCCACCTGAACATGCCGTTCTCCTTTTCACCACCTTTTAATGACTCCTATTGCTCCTAAAATGAAGATTATGATCTTTACCATGGCCTGTGAGGCTCTGCTGTATGATCTGGCCCTTCCGTGCCTCTCCAGCTTCATTCCCACCTTAATGCCTACGACACTGATGTCCTTTCAAGGCCTTGAATATGCCAAGCTCTTTCCTGCTTCCACGTCTTTTTATGTGCTGTTCCCTCTGTCTAGGGAATACCTACAATACCCAGACTTCCTTATTCTTTACCTGGTCGTCTTTTATGTATCCTTCAACTCTCAGTTTAAATACCACTTGCTTAAGAAATCCTCTGATCTCCCAGGCAAGGTCAAGTCTCCTTATTAAATACTTTCCTGGTGCCCTCTGCTTCTTTCTTATAGTGCTTATCACAATTGTAATTAAAACAATAATTTATATCCTTACTTAATGTTGCCTTCCTTTCTAAAGAATAAGCTCTGTGGGATTAGGAAATGTATTTTATTATTTCTGTCTCTTCCTCTGCCTCAGCTATATCCCCAGCCATTCACATAGTGGCTTCTTTCAATAAATACTTGTTGTTTGAGTAAATCTTGTAAATGTTCCATAGTTGTACAGGCAGTTAATGGCACATCATCATTATCTATTAGTACGTTGAGGACTGATTTTGTTTTTAAGCCTGAGAATGGTTGGAAAGCCCTTGAGTTTGCTTAGAGTGAAATGTGGCTCTTTAATAAATCTGTATCTGGACATAATCAAATGTATAATAATTGGTTCTTATGAAACATAGTAAAATATATGTAATTAGATTGAATTAAGAATAGTAGCTTGATACAAACTACAGGATGCCTACCCTTCCCTGAAAGAGACATATGAACTGTTAAAATTTCCACAAAAATTTTATTTTCTAGATTATTGAGTATTATTTTCATTGTGTTAGTCACGTCTCCCTAAGCTGCTTATATCCAGTTATCCTAAGAGTTAAGTGTTTCATAATTCTTATGGAAAGATAATGCTTTTCTGGTAAGGATCCTATGGAGGTTAAGCAAATGTGTCTTGGATTGAAAAAGCTATTTTCTCACATTTTTGAGAATATACCACATCTGATTAAGATTATCCTGATAAAAAGAACAGAAAGTAACTTTGGAATGTTGGGCAGTTTTTTTTTTTTTGGTACAATCTGTTCTGCTTCTGTTAATAAAGCCAAATTTGAATTGATAAAACAGATGGTCACTGTGGATCTCCCACTAGAAGGCATTTTCCACCGCCTCTGCTACACATGACAGGGTTTTATTTCAGGTGTTGTGAGACTCAAATTCAATTACTTCCAGGATTTTTAATATTACGGTCCATTGAGCACTTTGGCTGGTAAGATCTATTTTTTATAAATGTGGTAAATTAAATTTTTCTTAGGCTTAAGAGTATTTTAAATTTCTATCTGAACTTAAAATAAAGCCTTACTTACTAAAGAGCCTTTTCTACCCAACGTGACATACCTGATTAAATCTTTAGTTTAAGAATTGGTTTTCTCTGGTTCGCTTACTAGGAGATGTTTGCTGAAATTCTATTCGTTTATGTTCATAAAGTTTGTATTGGAACATTTTAAAAAATAACACTTGGTTATTTTGTAAAATTTGCAAGTAATTTAAAGTATCCTGTTTTCTTCAAAAAATGGAATTTATCTTTTCTTTTTTTGAGTTCTCATGCAGCATGGTG
Source organism: Homo sapiens (assembly GCF_000001405.40). Taxonomy (NCBI): domain Eukaryota; kingdom Metazoa; phylum Chordata; class Mammalia; order Primates; family Hominidae; genus Homo; species Homo sapiens. The sequence continues at coordinate 51,550,567 of NC_000015.10, read as the reverse complement.
AATATAGTTAGTGATAGAATAGTGTATATTTTAAAATTGCTAAGAGTAAATTTCAAGTCTTCTCACCATAAAAAACATTAAGTATTTGAGGTGATGGATATGTTACCTAGCTTGATGTAATTATCATGTTATATTCGTGAATTATAACATCACTTCATACTATGTAAATGTATACAATTATAAGTTGTCAATTTATAATTAAAAAGGCAGCATTTTCTTTGAGAGAAGATTATGCCTTTGAGTGAAAAACTGGGTTTTGCAAGGGCTAGGATGAGAAGATTTCTTGAGGGGAAGGGTTGTCCCTTCTATGCTGATTTTGCTGAGGGTTTTAATTATAAAGGGATGCTGGATTTTGTCAAGTGCTTTTTCTGCATCTGTTGAGATGATCATTTGATTTTGTTTTTAATTCTGTTTATATGGTGTATCATATGTATTGACTTGTGAATATTAAACCATCCCTACAACTCTAGTATGAAACTTACTTGATCATGGTAGACAATCTTTTTGATATGCTGTTGGATTCAGTTAGCTAGTATTTTGTTATGGATTTTTGCATCTATATTCATCAGGGATATTGGTCTGTGGTTTCCTTTTTTTGTCATGTCCTTTCCTGGAGTTTCTGCACAGTAAATGAAACAGTCAGCAGAGTAAACAGACAGTCCACAGAGTGGGAGAAAATCTTCATGATCTATACATCTGACAAAGGACTAATATCCAGAATCTATAAGGAACTCAAACAAATTAGCAAGAAAAAACCAAACAATCCCATCAAAAAATGGACTGAGGACATCAATAGACAATTCTCCAAGGAGGATATACAAATGGCTGACAAGCATATGAAAAAATGCTCAACGTCACTAATGATCAGGGAAATGCAAACCAAAACCACAATGCGATACCACCTTACTCCTGCAAGAATGGCCATAATCAAAAAACCAAAAAATAATAGATGTTGGTGGGGATGTGGTATAAAGGGAACACTTTTACACTGATGTTGGGAATGTAAACTAGTACAACCACTATGGAAAACTCTGGAAATTCCTTAAAGAACAACAGTAGAACTACCATTTGATCCAGCTATCCACTTCTGGGTATCTATCCAGAGAAAAAGAAGTCATTATATGAAAAAGATACTTGCACATGCATGTTTATAGCAGCACAATTTGCAGTTGCAAAAATATAGAACCAGCCCAAATGCCCATCAGTCAATGAGTGGATAAAGAAATTGTGGTATATATATATACACACCATGGAATGCTATTCAGCCATAAAAAGGAATGAAATGACATTCGCAGCAACCTGGATGGAATTGGAGACCATTATTCTAAGTGAAGTAACTCAGGAATGGAAAACCAAACATCGTATGTTCTCACTCATAAGTGGGAGCTAAGCTATGAAGATGCAGAGGCATAAGAATGATACAATGGACTTTGGGGACTAGGGAGGAAGGGTGGGAGGAGAGTGAGGGATAAAAGACTACAAATTGGGTACAGTGTATACTGCTTGGGCGATGGGTGCACCAAAATCCCACAAATCACCACTGAAGAACTTATTCATGTAACCAAACACTACCTGTTCCCCCAAAACCTATGGAGATTAAATAAATAAATAACACAAAAACACTAAACAAAAGTGAACTTAAAAAAAAAAGCTAGGAATTTCCCTCATGCACTCAGGTAACTGCAACTCCCCCTTTTGATATGTTGTACTTTCATTTTCATTCATATTTTCAACATATTTTAAAATTTCCCCTGTAATTTAGAAGTTTTTAGTTTTCAAATATTTGGGAATTTTCTAGATAACTTTCTGTTACTAGTTACTTAATTTTGTTGTGGTTTTACAGTTTTAGACAATAACAGATGAAATAGGGACTGCTTCATTTGAGGGGGAGATTGGTGGGAATGGGAGAAGGGCTAGAGTATCACCTGCTCCTGGGGCTCTTTGTATTTCCATTGTGACTTTTGAGGGGCTCTCGGGTACCTGTAGAATTTCTTTGTTACGTAGTCTGAAACCACTGCATAGAATGTGCTGTAAATTTGATTATGTGAAAATGATGCTATGCTGAAGAAGATACTTGGAGGAAAGCAACTAGTACATTGTTAAGTGGCTGTCTAAGGGCAAACACTTAAAAGATTTGCTGTATAATTAAAATATCCAAAAAAAGAGACATTAATGGAAATTTTTGTTTCATTATGCAGCACAAATTGAGAATGAGTACCAAGATGAAAAAAACAGAATTGTTTGTCTAGTCCAAATGAAAATATTTGGGTCAATGCATACTTTTCAGGAATACATAATTGCAGAATTCCTCAGAGGTTATATTTTTGCATAAGCGATAACATTTATTATTTCCCTTTAATGCAGTTTTTATTATTGGTTATAAAGCACTATAAAAGATAGTTTCTGTTAAAATACAGTTGTTTAGCCTTTAACTAAATTGTTAGGACTAAGTAAAATGATTAAGTCAGTGCCTATTGTTATACTTGTAAATATTTTAAGTGGGCATTGAGGTGGTTCCTGACAGCTACCTCCATGCATTCTTTATCATCACTTAGAGTAGGGATCGGAGAACTGTGGCCCAAGAGCTAAGAATGTTTTTTACCTTTTTAAAGGGATGTAAGAAAAAAAGAAGAATCTGTGTCATAGACCTGTGTAGCCCACAAAGCCTAACTTATTTACCATCTGGCCCTTTGCAGAAAAATTTGCTGACTCTTGATATAGAGCAAGAAACAATTCATGTTCGTGAGGTGAAGGGTGAAGGGCTTCACTGTTAAAGACCACTTCAAAAAGGAAAGGATAACAATGACTGAAAAGATAGCATGGATCTTTCTAATTCTTTCTTAACTAACTTATTCAAGGGGCTAGCATCAGAATCTTTTTTCTGTACTGACCAATTTATGTCTAAATGGGAGAATTTGGCATCAGTCTGCATTTGAAAAACAATATCACACAGAAAAGATTGATAATGAATAGACTGTTCATTTATTTTTCAAGAATAGTTTTCTTTAAAGTAATGTAATTTTGAGATAAGTTTTGTATTATGTATAAGTCACATATTAGTTTTTAGATGTAACTTAATTTTTAAAACTTCTTCAAACCACTTAAATTTTGAATTGTGTATGTACAAATTAATTTTATATTGACCTATGTATTTTTCAGGATGATTGTCTTTTGAAAGTGTGGTATCCTATGACTGGTTGGAAGTCTTCAATTATACCTCAGGATCATCATGAAGTAAAAAGGAGACAGTCCTCTACTCAATTTTCTTTTGTTTACTTGGCACATCCCCGAGCTGTGACAGGTTTTTCGTGGCGCAAAACTAGCAAGTATATGCCCAGGTTAGATGAATGAATCATGTAGCTTTAGTTTGCATCCTTAAATGTTTATAAAAATAATGAAAATAAAGTCCTTTTATTTACATGGTGGCAATTAATAGCATAGGCTCTGGCATCAAGCTGCCTGAAATCAAATCCTACTATTAGCTTCATGAGTTTTTGACTAAATTTCTTAAGCTGTCTATGCCTCAGTTTTTCTCTGTAGAGTGAGGGTAGTAATAGTACCTACCTCAGAGAGTTACTGTGAAACTAAAATGTAGTTTGTGGGTGGGAAGTGCTTAGTACAGGCCTTTGCACATACTTTGTGTCCAGCCAATGAAATTGTTGGTAGTAGCTGTGGTACTAGCAGATCCTAGCAAGAAAATGTTTGCAAATAACAGGAAAGCACACATTGAAGGGAAATAGATCAGTATTATGTCAATTATGTATATGGTGTTAAAGCATATAATGTACTCTGAAAAAAGTGGCCAGGTTGTGTTTTTTTTGTTGTTGTTTTTTTAAATCTGAGAGCTGTCAACAGAAGCTTCTCAAAGGATTTTTTATTATACATTTTTTCCTCATCATTGTGGCACCTCTTAAAGGTATTTAGAAGATTAAATAAACTGCAAAAAAGCTTATACAAATGATTCCTTTATTATATACAGGTCTAAGAAAGCTGTTGGGCACTCAGAAGCTTGCTTAGAAATCTAGTTTGTTCTTGAGGGAGGGTTATTTTACCTACTAAATATATCTGAGGATTGTTTATGCCTGATAGGAAATATAGCACACATTGTAGAGATGCTCAGTAAATGATAATGTGGGAAATTTATATACTTTTTGAATCTAAATATATTCTGCTTAAGTCATCTGCATCTATTTGCAGAATACTTTTGACTTAGATTCTGTGTGAGCATTTTTTTAAAGGGAGAATGATTTTTTTGTTCCTTTGTAACAAACAGGTAAGTTACTTTAGCTGCTCCATGCCATGCCGTTTTTGCTTATTTTAACTTAATGGAAATGGATTTATAGTTTGAAATTATATTCTCCTTACAGTTTTATGATGAAGATAATTATTTGTTTGTAACTGTTTGGGTTATAGGAAGGAGGATGTAAAGTGATGAAACTACTGCCATAAGCCAGATAGTTTAATTACATTTAATGATCTTTTATTATGGTCATTCTCTAATTTGCAATGATTAGGTTTTCTTTTGCTGTTTAGTTTGTATGTTTTGTTTAGGAGATACTAATAATCCTCTAGAGCCTGAATGTATAATCTGGCAGTAATTTCTGTTTCTTTTTTCAAAACAATTTCCCGGTTCTTATGATGTTCACAGTGATGCTATATATGATTTCAAGCTCTTTGATTGATTCCTTTTTTCCATAGTGTTTTGCACTAATGTTATCTTTATGCATGAAGAACCAAAATATTAATTAGTTAATGGGATTGATATTCACATTAACCTTTATTTATTTCTCTTTGTTGTTAGGGGTTCTGTCTGTAATGTGTTGTTAACTTCATGTCATGATGGTGTGTGCCGGCTCTGGGCAGAAACTTTATTACCAGAAGACTGTCTTTTGGGTGAGCAGATTTGTGAGACTACCACTTCCAGCATTGCCAGCAGCCTTTCTCATGCTGGAAGACACAAAGACAGAATACAGCATGCTCTTGAGGTATTATATTATTTAAAATGGTAAATGAATTTTGAAGATAATGTGAGCCTGGTGGAAATTCATGAACTAACATGCAGATGGCACACATGGTACATGTAATGAGTGAAATTAATAGCAATAAACTCTCATTTATGCTTGTAAGACTACTCATTTATTCCACTAAGAAGCCAAATGCAGAAATTAATGATCTCAGACATGTTTTATAGGTAAATATTATTAAAAGTTTTTTAAAAATTGATATTTTATGCTCAAGTTCTAGATAATATTATTTTAATTCTTTTGTTTTGCATGTCACATGTGAAAATCTATGGGACTAAGTATTAGTAAAATATGTAAAGATCCTTGAAATTAGTTGTAATTAAAAATATTTTGCTTTTGTTTCATAAAGATTAAAATCTTATTGTTCTAGTTAAAAATGACTATTTTGTTCCTTAAGAATAAAGATGTTTATTAAGATATTAGACACAAATGAACTGCTTTGGAGTTTCCATGATTGAAGATTTTGAAAATGAAATAATTTTTATAATTTTTAAATACAGTATGAAATAAAAGTGCTTTATAAGAAATTACGTTATAACACATAGCACAAATGATTGTGTCCCATATGATTAGGTAATACAATGAGATATATGCATTATTTTGAATTGTCAGAAATTTATTATAGTAAACTTAGATTACTATTTTTCTTGTGGCTGTTTTTTATTATTCAAATACTGTATGCTTATTCTAGAATTGGATTAAGAAAAGGAGAAGAAATACGGAATTTATAATTCAACTATTCTAGTCCTGTGAATATGTGTATTTTTCTTTATACGATTGAGATCATATTATGCAGTAATACTTTATAAGTTTTTTATACTTAATTTGTTTACAGTCTACATTATTGACTATACTTTTACATTATATATTTACATTGACAGTTTAAAGGTTGCATAGTCAAAGTGGCTTTGCCATTTTACCAAGCAGAAATATTATACAACTTTGACAAGTTAAGGATGTGGTCCTTAAAAGTTTTATGTGAAGTAGGCCTCCTCAGGTATTGTCTGTATTGGGCCATTCTTGCACTGCTATGAAGAAACGTCTGAAACTGGGTGATTTATAATGAAAAGAGGTTTAATTGGCTCATGGTCCTATAGGAAGCATGGCACCAGAATCTGGTTGGCTTCTAGGGAGGCCACAGGGATCTTTTACCCATGGCAGAAGGTGAAGCAGGAGCCGGCACATCACATGGTGGAAGCAGGAACAAGAGAGAGTTGCGGGGAGGTGCCACACATTTTTAAATGACCAAATCTTATGAGAACTCACTCGCTATTGCAAAGGCAATACCAACACCAAGCCATGCGGGATCCGCCTCATGACCCAAACAGCTCCCACCAGGCTCTACCTCCAACATTGGGGATTACAATTCAACATGAGATTTAGGCAGGGTCAAGTATCTAAACTATATCACTGTCTGTGATTGGGCGCTATTTTTACATTTTTTTCAATATTTAAAATGTAAGTGAAATTAAAAGCAGATGTCAAAACAGTTAAAGTTATCTTTTATTTTGATATTGATATTTAGTAGGACAAAGTACTTAATTTTTAAGTAGATATTTGTGATCACTTACTTATACTTATGTAACGTGTTTTATCTTCAAATTATATATGAGCCTTTGGAAACTAAGGGCTTTTAGACATCTTTGTATCCTCCATGGTACCTGATATATTGCTTTTCAAGTGTTTGTTAAATTGAATTATTGCCATGTAAAATAGAACAGAAATATAAGTAAATATGTAACCAGTGATTTGACAAGTTTTTACTGTCTTTTATTAATATTATTAATTAATATGTTAAGATAGTTTTTAAAAGAAAAAACGTAATTGTCTGACTTACGAGCCACTTGGCTTTCTGACATCCTATCCTTTCCTATGGAACTCCTTACTGTTAGTTCTATATAATTGTATATATTCTTAAGTTATATGTTTTGTTTCTAGGAGAAAATAGCCAGTATTAGATCAGTCTTGTCAGTCTAATTTAAAATGATGGTTAATGTCAAAGATCCAGTGAAAATAATTTGATAGGCAGTTTTGACCAGGGGTTCTCTAATGTCAATCTTAACCCTATTATCAAAGCAATGAGCAACCCCGTAGTGGGAGACCAGAGGTGGGGGACACACCATTGACCTGATACTGTTTTCCATATGCAAAATGAGAAGGGCTGTAGAAATTGAGAGGATGTGCCAGTTATGTTACTTTAATGAAGAAAGAATTGATAACATTTTATACTTTATTTAATTGAATGTGGGGAACAAAGGAAAGTAATAAAAAATTATTATGAAACATGGTCTTCGGAGTGGGTTAAGTTACAGAATAAGGAATTACTGTGAGGTGGGGCCGTGATATGGAGAAAAAAGATAATGCCAAGAATGACATGGCCCCATGACTAAAATAGTCCACATGATCACGCATGCTAATGAAGAATTTTAATCATATAGATTTATCTCTATTTAAACATATCCAAATTGCAAATTGTTTAAAACAATTTAAACAAATTAAAGATCAACATTTTAATGAGGTCTTTCCTTGTCTACTCCTATCTAAGTAGGTTCCCCTTGTTATTCTGTATTTTCATACCCTGTTTTGTTCTTTGTAATAGATATCATGAATTTGATTGTTTAGCTGGCTGTTTAATTCTAAGTGAGAGGCAGTATTGGGGAGGCAATATTCTTCCTGGTAGGAAGACTCAGGAATTTTTTTTTTTTACTCTTATGACTAGAAAATTCTGTCTCAGTACTAGGATATCCTGAAAAAAAAATCTTTGGACCTCCTAATATTAACGGGAATCTTTATTCATGTTTTATAGATACCATGAATAAGTATTTTTGCACACTGCTTTTTGCCTTGAACTAAAAGTTTACAAGAACTGTAGAGAATACATCCAAAATAGTTCTACTGTAATTTAAAAAGTTTCCTTTAAAATGATCAGGTTTTTATGGAGAAAAAAATCTTAAACCTCTTAATAATTAAGAGTACTTTGGTTGGCATTTATTAGAGGTTCCAGAGTTGGACTCAGCAACTATTTTTCTATTTTAGACAATACACCATTTGAAAAATTTAAGGAAAGGACAGAGGAGGTCATCTGTTCTTGTAACTCATGCTGAATTAATGCCCGACCAGACAGCAATGCATGAAGTTCAAAGACACATTTCCCACCATGCAAATGCACTCTGTCATTTTCATATTGCAGCAAGCATCAACCCTGCCACAGGTAAAGGATAAAGTTTTATTTCCCATAAATATGTTGAAGTCAGGTAAATAAATAGAAAAGTGGAACTACTTTCATAACCTGTTTTTTATTATTTCATGTTGCCTTTAAAATACTTAATTGGAGTAGAGATATAATATAAAGTACCATTTTTTGAATTGGGCCTATGTGATTGGGACTATGTGATTCTCAGGGTATTAACTTCAGTAACTATTTCTGAGCATCTTTGTCTAGACTATAACAAGCATTCCTAGTAAATTAGAGCTGTGATTGAACCTGGTATCACAAGTGGTGGCAGCCTGGTAAATTAGTGTAATTTCTCTCACTTCACAGTTTAAATCTTCCCAACTCTTCTTTATAACCTCCTCTAAATATATTTTTACAAAGTTTTCCTTATATCTCAGCATATCTTGTTTTCTACCCTTGTAGACTTTCTTGTCCTATACTAAGGAAAACACTTTTCCTTCTAACCTGAATATTTTCTTTTCCCTTTTTCCCCTATGTGACTGAGAAGTATTTTGAGGCAGGTTCTGTGTTGGCAAATGCATATTTGAGAGCTTCTATTTAAAGGCAATATGTTTTCCTTCTACATGGAAATGTAGGAGAAAGGCTATAAATTTTATATTACATTGCTCATAGAACTATATAAAGTTTTATATAAAGTTATAGTTGTATGTTATTGAACTGGAGGTCTGTTGCTTCAGAGTGAAGGGGCTTTTATTTTTAAATGTTTCTGTATGTAAATACAGTATTTAGTAAATAGAATTCTAAAAGGGTGATCTGCAGTGGTAACTCTAGATATGTGCTGTTTTATAGAGTAGCCACTGGCCCCGTATTAGCTATTTGAGCACTTGAAATGTGGCTGGTCCAAATTGAGATATGCTGTAAAATACACACTGAATTTCTAAGACTTAGTATAAAAAATAATGAAAAATATTTCATAAATAATTTTATTTCATATTGATTACTTGTTGAAATACTATTTTATATATGTTGAGTCAAATAAAGTATATTATTAAAATTACTATTACCTGTTTCATTTTACCTTTTGTAACGTGGCTATTGAAATATCTAAAATTACTTAACATGTCTTGCATTTTTGGTCTGCATTATATTTCTGTTGGGCAGTGCTTTGCCATCTGATTAAATGTTGTTTTGCTTATATTATCCTTTCTTATCTAATATCTTAATTGTATTCTAAGAATGTCTTTATAATTTGTTTTCAAAATGTGGTTTTAGATTTTTATGAATTTTTAACCTTTTTAAAAGAACCGTTTCTTGAATTACTGTGATAAAAATTCAACTTCAAAACAAAATGCAATTCGTGATAGTCTGCACTAAATTCAATACATATTAGAAACCTTGGCTTTTTAACTGTGTACACTATCCTAATTAGATGGAATAGGATCACAGAGGATGAGCATTCTGTCACATCATTTGAGCCTAAGGACTGGATATGTTCTTGTAGCCATTGGGCCTTGGTCTTCCCCATCTTCTTTACTAACCTTCACTAATTTTATCCATGCTCATCCTAACTTACCTACATATTATTTTAAAAACAATTTTGTTAAAAATGTTTAACATCATGCATTTTTAGTTACTGCATGTAAATATAACATTTAGGTTGACCAAATAGATTACTAAATGCAAATAATTTTATATTGTTAGGACTTGTCCTCTTCACTTTTTTTTCAAAAAATTTTTTGAAACTACAAGAAAGTTGAAAGAATAGTACAGCAAATATCCATATACCACTTACCGAGATTTACCACATATTAACATCTTGTCATTTATTCTTTTGTTCTCCTCCTCTGCCTGTATAGATATGTCTTTGCTGCCTCTTCCCTTATTTTTGACGGAACCATTTGAAAGTAAAGTTGTTGATTACAATACCCTAAATATACCCTAATTATCCTAAATATTTTCCATTACCTAAATATTTAAGAATGTATCTTTTAGTAAAAAGGGAATTTGCCTCCATAGCTGTAATACTGTTATTGCATGTGAGGAACATAGATAAAATAATATCATGTAATATACCATTCATATACAAATATAGATTCCTTTCTTAAATGCAGATTATTTTCTTTAAATTCCTCCAATCTAGAACAGTCCCTTTCTCAATTGTCAAAAAAAAATCTGTTAGTCTCAAAAAGTTGTCTCTCAGTTTTCTTTCAAAATGTCTCACAGTCTGAATATTTGTTAATAAGATTTAGGTTTAACATTCTGAGCAAGATTACTACATAGGCACATAGGTGATGTAGTGTTTTATAGGATTGCTAATTCACAAATCCTATTTTATATGATTTATTTCATTTTTATCACAAAACCAGAATAGTCATCCAGGAACTGGAAAGAAAGAACAAATTAGAGCATTTAACATTCATATTTATTGTAATAGAACATTACCAGAATGTCCATGCATTTTATCTTTAGATTTTCACTTCTTTTTGCAAAGGACAATTTTTCCTTCTGTTGAATGAATTATTTATAATATGGATTGAAATTAAGGAGATTAAGTTTTTGATTTATACCATTTTTTGGGCGGAGGAGGACAGGGTCTTGCTGTGTCACCCAGGCTAGAGTGCAGCCTTGACCTCTCCGGCTCAGGCAATCCTACCACCTCAGCCTCCTGAGTAGCTGGGACCACAGGTGTGTGCCACTACACCTGGCTAATTTTTGTAGTTTTTGTAGAGTCAGTGTCTCGCTGTGTTTCCCAGGCTGGTCCCAAACTCCTAAGTTCAAGCGATCCTCCCGCCTTGGCCTTCAGAAGTGCTAGGATTACAGACATGAGCCACCACACCTGGCCAATTTATACTCTCTTACATGAACTCATCAATTTCATAAATTTCAGTTACCTCAAATGGAGAAATTATCTTATACTTAGAATTTTGCCTGCCTTCTTGTGTTTTTTTCTTGATTTTATTTCCCAACAGCTATTTAGTAAAGTTTCAAACACTGAGAAAAGTTGGAAGAATAGTACAGTTAATACTTTTATATTCTTCACTTTGATTCAACAGTTGTTAACATTTTGCCACAGTTGCTTTATATGTGGCAAATGTCTCTGTGTGTATGTGTATGAAATGTTTTCTTTTCTCTTTCTTTCTTTCTTCCTTTTTTTTTTTGGAAACGGAGTCTTGCTCTGTCACACAGGCTGGAGTGCAGTGGAGTGATCTCAGCTCATTGCAACCTCTACCTCCCGGGTTCAAGCAATTCTCCTGCTTAAGCCTCCCAAGTAGATGGGACTACAGGCACACCCCGCCACACTGGGCTAATTTTTTGTATTTTAGTAGAGATGGGGCTTCACCGTGTTGCCCAGGCTGGTCTCGATCTCCTGAGCTCAGGCAATCCACCCGCCTCTCCCTCCCAAAATGCTAGGATTACAGGCATGAGTCACCGCACATGGTCGAAATGTTTTCTTAGTCTTTTCAAAGTAAGTTACACCTATCATGGTGTATCACCCTTACATTAGCAAGTATCTCCTAAAATTCTCTCACATAATCATAATATCATCATACCTAAGAAAATGATAAGTAATTCCATAATATCTAATATCCAGTTCATATTTAAACTTCTCTAGTTATCTCTTTTATAGCTGCTTTTCTGCTTTAATTTTTCATCCCCTGTCCCCAAACTGGAATTCACTGAAGGTTGATGCATTCGTGTATTTTGTTTTTAAGTTAATAGTTTAATTTCATATGTCTATCATTAATTCTTAAGATTTACATTTACCATTAAATTCAGTTAAAGTTTTTACAAATGCTGCTAAAATTATGTTGACTTGTTTAGCACCTTTTCTTTATATAGATTAGTCATTGTAAGCACTTGTCATGTTTTTAAAGAAATAAAAAAAATTATATTGAAATCTCTTTTATTTCCACAGATATTCCAAATGTCTTGGTTGGCACTGCATTTAATGTTGATGATGGAAATGGGGGCTTTGTAGTTCATTGGTTAAACAACAAGGAATTTCATTTTACATCATCTACAGAAGTATTTATGCATCAATTACGAAAACTTTCTGATAAGCAGGTAGATCATGAAAATGATGATGCAGATAGAGAAGATGAGGAACATTCACAGGAGGATAGAGAACGGGGTTTACATATGAAATTAGACCATGGTTAGTATCCTGTGTTCAGATTTTACTTACTCCAAAGTTAACAGCTTTCTGTGGTACCACTTTTAGTTTTGAATTCTTCCTTCCCGCTCTTCCTCCTTTTTACTTTTCTATTTGTTACACAAGTATTTACTGACCATCTGCCTTGGATCAGGTACTCTGCTAGCCCCTGCAAACATCATCTAACTCTATATGTTCTTTGGAAGCCATATCCTTTTCTGGGGAACAGGTTTTGCTAAATGGTAGTAATAATGATAGGGTGAATGAAGTTTTAATTTATCTAAAAGTAGTAACTGTAGTAACATTCAATTCAGACAAAAGTTTCCTTTGTTTTTTTTTCTGACTGTAAATTGGAAAAGAGATTTAGTTTTTAAAGATAGTATGCCATTTATTTATAGTCTAGTATGTAAATGAATTATTTAATGCTTGTATTGATAAATATATTTTCTGGTTCAGATTTATCCCTGGATAGAGAATCTGAGGCAGGTACAGGATCATCAGAACATGAAGATGGAGAAAGAGAAGGAAGTCCTAGAACTTACTCACGACTTAGTGTACCAATGCCACTGCCTACGGTTCTGCTTGATCGGAAGATTGAAACGCTGCTAACTGAATGGAATAAGAATCCTGATATGCTTTTTACAATACACCCTGTAGATGGTACCTTTCTAGTGTGGCATGTGAAGTATTTGGATGAATATAATCCTGGAATATTTAGACAAGTTCAGGTATATTTTATTGATGAAATAGTTATTACATTTCTTAAAATAGTAAAAAGAAATAAATGCTTTGTAGAGTTAGCATGTTTTTAGAATTACTGAAAATTTTGGTTTTGATAAGCATCTGAGTAAAGAATACTTCTTTCTTTCAGAAGGGATCAGTGACCATAAGCTTAGCAAACTTGATTAGTTAGAAGATAATGAATTTGGCCTTGAAATGCAGTACTGAATATTTAAATATATGTGTTGATTTTTGAGGGAATTAATAATATTTTGAATAAGATTAAGAAACTACCCTGAAAATGTGAATCAGGATGAGCTCCTCCTTGTGGCCAATTTGATGAGCTAAACGAAGCTGCCTTTGTCATCTCTCTCAACTTTATTGCTATTTAGATCTGTGGCTGTGGTCATTTTGTTGTACAAGCAAAGCACTTGAACTTTTTTTCTTCAGCCTTCTCTTAGGCCATGAATAGAGATATGGTATTACCTAAATAGAGCAAGGGGACTGGACCATAAAGAGGTTGAAAATGACATTTTTTGATAAGAAGCTGAGATTTGGTATTTTGAGAATAGAAGTCTTTTTTTTGAGAGGAGGTAAACTATTTGCACTGAATCATATAATTATGTTTTTCAGGTTTCTTTTTCTTCTCGGATTCCTGTTGCATTTCCCTCTGGTGATGCAAGCTCTCTTAGTAAAAATATCATGATGTATGCCTGTATAAATGCGACAAAAGATTCTCACCACACGCTGTTACACCAGGAGGGGATGTCTGTAGGCAGTCCTCACGGATCACAGCCACACTCTAGATCCCACAGTACACATATGAACATCTTAGCTCCCACAGTAATGATGATCTCTAAACACATAGATGGTTCTTTAAATCAGTGGGCAGTCACTTTTGCTGATAAGTCTGCCTTTACCACTGTTCTAACTGTATCTCACAAATTTAGATATTGCGGTCATCGATTTCACCTCAATGACCTGGCATGTCATTCAGTTTTACCACTGTTATTGACATCCTCTCATCATAATGCTCTATTGACTCCTGAATTAGATTGTCAGTGGGACTCAGACAATAAATTAAGTAGATTAATGGACCCTGTAAAACATATAAAAGGTTCCTCGAAACAACCTCTTAGAAATGCAGCAACTCGTACATTTCATGACCCAAATGCAATCTACAGTGAACTTATTCTGTGGCGTGTAGACCCAATAGGACCTTTGTCATACACTGGAGGAGTATCAGAATTGGCTCGAATTAACTCTTTACATACCTCAGCGTTCTCTAATGTGGCTTGGCTTCCAACTCTCATTCCCAGTTACTGTCTAGGTAAGTGTTCATTGTAATTGTGAAATTAACACAAGCTTTTAAACTATTATTTGTTATATACGAAATGGTTTATATTTGTTGTCATTAAGATTTTTAATAAGTATTCAGTTTTCATTAAGGTGATTTTTAATAAATATTCAGAATACAGGCATGAGACTGATTTTTAGAACTTCCAGAAGTTTTTAACCTTTTCTCTCATAATCCATTTTTTAATTAAACTTTTTGTTAATAATTTTGTATCTACTTATTGTGCCTGTTTAATTATGATTCTAGACCATGGTTAAGCCTAAAAAAAATGTGAATACTTGTTTCTTATCCTTTAGCCAATAAGAAAAATACACTACATGTTTAGAACCCAGAGGCCTTGTTTTCCTTTCTCAGGCACATACTGCAATTCTGCAAGTGCTTGCTTTGTTGCTTCTGATGGCAAAAATCTGAGACTCTATCAAGCTGTAGTGGATGCAAGGAAATTATTAGATGAATTGTCAGACCCAGAATCTTCAGTAAGTATTTAATAATCTTTATTAATTTATCTAAGGAGATAAAGAATTCTCTTTTGACTTTGTCTAGGACCTGTGTTTGTTAGTTGCTGTTTAGGGAGTAAGTATATGTTCTGGGCTGCATATGACATATATATGACACATTTATTTTTTCCTAAGCTGTGTTCCAAGGTACATGAATCAAAATTTTAGTGTACATACCACACATTAATACATTTTACATGAAAAGAAATAAAAAGGATTTTTTTCTAAAATATTATTTGTTTGTAACATATTTTACTCTCTAGTTTGGTTCTGTTAGTCTTACTTTGCTTAAAAGAAGTTTTAAGGCATCTTTACCAAGCTGTATGTTTAGGTTGGAAAATTGGAACTTTTTCAAGCTTGATTCACCATTTTAAAAAATTCTCTGGTTAGAATTTGTTATCAGTGGGTGGCAGCATCTCATTCTGATAGTTCTGTATCTGAGCTGGAAGTCATATATGTTAGTATCTAGAGTTGAACAGTAGATTTTCCATTTACCTATAAAAACAACTATTCTAATAAAAATGTTTCCAGTATTGAAAACCAATGACTATTTTTGAGCATCTACTATGTTCTCCTAGATGTAGAGGGAATACAAAATATAAGTTTCAGACCTACCTTTAAGGAGCTTTTAATTTAGCTGAAGAGAGAGCTTATTAATAAAAAGTTAAGTAGCAGTTTAAGACATAAGAAGAGGAGTCTAAGGGTGGTATGTAATTAATTGCCAAAAGGATGGCCCTAGAAGTGTTTCATTATTCAGAGGAGAGAGAGAGATCAGATTAAGGTAGGCATAGAATTCTTTATTAAGGACAATATTTGGGTTCATTCTTGATGAGTGGATAAGATTTAGAAAGATAAATTCTTTGTCTTTGCCTGAGTGAGAAAATTGCCTGGAAGTAAGTATAGATACAGGAAAGTACATGTGTAAAGCTTGTTCCAGAAACAGTGAGAAAACCATTTGGATTGGAGCTTAAGGTTTGACATAGAGAAAGTCTAGAAAAATAGAATCATAGAACTAGAATTGGAAGATATTTTAAAGGTCACCTGGTCTCACCAGCCATCTGATGCTTTATTCCCCTCTGCTTCATTCCTGCCAATTTGTCATCTGGCCATCGATGAGGGAGACTCAACTCTAAATGCAGCTCATTCTATCCTTGAATAGCTCACACAATCATATTGAAACGCTATTTGTTTTGTGTACATTCTACTTGCTAGTGCTAGTTCTACTTAGAATAAATCTAATATTTCTTGCGTATGAGAGTACCTCAAGATATTAAAAGACAGCTTTCTTGTAACCTGTGAACCTTACTACCTCAGGCCAAATCTGCTCCCCCTGTGCCTATCAAGTTTCTTTATCTGTTTTACATTTGACCCTGGTTACTCTTCTGAGCAGTTTTCAGTTTGTCTGTACTCTGAGCCTTGTAGGATGACTAAAACATAGCAATATTGTGACCTCTCTCATTAGATACATTTATGTTTTGACAGTCACTCCACATTCTTCGTATGTAATTGACTCATCATGAGCTGACTGTCAATATCCCGAAGTCTTTCCCCCTCCCTGCTCTCTGCTAAACCTTGTCTTCTCCATTCTGTATTTGTACATTTGGATTTGGGGTCCAAATGTAGACCTATTTTTCCTATTACATTTCATCTTGCTAAGCACAACTAAACAGTCCAATCTCTCAGTATCTTTTTGAATCTGGATTATGTTATTTAATGTATTTGTTTTTGCTTTATGACTATGTCACCAGCCTGTTTGAAGAGTGTTATACCTGCACCATCTGAGTCAGTTATTAATATGATAAATAGGCAGGTCTGAAGAAAGAGCCTAGCAGTATACATTTGAAATCTTTCTCCATTTTCATTTTTTGGAATGTTTTCCAGCTTGTTTCAAGGATTTCTGTGAGACAGCTTGCCATATACTTTGCTGAAATAAAATACAGTCTTTCTATCTTCTGCAGTCAACGAAGAAAGTCAAAGTTACATGAGGTGATTTGTTTTAATATATGATAGGTGTAATGTGCACACCTTGACATCACTTGGTGACCAAAACATTGTACTAGGTAGACATTAAGCTCCTTGGTCTGCCCTGCAGAAGTATGTTCTTTTCCTTTTTGAAAATGGGAATTTTTGCCTGTTTTTAGTTTTTTGCTATTGATGTCATTCTCCATGATTTGGGGGATTTTGTGTTTTCTTATGGTTCTATTTGTTCTCCATTATACTCAGTGTTTTGTTTTTGGTGGTTCCTCAAGGTTTTATAATATGCATCTTTAACCTCTCATAGTCTACCTTCAAATAATAATATAGTACTCAAAATATAATGTAGCCAGGCACGGTGACTCACACCTGTAATCCAAGCACTTTGGGAATGAGATGGGAAGATTGCTTGACCCCATGAGTTCAAGACCAGCCTGGGCAACATAGTGAGACCCCCCCATCTCTAAATATATACAGTAAACAACTTTCAATAGTGTCCCCAATCTCCCTCTCCTGTGGTCTTCAGCATGCATGTCCTATGAATGTTTTGTTAGGTTTATACATAAGTATTTCATTTATTCTACTGACTGTAAAGGGTGCTGTCTTTTTAATGTTGGTGTCCATGTAGTTATGGCCAGAATATACAAATACAATTGAATATACAAATACAATTGAATTTTGTATGTTTATCTTATATCCTGTAACATTGCTGAATGCATATATTAGGTGTAGGAGTGTTTTTGGTAGATTTCTTGGACTTTTCCATGTAGATAATCATCTCATTATAAATGGGAACAATTTTATCTCTTCCTTTCTAATCTGTATGGCTTTTATTTTTCTTATTTTGTTGCAGTGACTAAAACTTCCAACTCCATGTTGAATAAGAAGTGAGATTGGATGTTCTTGCCTTCTTCCCATTTTTGGAGGAAAAGCATTCAGTCTTTGATCATTACATATAATGTTAGTTGCAGGTTTAAAAAATTTTTTTAAAATTTTTGTGGGTACATAGTAGATGTATATATTTGTGGGGTACATGAAATGTTTTGATATAGGCATGCAATTCTTAGTAATCAAATAATGGAAAATGGGGTATCTATCACCGCATACATTTATCCTTTGTGTTACAAATGATCTAATTACACTCTTCTAGTTATTTTTAAATGAGCAATTAAATTATTGACTATAGTCACCCTGTTGTGCTATCAAATACTAGGTCTTATTAATTCTAACTATTTTTTTGTACACATTAACCATCCCTACCTCCCTGCCAATCCCTTACGACCCCTCCTAGCCTCTGGTAATCACCCTTCTACTCTATCTCTATGGGTCCAGTTGTTTTGATTTTTAGCTCCCATAAATAAGTGAGGACATGCAACGCTTGTATTTCTGTGCCTGGCTTATTTCACTTAAAATAACGACCTCCAGTTCCATCCTTGTTGCTGCAAAATGACGGAATCTCATTTTTTTTTTTGGCCAAGTAGTACTCTGTCGTATGTAAGTACCACATTTTTTTTTTCTTCATCCATTCATCTGTTGATGGATACTTAGGTTGCCTCCAAATCTTGGTTGTTTTGAACAGAGCTGCAACAAACATGGGAGTGCAGATACCTCTTCAGTATACCAATTTTCGTTCTTTTGGGTATGTGCCCAGCAGTGGAATTGCTGGATTGTATGGTAGGTCTATTTTAGCTTTGTGAGCAACCTCCATACTGTTCTCTATCATGGTTGTACTAATTTACATTCCCACCAATAGCATATGAGGGTTCCCTTTTCTCCACATCTATGCCAACATTTGTTATTGCCTGTCTTTTGGATATAAGCCATTTTAACTGGGGTGAGATGATATCTTATTGTAGTTTTGATTTGCATTTCTCTGATGATCTGTGATATTGGGCACCTTTTCATATGTCTGTTTGCCATTTGTATGTCTTCTTTTAAGAAATATCTGTTCAAATGTTTTGCCCATTTTTTGATCAGATTACTAGATTTTTTCCTGTAGAGTTGTTTGAGCTTCTTATATATTCTGGTTATTAATCCCGTTTCAGATGAGTAGTTTGAAGATATTTTCTCTCATTCTGTGGGTTGTCTCTTCACCTTGCTGATTGTATCCTATGCTTTTTAACTTGATGTGATCCCATTTGTGCATTTTTGCTTTGGTTTCCTGTCCTTGTCATATATTACTCAGGAAATGTTTGCTGAGACCAATGTCCTGGAAAGTTTCCCCAATGTTATCTTGTAGTAGTTTCATAGTTTGAGGTCTTAGATTTAAATCTTTAATCCATTTTGATTTGATTTTTGTATGCAGTTAATGATAGGGGTCTGGTTTTATTCTTCTGCATATGGATATCCAGTTTTCCTGGCACCATTTATTGAAGAGACTGTCTTTTCTCCATTGTATATTCTTGGCACCTTTGTCAAAAATGAGTTCACTGTAGGTGTGTGGATTTGTGTCTGGGTTCTCTTTTCTGTTCCATTGTTCTCTGTGTGTGTTTTTATGCCAGTACCATGCTGTTTTGATTACTGTAACTCTGCAGTATTATTTGAAGTCAGATAATATGATTTTTCCAGTTTTGTTCTTTTTGCTTAGGATAGCTTTGGCTATTCTGGGTCTTTTGTGGTTCCATATGAATTTTAAATCTTTAAAAAATTTCTATAAAGAATGTCAGTGGTGTTTTTATAGGGATTGCATTGAATCTGTAGATTGCTTGGGGTAGTGTGGACATTTTAACAATATCAGTTCTTCCAATCCATGAGCATGGAATATCTTTCCATTTTTTTTGTCCTCTTCAATTTCTTTCATCAGTGTTTTACAGTTTTCATTATAGAGATCTTTCACTTCTTTCATGAATTCCTAGGTTCTTAATATTATGTATGGCTATTGTAAATGAGATTACTTTTTGTTTGCTTGTTTGTTTTTGAGACGGAGTCTCTGTCACCCAGGCTGGAGTGCAGTGGTGTGATCTCAGCTCACTGCAACCGCTGCCTCCCAGGTTCAAGTGATTCTTCTGCCTCAGCCTCCAGAGTAGCTGGGACTACAGGCATGTGCCACCATGCCCGGCTAATTTTTTTTTTTTTTTTTTAGTAGAGATGGGGTTTCATTGTGTTAGCCAGGATGGTCTCGATCTCCTGACCTCGTGATCTGCTCGCCTCAGCCTCCCAAAGTGCTGGGATTACAGGGGTGAGCCACTGTGCCCAGCTGAGATTACTTTTTCAAAATTTCTTTTTCAGATTTTTTGCTGTTGGCCTATAGAAATGCTACTGGTATTTGTATGTTGATTGATATCCTGGAACTTTACTGAATTTATCAATTCTAATGGTTTTTGGTGGAGTCTTTAGGTGTTTCCAGATGTAAGATCATGCTTTCTGCCAACAAGGATAATTTGACTTCTTCCTTTCCAATTTGGATGCCTTTTATATCTTTCTTTTGTCTGATTGCCTGAGCTGGCACTTTCCGTACTACGTTGAATAACAGTGGTGAAAGTGAGCATCCTTATTGTGTTCTAGATCTTAGAGGAAAGGCTTTCAGTTTTTCCCCATTCGGCATGATACTAGGGTATAGAAGGTATGTTCCTTCTATACCCACTTTTTTTAGAGTTTTCATCATGAAGGGCTGTTGAATTTTATCATGCTTTTTTAGCATTAATTGATGCTAAAAAATTTTTGTCCTTCATTCTGTTGTCCTTCATTCTGTTGATGAAATGTATCACATTGATTGATTTGTATGTGTTGAACCATCCTTGTGTCCCTGTTATGATAAATGATCTTTTAATCATTTTAATCATATTGTTGAATTTACTTGGTAGTGTTTTGTTTAGGATTTTTGCATCAATATTCATCAGAGTTATTGACCTGTAGTGTTCTTTTTTTGATGTGTCTTTGTTTGGTTTTGGTGTCAAGGTAATACGGCCTCATAGAATGAGTTTGAAAGTATTCCTTCCTTCTCTATTTTTCAGAATAATTTTAGTGGGATTGGTATTCGTTCCTTTTTATATGTTTGGCAGCATTCAGCAGCAAAACCATTGGGTCCTGGGCTTTTCTTTACTTAGAGACTATTTATTATGGCTTTGATCTTGTTACTTGTTTTACTGATCTATTCAGGTTTTGGACTTCTTTTGTGGTTTAGTCTTGATAGGTTGTATGTGTCTAAGAATTTGTCCATTTCTTGTAGATTTTGCAATTTATTGGCATATAGTTGATCATAGTAGCCACTGTTGATCCTTTCAATTTCTTTGGCATCAGTTGTAGTATCCCTTTTTTCATCTCTGATTTTATTTATTTGGGTCTTTTCTTTCTTTTTCTTAGTCTGGGAAAAAACTTGTCAATTTTGTTTTATCTTTTCAAAAAATTAACTTTTTGTTTTATTAATCTTTGTATGATTTTCTTTGTTTCAATTTAATTTATGCTCTGATCTTTATTATTTCTTTTCCTTTACCAATTTTGGGTTTGGTATGCTCTTGCTTTTCTAGTTCTTTAAGAGTCATCGTTAGGTTGTTTATTTGAAGTCTTCCTTGTTTTTTGATGTAGGCACTTACAGCTATAAACTTCCCTCTTTTAGTACTGCTTTTGCAGTATCCCATAGATTTTGGTATGTCATGTTTTCATTATCATTTGTTTCAAGAAATTTTTCAATTTTCTTTTTAATTTCTTCATTGACTCACTTGTCATTCAGGAGCATATTGTTTAATTTCCATATGTTCGTATAGTTTCCAAAATTCCTTGTTATTGATTTCTAGTTTTATTCCAATGTGGTCAGAGAAGATGCTTGATATTATTTCATTTCTTAAAATGTTTTAAGACTTGTTTTGTGACCTAACGTATGGTCTGTCCTCGAGAATGATCCATGTGCTGAGGAAAAGAATGTATATTCTGTAGCTGTTGGATGAAATGTTCTGTAAATATCTATTGTTTTTGATAGTACAGATTAAGTCTGATGTTTCTTTGTTGATTTTCTGTCTAGAAGATATGTCCAATTCTGAGTGATGTCGAAGTCTCAAGCTATGATTTTATTGGGGTCTATCTCTTTCTGTAACTCTAATATTTGCTTGATATATCTGGGTGCCCCAGTGTTGGGTGCATATACATTTAAAATTGTTATATTCTCTTGCTGAATTGACCCCTTCAGCATTATATAGTGACCTTCTTTGTCTCTTCTTACAGTTTTTGTCTTGAAAACTATTTTGTCTGATACATAGTATCAGAAAATAATGATACTGATATCAGTATATCTGTCTGATATAAGTATAGCTATTCCTGCTCTTTTTTGGTTTCCATTGGCATGGAATATCTTTTCCCACCTCTTTATTTTCAGCCTGTGTGTGTCTTTATGTGTGAAGTGTGTTTTTTGCAGGCCACAGATTATTGAATTTTGTTTACCCATTCAGCCACTATATGTCTTTTGATTGGAGAATTTAGTCCATTTAGTCCAAGTAATTAGTAAGTAAGGACTTACTCCTGCCATTTTGTTATTTGTTTCTGGTTGTTTTGTGGTCTTCCTTCTTTATTTCCTTCCTGTGTTTCTTTTAGTGAAGTTGACTTTTGCTGGTGGTGTGATTTAGTTTTTTGCTTTTTATTTTTGGTGTATTCACTGTATGTTTTCTAATTTGAGGTTACCATGAAGCTTGCAAATATTACCTTACAACCCATTATTTTAAGCTAATTATGACTTAACACTGTTTGCATAAATAAACAAGCAAAAAGAAAACTAATAAAGGCTCTACTCCTTAACTTTGTCCTGCTACAACTTTTTGTTGTTACTATTTGTATCTTTTTGTACCATCTGTATCTTGAAAAGTTGTAATTATTATTTTTGATTGATTCATCATTTAGTCTTTCTACTTAAGATCAATTTACACACCACAGTTACAGTGTAATATTCTGTGTTTTTCTGTGTACTTACTATTACCAGTGAGTTTTGTACCTTCAGATGACTTCTTTTTTTTTTTTTTGGAGGCAGAATCTCGCTCTTTCACCCAGGGTGGAGTGCAGTGGCACCATCTCGGCTCACTGCAACCTCTGCCTCCTGGGTGCAAGCAATTATCCTGCCTCAGCCTCCCGAGTAGCTCACTCGCACACTGCCACGCCCAGCTAATTTTTTGTATTTTAGTAGAGACAGGGTTTCACCGTGTTGCCCAGGCTGTTCTTGAACTCCTGAACTCAGGCAATCTGCCCTCCTCGGCCTCCCAAAGTGCTAGGATTACAGGCATGAGCCACCACGCCTGGCCCAGATGACTTCTTATTGCTCATTAATGTCCTCTTTTTTCTGATTTAAGAACTCCTGTAACATTTCTTGTATGACACGTCTGGTGTTGATGAAATCCCTCAGTTTTTGTCTGTCTGAAAAAGTTTTTAGTTATCCTTCATGTTTGAAGGATATTTTTACTAGATACACTCTTCTAGGGTAAATTTTTTTTTCTTTTCAGCACTTCAAATATGTCATGCCTTTCTCCTGGCCTATAAGGTTTCCACTGAAATTCTGCCGCCAGACGTATTGGAGCTCCACTGT
This sequence comes from Homo sapiens, assembly GCF_000001405.40. Lineage (NCBI taxonomy): Eukaryota > Metazoa > Chordata > Mammalia > Primates > Hominidae > Homo > Homo sapiens. The sequence continues at coordinate 51,527,165 of NC_000015.10, read as the reverse complement.
ATGTTATTTGTTTCTTTTCTCTTGATGCTGTTGGGATCCTTTCTTTATCCTTGACTTTTGGGAGTTTGATTATTAAATGCCTCGAGGTAGTCTTCTTTGAGTTAAGTCTGCTTGGCGTTCTATAGCCTTCTTGTACTCGGATATTGATGTCTTTCTGTAGTCTTGGGAATTTCCCTGTTACTATCCCTTTGAATAAACTTTCCACCCCTACCTCTTTCTTTACCTCCTCTTTAAGGTCAGTGACTCTTAGATTTGCCCTTTTGAGGTTATTTTCTGGATCCTGTAGATGTGCTTCGTTGTTTTTTATTCATTTTTCTTTTGTCTCCTCTGTGTGTTTTCAAACTCATAAATTATTTCTTCTGCTTCATCAATTCTGCTATTAAAAGACTCTGATGCATTTTTCAGTATGCTAGTTGCATTGTTTAGCTCCAGAATTTCTGCTTGATTGTTTTTAATTATTTAAATTTCTTGTTAAATTTATCTGATAGAATTCTGAATTTGTTGTCTGTGTTATCTTGAATTTCTTTGAGTTTCCTCAAAACAGCTATTTTGAATTCTCTGTCTGGAGGTCACATATCTCTGTTTCTCCAGGATTGGTCTCTGGTACCTTATTTGGTTGATTTGGTGAGGTCATGTTTTCCTGAATTGTCTTGATAGTTGTAGATGTTCTTTGGTGCATGGACATTGAGGAGTTAGGTATTTGTTGTAATCTTCACAGTCTGAGCTTACTTGTATCTGTCCTTGGGAAGGCTTTCCAGATATTTAGAAGGACTTGGGTTTTGTGATCTAAGCTGTATCTGCTTTGGGGGGACCCCAAGCCCATTAATGCTGTGGTTCTTGCAGACTCTTCGAGGTACTGCCTTGATGGTCTTGGACAAGATCTGGAAGAATTCTCTGGATTACCAGGCAGAGACTCTTGTTCTCTTCTTTTACTTTATTCCTAACAAACTCCCATTCTCTCTCTCCCTCTCTCTCTCCCCCCACCCACCCCCCTTCTTTCTCTCTCTCTCCCACCCCCTCTCTCTCCCTCTCTCTCCTTCCCCCTCCCTCTCTCTTTCTCTCTCTCTTTTCTGAGCCATCTAGAGATGGGAGTGGAGTGTCACAAGCACCCCTGTGGCCATCACCTCTAGGACTGTGCTGGGTCACACCTGAAGCCAGCACAGCACTGGTTCTTGCCCAAAGCCTGCTGTAACCACTCCCCAGCTACCACCTATGTTCTCTCAAAGCCCTGGGGCTCCTGCAGTCTGCAGGTAGCAAAGTCAGCCGGGCCTGTGTCCTTCCCTTTAGGGTGACAAGTTCCCTCATACACTGGGCTGGTCTAGAAGTACCATCTGGGAGGTAGGGAGCAGAGTCAATAATCTTAGAAATCTACCTGGTGTTCTATTGTACTGTGGCCGAGCTGGTACTCAAACCACAAGACACAGTCCCTCCTACCCTTCTCTCTCCTTTCCAAAGGCAGACGAGCTTCACCCTGTGGCCACCAGGACTTCAGGCCTACAGGGAGTACTTCCAGACTACTACCAATGTTTTCTTAAGGATCAGGAGCTCTTTGGTTAGCTTGTTGTAAATGCTGCCTAGTCTGAGACTCACCATTTCAGGGCATTGGGCTCCCTTCTGGCCCACAGAAGATCCAGAAATGCTGTAAGAGCCAGGTCCTAGAACTGGGGACTCCAAGAGCCTGCTTGGTGCTCTACTCCCTTGTGGCCAAGCTGGTACCTAAGATGCAAGATAAAGTTCCCTTTACTTTTGCCTCTGCTTCTCTCCAATTTTAATATATGTGCTGTCGAAGCGAGCACATTGCCCCTCCTTTTCTCTAGCAGGAGTCTTGCCCTGTAGCTACCATAGCTGGGAATGTGCCGAGTCTCACCTCAAGCCAGCCAGTCTCAGGGTCTCATCCAAGACCCCTGGCACAGTACCTGGATATTGCTGCTGGTTATTCAGGGCCCAGAGGCTCTTCAGTTAGCAGGTGATGAATCCTGCCAGGGGTCTTTCCCCTCATGGCAGTGGATTCCTTTCTGGCCCAGGGTGTGTCTACAAATGTCGTGTGGGAAATAGGGCCTGGAAAGGGAGCCTCATGACTCTGACTGGTGTCTTATCCTGCTGTAGCTGAGCTGGTATCCAAGATGCAAAACAAAATCCTCCCCACTCTTCTGTCGCCTCTCTTCAAGCAGAAGGAAGGAGTCTCCTTTGGAGCCGTGAGTTGTACAGCCTGGGGTTAGGGAAGGGATGATGCCAGCACTTTTTTAGCCATCCCGCCTGGTGTCTCAGTAGGTTGCATGCCTCCCCAGCCCACTGTCTTTGGCCCAGTTCAGCCCTAGGACTCATCTAGGAGTTGCAGACCTTGTGGCCTAGATTGCCTTTCAAGTTTATTTAAGGCCCCAGAGAACCTGAGCCTTGTGGTGGCAAGGCTTTTGGGGAATCAAGCTCAGACAGATAGGATCAGCGATTCCCCTCTGGGTAGGGCTCCCTCCATGGGTGAGCGTCAGCTGAGTTTGGTCTGGTTTTTCTTTCTGCTATATAACAAGGCAGCACTGACTTCAGTGCTCACAGTTGCTTGCTCTTCCTTTCCCCAGTGCACAGAAACTCTCTCAGCACCACGCTGCTGCTGCCAGGGTGTGGGAGAAGAGTGGTGTTGGTGATTCAAGTGTGTGTTTCCTACCTCTTCAGTGCTTCTTTCAGTGATAATGAAGTTAAAACTGGGTACTGTGAATGCTTACCTGATTTTTGGTTCTTATGAAGGTGCTTTTTTTCGTATAGTGGTTAAATTGGTGTTCTTGCTTGGGGGACGATTGGGGGAGCCCTCTATTCTGCCATCTTCCTCTATTCCTACCTCCAGCTGTTGGGTTATTTGTAGATACTCTTTATCAAGTTGAGGAATCAAGAAAATTAACAAACCTAGAGGAGAACTTCCTCATATGTTTTGATTTCCTTTGAGAATTTCTCTTCGACCCTCGATTACTTAGAAGTGTAAGATTTAGCTTCCAAGCGTCCTGTTACTGATTTCTAGTTTGATTCCGTCATGGTAGAAAAATGTACCGTATGATTTCAGTCCTTTTTAGTTTGTTGAAGTTTGTTTCATGGCCCAGGACCTGGTCTATTTTAGTACATGTTCCACTCACTAAGCACTTAAAAGAATGTGTATTTTGTTGTTATTGGGTAGAGTGTTCTATGAATGTTAATTAATCCTGTTTTGATTGATGGTGTTGTTGAGTTCTTCTGTATCTTTACTGATTTTCTCCCTAATCATTCTATCAAGTCTTGAGAGCGAGGTATTGCAGTCTCCAACTATATTGTGAATTTGTCTGTTTCTCCTTTTACTTCTATAAGTTTTTGCTTCACATAGTTTTCAGCACTGTTCTTTGGTGTATATACATTTAGTTCAAATTCAAGGTGTTGGCAAGGCCATGCTCTTTCTGATATTCAAGGGGAGGATCCTTCCTTGCCTCTTCCTAGATTGCTCCTGGCAGTCCTTGGTGTTCTTTGGCTTGTAGCTGCATCACTGTCTTCTCATGGCCTTCGTCCATCTGAGTGTCTCTGCGTATCCTTTTTTTGTAAGGACAGAAGTCATTAGATTTTGCACCTACTGTAATCCAGTGTGACCTTTTTTTAAACTAGTTATGTCTGCAAGACCCTACGTTCAAACAAGGTTACATTCCGAGATGCTGGGTGGACATGAATTTTGGGAGGACACTATTTAACCCACTACTCTGATCAACTTTCTTTTCTCATCAGTTATATTTGTAGTTGCATAGTCAGGAACTTTCAAAGTCTCTTGAGCCTCCAGACTTCCTTGAGCCATTTTGACTTTGAGACCCCCATGCTATAAGGCATTCTGGGATTTTTTAACCTTTCTAAAATATAGACTATAGAGTCTTGCTCTTATTTTCAGTCTTAAACTCTTAAGATGACATGACTACTTTCTGTCACATTTCCATTATTTCTGCTCATCGTTTTGATTTTCTTAATACAATAGCAGTTCTCCTACTTACTTCTTCTACTAATTGTGAGGCAAAATGTAGCAAGAATTTGTCACATGCTCTCCTATTCCTTAAATGAGATTTTTAGTAGATGACAAGTAAAGGCTAGCTTTTTAAAAATTTTGTAACAGATACTTGAAAGCTATAAATATTGTTCTGTAGGTAGAGGGGTAGATTTAGGAAGCACAGGAAGGGAAATAAAGTGATTAACTTGCAGGGTAGAGTAGAATTGGTAGGTACTGGAAGCATGGAGATAGCAGGGAGTCTGTTGAGGCCAACTAAGCATGTGGGAAAACAAACCTGATCTAAAGTGGGATTTCATAGTCTAGGAAAGGAGAAGAGCAGAGCTTAGTAGCTGCTTGAATATGGATATGAAAACAGAGGATTCCAAGTGTGATAGTTGTTCCAGTAGCTATGGCAAGATAGTTTTGAGGTATTTACAATGAGTTAAATTTGGGACATGTTGAATGTGAGGTGACCTTGGTTTTAGATTCCTAAGTTTGGCTTGTTTGTTTATTTATTTATTTTATGTTTTTATTTTTTTGAGACAGAGTCTTGCTCTATCAGCCCAGGCTGGAGTGCAGTGGCATGATATCAGCTCACTGCAACCGCTGCCTCCTAGGTTCAAGTGATTCTTGTGCCTCAGCCTCCTGAGTAGCTGGGACTACAGGCGTCTGCCACCATGCCCAGCTAATTTTTGTATTTTTAGTAGCTAGGGGTTTCACCATATTGGCCAGGCTGGTCTTGAACTGCTGACCTCAAGTGAGCCAGCCGCCTCGGCCTCCCAAGTGCTGGGATTACAGGCGTGCACCACTGCGCCCAGCCCCTAAGTTTGGTTTAGATTGGAGATACTCCTAATGTTCCACATTAGGTACCAGTGCACATTTGGGATTTATTATTACAAAGACAGTACTTGAAGTCATTAGATCTCTAAAGGCATTAGTAATAGTTAATGTTCATAAATATGACTGTCAGTCATCAAGAAGAGATTTATGTTTAGCAGGCTATTTATGAAGACAGGGATTAAGTTTTTTTTATTCCATTTAAAGTATCAAAGATACAGTTGTTTTGGTGCCTAAAAAATAAGCTTTTGAATATCTAGATTGGTGAGATGCTAGATTGGTGAGATCCATTCATTCAGGTATTTAGTGAGTACTTACTAAGGTATTCTACAAATAAATAAAGGAGAAGTCATGATGAAAGATAGGGTGGTATAGTGTGTGCTGCTATTAGTAAAAACAAGCTTTTAAAGTAGGAATGATCTAAAGTGTAATTTGTTTTCACTCAGTAACTTATTTACTCAATCTTTAATTTTTATTGAGGACTCACTGTGCATAACCTTATAGTACATGGAAGAATAAATGTGCATATTGTACCAGGTGCTAAGAGTGTTAAAATGAATAGAAGTAGTCCCTACTTTCAAGGATCTTGTATCTATAGAGTCATATAAATATGTACATATAGTATGTAATAAGTGGTAAATTAGAAGAAAAGGCTGATTTCAGGATGTGAAATTCATTTAATTGGCCTCCACTTAAGCCAGCTCATTGGATTCATTGATGCTGTCCATTCCTTCTATAAAATATAGGATGGATGCTCATAGGGAATAGTATACCAGGCTTTGTTGATTCCACAAGTTGACTTGTAACCTTAACAATAATAACAGCTGGGAAAGTTATTTAACCTGAAAAAAATGCTGCTACTACTACTACTACTACCACTACCACTACTACTACTACTACTACTACTACTACTACTACTACTACTACTACTAGCAAACTTTTATCTAGTGATTATTGTATGTCAGGCTGTCTTCTAAATGTTTTATATATATTAACTCACTTAACCTTCCTGGTAACCTTAAGAAAAATGTAATATTACTATCCATACTTTAGAGGTAAGGACACTGAAGCATAGAGAAACTTAATTACTTGTCCCAGTTTAGTCAGCTAGCAATGGTAGGACCAGGATTTGAACCCAAGCAGCCTAGCTCTAGAGACCAAACTCTTACAACTACGGCTGTCACTCAAGAGCCAGCTGTGTTTATTTTCAACCTTGTATATGTCAAGTTGTACATATTAGTGTCATTCTTAACTTAATTAAATATTATATAAATTGATGAAATGTGAGTATAAAAAACGTGAATGTTTTTATAAAAATAAGTGCTTTGGAAGCAATTTTGCTAAAAATCACTAATTAGGCATGGTCAAAACAACTGTAAAAGATTCAGGAGGAAATGGTTTAAGAAAAACTGCACTCGAATTGCTTTGTAGGTGTCTTTATGTTTTTACTCCCATTTATGTATTTATGTATTTATTTATTTATTTATTTTGAGTCTGAATCTTGCTCTGTCATCCAGGCTGGAGTGCAGTGGCGCGATCTCAGCTCACTGCAACCTCTGCCTCCCAGGTTCAAACGATACTCCTGCTTCAGCTTCCTGAATAGCTGGGATTACAGGTGCGCACTGCCACGCCCAACTAATTTTTGTATTTTTAGTAGATACAGGGTTTCACCATGTTGGCCAGGCTGGTCTCAAACTTTTGACCTCAGGTGATCCACCCAGCTCGGCCCCCCAAAGTGCTGGGATTAGAGGTGTGAGCCACCGTGTCAGCCTATTCCCATTTAAAGAACTGAAAAATACAGCCAGGGCCTTACAGGGGTGGCATACGCAAGAAAGACCTGTAATTCCCATTAGCAAGCCCATACTCCAGGGTCTTACTCAACACCAAAATATCAGTTATTTGTATACGTTTATGTTTAAAATAAAACAAAATGTTTAAAGTATACATATTATTTTAAAAATGATTCTCTGGGTTAACTGACCTTGCTGAGTGATTTGTCCTCTCTCTGTCCAATGCTGTCAGTTAAGATGGCTTTTCTTATAGTTAGAAGCAACATTTAATCCAGATTGTGATGGTTAGGAAAGAATTTCTGGTGGAGATAGATATCTGAGATAAGACTTACTGAATGGGTAAGACATGAAAGTGAAGGAGGAAAAGGATATTTCAGGTAGAGATAACAGCAACTAACAATGCACAGAGGTAGAAGAATGTGCATAGTAAACTGTAAGTAGTTTATTACAGCCATAGCATAGAATGTGAATGGCTGTTGGAAATAGCTGAGACTGGATAGGAAGTTAGAGGTTAGATTGTGAAAAAATTTGTATTGCTTTCTTTATGATTTTGCTCTGCTTTCTCAAAGTCTGTTCTCAACATAGGAGTTAGAATGATGCCCTTAAAACGTAGTTCAGGGCTGGGTGCGGTGAACCCTGTAATCCTAGCATTTTGGGAGGCCGAGGCAGGTGGATCACGTGAGGTCAGGAGTTCAAGACCAGCCTGGCCAACATGGTGAAACCCTGTCTCTACTAAAAATACAAAAATTAGCCAGGTGTGGTGGCGTGCACCTGTAGTCCCAGCTACTCGGGAGGCTAAGACAGGAGAATCACTTGAACTCGGGAGGCGCAGGTTGCAATGAGCCAAGACCATGCCATTGCATTTCAGCCTGGGCAGCAAGAGTGAAACTCCATCTCAAAAAAAAAAAAAAAAAAAAAAACAAGAGACTTTGTCAAAACCAGAGAAGCAAAGAAGGAGATTTTGAAAATATTATTAATGTGTTTGTTTCCATTAAAGCCAGAAAAATAAAACTATAATTAGTCCAATTTCTGGTATAAATAAATTTAAACTTAAAGTAATATGTGAGTTTTAATGCACCTACTTTTCAATTTTTTAGCATTTTTTAACTACTTTGATGTTCTGGAAAAATGTTAACTACAGCCAGGTGTGGTGGTTTATGCCTGTAATCCCAGTGCTTTGGGAGGCTGAGGTGGGAGGATTGCTTGAGGCCAAGAGTTTGAGACTAGCCTGAGCAACATAGTGAGACCCTGTCTCTACAAAAAAATTAAAAAATTTGTCAGGCATGGTTGCATGCACCTGTAATCCTAGTTACTTGGGAGGCTGAGATAGGAGGACCACTTGAGCCCAGGAGTTGGAGGCCAATAGAGCAAGACCCTGAAAAAAGAAAAGAAGAATGTTAACCATTAAAAAAAAATATACATCAAAACACATATGTGCAGTTTTGATGCACATTAATGGTATCAGTGTGGCTCATTAAGATACTCTTGGGTTCTATATTTAAATGTTTGATATTTTGCTCATTATGGATTGTTTACATTAATTTTGATTTTAAAATATTGCATTAAAATATTATTTTTCTTGATTATTGAATTTTTGAGCACTCTTTTAAATTTTGCACCCTGGGCGAATGCTTTACTTCATTCTAATTTCCAGTAGTATCTTCCACTATAAAATGAGTTCCTTGGTTGGAGGTGATGTTGAGTGAGATTCTGTAGAATTCTGGAATTCTGTAGTGTAGTGTTCAGAAAGTCTGTTAATTATAGTGCTGGCAGAGAGTTGTGGGCAGGGAAAGCAAATCCTTAGCTGGAATACATAACTATTCTTGTGAGGGGATCTCAACCTTGGCTGCACATTGGAAGCACCTCAATCTCTGTGGGTGGGACCTAAGCATCATTGATTGTTAAAGCTCTCCAGGTGATTCAGTGTGCAGCCAAGATTGAGAACCAGTGATCTACAGCAGTCCTTCTTAAACTTTAATATACGCATGAATCCTATGGAAGTCTCATTAAAATACAGATGTCTTAGTTTCAGGGAGTAAGTATGCATTCATAAAAAGCTTCCCATCACTGCTGGTCCATTGACTACACTTTGAGTAGCAAAGCTTTGTTGTGTGCTACAAAAATTTCACTGTTTTCACCTCACCAACTATAGGCCACAGTTGAGTCCAGATTTCAATGAACAAACCCAGCAGACTGTTAACACCATTTCTTTTTTTTTCCTTTTTGGACGGAGTCTCGCCCTGTCACCCAGGCTGGAGTGCAGTGGTGCAATCTCGGCTCACTGCAACCTCCGCCTCCCAGGTTCAGGTGATTTTCCTGCCTCAGCCTCCTGAATAGCTGAGATTACAGGCACCCTCCATCACTCCCCACTAATTTTTATATTTTTAGTAGAGACGGGGTTTCACCATGTTGGCCAGGCTGGTCTCTTAACTCCTAACCTCAGGAGATCCACCTGCCTTGGCCTGTCAAAGTGCTGGAATTACAGGTGTGAGCCACCACCCTGGCCCTGTTAACACCATTTCTAAATGTCTGAGCTAACACTTTAAATCATGAATCTTGGGTGAACATACCCATATCAGTAAATTCAGCCCTACCTAACTACATATTTTTTTCTTTTGATCTAATAACCCTAGAATCAATTTTCTTACATGCTCTCTGGAATCCTACTGATACAAATAAGAAAGTTTCTACAACTCCAGTGTATATGCTTGTACTTATATCTCCCTACCTTGTACTTATATCTCTAGGCGAAGCTAGCCTCTAACCCCTCTTATTGGCCTTTTTGAGGTAGTGAAAAGTGGTAAAGGTGGGTGCTGAGGAGAATGGGCATTTCTTTCTGAGGCAACCGTTTCAGATGAAGTTACTGAAAGGTTTTTATGCAAGAGAAAGCTGGTTGGAACATGGGTGAGGAGGACTGTTCTTTTTAGCAGAAAGTTTTGGGATTTTGGGGTTCCAAAGTTAGGCTTCATTTGTTTGTTCATACATCCTTATCCCAAGGCACAAGAGTCCCACTTCTTCTCAACCCTTGCCCTTACCTTCGGTCTGGCAGGGTTGTACTTTTAAATGGCATTGCACATCTGCAGACCACTCAGGCATTGGGCCAGATCTTCAGCCATGTCTGTCTTGGGCTTTAAGGTTGCAAAAATGAAGAAGATATGATACCTTGAAGTTATATGCTATTTTTGTAAACATTATAGTTTTCTCTCTGCTTAACTTTAGACTTAACATGAGAATGAGTATGGAAAGTTGAAGTATTTCTTTGAATGTATTACATTCCATTGCCAATCAGTGAATATTTAGAGGGGGCCTTAAATGTCCAAGATGCTGTATCATATTGACATTAGATTATAATTTGTTGGCCATTAACATTTTGTGTTTTTTATTTACAGAAACTTATTGGAGAAGTGTTTAATATTGTGAGCCAACAGTCTACTGCTCGACCTGGCTGCATTATTGAACTCGACGCAATAACCAACCAAGTAAAAACATGCTTGTGAATTGGTGATATTCGTATACTTTATCCCATGGTGTTTTATATGTATATGATATATGTCATTCTCAGAATAATTTTCTTGTTTGTTATTAAATGCAGACAACTTATGTTGATTCCCATAGTGAAAATCTACTAATGATTTAGGGATTATTTTTCTCCTTGGGAAACCAAGAACTGTATGTTCTCATTTATAAGTGGGCGCTAAGCTATGAGTATGCAAAGGCATGCAGAGCAATATAATGGACTTTAGAGACTCAGAAGAGGGAGGGTGGAAATGGAACTAGAGATTTGAAAAACCACATGTTAGGTACAGTGTACACTACTTGGGTGATGGGTGCACTAAAATCTCAGAATTCACTACTAGTTCATCCATGTAACAAAAAAACCACTTGTACCCCAAAAGCTATTTAAGTAAAATTTTTTAAAAAAGGAATTATTCTTCTCCAGTTGAATTGTATTTGTAGCAAAGGAAATTTGATTCATTTAGAGAAACCATGACCTTGATCTTGAAATGCTGAGAGAAAATACAGTGCAGCTGCATAGAAGGGTCGGGTTGTGGTTTCTCATTTTATATTATTACTCTTTTCAACTCAATAGAGGGTAACCTCAGTTTCAGAGTGTTTGCCTTGTTAGGCCCCATGTTGGGTACTTTTGTGAGGTCCTTTAAAATGCAGATGAAAGTCAGATTCAAGTGGACATATACTTTTTAATCACAGGTCCTTTGTGTAGTATTCCTCCCCAGCTACTACCTAGGAAAGAAGGAGAACCCTTCTCCCTAGAGGGAGATGTAAAACCCATTTTAGCCCTCAGGATATTTGTTTCTTTAGGACTATGTTTATGGTCTAAGGGATAGAACTAACATTTATTCCAAATGTGAAAAGGATTAGTTTGGTAAAGAAGCTACCAATAGTTTTAAACAAGGAAATGAAGAAAGAGCCAACTATAGTTGAAAGCAAGTATAGAGTTACATCATAAATTTTCTTTAGTGTCTTGCACTTTCTATTGGGGAAAATGTACTCATTTCTGCTAATATAGATAAAATACATCATCTCTTGATAGCAGAACTGGGGCTGCCAGACCCATATTGCTAATACCTCCTGGGAAATGCTTAACTTTTTAATCCCCAGTGCCCCACCTTTCTTCAGATTCAGCCTGTGATTTCTTTTTTCTACTCAATAGGAATGTAGAAGAGTGGGTTGGCTTCCTTCCTATAGATAACTTAATTTTTAATGGATTGGATGTTAAATTCATCCCCTACTTTAGCCTCCTTTGCACTCATTACCATGGGATATTAACACAGTCTGCTCTCACAAAGCAGTTTTTTTACTTCATATTTGCTCAACACTTTTTCCCCTGCTCCTTGTGCCTATTTTTAACACAGGGGCTGGTAAACTGTAAGCAATAATGAATGACAAAGTTTAAAATTCTTTCTAGGTTTGTTCCCAATGTGTTGTATGATTTCTATATCTGTGAAGACATCACCCTTCTCTTTACTTTCATCTATTGTTTGTCCCTTGGGGAAATGACCTCCTAGACAATGAATGTGAAGAGATTTTTAATGTTTCTACCTAGAGAAACACAAAATACCCTATAACTTTCATAAAATTGTATGGCCCAACCTAATATTATAATCCTTTTATTTCTTTCTATTATGTAAAGAGGCAGGTTTTCCTTTATTCTATAAGATTATAGACTCCTCATCCAATGCCAAGATAATCATAGCTGCTTCCTTTTCTTGAAATCTCTGGGGGAGCCATCTGATTGATTGTCTTAATACACTTCCAAAATAAGCTTTTGTTTGGATCTAGCCTTTCCTTGAACTTCAGTTCCTGTTAAGGTTCTAAGTAGCCATTCGTGATAGTCTTAAAACATGGTCATGGAGCATAGCAGTTGACAGTGATGTTTCATCCATCCTTCGAGGGGTTCTAGTTACTTATGTGTAAGTTTAGTTCTCTAGAGATGTATCATCCTGCTGGCTGTTATAGGATCCCTCATAATTCCCACTAGACAGAGCTATTGGGATACTTCGAGGAGCTTTCTGGGTTTTGTTTTGTTTTTTGGTTCTCCAGTGGAATTGAAAAAATTACAAGTTGTGTAGTAGTCTAGTGTGTCTTACATAGTGCAGCCCTCCCTAGTCAGTTGTGAATCTGATGCTTTCAGGCTCAAAGTGGTGAAGGTTGCTTAACTGTTCTTTAAATTTGGAATTTGGGTTTTTTAGCATCTTTTTTTTTTTTTTTTTCCTGAGAAGCAAACCTGTTGATTTGTTTGTACTAGAGCTCTTCTATTCTGCTATTGGCTGTGACATTTTTGAAAGTAATTTTTCTCTGACCAGGATAGTTTTAATGATTCTCTTCTGTTGCTTTTTTCTTTCTAATTAGTAGTGGTAAAGAATAGAAATTGTTAGATATATTTCTTCTGCATTAGCATTGGGGAGGTGACAGATGGGAGATGGGAGACAGGGAATTTCAAAGATAAAACCTCTTCATTTTTTTTTGTATTTGTAGTGTGGCTCAAATACACAGTTGCTTCATGTGTTTCAAGAAGACTTCATTATAGGATATAAACCACATAAGGAAGATATGGAGAAAAAGGAAACAGAAATATTTTTTCAGCCATCACAAGGTACTTTAAAAAAATAGTCTGCATTTGTTTACCTTCATGCTAAAAAATGATCTCTAAGTTTTCACTGAGTATGGATCTTCAAAAGTTACCACTCTCATAATTTTTGACAGATTCACCAGTTAGTTCTGTCAAAATTGCTTGCTTGTAGATGAAGAGGGCTGTGGGTGAAAATTACTTTTTGCAAGACAATTCATTGGTGACATCAACTTTTACTAAGAAATGGTATCTGTGAACCTTAATTTGTTTTAAAAAGTAAGTTTCTTCAACTCTATAATTAAATTATTTTGATTGGTAGTTCCATTTGGTATCTTAAGGAAAACAGTTAATTTTATTACAGGTTTTAAAAAATTACCAGTAAATTGCTTCAGACCAATGATGAATATAAGATATAAGGTATCATGTTGTGTGGGACACTAGAAACCTCATGGAAATAGTGAATGCAAGGTACCATCTCACAGTTTTCCCCTTTGAAGTGTGGTATTTTTTCCTTTTTGTGAAAGTAAGTAGTTTAACCCTTTCAAAAACAAACAATATGACGTTTAGTTTAAACTTTATAACTTAGCTTAAAATGTTCCCTTCAGACGTTAAACTTTTATTTAAGTTTTTTAAATTGGCAAATAAAATTGTGTGTATATATATAACTTCATAATTATAAAACCAACATGTTCTATTTGAAAAGCCATGTCTTTAAGAATTAAGTGTCTATGGCGAATATTTAGTTTACAAAGGGTTTTCAGATAATTAATCTCATGTGGTTACAAATTGTGAATATCCAGATGGACATATTTAATTTTCTTAGTGTAGTCTTCATCACGAAATTATGTATAGCATCTAAGGAAACTGTTTCTATGTAATTTGTGCAGACAATTTCCTTCGCTTTAGTGAAAATCAGATTGAGGTCCTGTATTCTAAGAAGCTTAGCTCAAACATCTTTTCACTCGTCAGACTAGTAACTTGTTTTTCTTTCGTATATCTTTCTTCATACACAAAACTTTTCTTATTTGTGTTATTCAATTATGTTAAGTTTTATTTCACTATCATTATAACAGCAGTACTGCTTTACCAATTTAAAATTTACTTTTCTGTAGTATCTTACCTTTGCCTGGGTTAATCTTTTTAATATGGTTTCCAACAAATGTAGCTGCCATTTATCACATTATTTCTAACAGGAAAGATATGCCAGCTTACCAGAATTCAATGCTTATATAAAGTTGGTACTTTTCTTTATAATATTTTAATTGACTTGCATTAAAAATTTTCTTTATTTCTCGCTTTTGATATTTGTTATGCCACTGCTAAATCAGGCCAAAAGATTTCCTCAGTGCTTTCTTGGTTTTCCTTTAGTTTTTGTGTGAAATTTCTCTTTCTTCCTGATTTTATAGCTGTGTTCTTAAAGGACTTGTGTAGGTTTCTCCTCTTCTCTGCCTCTGCTTTATTTTGTACTAAGTTTTAATTTAAAGTTAATTACCCTTTTAGTTAAGAAAAATGCCAAAAATAGACAAAATTATAGTGCATAATTAAATGAACCTCCATATTCCCATAATGTAGGTTAAAGATTTTATCACACTTGCTTTGTCTACACAATTTTTCTTTTCCTTTTCCCCCCGAATTTTTTTTTTTTTTTTCCGAGACAGAGTTTGCTTTGCTGCCCAGGCTGGAGTGCAGTGGCGTCATCTCAGCTTACTGTAACCTCCACCTCCCAGGTTCAAGCAATTCTCCTGCCTCAGCCTCCCGAGTAGCTGGGATTACAGCTACTCGGCTGTAAGCCCACCTGGCTAATTTTTTTGTATTATTACTAGAGTCAGAGTTTTACCCCATTGGCCAGGTTGGTCTTGAACTCCTGACCTCAAGTGATCAGCTCACCTTGACTCCCAAAGTGCTGGGATTACAGGCGTGAGCCACTACGCCTGGCCCCCCTGAAATATTTTAAAGCAAATCCACCTACAGTGTTGTTTCACTTCCATATGCGTTTCTAAAAATAACTTCCTTACATATTTGCTGTTATCAAATTGATAATAAAATTCCTCAGAATCGTGCAATAACTACTCCATATTTCTTCCAGTTGTCTAAAAAATGTTGAGCTTTTTGTTTGTTTATGTGTTTTTGTTTGAATCTATATCCAAACAAAGTTTACATATTGTGTTTTCATTGTCTATTTAAAGAGTATTTTAATCTAAAGTGATACCTTATATACACCCTCATTATGCCACTGACTTGTTTTAGAGCAAGTTTATTTTTATTATTATTTTTTATTATACTTTAATTTCTGGAATACATGTGCAGAACATGCAGGTTTGTTACATACGTATACATGTGCCATGGTGGTTTGCTGCACCTATCAACCCATCATCTACATTAGGTATTTCTCCTAATGCTATCCCTCTCTTAGCCCCCCACCCCCCAACAGGCCCTGGTGTGTGATGTTCCCTTCCCTGTGTCTGTGTGTTCTCATTGTTCAACTCCCACTTATGAGTGAGAACATGCAGTGTTTGGTTTTTCTGTTCCTGTGTTAGTTTGCTGAAAATGATGGTTTCCAGCTTCATCCATGTCCCTGCAAAGGACATGAACTCATCCTTTTTTATGGCTGCATAGTATTCCATGGTGTATATGTGCTACATTTTCTTTATCCAGTCTATCATTGATGGGCATTTGGGTTGGTTCCAAGTCTTTGCTATTGTGAACAGTGCCGCGATAAACATACATGTGCATGTGTCTTTATGGTAGAATGATTTATAATCCTTTGGGTATATACCCAGTAATGGGATTGCTGGGTCAAATGGTATTTCTGGTTCTAGATCCTTCAGGAATTGCCACACTGTCTTCCACAATGGTTGAACTAATTTATACTCCCACCAACAGTGTAAAAGCCTTCCTGTTTCTCCACATCCTCTCCAGCATCTGTTGTTTCTTGACTTTTTAATGATTGCCATCCTAACTGGCATGAGATGGTATCTCATTGTGGTTTTGATTTGCGTTTCTCTAATGACCAGTGATGATGAGCATTTTTTCATATGTTTGTTGGCCACATAAATGTGTTCTTTTGAGAAGTGTCTGTTCATATCCTTTGCCCACTTTTTGATGGGGTTATTTTTTTCTTGTAAATTTGTTTAAGTTCCTTATAGATTCTGGATATTAGCCCTTTGTCAGATGGATAGATTGCAAAAATTTTCTCCCATTCTGTAGGTTGCCTGTTTATTCTGGTGATAGTTTCTTTTGCTGTGCAGAAGCTCTTTAGTTTAATTAGAACCCACTTGTCAATTTTGGCTTTCGTTGCCATTGTTTTTGGTGTTTTAGTCATGAAGGCTTTGCCCATGCCTGCGTCCTGAATGGTATTGCCTAGGTTTTCTTCTAGGGTTTTTATGATTTTAGGTCTTACGTTTCAGTCTTCAGTCCCTCTTGAGTTAATTTTTGTATGAAGTGTAAGAAAGGGGTCCAGTTTCAGTTTTCTGCATGTGGCAAGCCAATTTTCCTAGCACCATTTGTTAAATAGGGAATCCTTTCCCCATTGCTTGTTTTTGTCAGGTTTGTCAAAGATCAGATGGTTGTAGGTGTGTGGTGTTATTTCTGAGGACTCTGTTCTGTTCCATTGTTCTATGTATCTGTTTTGGTACCAGTACCATGCTGTTTTTGTTACTGTAGCCTTGTAGTATAGTTTGAAGTCAGGTAGCGTGATGCCTCAAGCTTTATTCTTTTTGCTTAGGTTTGTCTTGGCTACGAGGGCTCTTTTTTGGTTCCATATGAAATTTAAAGTGTTTTTTTCTAATTCTGTGAGGAAAGTCAATGGTAGCTTGATGGGGATAGCATTGAATCTATAAATTACTTTGGGCAGTATGGCGATTTTCACAATATTGATTTTTTCCTGTCCATGAGCATGGAATGTTTTTCCATTTGTTTATGTCCTCTCATTTCCTTGAGCAGTGGTTTGCAGTTCTCCTTGAAGAGGGTCTTGTAAGTTGTATTCCTAGGTATTTTATTCTCATTGTAGCAATTGTGAATGGGAGTTCACTCATGATTTGGCTCTCTGTCTGTTATTGGTGTATAGGAATGCTTGTGATTGTTGCACATTGATTTTGTATCCTGAGACTTTGCTGAAGTTGCTTATTAGCTTAAGGAGATTTTGGGCTGAGACGATTGGGTTTTCTAAATATACAGTCATGTCATCTGCAAAGAGAGACAATTTGACTTCCTCTCTTCCTATTTGAATACCCTTTATTGCTTTCTCTTGCCTGATTGCCCTGGCCAGAACTTTCAGTACCATGTTGAATAGGAGTGGTGAGAGAGGGCATCCTTGTCTTGTGCTGCTTTTCAAAGGGAATACTTCCAGCTTTTGCCCATTCAGCATGATATTGGCTGTGGGTTTGTCATAAATAGCTCTTATTATCTTGAGATAAGTTTCATTAATACGTAGTTTATTGAGAGTTTTTAGCATGAGGGGCTGTTGAATTTTATCAAAGGCCTTTTCTGTATCTATTGAGATAATCATGTGGTTTTTGTCATTGGTTCTGTTTACGTGATGGAGTACATTTATTGATTTGTGTACGTTGAACCAGCCTCTCATCCCAGGGATGAAGCCGACTTGATCGTGGTGGATAAGCTTTTTGATGTGCTGCTGGATTCGGTTTGCCAGTATTTTATTGAGGTTTTTCGCATTGATGTTCATCAGGGATATTGGCCTGAAATTTTCTTTTTTTGTTGTGTCTCTGCCACGTTTTGGTATCAGGATGATGCTGGCCTCATAAAATGAGTTAGGGAGGAGTCCCTCTTTTTCTATTGATTGGAATAGTTTCAGAAGGAATGGTACCAGCTCCTCTTTGTACCTCTGGTAGAATTTGGCTGTGAATCTGTCTGGTCCTGGGCTTTTTTGGTTGATAGGATATTAATTACTGCCTCAATTTCAGAACTTGTTATTGGTCTATTCAGGGATTTGACTTTTTCCTGGTTTAGTCTTTGGAGGGTGTATGTGTCCAGGAATTTATCCATTTCTTCTAGATTTTCTAGTTTATTTGTGTAGAGGTGTTTATAGTATTCTCTGATGGTAGTGTTTATTTCTGTGGGATCAGTGATGATAGCCCCTTTATCATTTTTTATTGTGTCTGTTTGATTCTTTTCTTTTTTTCTTTATTAGTTTGGCAAGTAGTCTATCTATTTTGTTAATCTTTTCAAAAAACCAGCTCCTGGATTCACTGATTTTTGGAAGGGTTTTTTGTATCTCTGTCTCCTTCAGTTCTAGAGCAAGTTTTTTTTTTTAAAGAAGTTTCTCTGACTACTTACTTGTGATGTTGTTTAAACTTTTTCTTGTCTACTGTATTGCCTGTACAGTGGAAGTTAGCTCTACAGACTTGATTAGATCTGGGTTCAACATTCTGGGTGATGCCATGTACTTCATATGTATCATACCAGAAAAAAAAATTTGGATATCTCACTTTTAGTCATATTAAGATTCGGAAGATTCAGTTGGTGGTGGTGTCATTATAGTTTGACAGCAGTCTTTATCTCATGGCTTCTTCCATTGAATATTATTGATCTTAAACCAGTTATTTCATTAGGGATTGAAAAATTATGATTTTCCAATTTTATCAGTTCTCATTTATTTATTAGCTGGAAAGCATCTGTAAAGAAAAGCATTTCTTTATCAACTAGGGCTATTGGATTACTTTGAAAAACAGTTCTTTTTGGAAAGGTTAAGTGCTTAGTTATTTCCATTTAATTGACAGTTTCAGAATGAGGAGTCTGCGCGCTGGTTATCTCTAGCTGCTACTGTTGAATTTATTGTTGTTGTTGGATTTCTTTGTCTTTTAAGTATCAATATGAACTCATTTTAAGAAAACTCTTTAATGAACTATAATATACATACAGAGAAGTACTCATATAACTCAATGGATTTTTAGGTATGTAGGATATTTCAGTCAGTTGCAGTCATTTTTTAAATGCTTACATAGTGCTATATTAGGCTAGTAAGTAGCATTTGAAGTAGGTCCTGTGTCCTTTTGACATAACCTCATTATTGTAATAGTTTACTTTCTTTCAGGAGCAAGATTTTCCTGGGTTTATCTTGTAGCTGTCCTTTGCAAGAATGGAATCATCCTTCCAAACTGTTTCTTTTTTAAAAATTATTATTATACTTTAAGTTCTGCGATAGATGTGCAGAACATGCAGGTTTGTTACATAGGTTTACACGTGCCATGGTGGTTTGCTGCACCCATCAACCTGTCATCTATGTTAGGTCTTTCTCCTAATTCTTTCCCCTTCCTAGCCCCCTACCCCCAAACAGGCCCTGATGTGTTATGTTCCCCTCCCTGTGTCTATGTGTTCTCATTGTTCAACTCCCACTTATGAGTGAGAACATGCGGTGCCAGACTGTTTCTTCTAATGAAAATGGTTAGAGGCCACAATTTTAACTCTAGCAGCGCTCATTACCAATATGTTGTCATTATGAGTTTTAATGATTAAGGAAAGCTTTTATTATCCTGCATTAGATCTCATTTTCAGTTATGAAGAATCTAATTTTCAGCAGGGAAAATTATATATACAAGTAATGTCTTTTTTTAAAAAATGCATGAAATTTCTACAAAATTTTTTCTTTACCCTACCACTGCTCCTTCCCCCACAACTTAAGTTTTTTTTTTTTTTAATGCTGTTTTCATGCAAGAAAAGCAGGATGAATGTTTATTTTATTATTTCTTTTTAATTGCCAGTTTTCTAAATAAGGCGTAAGTGCCCCAGTTACTCCAGGGGCATCCTGTGAGGCTGGCTTGAGCTTTTGTGTGCTCAGCACCCCGCTTCCTTCCCTTCTATCCTCCTCCCATTCTTCTGCTGCTGCTTTCTTTCCTTTGCTTTCTTTTTTATGTACCCTTTTTTGGTATTTGTGTGAACTCATAGTTTGTAATAGGATAAATACGTTTTAACAAATTGTATTCAGTTTTATTCTTTGATGCTCAAAATGTCCCCTCTTTGACTAGTAGGTATCCTTTCATGTTAGCTTTTGTGTACTTTTGACGTAATTTCATTAGTCCTTGATAGCTATCTAACTTTCGGTACAAAAATTATATAAAACTCCTCCTTAAAGTCTTTCTTGCCTTTTCTTCCCAACTTCCATGCATATCAAGAGGTGGTGGTAGCTTTTAAAAAGTGTTTTTTTAACCCCATAAAAACATACTAATTTAAATATCCTTTTCCTTTGAATAATAGGATACCGCCCACCACCATTTTCAGAAAAGTTCTTTCTAGTAGTAATTGAGAAGGACAGCAATAATAACTCTATTCTGCATATGTGGCACCTTCATCTTAAATCTGTACAAGCATGTTTAGGTAAGTAATTATAGTTTTATACAGAGATGATACATAACAAATTTATTTTATAGAATATGCTTTACTTTGGTTAATTCTGTAAAATGAAGTTCCATTAAACTGTAAATTGAGTTGCTGAATTATGTCTCTTCTAAACTTTTAATTACAAGGTCATAAATCATTAATGAAACTGGTTAATTCTAAAAACCAGCCTAAGGGCACATTAGACATATTGAAAAAAAATAAAAGCTTTGTTTATTTTTTTCAGTGAATATTTATTGAGTGTACATTATGACTGTTCTAGATGTCCATAGAACTAATATTGTACTTTTTTGTTAATACACATTCCCATCCAATACACTGCACATCATCAGCTTTATCATCATTAAAATAAGCAGAATTGGCTGGGCGCGGTGGCTCACGCCTGTAATCCCAGCACTCTGGGAGGCCGAGGTGGGCGGATCACGAGGTCAGGAGATCGAGACCATCCTGGCTAACATGGTGAAACCCTGTCTCTACTAAAAATACAAAAAATTAGCCGGGCGTGGTGGCGGGCGCCTGTAGTCCCAGCTACTCAGGAGGCTGAGGCAGGAGAATGGCGTGAACCCGGGAGGCAGAGGTTGCAGTGAGCTGAGATTGCACCACTGCACTCCAGCCTGGGCGACAGAGCAAGACTCCATCTCAAAAAAAAAAAAAAAAAAAAAGCAGAATTGCTGTTTGATGAAATATGATTGAGTGCCTGAGACTTATAAGCAGAACTGTTTTTGTAGAGCATTAAGAAATACAGGCTGGGCATGGGCATGGTGGCTCATGCGTATAATCCCAGCACTTTGGGAGGCTAGGGCAGGACGATTGCTTGAGCACAGGAATTCGAGATCAGCCTGGGCAATAGAGTGAGACTTCATCTCTACAAAAAAATAAAAAATTAATTAAGTGTGGTGGCATGTACCTATACTTGGGAGGCTGAGATGGGAGGATTGCTTGAGCCCTGGAGTCAGAGGCTGCAATGAGCCGAGACTGCACCACCGCACTCCAGCCTAAGTGACAAAGTGAGACCCTTGTCAATTTTTCCATTTCAAAAAAAGAAATGCAATTATGATTAAAAAATTACTTCAGCCATTCTTTTGCTGTACACATTTAGATTAATCTCTAAACTAATTGGGAAATCTGTAGTATGAAGCAAAGAAATTGATCACAGATTTTTTAAAAACAAACTTTTCCTTTTTGAGAGATAATTGTTAAAATGAAGAACTGCATGGATAGCCATATCACATTGAATCTGCTTTAAACTGTTAACTCAAAATATTTGAGTTGTAAGATTTTATTATGTCTTGTAATTAATTGATTTTATACAACTTTTTATATAACATTTAATACAGTGAAAGAATAATTTGTACTTTTTTGTTCACATGTATTATACATTATCACAATTGTAGCAGTTCTAACTGGGCCATGAATTGGCATTAGAAAAGCCAAATTATGTGACAGAACCTTTACCTTCACCTAGTTGAGCCTAATCTTCTTGAGGCACCAGGAATTTAAAAATTCTTTCAAAGCCTTTGGAGTTAATTCTTTGCATTATATGTTGTTTGATAGAAATGCAAGAGAAGGGATCTGAAACCAGTTCATCAGGAAGAGATTCACCCAGCAGAGAATGTAGTAATTTCTAGAGTTGGGCACAGAAATGGGAGTGGCTCTGAAGAGATTTATAGGGGTAGTAACAGGTCCTTGTGGGAGGACAGGAACCATGTGATTTTGTTTGTCCCCACTGCTTATGAAGCGTGTGTCTCACTAAAGCCAGGGCTAGAGTTGAGTTGCTTGCCTACCCTGTTTGTGACAGCAGTAGGTCACAGACAATGAGATTACAGTAGAGGCAAATAATGTACTCTTTTTAGCTGTGATAGAAAGCATCTATCTTTTTGTTCTAATCTTTGCTGCAGATTTAACAGTGTATCCTGCCATTCACATTTAACGCTTGAATTTACTGCAGTAGTGAATATCCTGTTAGAGGATAAATGATTGGTTTAAATTTTGTTAGAGAAGGAAACATGTTGAGTACCTTCTGGGTGCCAGGCACTGAGATTGGTGCTTTATATATGTGAATAGATATTATCCCCAGTTTACTAATGGAGTAAGGGTATGTAACTTGACCAAGTCCCATTATATGGTTTGTCACAGAACTAAGTTTCAAAATCAGGCCTTGTTGACTCTAAAGTCTTTGCTTTTTTTCCTGCTCTTATTTTCTTTCTTAGCATGAGATATATGTTAGAAAATAGTATGATTTACAGGAAGAGAAATGATGTAGTTTAACCTTAGTTTGCTGGTGAGAAAGTAGCCAGAGATGGTGGTGAAGTGCCTGGCCAAAGGAAACACATCTCATTAGTGATAAAGCCAGGAGTGGGACTCTGTCTTCTGACTACGGATCCAAGTTTGTAGTCTTATTTCATTTTACAAAAAAATGTGAAAATATTTCTTACTTAGTGGCCTGCCATTATAAGATAGATTGACATGTTTAACAGAAACAAAAGAGGATTATTATTTATTGAATATTCTGGTGCTCTTTGAGATGTACAAGGCAATAACAACACATCATCCCTGCCTTTAGTGAATTTGTAGTCCAATGGGGAGAGACAGATAAATAAATAAATATAGAGTATCTCTTATATGTCACGGAAGAACAGATAACTGAATCAGAGATTTACACTCACTGGAAGTTCTTTGGAAGATCAAGTCAATATGGCTTACAAAGGCTGTCAACTAATACTATCTTAAATTTTCTTAGAACTTTTGGTTTTTGTGTTTATTCTTGAAATCATTCTCTGATTTGAGTACTTGATAGGAGGCTACTAGTCTAATGTCTTCTTTGCCCCTAGCTAATTACATGGCCTCAGGAAAATCACTAAGCTCTCTGAGTTTAAATTTCTTAATCTAAAAGTGAGGCAGTATATTGTTATTTCCTAAAGTTTGGTTCATGATCCATCTATTTCAAAAACACCTGGGCTGCTTTACTGGGATCTACCCCATATCATCTAAATCAGTGTCTCTGTGGTTAGGCCTGGGAATTTGCATGTTAACAAATTCCTCAAGCTTTTAATGTGTTTTAAAGGTTGTAAGCACTGGACTGTATAAGGGGTTTCTTTTAGCTTTTACATGTTGTGATTCTTCCCTGTCAGTCTTGCATGATGGAGTTGGTGCTAAGAAAGAGTAAAATTGTAAAAAAAAAAATTTAAGCTTATCAGGGTAACTAAGCAAAAGTTTGAAAATTGACCTTGTCTGCAAAGTAATTTTTTTAAAAAAATTTATTGATGCATAATAATTATACGTATTTATGGCGTACATGTGATATTTTTATACATGCATAGAATATGTAATGATCATATCATGGTATTTAGGATATTCATTACCTTGAAATTTATTGTTTCTTCGGATTGGGAACATTTCAGATCTTCTCTTCTAGCTCTTTTGAAATATACATTGTTGTTAACTGTAGTCATTCTACTGTGCTATCAAACAATAGAACTTATTTCTTCTACCTTCATGTTTGTACCTATTAAAGAGTCTCTTCACCCACCCCACAACCCTTCCCATTCTCTGGTATCTATTATGCTATTATCTACCTCTATGAGATCCACTTTCTTAGCTCTCACATATGAGTGAGAGAACAGGTGATATTTGTATTTCTGTGCCTGGCTTATTTCACTTAACATACTGACCTGCAATTTCCAACTGTGTTGCTGCAAATGACAGGATTTCATTCTTGTTTATAGCTGAATAGTATTCCATTGTGTATATATATGACATTTTCTTTATCCATTTATTCATTGATGGATACTTAGGTTGATTTTATGTCTTGGCTGTTGTGAATAGTGCTACAATAAATGTGGGAGTGCAGTTATCCCTTTGATATACTGATTTCCTTTCCTTTGGGTAAACACCTAGTAGTGAGATTGCTGAGTCATATGGTCATTCTGTTTTAAAAAGAGCTCTCTTTTCTCTATATCCTCACCTCCAAAATACTTTTAAGAAGCTATGTTTCTTAAATAATAACAAAGTAATATTCTAGCTCCTATTTATAGTAATGATATACATACATTTTGTAATTTTATAATTTATTTTTAAAGCTAAAGCTTCAGAAGGGGCTTCCTCTGAGAGTCTACTTTCAGTCCCTGGACAGAAGAACGTAGATTCTTCTCCAGAAACCTCTCCTAGTGTGAGCCCCATGCCACATTCTTCATCAATTGCCAATCTTCAAACTGCCAGTAAACTTATTCTGAGTTCTAGACTGGTGTATAGCCAACCCCTTGATCTCCCAGAATCAGTTGAAGTAATAAGAGCAACGCCTTCAGCAGGTAAGGTCACTTTAAGACTGGGCAGTGGTAGCTCAGAGTGATAAAATATATGAACTCTTTAGTGGATAAAATAGATGAACTCTTCTGAAATATGTTCTATGTTGACATTAAAATAAAGATTGATTTTCTATTAATGATATGTCTAGATGGTTAGAAACATGTCTTTATTAGAAATAATTTCCTGGCTGGGTGCGGTGGCTCACTTCTGTAATCCCAGCACTTTGGGAGGCTGAGGTGGGTGGATCACTTGAGGTCAGTAGTTCGAGACCACCCTGGCTAACATGGCGAAACCATGTCTGTACTAAAAATACACAAATTAGTTGGGCGTGGTGGCACGTGCCTGTAATCCCAGCTACTTGGGAAGCTGAGGCAGGGGAATTGCTTGAACTCGAGAGGTGGAGGCGGCAGTGAGCTGACATCACACTACTGCATTCCAGCCTGGGCGGGCGACACAGTGAGACTCCATACACACACACACACACACACACACACACACACAAACCCACAAAATTTCCTGTGATAAATGTAATCAGCTTGACAGAAAATAGTGTAAATTTTTTTTTTTTTTTTTTTTAGACGGAGTCTCACTCTGTCGCCCAGGCTGGAATGCAGTGGTGCTATCTTGGCTCACTTCAAGCTCCACCTCCCGGGTTCACACCCATTCTCCTGCCTCAGCCTCCTGAATAGTTGGGACTACAGGCATCCACCACCATGCCCAGCTAATTTTTTTTGTATTTTTAGTAGAGACGGGGTTTCACCGTGTTAGCCAGGATGGTCTCGATCTCCTGACCTCGTGATCCACCCACCTCAGCCTCCCAAAGTGCTGGGATTACAGGTGTGAGCCACCACGCCCGGCCAAAATAATGAAATTTTTTTTTTTTTTTTTGAGATGGAGTTTCGCTCTGTCACCCAGGCTGGAGTGCAGTGGTGCTATCTTGGCTCACTGCAAGCTTCGCCTCCCAGGTTCATGCCATTCTCCTGCCTTAGCCTCCCGAGTAGCTGGGACTACAGGCGCCCACCACCATGCCTGGCTAATTTTTTGTATTTTTAGTAGAGACGGGGTTTCACTGTGTTAGTCAGGATGGTCTCGATCTCCTGACCTTGTGATCCGCCCACTCGGCCTCCCAAAGTGCTGGGATTACAGGCGTGAGCCACCGCGCCCAGCCAATAGTGAAAATATTTTAATGTGAGGTGTCTTGCCTACACTTTGGAATATAATGATAGTAAAATTTTGAAGAACAAATACATTCATTTGTAAACCACTGAGGCTTTTTTTAAAATTTAAGACTTCATTCACATTGTGGTAATCACGTCTCACCTTTATTAAGAATGTTTGAACAACAGTTGGCAGATACTCTGAGGAAAAATGTAGGATAAAAGACTATAGTTTGGGTGGTCTGGAATGATACTGACTTTAGCAAGGTAGATATTTTGAGGGCAAGTCTGGCAGCTGTGTTTAAAGTGATCTACTTGCAGAATTTTAATTGGGGAGTTTCTAGAATAGTGTTTTTGGGAAACCAAAATTGGAGGTTCGGGGCCGCTAAAATTACTGGTGAATGATATTCAGTATAGGTGTTTTCTTATTCATCCGTAAGACAGGTTTGCATTCACAGTTGGAAAGATCATATTGAGAAGAGTGTACTCTTGGGCTTTTGTGGCTGGTGCAGATCTAGGCCAGTTTGTTAATCTTTCAAAATATTTGAAAGGTTTGGGTTATACTCAAATAAGTTTATTGGAGTTCGTGATAATAAATTATATTTTACAGACGCCTTATAAAATGTCTTATTTGACAATAGTAATCTAGGGGAAACAGTAACTGATCCCAATTGTTTAGATGGAATAGGCTCAGATGATTAAGTAGCTTTCCCACTGTTAATGAAATTATTGATGGGTTGAAACTCAAATCCAGATCTTCTGACCTCAGATCTTTAATCTCTATATCCCCTTGTCTTACAGTTGACAACAGATGTGCATTGTTAGTCTTTGGCAGTCAGGAATAGATAAGAGGGTTCTGGTTCAGTGCTAAGAGAGGATGAATTAAACTTGGTAAAATGGGTAAGATCTATTGGTCTGTTTTGCGGTCTGAAACAAAATTTGGTGTACCACCTGGGGTCTGGATTATTTGAGAGAAGGTTAGGGGCATTTGAAAGGCAAATTGTAAAGCTCAGTTAAGTATTCATGATGAAAATGATTAAATATATAGTATGAAATTCTAAGGAGGCATGTTGTGAAGGTAAATATAAATAATAGAAACACATTAAGGGCTGACTTGTTTCAGTGCTTTTGAGTTTTATTTTAATTAAATGGTTGCCTCATTTAAACTTAATTACCTAAAAACAAATTAAGTGATTATTATTGCATACCTTGATTTCACTGATGGGCTCTTCAAGACCTTTATAGATATGTTGGCCAATGGACATTTAGTGGGATACTAGTTAAGAGGAAGACTGCAGAGATATTCTGAAGAAGCTCATAGTGACTTTAAATTGATCACATTCCAGAATTTGATTACTACCATATTATTTTGTGGCTTTATTATTATTACAACTAACTATTTGCTTTTTCTTTTTTAAGGCCATCTGAGTTCTTCTTCAATTTATCCAGTGTGCCTTGCACCTTATTTAGTGGTTACAACTTGTTCTGACAATAAAGTACGCTTCTGGAAATGTTGTATGGAAGCCAACCCAGAGTGTAATAAAAGTGATGAGAAAGAAATTTATCATTGGAAGAGATGGCCTTTGATGAATGATGAAGGAGAAGATAATAGCAGTACAGTGAGCATTGTGGGAAGACCAGTTGCTGTTAGCTGTTCATACACAGGTCGCCTTGCAGTGGCTTATAAGCAGCCTATCCACCATAATGGTTTTGTTTCTAAAGAATTTTCCATGCATGTTTGTATATTTGAATGTGAATCTACAGGAGGATCAGAGTGGGTTTTAGAACAAACAATTCATCTTGATGATTTGGTTAAGGTTGGGAGTGTACTTGATTCAAGGGTCAGCGTCGACAGTAATCTGTTTGTGTATAGCAAGTCAGATGCACTCTTGAGCAAGGATAGATATCTTATTCCGAATATCAAACATTTAGTACATTTGGACTGGGTATCAAAAGAAGATGGCTCCCACATTCTTACAGTGGGAGTCGGTGCGAATATCTTCATGTATGGAAGGCTTTCAGGAATTGTGACTGAGCAAACCAACAGTAAGGATGGAGTAGCTGTCATCACTTTACCACTAGGTGGTAGTATCAAGCAAGGAGTTAAGTCAAGATGGGTTCTTCTTAGATCTATAGACTTGGTATCTTCTGTTGATGGTACTCCTTCACTGCCTGTTTCTCTCTCTTGGGTAAGAGATGGGATATTGGTGGTAGGAATGGATTGTGAAATGCATGTATATGCACAGTGGAAGCATGCTGTCAAATTTGGAGACACTGAAGCTGATAGTTCTAATGCAGAAGAGGCAGCAATGCAAGATCATTCGACCTTTAAATCTAATATGCTGGCAAGAAAAAGTGTTGTTGAAGGAACAGCTATTTCTGATGATGTTTTTTGTTCACCAACTGTAATTCAAGATGGTGGCTTATTTGAGGCTGCACATGTACTTTCCCCTACTCTTCCACAATATCATCCAACTCAGCTGTTAGAATTGATGGATTTAGGGAAAGTGCGAAGGGCTAAAGCCATTCTCTCTCATTTAGTAAAATGTATTGCAGGTGAAGTAGCAATAGTTAGAGATCCTGATGCTGGAGAAGGAACTAAGCGACATCTCTCTCGAACTATTAGTGTAAGTGGCAGTACAGCAAAGGAAACAGTCACCGTAGGAAAAGATGGTACTCGAGATTATACTGAGATAGATTCTATCCCTCCACTACCACTATATGCATTACTTGCTGCAGATCAAGATACATCCTACAGAATTTCAGAAGAAAGTACAAAGATACCACAGAGCTATGAAGATCAGACAGTAAGTCAACCAGAGGATCAGTATTCAGAGCTGTTTCAAATCCAGGATATACCAACGGATGATATTGATTTAGAGCCTGAAAAGAGAGAAAACAAATCAAAAGTAATAAATCTTTCTCAATATGGACCAGCTTACTTTGGCCAAGAACATGCAAGGGTACTTTCAAGTCATCTTATGCACTCAAGTCTACCAGGCCTTACCCGTTTGGAGCAGATGTTCCTTGTAGCTTTGGCTGATACAGTGGCTACTACTAGTACTGAGCTTGATGAAAGCAGAGATAAGAGTTGCTCAGGTAAATATTCTCGCTAAAAATTTATAAAGTTGTACCTAATAGAAATATTTGTATTATCTCTATACTGACTCATTTACTGAATTGCAGTCTCAACTTTCAAACTTTGCAGGGAAAAGACCTCCTTAATAGGTAATTACTATTATATAATATGCTCAGTTAGAAAAGACGGTTGAGGCCGGCATATGAATGCATGGATTTGTGAGATCCATGTGCATTCTCTCATGAGTTTTTACACTGAAACCTTTGTGTCATTTTGGATTTATAATCTTGTTTTTTTGTGTGTGTTTGGGTGGGTTTTTTGTTTGTTTTTTTGAGACAGGGTCTTGCTCTGTTGCCCAAGCTGGAGTTGAGCGGTGCAGTCATGGGTCACTGTAGCCTTAACCTCTCAGGTTCAAGTAATCTTCCTATCTCAGCCTCCTGAATAGCCGGGACCACAGGTGTGCACCACCATGGGGCCCAGCTAATTTCTTTTTATTTTTTTTGTAGGGACTAGGTCTCCTTATGTTGCCCCAGCTAGTCTCGAATTCCTGAGCTCAAGCAGTCCTCCTGCCTTGGCCTCCCACAGTGCTGGGATTATAGGTATGAGTCACCATGGACTGGCCAAGTCTCTTGTTTTTTAACACAGATTGATCCCTATGATTTTTTCTTTGATAATAACAGCCCATTTGTTAATGTTACTATGGAATCATGAGGCTTATTGGGACCTCATGGGCTCAACTTGTTGGTCTTCCCATTTCTAGCCATAAACAACTTTTTACAATTACCTAATTTTCTCCAAAAAGTCTCTTCAGCGAGATTTCCATACAGTTAATGTCATACGTATTTTGCCTAATTCATTCTGTAACTAGAAAATTTTTGGCTGCTTCCTGGAACTAGATTCCATTCTCTTTTATGCACATAGTTCAGGGTAATGGTGTTGATTGTAAATGATGGCATTGGCAAAGGAAACTGAAAATTAATGATCAGAATTTCATTAATTCAATAAATATTTTGGAGGAGTGAAAAATTGCTATGTTTCAGGCACTTTCTTTACTTTATCATATTTAATTATCACAGTCTTCTAGCAGATAGCTATTATTATGTTTAACTTTATAGATGAAGACACTGATCCTTAAGAAATTAAGGGACTCATCTGAGATCACATAGGCATTAAGGAGTAGAAGTGGAGTTCATATGTGGATAAACTGTTGACTCAAAGCCTGTACCCTTTTAACTATTTCATGATTTCCAGATCTGTGGGGGAAAGGTAGCTGGAAAATATCTCTTCATATAGATTTACATCCTTATAGTATATCCCCCAAAGTTTTCTTCTCTGCAGGTTAAAATAACTAGAGACCTTCTAGGGTTTTGCCTATGACTTATTTTCTCACTATTAATTGGAAAAGAAAAATCTTAACCATTATGAGGTTGTATGCAGTTGAATGAGATTCTTCCCAGAACAACCTTAAGCTTGTGTTGTGTGTTTAATATATATTAGTTTTTACTGTGGGACATTAAGAAAGTAGGCATGGCATGATTTGTAAAAAATAGTTTATACTTTCTAATACAAAACTGTATCATTGGCTAAGCAATATAGAAATAGTGTATCCTGGACACAGTGGACATTCATGAGGTAATAAGGCAGGAATGAATGTCTCCATTTCACAGGTGGGAAACTGAAGCTCAGAGATTAAATGAGTTACACATCTCAGTAAATGGATTCTAAGTAAATGAGTTCTTCCATTTGTTCAGGTGAGACAACTTACAGTCATTCTTGACTCTGCTTTCTCTCATACCCAGTATCCAGTTCATTGGCAAATGCTATCAGTTCTATTAATATCCAGAATCCAATAATCAATTCTCATTACCTCTGCAGTTACTACTCTGGTCCAAGTCCCTGTCATCTCCTAACTGCTTTATTCTTTTTACCTCCATCTGTTCTTTGCTTAGGAACCAGTGATTCTTTTAAAACCAAATCACATTAAATCTCTCCTTTGCTCAACATATACTGGTGCCTTCCTGTCTCACTTTAGAATAAAAGTTAAGAGCCTTACAGTGGCCTAAAAGGCCCCACACGATCTATGCTCATTTCTACTCTATTAGAATGCTCTTCTTCCAGATTCATGCATGGCTTGTTCCTTTACTTCCTCAAATTGCTGCTGGCATGTCATCTTATTGGAGAGTTCCTTCCTGGCCACACTGTATGAAATAGAACTCTCTTACTCCAGCATTCCCTATCTCTCAGTCCTGCTTTATTTCCCTTCATAGCATTAATTTCCACATATTATTTGTTTATTGTTTGTCTCTACCTCCTAAAATATGATCCCCAAGAGAGTAGGGACTTTGCCTTATTCACTGCTGAATTCCCAGTACCTGAAGAGTCCCTCACATGTAATAGATGCTTGATTTGTTGAATGAATAAACGGACGAATGAGCATGGTGGCTCACACCTGTAATGGCAGCACTTTGGGAGGTTAAGGTAGGAGGATTGCTTGAGGCCAGGACTTTTAGACCATCTTGGGCAACATAGTGAGATCTCATGTCCATAAATAAATAAATAGATACATATTAGGTTGGTGCAAAAGTAATGGCAAAACTGTAAATACTTTTGCACCAACCTAATAGCTATCTATCTAGCTAAATAAATAGATGGATGGATGGATATAGGTAATGGGAAGCAGAGCTGGGGCTTGATCTTTGGCAATTTAAAAGTTTTTGTTTTTTTTTTTCTGGAAAATACTATTTGATTCTATAATCATTGAGTACTTCCAAAGTGTCAGTTATTGGGCTAGGTGCTGTCTGTATTTTTGCTTTGCTTTTATCCAGCAGTGGCTATAGTTTTGGTTACGCTTGCCATACCTTCATACTTTGACTAAGTGGAATTAATTTGTATAAATAAATTTGTAGAATCAAGGTGAAGGTTCAAACTAACCATGTAACACTAACTAGCCTGGGTATTCAAATTTTAAATCTTTGATAGTACCATATTTCAGTTAATTTAACCAAAGTAGAAAATACTACCTGCTTAAATATATAACAAATGATTTCACATCAGTTATGTAATTTCCATTACATCTCATCGGAATTCATGTAGAAAATATTATTAAAAGTTGTACCTAACTTACCATAGTTAATATATTTTTTATTGGATTTCCAGATGTCTTTCATTTATTATGAGTCAATATAAATGTTCTTGTTATCTATTCTAATAGTTAATTGTATTTCTCCAAATCATTTTTCTTTTAAGAGTTTAGTAGTCACATTTTTTTTTGTAAAGATAATTTTTTGTAAAGACGTTAAAGTGTTCAGGAAGGAATACACTAAAACTTATGTATTTTATATAAATTATGACTAAGTTTAATGTTTGTTTTATAGCTTATCAGTTTGTGGCCTCTTGCATTCTTTTTTCCTTAAACATATTTCCTGTTTAAATTACAGGAAGAGATACATTAGATGAGTGTGGTTTGAGATACTTGTTAGCTATGCGCCTACACACATGCCTTTTGACATCGCTGCCTCCTTTATACCGAGTGCAGCTACTTCATCAAGGTAATTCACTCACTGTTTGAAGCTTTGCACAACTTTTACTTAATATTGGAGCGATGGGGTGTATCATGTTTGTGTGTAAACATTAGGTAAGTCATTACGTGCACACCTATCACTTGGCTTAAGATCTTTCTGTCACATAGTACCCACTTACCATTTTTCTATGTATCCTTCAGCTCTATTCTGTGACTTTTGCTCATCTAACTAAGTTTTTTAGAATTTATTTACTAGAGTAGTAGCTTAGGGGGTAAATGTGGTATGCCTGAGGTTGTAACCCAAAGTGGCTGTCTACAGAGTAGCCCTGAATATCTTGATGTCTTTTCTTTGAAAAATTATGTAAACTTTGCTCTGCGATGTGTTTTTATATTTACTTTAATGTAAGCATTATGTTCTAGTTATTTGCCAGCAAGTAAAGTTGATGATTCAGGAAGATCTGCCATATTGATAACAGTGGATTTGTGTACTTCAGGCATACTGCTACACCTGATTTGAGACATAAGGATTTATATCAGCCTTCGTATTACAGATTAAAAAATTGAAACTATAGAATTAAAAGTGACCTGCCCAGGATACAGGACTATTTATTAGAAGAGTTGGGAGTGCGAATCCCAGTCCAGAGCTTATTTCAGTGGACTATATTTCTTTTGAAACCAACATCTTGGAAAGAGTCCCATAATATACGTCTTAGTATTATAGAACCTAGAACACTAGGCTTGATACACTGTTATTCTTACCCATGGCACTTACCCTTTAACCTATGAATGTTCTTTGAAAACATAACTATAAATAGCTATCTGAGATTCTGTGTCTAAACTATATTTCATCTGCCCAATCCTTTGTTTTTGAAATAGATTTTGCTGAGGTATTTTTTCTATTTGAATTATCACTCTAATGAATAACCTTGTACCTTGGCATGTAAATATTTGCATTCCTGATTATTTCCTCATGCTAGTTTTCCAGCAGTGGAATTACTGAATCAAAAGGCATGAAAATTCTTCAGTCTTGATAAGTATTACCAAAATGCCCTTCAGAAATGTGCTCATTTACATTCCCAGAAGTTTGTATACACGTACTACGTACCAACAAAAATTGAAAACAAAAAATTATAAAAAATATAAAATAAAAAAGAAGTTTGATGATGCCAAATCTCAACCCCATTGCCCACATTTGATATTAACATTTTAAGCAATCTATGCCATTTGGATAGGTTTTTAAAATGGTATCTCCACGTTCTCTTAAGTTTTAGTTTTGGGTGATAGTCAAGTGGTATTGAATCAGTTAATGACAATTTTGTACATTTCCTAGGGCAGTCTAAAACACTTCAAATTTCTAAAGCTGTGTCAAATTCCATTTTCCCTTTGACTGCAGTTAAAACATTGGCGATGAGAAGTGACTGGTGTTGTAGGTGTTGGTCCTGGGAGCAGTTTTCAGGGAAAAGTTAAGTAGCCAGTACATAGATAGAAAAGCTGAGAAGAGCAAGAGCAGAGGTAAACTGCAGAGAATAGCCTGCCATTGGTAGGTAAATAAAAAGAAGTGCCTATTCGTGCCCCTGTTCTTTTTCTTCCCTAATAACTTTTTTCACCTCTGCAGGTTTTCAAATACATTCACTGCTCTTAATCTTACTTTCTGAACCTAATTCTTCTGACATGTCTGTGTGTATTTTTGTTTCTTCTTATACCAAAATTTTAATTAATTTAAGGATATAGAATGTAATATGCTATGTATTGTCATTTTATATTATATATTTTATATCAGCAAAATTATGCATTTTGTGTTGCCGTATATTAGTTGCTGAAGCAGAATATCAATTATTTGATAAAGTAATTCTCTCACAGCAGACAGAGATTTAAATAGTGAAAAAATTAGTCTGCCTTTCAGGTTATAAAAAACTAAATTTATTTTATTAATTTTTTCTGGTGTTTTCCCCTAAATTTATAGTGGCAGCCAAGACATGTTGCATTAATTTTGTGGTATGATTACAAACACAGTTGTTATATGAGTGTTGGCAGTGGGAAATTTAAAAGAGTTAAGATTGTTATTCAAAATAATCATAATAGTTTTTATTTTATACTTTCTAAAGAAATTACAGTGAAGCAGTAATTATTAGAAAAGCTTTAAACTATGTACAAAATCTATATAGTAGTTGAAAATGGAAAAAATTATGTGTAACAATATAGATACTTAATAGCATTGAGAGGCCTATGTTGTAATGTGACTTTCATTGACCTCAGACATTTCTTTGTTTCTAAAATGAATTCATACAGATGGCTACTTGGACTAGTTTGGCTTCTTTCCAAGGCTTCCCAGAGTTCTTGCCAG
Source organism: Homo sapiens (assembly GCF_000001405.40). NCBI lineage: Eukaryota > Metazoa > Chordata > Mammalia > Primates > Hominidae > Homo > Homo sapiens. Next base: position 51,492,707 of record NC_000015.10, on the reverse strand, counting down.
CATTCCCATTATTGATTACCATTCTGTGTGGTTCACATTCATTATGTTTCGTTTTTACCTGCTGTAAGTCGAATATCAGTAAGAGCGTTATCAGTAATTGAACTGTTGATAAATCCATTAGTACTTAAAAGTCTAATAGCGTCAGTAAAGATTTTGTTGCCTCTTCAAACAGCCTAGATCCCTGTCAGTCTTCTCCCAGGTAAAAAAAAACAAACAAACCCAAAACAAAAAACAATGTTCACCAAAAAGCATCAGTATTAGGCAGCTTTAAACTTTTAACTGAAGGCACTAAAAGCAGAGGAATGTACATCATGATTGTAACTTATCCTTATTATTTTCTGGAACTCTTACGAAGTTTAGAGCTTGCTTTGAAGTGATATTTAGCTCCATGGCTAGAGAGAAGAATGGGGTAGTGGCACTGGAATCGACATCCAGGACTGTGAGCCAAGTGCTTTTGACTTGAATAAAGCTTTCACCACACTTTCCTTCCCCTGGGCTCTTGTGGGGGATAACACACCTTGTGTCCTCTTGGGCGGGCCGGATTCACAGGTCCTGGTGACAGAGAAACCTGGAATCGGGCCTGGGCCCTACCTTCCTAGTTATGTGAGCTTGGGCAGCTCTTATGACCTCTTGATAAATTTGGTGTACCGTACATGTGAATGGCCTGATATTCAAATATTTTTCTTTCTAATGATTAAGTTTTAGTGTCCCTATTTTTGTAGGGGAAATGAAAACAAATGTTTGGGGAAAAAGAGATTTGGATTTTATGTATCACATTATTGATCTTGTATTCAGAAACTTTTATAGTATAAAGTCCTGAATGATGACAGACTGCCTTTCATTCTTTCTTTCTGCTTCAAAATTCTTTCCAAAATGAATGCGTATGTGACTGCATGAAAAATTGTTTTTCTTCTTATTTGATACAGTTACGCAGATTATTATTTTATATTTCCAATTTAGGTGTCTCTACATGCCATTTTGCCTGGGCTTTTCATTCTGAGGCTGAAGAAGAACTGATTAATATGATTCCAGCAATTCAGAGAGGGGACCCCCAGTGGTCTGAATTAAGAGCTATGGGCATAGGATGGTGGGTGAGGAACATTAACACGCTTCGAAGATGCATTGAAAAGGTAACTTTTCTTTAGTGGATTTTGAGTTATATTAAAAAAACCTTTTCCTAACGAAAAAAAGATACTATCTCCCAGAAAACCTGTAGTGGGAAATTTGTTTGTCTATCTTGAGGTCTTGAGAATTTTTTTTTTTTTGGAGATGGAATTTCGCTCTTGTCGCCTAGGCTGGAGTGCAATGGTGTGATCTTGGCTCACTGTAACCTCTGCCTCCTGGGTTCAAGCGATTTTCCTGCCTCAGCCTTCTGAGTAACTGGGACTACAGGCGTGCGCCACCACATCCAGCTAATTTTTGTATTTTTAGTAGAGACAGGGTTTCACCATGTTGGCCAGGATGGTCTCGAATCCCTGACCTCAGGCGATCTGCCCTCCTCGGCCTCCCAAATGGCTGGGATTACAGGCATGAGCCACCATGCCTGGTGAGACTTTTTTAAATAAAGTTTTTTGGAGATTACAAAAACTTGACCTTTATAAAATGTCCATGCAGTATGATATTGTGTCTTTCTATATAGGCTGAATTTATAATATATCCGTGGAATAATAATATTTTCTGTTATTAGTTGAGGTATGCCCTGGTTTAAGAAAATGGAAAAATCTAACTTTAGAAAGTAAACTTGAGTTCTTGTTTGTTATTTACAATACATTAAAAAACTCTTTTTATACAAAGGACTCTCTGCATCACTAGTTGAATAAGTAGCAAACGTTCTTTGCACACTTGAAATCTCATTGGATAAAAACAGTTTTGATTTGTATGTACTTGAAGAACATATCTGTGGCAGCAAGTGAAATGGCTATCAAAGTTTTTAAGGCAGGTTTTTGGAGTCAGTTTTCTGGTAGATTCCTTTTAGGAAAAAAATTCAGTTCAGCTCTCTACCAGGTTTGGTGCCAGTTGCTTTTCATAAATAATTCCATGTTATGTTCTAATCAACCCCATGTCATCATCTCCATTTTACATATGATGGAACTAAGATTCAGAGAGGATGGGTAACAAGCCCAAACTCCAGTCATTTATAAATGTTAGATTTAGCCTGTGCCTTTTCTACTTTAGCAGGATTAGGAAAGTGGAATTCTTATTCATATTTTCCTTTTAGTCCTTTGGAATTCCCTGGAGTACAATCAGTGGTACTATATTTGTGAAGTATGAATTTGTTTCTCCGAAGGATGCAAAGACCTTTTCCTGATTTATTCCTTAATAGTAGTTCCCCAGAGAAGACTCAACTGGTAAACTTATGTAAAATGCATATTCTCCATCCCATAACCAGAGATTTTAATTTGGTAGTGGTAGGGCTGAGGTTTCTTCATCTTAATCAGCATCCCATGATTCTGGTGTGCATGGTTCTCAGATCACAGTTTTAAATGTGAGTATAAAAGTATTATTTTACTGTTACGTGTAAGGCTGCCAACAAAATATCAGTATTTCTTTTCTCAAAATAAGCACAGATATAAGAAGGAATTCATTCCTGCACCAACTAAAAAATGTGATCTCTGATGTACAGGAAAAGTTAATTGTTAAAGGATATAAATGATACAGTTTCTACATTAAATGTTTTATATTCCAAAGCACTGGATAAAAGAGGACATACTTTATCTGAAATGTTTCAGATGTATCCCACAAAGATTTTACTTCTTGTCAACATGTGTCTTGTCATTATGATTATCTGTGATAATATACACATGATTTATTTCCACAAGTAATTTATTTCTTAAAATTAAATCAAAGGGATATGTACATTTTCTGCCTCAAAATGTATATTATAAATCAGCTGAATACAAATAAAATTCCTCTAAAAATTATCTAACATATTGAAGCACTAAGTTAAATGATAGGGGGCAGACAACACAATTAAAAGGGGGAAGGGAAAAGAGTATTGAGAGTAAAGCATTTTCTTTTTTCTTTTTCTTTCTTTCTTTCTTTTTTTTTTCTTTGAGACAGAGTCTTGCACTGTCGCCCAGGCTGGATTGCAATGGTGTGATTTCGGCTCACTGCAACCTCCTCTTCCTGGGTTGAAGCAATTCTCCCAACCAGCCTCCAAGTAGCTGGGACTACAGGCGTGCGCCACCATGCCTGGCTAATTTTTGTAGTATTAGTAGAGACGGGGTTTCACCACGTTGGCCAGACTGCCCTCGAACTCCTGACCTCAAGTGATCTGCCTGTCTCGGCCTCCCAAAATGCTGGGATTACAGGCATGAACCACTGCGTCCGGCCCGAGAGTAAAGCATTTTCATGATGTAATTTTAGATGTCTTTTCCCTTTCTCCCATACCTTAGTATTATAGCTTCCTGCTTTGCCATCAATGTGAGCTAATTAATAAAACATCCACTGTTGTTTTGTCATTATGCCTTTCAACTTAATGATTTGCAGAGGCTATATCTCAGCATCTTGGAAAAATAAGGTATGGCCTATATGCTCTTATGTTTAAGACAGTATGATTGCATACAATATAACATGTTGAATTTTCAAGAAAAAGCTCACATCTATTGAATATTCTGCCTTCTTTATTGCTTTCTATGTTAGTTTCAGTTCTACGTGGTTTCTATTCCCTTTTCTAACCCTTACTGTGTGACTGTAGGCAATTCACTTAACCTTTCTGTCTCAGTCACTTTATCTATAAAATGGGAATAATGATAGTGCCTCATGGTTTGTAGTGATGCAATAAGATAACAAAAGGTGCATAGACTCGTGCCCAGGACGTGGTAAATAGTCAATAAGTGCTGGCTGTAATTAGGATTTTTACCATAATTACTGGCTTGCGAATGGTTATCTCTAGGAGCATGTATTAATATTATAACCTACTGGAGATTGTGAAACAGAACCAACTTTTTCTGTCTCCACAGTTTCTATCAGCCATGGAAGTAGCAGGGGAACATTATTGTTGATTAATTGATTGTAATTCTTATGTCAAATTGTGAATTTAATATTTTATTTATCATTTAGGTTGCCAAAGCTTCTTTTCAAAGGAACAATGATGCCTTAGATGCTGCACTATTCTACCTTTCAATGAAGAAGAAAGCAGTAGTGTGGGGTCTGTTTAGGTAAGTTGCCTTGACACTTAACGTGATTCAACAGAATGAAGATTGTGCTGTGAGTAAGAAACCTAATGCTTTTGAAAATAATTAGGTATATGAGCTTCATCAAATCCACTTCTATGCGACCTGGTTCCTTTAGCTGAAAAAAATGGGTAAAATATCTTTTCAGCTTAATCTAGAGGATGGGATGTTTTAAAAGTTGATAAAAGCACTTTGCAAAGTAAAAAATGCTGTTTCCTATTTATGTATACATAAGGCATTATTGACCTTCCTTCTTAGAAGAAGTGAAGAGATGCTTGATAACAAATGCCTGTCCTTGAAGTTATTGTTCTTCTTTTAGATTTCTGTTTGAGGTTTTTATTTTATATTATTATACATTCTGTAGAACATTTTAAATTTGGTTTAACCACTTTATGTTTATGCTCGGTCCCCAGGTCACAGCATGATGAAAAAATGACAACATTTTTCAGCCACAACTTTAATGAAGATAGATGGCGAAAAGCTGCTTTGAAAAATGCTTTTTCCTTACTTGGAAAACAACGCTTTGAACAATCGGCTGCTTTTTTCTTGCTAGCTGGTTCATTGAAAGATGCCATAGAGGTATAAATAAGAAAACACACTATATAATACTTGTAAAAGATTGAAAACCTAAGAAGGTTGTAGAGGAGATTGTAACTTTTGGTCATATGTTTGTTAGGACACAGAATAACTACAGAGGTTGCTGTACTTAAAATAGTGGCACTGTGGTAAAGGAAAATATGAATAAATTCAAGGGAGAAACAAATGAAAAATTTCAGGCTGGGCATGGTGGCTCACGCCTGTAATCCCAGCTCTTTGGGAGGCCAGGGAAGGTAGATCACCTGAGGTCAGGAGTTCAAGACCAGCCTGGCCAACATAGCAAAACTCTATCTCTACTAAAAATACAAAAATTAGCCAGGTGTGGTGGCACATACCTATAGTCCCAGCTACTCGGGAGGCTGAGGCAAGAGAATCACTTGAACCCGAGAGGCGGAGGTTGCAGTGAGGTGAGATTGTGCCACTACACTCCAGCCTGGGCGACAGAGTGAGACTCCATCTCAAAAAGAAAAAAAGAAAAATTTCATATATGGCACATTGCATTTCAAGACTATGTGTAAAATATATGAAAAAAATGCTGAAAAATAGTTTATGAATGTCTTCTTCCAGACCATCTTGTGATTCTGAACTGTTTAAAGTACATAGGTCACAACCTCCTTATTCTGTGCAGAAAGGCAGATACATTAAGCTGTTTTTTTAAATGAAATTCATAAATAAGGAACTGAAACTCCAGTTTGTACTGTTTTATAATAGTTTATAATATTAGAATATTATATTAGAAAACGATGTGAGGAGGTAAAACTTCCCACTTTTTGATATGTAATCCTAGCAGCTGATTATGAGAGTAATTACAAATGTTTGTGTTTACTTCTGATATCTTCCTCTTAGATTACTATCATGAACAATATGAACAGGTAAAGGACAAATACAGTTGGGAATAATATATGATAGAAAAACAGGAAATATTCAATTAAGTGAAAGTACTTTAGTATTTTAAATTTAGAATTAGTTGGGTTTTTTTTTACAATTATCCCAGGCATATGAGTTTCTTTTTTTAAATAACAAATACTTAAGATTTTAAAATTGGAAGTTTAGCTTAGAAGATATTCAAGCAAAGAGAAGTGTTGACTGAGAGATGCTCATATTGCCTAAATGACCTCAAATGCTCAGAACTGGTAGTTGCATTAGAATACAGGCTCCCAGAGACTATGAATAGAACATATGGCTGTATTTCATAATTTATTTACTATTTAAATATGAGGCAGATAGTAATAATTATGATTATGCAGAAATATGTTTGGAAATTAAGAGGAAGTGGTATATAAATTCTAGTGTCATATATAGTATTTAATTTAAAAATGAATGTTATTTAAGTTGATCTTAAGTCTGAGATGATATTAATATACTTTGTTTCATGCTTATTTTATAAATGATCTGTCTAGTTTGGAAGCTACTGGGTTCCAACCTGTTACTCTTTTTGCTATTCTTTAATCTCCTATCAATCATTTAACTACCCTTCACTGTCCCTTCGCCCACCATTAGGATATAAATGGTAGATAATTTCAGGGTATTGATGGGATATTTCATCTCTCTAAATAATTATCATTAAGTAAGATAAGTATTAATATTTAAATTTGCAGGTATGTCTTGAAAAAATGGAAGATATTCAGCTAGCCATGGTTATTGCCCGTTTATATGAATCTGAATTTGAGACTTCATCCACTTATATATCCATCCTAAATCAGAAGATTTTGGGTTGCCAAAAGGATGGCTCAGGATTCAGTTGCAAAAGATTACATCCTGATCCTTTCCTGCGTAGTCTTGCCTATTGGGTAATGAAAGATTACACCCGAGCCTTGGACACATTACTGGAACAAACACCAAAGGAGGATGATGAACATCAAGGTAGGACGTTTTGTGGATTTCTTTTTTTTCTTTTTTAAAGGAAGAGATACTTTCTGAACTAATGTTCACTTAGATTAAGAAAAATCATTACCAGATTTGCTTTTCAACTTTGAGAATTTATTATTAAAATTTCTTGTGTGTCTAAAGGATTAGATAGGATTACCATCCTATTCTAATTACGTATATATTTAACAAGCATACAAAATGTTTGCCACATTCTGTAGCTCTTTTTACATAATCATATAGCCATTTTTTTTAAATGGAAATTTTGGCTGTTACACGTATTGGTTTGTCACATGGGCCTGGAAAAACTTTATGCCTCTGTGGTAAATTTTCTTTTTTCCTTGTTATCCTAAATAATTTAGATATTACAAGCACTTAAAGGATATTTATCAGCATTGTTTTCAATAATTTGAAAGGAATGGAACATTTTAAGTTTTTGTCAATAGAATAGTTAAATACGTTTTAATATATCCACATATAGAAACAGTGTGTCATTAAAAATTGAGGTAGATACATATGTTAATATGTGCTGTATTTTTAAGTGAAAAAAAGTAAGATGCACAGCAGTGTGGTTCTTGTTGCATTTGGCATATGTATGTTGTACAAACATGCACCTGAATGTGCACACATGTTATGTCTGCCTCCTCCATTTCCTTTGGTTGTTTCCTGAAACAAATCATAAGAAATGAAATACTGGTCATTGGTCACTGGCTACCTTTTGGGAATAAAAATGAGGAGATCCTTGTCTTTGACTTTTGACAACTTGACCATGTGCCTTGGAGAGGATCTTTTTAGGTTGAATCTATTTGGGAGTATTTGAACACCCTGGACCTAGATGCCTATCTCTTTCCCAAGACTTGGGAATTTTGGGCTGTTACTTTATTAAATGTGTTTTCCTCACCTTTTCCCTTTTCTTCTTCTTCTGGAATGCCCATAATATGAATATTTGTTTACTTAATAGTGTCCCATAAATCCTGTAGGCTTTCTTCATTCTTTTTTTTCTGTTCCTCCTTCTTCCTTTTTTTTTTTTTTTTTGGTTTGCCTGAGTTATTTCAAAAGACCTGTTTTCAAGTTCAGAAATTCTTTCTTCTGCTCGATCTAGTCTGTTGTTGAAGCTCTTGATTATATTTTTTATTTCATTCATTGAATTTTTTAGCTCTAGTATTTCTGTTTGGTTCTTTTGTATGATATCTATCTCCTTGGTGAATTTCAAATTCACATCATGTATTCTTTGCCTGATTTCATTTAGTTGTATATCTGTATTCTTTTGTATCTGAATGAGTTTCCTTAAGACTATGATTTCCTTAAGAATTATTTTTCTGGCATTTCATGTTTCCTTGTGACTAAGGTCTGTTACTGGAGAATTAGTATTTTCCTTTCCATTCTTTTCCTTTGGTGTCATATTTCCTTGCTTTCTCATGGTTGGTGTGTTTCTACATTGATTTCTATGTATCTGGCAGAAAAAGTTGCCTCTTCTAATTTTATGGAGTAGGTTTCATAGGGAAAGACTTGTTACTATGAATAGGTCCTGAGGTGTTGGTTTGGTGGAGTGCATTGGTTAGATGGATACAGTAGTGTAGTCTCCATGTAGCTTCTTCACCTGTAATCCACATTAGTGGCATTTGCAATCCTCTCAGTTGCCTAGGCTGAAAGAGTTTGCGGTGATGGCCATGTAGCTTTGCCAGGTGGGCTCGCTGGGCAGTTTTTCAGGTTGGGGTGCATATGTGCACACAATGGGTCAGCCAGCTTAGGGTCTGGTTGGCTGGGATTGGGGCCACAGGTCTGTTACTCTGGCCAGGAGTGTGGGTACATGGTCACTTGGCCAGCCTGGAGGTGTGCCTGCCAGAAGCAGCCCACAGGGCTCATATGTGGCCTCACGGCTACTCAGCTGGCCTGGGGTTTTGTCTGTTAGGGGTGGGGATAAGGCTATTTCTCAGGCCCATGACACGATTGCATGGCTGCTCAGCTGGCCTGGGGGTGTTTCTGCAGGTGTTGCCCATGGGTTATTTGTATACCTGTGATGCAGGTGCAGGGCTGCTCAGCTGGTCTGGTACTATGTTAGCTGGGGTGGCAGTGAGGCTGCTCCTCAGGCCTGAGGTGTGGGCATAAGGCTGCTCAGCTGGCATGGGGGCGTTTCTGTTAGGGGCTCATGGGGCTATTTCTCAGGTCTGAGACTGGTGCAAGGCTGTTCAGCTGGCTAAGGGGTGTGCACACTGGGAGCAGCCTGCAGGGCTGTTTGACCAGGCTGGGATGTGTCCACCAGGGATAGCCCACAGGGCCGTGGAAGTGGGCTCTTGGCTGCTTGGCTGGCCTGGTGGTGTGCTGCCAGGGGCGGCTCGAAGGACTATTTCTCAGGCGTTGATTGCAGGCGCAGGGCCTTTGGCAGGCCAGAACTCTGAGTGCAGGGAGCAGGGGCGCTGCACGCTGTTTCTGAGGTCCTGAGTGTGGGCATGTAGCTGCTTTGCTGGCCTGGGGGCATATCAGCTGCTCGTAGGCTTGGAGACCTCTCCCATTTGGGGGAGGGTATGTATGTAGTGGTTTGGCTGGCTCAAGGGCAGGTTCACCCTGGGCAAGACTGCCAGATTGTTTCTCTGACCAAAAGTGTGATGGTAGGGGTTGATTTCCCTGCCATGCAGGACCAAAGTCATAGCCAGTCATGGTCCTAGGCTCTGCATAGCTGGGATTGTAGCATTCAGCTACCCATGTAGGCTTGGAATGAAGACGGGTCCCCAGTGTTGGAGAGGTACAGTGACTCCTGGCCCCCAGAGCAGTGCGCATGCCAGAGGTGACTGGTCTCAAGATAGTGCTTGTGCTGCAGCAGCTTGGCTCACTGGCGGTAGGTGGAGGGCACACACCTTATGCTCCTAATCTGGGTCAGTGCCGTTGCGTGAACTTCTGACGTCTCTCCAAACTGGACACAGGGCTTGCAAGTACTATGGGATTCTTCTGTTGTAAGGACTGTAGATGTTTGTGGTGGCCATGAGGGCTGATGGGGATCTTCTGTTTACCTTTTCCCCTCTGCAATGAGAAGTTCTTCCTGACTGTGGGCAGATCCAGTCTGGGTGGGGGAGATAGGGCTGCAGAGGCCGGGTACCTCCACACTGCTCTCCTAGACTTGCAGTCACCACAGGTGCATCTCCACTCCCCTGCTGCACTCTAGTGCTCTCCCTTTGACACTCCAGTCAAATCTTAGCTGTTTATTCATTGCCTTGGTCCTTTCTTTTCGGAGGATGAATGCCAGGTGTGTCTAGCAGCCATCTTGCTGGCATCATTCTCTTGGTTTATTTTTATGGATGCTCAGATTGTTCTTTCACAAATGGGAACTTCTTCAGGTTTCTGAATTCTTCTGGCATTATTTCTTGATAGTTTTCTTGCTTTCTGGTACTACAAAATGTTTAAGGGTCATCTTGTACATTTCCTGCCCCAGACCTGGAAATGACCATTCCTCCAAAGCATTCTGCTTCCTTTTAGTGGGGAATAATATTTAGAAACTATAGTTTGGGCACCAGGATCCTCATTGGTACTAATCTTGTCATAATTTCTAGACTATTGCAATGAATGGAATTAGGAAATTTTTTTTCCTTAGAATTTAGGAGTTTACCCTGCTATTTCTCATGCACATATAGATTATAGGGTTCTTTCTTCTTAGATGTTAAGTTTGTGTCTTATAATGAAATGTTTGGATTCTCATGGCATGAACATAGTTATTTGCTATCTATGTGCATATAAGTTTCAGAATAATAATATAGATATTTTTATAATAACATGATTCTGAACATAATTTAAGCTTTTTTGCAGAATTTTTTTGTTTTATGGTACATTCTGCTAAGGATGTACAGTCAAATTACTTGTTTTTAACTCACTTTTTAGAGTTCATCTCTGTGTGATTATGCTACCAACTTGATAGACTGATTTGTTTAATTTTGCCTTTTGTGAATTGTGGTTTAGATTTGGTTTTATTTTAAAATTATGTAAAATGTTGACATGGTGTTAAAATAAAATATATAAAACCAGTGTATTTTCAGAGAAATCTAGCTCTTTTTTTCCCTGTTTTGCTCTCCCCTTTTAAGGAATCAATTAAAATTTTTTGTGTTTGTCTTCCATTTAAAAATGATAAGCCAATATGCATGAGTGTGTATTTGTATTTCCTCTTCACTGTCTTAGATAGATAAAAGGTAGCTTACTACATGTACTTTCTGCATCTTCTTTTTCTTAGTGTATCCTGGACATCACTCTATAGTGATGGGAATCACTCCGTAGCATATTGGGAAATTCTTTCTATTTCAGCTGTACAGTTGTAATGATTGTATATGCCATAGTGTAACCTATCGTAGGTTAATATTTACATGTTGTTTTTTTGAAGAAATGCTGACGTATTTTATTGTTTTGTAATGTAAATACATATTAACACAATGCTTTGTGATTTTATCTGTTTGATTTCTATAGTTATCATCAAGTCTTGTAACCCGGTGGCATTTAGTTTTTATAACTACCTTCGAACTCATCCTTTGCTCATTCGAAGAAATCTTGCCTCCCCTGAAGGAACTTTGGCAACCTTAGGTCTCAAAACTGAGAAGAACTTTGTTGATAAAATTAACCTCATAGAAAGAAAATTATTCTTTACCACTGCAAATGCTCATTTTAAAGTTGGATGCCCTGTTTTAGCCTTGGAGGTACTCTCCAAAATTCCAAAAGTAACCAAAACATCTGCCTTATCTGCAAAAAAAGATCAGCCTGACTTCATTTCTCACAGGATGGATGATGTACCTTCACATTCAAAAGCTCTGAGTGATGGCAATGGAAGTTCTGGCATTGAATGGTCAAATGTAACTTCATCACAGTATGACTGGAGTCAGCCAATAGTAAAAGTTGATGAGGAACCTCTTAATCTTGATTGGGGTGAAGATCACGACAGTGCCTTAGATGAAGAGGAAGACGATGCTGTTGGTTTAGTGATGAAAAGTACAGATGCCAGGGAAAAAGATAAACAATCAGATCAGAAGGCCTCAGACCCTAACATGTTATTAACACCTCAGGAAGAGGATGATCCTGAAGGTGATACTGAAGTTGATGTGATTGCTGAACAACTAAAATTCAGAGCTTGTTTAAAGATCCTTATGACTGAATTAAGAACATTGGCTACAGGTTATGAAGTAGATGGAGGAAAACTCAGATTTCAACTCTATAACTGGCTTGAAAAGGAAATTGCTGCCTTGCATGAGATATGTAATCATGAATCAGTTATTAAAGAGTATTCCAGTAAGACATATTCCAAAGTAGAGAGTGATCTGCTGGATCAGGAAGAAATGGTAGACAAACCAGATATTGGTTCCTATGAGCGCCATCAAATAGAAAGAAGAAGATTGCAGGCCAAACGAGAGCATGCAGAAAGACGAAAGTCGTGGTTGCAGAAAAACCAAGATCTCCTGAGAGTATTTCTCAGCTACTGTAGCCTTCATGGGGCCCAAGGTGGTGGTTTGGCTTCAGTAAGGATGGAACTCAAATTTTTGCTACAAGAATCACAACAGGTGTGAATATCACTTTTTTTTCAATCTTGGTTATTTCAGTAATTTCAGTAGCTCTTCCAGTTATAGCTATAAAGCTCTTTTACTACTTTTTACTAGTTAATCTAAATATGTTCAGCTCCTCTCTTTATAGGAGGCAGATATTTATACTCTATGTGTCTTAGACTGAAGTTTTGATAATAAGGAGTAGGCTTAACAGCTTGAGAGTATTCTTGTGTCATATTTATCTATATACCATCTACATCTAGCATAGTACCTGGTACATACTGGGTGCTCAATAAATTTGTGTAGAATGAGTGAGCGAACATATTCCCTTTACACAATGTTTATCACCAGTATTTCTGTCAGAGAACTGATAAAATTTTTTAAACTACTTTGAAAAAAATAATTCACTATCACCCACAGGAAACTACAGTAAAGCAGCTCCAGTCTCCACTACCACTGCCTACCACCCTACCTCTGCTTTCAGCAAGTATTGCGTCAACAAAAACAGTCATAGCTAATCCTGTATTGTACTTAAATAATCACATCCATGATATACTTTATACTATTGTTCAGATGAAAACACCACCTCATCCCAGTATTGAAGATGTGAAGGTAATGTAAAGTTTATGATCATTTGATATTATACACCCTGAGAAGGTAAATATGTTATACCTGTCTTTTAATTCGAACTTAGGGGAAATATTTCAAAGTGCTACCTTTCTCACTCATGATCAGTTCAAGACTATTAGTCCAATGAATGTAATTTAAAAGTAAGTGTTCTTACTTCTGGAGAAGTTATTGTCTTCCTTTAAGACAGACAAATACTTTTGGCAATAAAACTAATTTTCTTGACAGTATTCTTGCTACTTAATATCCCTTTAGATCCTCCATTCCCCTTAAATGAACCATTAAGTTGGAAATATGACTATTTGTTTACATGCCAAGATATTATGAAAATACAAGTTGGGGAGTATCTGGGAGGGAAGCATGACTGGTCACAAATGGTCCCAGAGAGAGTGTCCTTATTACTGTTTCCTTGGTGGTTGTGTTTATTGGAGGCAATAGTTAGAGGCAATCAGAGTTTTGGCAGTTACTACTGCGAACTATATTGATACCCTGTGCTAAGATCTTAAAAACTGATACAGTCCAAGAAACACTAGGGAGCTTGGCAGGATCTGGGGAGCTAGCTGATCAGACTTTTCACTGTCCCAGCCTGAGTGTATTTGTGCTATGCTTTTTCCAGTTCTACTGGCTGATGCACAATTCAGGTCCCCTGTTTTCTTATTTTTTATTTGTTTTGTTTGACAGGCACATTTACTCTCTGGCAGCACATTCTTCTAAAGGCCTGGTCATAACCAATTAGGGACTTCTCATCCATATTATGAATTAACCTGTATTAGTATTTTAGCAGAGATTATTTAAATCATTTGTTAGGTGAATAGGGACACGCAGAAAAGGCATAAAAAGCATATGAATTCAAAGTAAACATTTCTAGTTCCTAGACATTTGGATAAGGCTTTCAAAGAGTAATCTGTATAAGGTATGAAACTGTTTCTAAGGTCCCTTCAAATTTAAAGATTTTGTGAGTCTGAAAATATTGATTCAGTATAGCATTTCAGGGTGGTGGGTTTTTTTTTAATTATATGGAGAAATTTAAAACTTTCTAAATGTAAAATTCTAAGACTGTCCTCAATTCATGAGTACCAAGTAAATTACTTTCTGGAAAATCTGCTGTTTCACACAGTGATTGACACATTTACTAAAAAGATTTAATTCATTTTCATTGATAAGATTAAGTGTTTATTTTCATCAAGGCGAATTTCGTGAGGCAAGCTTAAATAAAAACTCTGAAAATTCTATTCTTATTTTCTTCTGCTTTTTTTTAAATATTACTATTTAAGCTAATTGTTAGGGTAGGACAAATGCCTGTAATATGAACATTAGCACTTTGCTCAGGGCCTCGTAAACGGCAGGCTCACAGTAAGTAACTGTTTGATTAAAATGTGTCTGAAACAATCAGCTTTATTGTGGCATGTGTATAAAGGTGGGTGACAGTTACTTTAGAAGATTTAAAGCAGAGTTAGTAGTCTCATCTAGGATTCAGTCTTATTTATGATGTTGCTAGGTTTCCTGGATGTTTTCTAATTTTTGAAATATTACTGTTGTGTAGAAATGTTAGTACAAAATGTAATTGTGACTGTTTTGGTTTTAGGTGCACACACTTCATTCACTAGCAGCATCACTTTCTGCATCAATTTACCAAGCATTATGTGACAGTCATAGCTACAGGTAAAAAAAAATCACCCAAAATAGTATTAATACAGCAAAAACATTAAACTGTTCCAGAGTTATATTAAGTTTCTATTTCCTAGGGACTGAAAAATCCCTAAATATGACAGCCATGATATTTTAATACATGCGAGAGAATCAGAAATAAAATAATTATTTGTTTAGTTGTCACCTAGTAGTCACAGAGAAATATAGAAAGTAACAAATAGTAAATGTAAATTACCATCATTACCATCCTTTTTGTTTTTAAGAAAGAAGAGTTTACTGTCCATAATAACTTATAATATGAAATTTTCTAATTGTTTTTCCTTAGAAACAATTTCTTTTTGCATTGGATTAGCAGCTATTTAACTAATTATCCATTGAAATAAAAAATACTTTTGAAAAATGAAAAAGTACATTCCTAAAATGGAATTATTTAAATTACTTTTACCTACCCATTTACATATGATGTAAAAGTCTTTGGAAGTGATATCAATTAGAAGAAATGGATTGAATTTTTCTAAATGTATAATTGCCTTCATTAGTGTGTACTTTGCATTTTAATGACTAGAGCAATGTAAGTAGCAGGAAATTGAATCACTTGGAAAGATAACCTAGATTTAAATGAATAATGTTAATAAATGAAAAGTTTATAATAGTAGATTCACATTAAATTGATATTAAATATATTTCTGGCTTTCTTTCTTGTAATGGTAGCAGCCTTTTGTGGGAACATTTGGTATCAAGTAAAGAATTATCTATCAAAATGGCCTGTACTCTGATTGTAACTTAATTAGGCTGTGTCTAAATAACTCCAAAGATTGGAAATGTAAATAAGGAAAAAAGTTGATTTAGTTGACTGTTGTCATCTAAATGATCAAAGATAACTTGTTTGATGTCAGTCACCATTAAAATGGCACCAAATGAAAATGCAAATACATTGTTTTTAAATATATATTTTCCAGTTGGTCGGCTATGATTTACTAGACTCAGCTTGACTTTCCGCTTTTATATTTTCCCCAACTTCACAAAGATAGCCATTATAGAGAGGGAAGTAAATATTATTAAATAATATTTAGGGACATTTGGTTTTAGGTTTAGGTATTTCTAAAATGTGATTCTCTGGGTTTTAGTTCATAACTTTAATTTAGGGTTAAACTTGCACAACTTTGCAGAGAAAAGAAATGCAACCTACTAGTCCCTGAAACTTTCTGCCTACTGTATCCTAGTACCAGCAGTAGTCTCCTTACCTCAGACTTTGTAAAAACACAAAATAAAAATTACTGCAAATAGAAAAGATTTTAAAGTATTAAAGTGGCATCTGGAAAAAATTCTAAAGGAATAAGTGTCATCTGCCCAACATAATAAAATTTGTTACTTTGTTTAAAAGAAACAATAAGCATTTGTAACTAATTTCAGTAATTTTCTAAAATAAATTTTTATTAGAACAGTGAATGCATTTTAAGAATTTTTGTTTCTTAAAATAGGTGTCTAAAATAGATGATATACATAAAGTGCAATTTTTTATTACCTCTCAGGATGATAAATAACTGAACCTATTTGTTTTAGCAGTCAAACAGAAGGAAATCAGTTTACAGGAATGGCTTATCAAGGACTTCTTTTAAGTGATCGTAGAAGACTAAGGACAGAAAGCATTGAAGAACACGCAACACCAAATTCATCTCCTGCTCAATGGCCTGGTGAGAATTTAAATGATTAAAAAAAAAAAATCTTCTAGTTGGCAATTTCTTCCTAAAAGCCTACTGACCAGTTTCCTGCTTGTTGCTGGATTTAGTGAGTGGTTCCTTTCTTTCTTTGTTTTTTGATGATGTTTTTCTGCTATGGATTAGGAACTATTAAGTACTGCAATATTGTCTGAAGACTCAGGAAGTTAAGGCTTCATAAAACCAGCTATGTTAACCAACATAAAAAAGCAATGTCTTAACATCCTTCATAAGGATGGAGCACATTATCTTTCTTAGAAATGTTAAATTAGAGTCTTAGAAAATCACAGACATATTTTCACAGACATACCATAGAAAATACAGTTAGTTGTTCTCGGGCGTGTAAATTTATGTATTGGGGTAGGAGTGACTATTCTGTGGTACATATATCATGCTGTCTGACAGTCCTTTTTTTCTTGTTGGCTCTCTTTCTCATTCTCTACATCAGTTGTTTCAAAACTTCTCCACTCTCTTCAATATCCTAAGTGTATATTTCAGATTACTGTAACCATTGCCTTGTAGAAACACATTGTTTTCATTTTAACCTCTTATTTCAAAATAATTTCAGACTTGCAAAAAATTGCAAACATAATACTAAATTTCACCCAGATTCCCCAAATGTTAACATTTTACCATGCTTGCTTTGTCATTCATTTCTTCTCTCTCACTCACTTGCTGTTTGTGTATCTAAGTGTATTTTTTTTGAAAAATTTGAGAGTAAGTTGCAGACCAGATATCCCTTTCCATCTAAACATTTCAATGTGTGTTTCCTATAAACAGACATTCTCACATAATTATCCAATTTAACATTTATGTTCTCTAATCTACAGACCTTTTTTGAATTTTGCCAGTTGTCCCACTAATGTGCTTTTGGGGGCCCATATGTAACATTTAGTTGTCATGTCTCATTAGTCTCCTCTTATATTGAGTAAAGTCTTCCTTCTTTCTCTTTCACAACTTTGACACTTTTGAAGAGTACCAGCCAGTTGTTTTTTTAAGTGTCCCTCAATTTGGGCATTTCTGATTTTTTTTCTATCTTTCCTTATGTTTATTTATTTTATTTTAT
This sequence comes from Homo sapiens, assembly GCF_000001405.40. Lineage (NCBI taxonomy): Eukaryota > Metazoa > Chordata > Mammalia > Primates > Hominidae > Homo > Homo sapiens. Next base: position 51,475,498 of record NC_000015.10, on the reverse strand, counting down.
TTTTTGAGACAGAGTCTTGCTCTGTCGCCCAGGCTGGAGTGCAGTGGCGCAATCTCGGCTCACTGCAACTTCCGCCTCCTGGGTTCAAGCAATTCTCCTGTCTCAGCCTCCTGAGTAGCTGGGACTATAGACGCATAACACCATGACCGGCTAATTATTTTGTATTTTTAGTAAAGACAGGGTTTCACCATATTGGTCAGGCTGGTCTCGAACTCCTGACCTCAGGTGATCCACCTGTCTTGGCCTCCCAAAGTGCTGGGATTACAGGTGTGAGCCACCGTGCCCAGCCCTGATTTTTTTCTTAATGTTGGATTCAGGTTACGTATTTTTTGGCAGGGATACCACAAAAAAGATGTGTCTTTCTCAGTAGGAGATATCAAGAGGCATATGATGTCATTTGGCCCCAGCTGCTGTTAACTTTGATCACTTGTTAAGGTGGTTTCTGCCAAGTTTCTCCATTGTAAAGTTACTTTTTTTTTCCTTTGTAATTAATCAGTATCTTGTGAAGAGTTAGTTTGAGACTGTGTAAAATATTATACTTTCACTTGCTAATTTTAGCATCTAGTGATGATTTTTGCCTGAATCAGGTATTACTGTGGGGTTACTAGCTGGTGATTTTCTAACACTATCACTCATTTTATGTATTAGTTGAAATTGTACTTTAAGGAAGAGCTTCCCCTTCTTACCTTTTGTTTATCTACTCATTTATTATATCAGTGTAGACAAATGGATGATTTTATTCTATAGGCTATAATCCATTCCTATCTTGTTTATTTTGTTGCTCAAATTATGGAAATATTTTGTAAAATATAAATGCATAATTTTGGATAAGTTGCAAATTTGGATGTTTTTTCCTTCTGGTGCTTCATCCTGACATACGTCTTATGATTTTATATACCCTTATAGGTGTGAGCTCACTTATTAATCTTTTGAGTTCAGCCCAAGATGAAGACCAGCCAAAACTGAACATTTTGCTATGTGAAGCTGTTGTTGCTGTTTACTTAAGTTTATTGATACATGCTCTTGCCACAAATTCCTCCAGTGAATTATTTCGGCTTGCAGCCCACCCATTAAATAATCGAATGTGGGCTGCTGTTTTTGGAGGCGGTGTAAAACTTGTTGTGAAACCTCGAAGACAATCAGAAAATATTTCAGGTAAGATACGTTTGATACCAGTAATGTATGTAAATGTTAATCATTTTGAATGTTAAAATTTTTTTTAATGTTTCAAGAAATTTCACTTTGAAAATAAGCGATGCTTAAAGTATAATCACTCTTGTTATGACAGCAAATAATTAAACCCATGATATAATAAACATATAGTTTGTTACTTTTATTTTTATAGAAATAACATTTTTGAGGTTGATAAAGCAGGACATGTTTGAAGAAGATTAAAAATAGAGGAAAGGTAAAGGTAAATACAGAAAAAATGTTAAGGAACAAAGTCATACAAAAAGAGTAGTTCCTAAGACAATAAAATGAAAAAAAAAAAGCAAAAACAAAACGGATAGTTCTTAATTACAGAAAGAAGAAAATTTAAGTAAGTGTTCAAAATCTTTAGCGCATACCAGCAGTTGGCTTCAGATTAAATGTATGGTCATGTGCAAGATAGCCATTCCAATCATACACACAGTTTTTAAATTCTATTTTTTTATTCTCCAAAATAGGTTCCTTTAGTCTTCAATGTGATAGTATTATTCCATTTTCCTTGTGTGTTTCTTCTTCCCTCATGGCCAGAATATATTTTTCATCCCACTTTTGAAAATGGTATGATATGGTGAGGTATAGACTGATGCCGCAGGAAAGATTTCTATCTTGATGCTGATATATAGAAATCATCTTAATTCATCCTTAGAAATGGACATATTACAGATGAGAAATCAGTGGCACACAAGTTTAATGACACTAACCTCTGTCTTCATTGTCTGTGATTGAGTTAAATAAATAGGTTCCTGTGTAAGTCATTGTAAGGGAGATGATCTTATCAACTCCCACTGCTTCCATTCCCATCAAATGTGGATATCTGAATCTCTTTCTTGCTGCTTGGTTATAGTCCACTTTAAACTTAAAAGTTTTTCTCCAAAATTGTTTATTTCTCTGCCTGAGTTTTCTGATTTTTTGTTCATGGTAATTTATCCATCAAATCATCCATGCTTAAAACCTGCCAGTACATATTAATATTTGCATTAATTTATTCACTTAACACCTATCAGGCAATTAACAAAGATATTTCAGGTAATGATAAGAACTGTGATAAAAATGGAGTAAGTGGAAAGACGGTGATGAGGGAATGGGAATGGACCAGTTTAGTTAAGGTGGTTGGAAGACATATTTCTGATGAGATAGCATTTGAGGAGAGCTGTAAGGAAGTTGGGAATCACACCATGTGGATATCTGAGACCAGAGCATTCCAGGCAGATGAATGCAAAGGTCCTGAGGTAGAATTGAGTTTGGCCTTTTCCAAGAACTACCCAGGGACCATCATGGCTGTCATGAAGAGGGAGTGTTGTAGGAGATGAGAATAGAAGAGTAGCTGGGGCAAGTTCCTTTAGGATCATGGTAAAAGCGTTAGTTGTTCTAAAGAGAGGAGGTGACAGAATCTGATTCAGCTTTTCAACAGAACCGCTCTAGCTGCTTTGTGGAGAATAGACTGGGTAACATAAATAAGAGTAGGGAGGCTGGTGGTAGGGAGGCTAGTTCACTTAAAAGATAATTGTGGGTTACCATCAAGGATGAAAGGATCAACAAAGTGTGGTATATTCGTGCAATGGAGTGTTACTCAGCTATAAAAGGAATGAAGTACTAATGCATACTATAATCTGTATGAACTTCAAAAATAGGCTAAGCCAAAGAAGCCAGACACAAAAAGTCTCATATTGTCTGGCTCCATTTATATGAAATATCCTGAATAGGTAAATCCATAGAGACAGAAAGTAGACTGTGGTTGCCATGGGCTAGGGGGAGGGAGAAATAAGGAGTGACTGCTTATTTGGTATAGTGTTTCCTTTTGGGGTGAGGAGAATGCTTTGAAACTAGATAGAGGTGGTGGTTGCATGACATGTTAAATGTACTAAATATCACTGAATTGTACACTTTAAAATTGTTAATTTTATTTTATGTAAAATTTGCCTCAATTAAAAAGAAATAATAGTGGTTCATCCTAGGGTGTTAGTTATGGTCAGAGTGAAAAGTGATCATATTCTGGGTATAGTTTGAGGTTAGAGCCAATGGATTTGTTGATGAATTGTGTCTGGGGTAGGGAAGATAGAAGAGTTGAGATAAAATTATTTTCTGTGATGGGGAGGTTTAGGAGAGGAGCAGGTTGACTTCTACTTTCTGGCCCTCCCATACCCAATTCCTGAATCCTTTTGCTATTTCTTTTGTGTATCACTCATATACAACCCTTCCTCTACTTTTTACCACCCACCATATTAGTGCAGGCTGTTCTTATGTCATCTTCCATCTTCCTCTCTAATTGATCAGACAAGCCATACCTCATTGTGTGACTAAAACTTAAGAGGTGTTAGTGAGAATTGCCCAAAACATAAGTTCCCAGGTTCATAGCCACAGACTTGTCCTAACCTAACTCTAGACTGTTGTTGATATTACTTCCCTCCATGACTCCTGTCTACCAAAAGTAATTTACTCCTCATTTACCCAAACCTTCTTTGATTATTTGTTTATATTGTCCTTTTCCATTTTCCCATTGAACTTCTGCCCTTCTTTTAAGGCACACTATTAAATTCTACATATTCAGTGAATCTTTCTTGAACCTCATAGCCAGGGATAATCAGTCAATCACTCACTTTAATATTTATTGAATATACCACTTATTTAGTGTATTTTATATAGAATTACTTTAATCCTTATTTTAGGGAGCACATGGCAAGATAGGCTTTAATGCTTTATCTCCATCTGTATCTCTGCCATGACTGCTGGAAAGCTGATTCAGTAACTAGAAAAGTTTAGAAGCACAGGAATAAGTAATTTAGTTTAGACCAAAACATGGCAAGAGTAGGATAAAAAGAAAGCTTAACTCTATCAATTAACAATGGAAAATGAATGCTAGATTTTTTTTTCCTTCTATCTTCATTTAGCACCTCCTGTCCTTTCTGAAGACATAGATAAACACCGTAGGAGATTTAACATGAGAATGCTCGTCCCTGGAAGGCCTGTAAAAGATGCTACCCCACCACCGGTGCCTGCAGAAAGACCATCTTACAAAGAAAAATTTATTCCTCCCGAACTTAGTATGTGGGATTATTTTGTTGCAAAGGTAAGGAGTGTGAGGAATGCAAGCTTTAAGAGAAGTCTATCATCTATTTTATTAACTCTTGCATGTGTCTCACATAGGAATGATGGGGTAGCTTTTGGATTGAATCACCATAGTTTAGACGTTTAATTTATTAAGTCCAGAAACTGAATAGTCATAGTAAATTCGAGGATGATCAGTTACCTGATGATGTAGGAGACAAATTAAAATCACATGGGAGTTATGTATAAATTAGAAGTCAGCTTATTACATAATCAGCACCATCTTTTTCGAGTGACTGGAATACTTGTATCTACCACCTAGACACCCCTCTTCTAATTATCAGTGGCTCCCTTGGTAAGCATGGAATTAGAATAGAAGGAGATGGATGGACATTTGGCGGTTTTATCAGGCCATGATGAGGCCCCATGATACATCTCTGTTTTCCCAGCGCAAAGGAAACTTCTCAGGGGATCAGAATACTCATGGTGACTAGATCTGGTATAGCCCCATTTCATACCATGCTGGGTGCATGCTAATGTTTGCTTTTCTGCACTTTGCTCTTTTGAGCTCATGATTCTCCTTCTGTTGGTATGTTTCCCTCTTTACATGTGTTAACTCTGTTGTTACCTTGCTGTGCATACACATGAGGGAATACATCTCCAGAGTCATGCCTCTTCCCATTTTTAGATTTTTATTAGATCTCAGAGTTATTGAGGCGCTGATCCCGCTCCGTTTTTTTGTATGCTAAGCTGATCCTTAAAAAGTCTTTCAACATGAGTTTGGAAGCTTTGTTTTGTTATCTAAAGACTCTGAGGCCAGGTGCAGTGGCTCATACCTGTAACCTCAGCACTTTGGGAGGTTGAGGTGGAAGGATTGCTTACATCCAGGAGTTTGAGACCAGCCTGGACAACATAGACCATGTCTCTGCCAAAAAAATTTTAAAACGTAGGTGCAGTGCTGTTTGCCTGTAGTTCTAGCTGCTTGAAAGGCTGAGGTGAGAGGATTGCTTGAGTCCAGGAGGTCAGCGTGGCAGTGAGCCATGATTGTGCCACTGCACACCAGCCTGGGTGTCGGACTGAGACAGTGTCTCAAAAAAAAAGACTTTGGTTACGTCAGTGGTTCTCAAAGTGTGGTCTCAGAACCGGCAGCATCGGCATTCCTTGGGAACTTGTTTGAAATGCAGATTCTTGGGTCTTCCCTCAGACCCCTCAATCAGAAACTCTGGGAGTGAGAACCAACAATCTATGTCTTAACAAGCTCTCCAGATGGTTCTAATGTGTGCTGAAGTTTGAGAACTATGAGCTTAGGCACATTGTGAGTGCAGATTTCCAGGTTTACACTCTATCAGGGTCCGAGTTATACTTCCAGAGTCATTCTGGCCTATCCCTTAAGGCTGCCAATTGAGTTGCACTTAGTTGTATTTAGCTAATAAACCAGGGAAATAATAAAGTACTCTTAAAAATGTATAGGCAGTTCCCACTCCTACCTTTTTAAAATTTTTATTTGCCACGAATGAAAGCTCATTGCATCATTAATGTGAGTGATAACAACATTAAGATTTGTAAATGGTAATGTGCTAAATTTTTGTTTTTCAAAAATGTTTCCTCCTGATATATGTTCTGAAAATTTGGAAAATGCAAAATATTATAAAGAAGGGAAATAGCACTCATCTGTGCAACAAAGATAACTGTTACCATTGTGGCCAATTTACTATTAATCTTTTTTCCTCAGATTAAAAAAATGTATAATTGGATCAGTATATGTAGTTTTTTTTCTGTTAACATTAACAAGGTAAACAGTTTTTATGCCATTAAAAACTTATATAGCTGTCATTTTAAAAACTTCAGTGTAGAAAACTTCCAACATACACAAAAGGAGAGATAATAGCATATGAATCTTTTATCTACCATCATGTAGCTTCAAAAATTATCTACTCATGGACAGTCTTGTTTCATTTATACCTCTCCCCACTACTTTGTTTGGAAGCAAATCCAAACATCATGAAATTTCATTCAAAAATATTTCATTATTTATTTTTGAAAAAAAAAAAGGATTTTAAATAGATCTACATTAGTGTTACACCCACAGAAGCACACCCACAATTCTTTAATATTATCACATATTCAGACAGTATTCACATTTCACCAGTTGCATCTTAAATGTTTTTATATAGTTGATTTGTTCAAATCAGGATCTAAAATATGATTCATACCTTGCAAGTGGTTGCTATATCTTCAGTCTCTTTTAATCTATAGGCTCCACCTCTCTCTCTCTCTCTCTCTCTTTTTTTAACTTAACTCCCACCTTTTTCGTTTGCCCTGAAAGAATTTTGACCTTTAGAATTTTTCAATGGATTTTGCTGATGGCATCACCATATTTTGTTCCTCTGAATCTTGTCAAGTGAAAATTAAATCCAATTTCATTCTGATTGGATAGGAAGAGGGAGTACAGGATTAACTTCATAGGTGGTTTTGTATATTTCTGTCAGGAAGCTTTTTATGATTTTAGTTGATCTTTGCCTACATTTATTATTTCAGTGAAAGTTTTAAATTATGATAATATAATCCTGTCATTCATTTTTCATGTATTTGCTGGAATGTCTCTTCATCAACCTATTCAATTACCCTGAAGTACATTTTGAGTCGGAAAGACAGGATAAATGCTTTATTCTTTTGCTTTTGTGTACCAGTTTTCAAAATGATGAGTTGGTTCCCAAGCATCCTTCAGAGGAGGCCAGTGAGTTTTGTTTTGCTTTCAGCTTTGTTATGAACTTATAGATTTAAACATATTTTATATGTTTTAATCTATTGCAGTTATTTTTTTCTCATGGGGACTCAGATTATCCATCTTTGCCAGTGAGAGCCTCTTCCACAATTGGCTCCGAATCTTTTTGAGATTATTCCACTAGTGTTTGAGTTTGCCTGCTTTCTAGTTTTATTCTAGGCTAATCATGTATATTTCCTGCCCGTGACTGAGAACAATCACTTTTTTGAAATAACCTGGTTCCTTTTTGTGAGAAATTATATTTAGAAACTACAGACAGATGCTGGGGTGCTCGCTCTTACTTGGTTGATCATTGTTTCTAGATAAGCATCAATTATAGTGACCATGTAACTTTTCACTTTGTTAGTGATTTGATGTTTAAAATGCCAAGAATAGTATCTTTTAAAATATGTCTTGTTCATGAGCAGATTATTTCCTTAAGAAGTACTAGGTCAGGCCCGGCATGGTGGCTCACGCCTGTAATCCCAGCACTTTGGGAGGCCAAGGTGGGCAGATCATGAGGTCAGGAGATTGGGACCATCCTGGCTAACACGGTGAAACCCCGTCTCTACTAAAAATACAAAAAATTAGCCGGGCGTGGTGGCAGGTGCCTGTAGTCCCAGCTACTCGGGAGGCTGAGGCAGGAGAATGGCGTGAACCCGGGAGGCGGAGCTTGCAGTGAGCCAAGATCGTGCCACTGCGCTCTAGCCTGGGCAACAGAGTGAGACTCCGTCTCAAAAAAAAAAAAAAAGAAGTACTAGGTCCAAGGCTATAAACTTAAATAAGGCTTTTAATACATATTGCCAGATTATTTTCCACATTACTAATTTGTACTCTCTTGAGAATAGTGAGAGGATGCATCTAACTTTACCCCCTTATTAGCATTAAGTATTCCTTTTTCATTTTTGTTAATTTGATAGATTAAATGATTTTTATTTTCTGTTAGTGACATTAAAATTTTAATGATCTTATTGCCATTTGATTTTCCAGTTTGAGGTATTGACTGTTCATATTCTTACCTAAATTATCTGTTGAGATTATGGTATTTTTCCTTTTTCTGGATACTTTATCTAGAGATATTATTAATTTATCTTGTTAAGCTTTTTCTAGTTTATTTGCTTTAAAATTTTGTTTATTATGCATTTGAAGTTTTAAAAAGTTTATCATGCACAGAAATTTTAAAAAGTTTAAAAATTAGATCTATCCATACATTTCCTTATTGATTACATTGTTTTTCAGCAGAAGTCTTTTCCACTAATAAATGTGTACATTTATTTTACCTTCCTTCTCTGTTTCCTCCTGTTCTTTTTCTTTCTCCTCCTCCTTAACTTTTAATTCTCTTATTTATCTAGAATAAAGTGAGGAACAGACTGGATCAGACTTCATCTCCCATTCCCACACTTAGCTAACTAGTTGTTCCATTATTATTTATTAAATAATCTTTCTTTTTCTCCCACTGACTTAAGATGTTACCTTTGTCAGATTAACTTCTTATACGTGTATGATTTTTGTATTATATTTTTGCATCAATCTAGACTACATTTTTCTTACTTAGTTTAATATCCACTAAAAAAAATGGGATTTTTTTTATTTAAAAAAAATTCCCCAGCTAATCTCATCTATTTTTTCTTCTCTACGAACTTCAGAATCATTTTAAAGTTCCAAAACAGGAAGAGAAATTCACAGGGAGATTTTTATTGAAATTACTTAAAGCCTGTGTAAATTAACTTATAAAGAATTACAGTTTTTACACATTTCAGTCCTTCCCTTCATATAATTTTATAAAGATTTATAATTTCCTTCACAATAGCTCTCTCACAGCTTTCATAGTTTGTCCTTTTGTATTTCTTTAGACTTTTCTAACTATTTATTGCTGATCTATAAGAAGAAAACTATTGATTAAAAAAAATTTCACATCTAGCTATTCAGTTATTGAATATGAGAGTTTTACCTTGTCATCTTGACTTTTGTAGATGTAGCATTATCTGCAAAAGAAAATTTTTACTTATGCTGACACCATTTAAAATGTTTACTTTTATGTTAGAACAAAAATAATTATATACTAAAAATATTTTCTATATTAAATATATAATACATGTTATATAAAATATATTTTATATGTTTATGAAATTATAATCTTTAAAAAAATAATTTTACCTTTTATTGCAGCCATTTCTTCCTTTGTCTGATAGTGGTGTTATATATGATTCTGATGAAAGCATTCATAGTGATGAAGAAGATGATGCCTTTTTTTCAGATACACAAATACAGGAGCACCAAGATCCAAATTCCTATAGGTAAATAAGACTTTTCTTTCTCTCATTTTTTTTTTGGCTTTTCTTTTTGTAGAAAATATCAATGTTATTAATTTTAAATAACATTATTATCCTGAATTTATATAAGAAATGACTTATGTTTCCAGGTTACAAATTCTACACCTTTGAGGTCAATGTCTACATAGTGTTTTCTCCACCTCCAAAGACTAGCTTTTATGGAGAGTGCAAACACAAGCATCTTTAGTGAGGAAAAAATATGTAACTCATGGATATACTATTAGAGTTTAATATATAAATTATTGGTATACTATTAGGTTTCATGTGACTATGTGGTTAATCTTTTTCCACGAGGTAATTTTCAGCAAGTGTAATATAGTATTGCAAGTTTTTTGTATTCAGTGACCACAGAGGTGCCATTTTTGCATAGTAAATTTCAATGACAGCTTTTTTTCTGGGTTGGAGAGTGGGCTAAACAGTTGGCAGGGAACACCACTCTGTTTCTCCCATGATTTTATTTTTCACTTAAAGACTCTTTTTGCCCCTCCTTGAACAGCTGGGCTCTTCTACATTTGACAATGGTTAAACTAGCACTTCACAATGTCAAGAATTTCTTTCCTATTGCTGGACTGGAATTCTCTGGTGAGTTTGGAATTTAAAAATTAATGTTATTAAGTATAATAAATTGCCGTCAAGTTTCTCTTTACAAAATCTATATATAAGGTCATTTGGTACTTAAAAAATAGTGCATTAGATATTTTATAAAGTCTTGTTTATTTTAGGCTCCAATCTGTGACTTTATTTTTATTTTTTTAGATAGAGTCTCGCTCTGTTGCCCAGACTGTAGTGCAGTGGTGTGATCAGAGCTCACTGCAAACTCCGCCTCGTAGGCTCAAGCCATCCTCCCACCTCAGTCTCCTGAGTAGCTGGGACTATAGATGTGCTACCATGCTGGGCTAATTTTTGTATTTTTTGTAAGAGACAAAGTTACATCATGTTACCCAGGCTGGTCTTGAACTCCTGGGCTCAAACGATCCACCTGCCTTGGCCTCCTAAAGTGCTGAGATTACAAGTGTGAGCCACCACACCTGGCTTCAGTCTAATACTTTAGTTTATATCAAGAATCACTCTCTACACAGAAGATTGAGAAAGAGCAGAAACCCACTTCTGTTTTGTTGAAAGCATTAAGAATCTAAACTGTATTACATTAACATTTGCAGATTTATTTGTATTTTCAGAAGTATTATCTCTGAGAATTCAGATTCTATAAATATTTGGGTGATGATCGATATTTTTTATTAAAATAAATAACATATTCTGTCACCTTGTAGAGCTGCCTGTAACATCACCATTAGGTATTGCTGTGATTAAAAACTTGGAGAACTGGGAACAGATCTTGCAAGAGAAAATGGATCAGTTTGAAGGTCCACCCCCTAACTATATCAACACATATCCAACTGACCTTTCAGTGGGAGCTGGACCAGCTATTCTTCGAAATAAAGCAATGCTAGAACCTGAAAATACCCCATTCAAGTAAGAAAGCTCTTATAATGCTGATAAAGAGCGTAGCTTAACTTTTCTGGAAGACAGTTTGGCTAAATATGCCAATATACTTTAAAACATTCATAATTTTGAACCTGCAGTCCTATTTTTAGCAGAATACGCTTAAGAAAAATATCAGAAATTTGAATAGAATTTTTCCCAGTATTATCTGTAATTCATAGACATTCCATTTACATAAAGGAAAAAGTCTTTATTGTATTAATTTCCGGTGTGGTGTTTTTTGTTTGTTTGTTTGTTTGAGACAAGAGACAAGGTCTCACTCTGTCACCCAGGATGGAGAGCAGTGGTGCAATCTCAGCTCACTGCAGCCTCAACCTCCTGGGCTCAACCCATCTTTTTCACCTCTGCCTCCTGAGTAGCTGGAACAACAGGCGAGCGCCATCGGCTAATTTTTTTTGTATTTTTTGTAGAGACAGGGTTTCACCATGTTGCCCACACTGGTCTCAAACTCCTAGGCTCAAGCAGTCCCTGGTCTTGGCCTCCCAAAGTGCTGGGATTACAGGCATGTGCCACTGCGTATGGCATATTTATGTTCTTATTGTCAGAACTCTTACAGAATTTTTTTCTAACAATCTATATATGCAAATAAGGTGCTTCTGACTTTTGTCAGTAATTTAACAGTAAACACATTACAGGTTTTTAACTGATGTTTTGATCTTTTACCTGCCAATCTAGGTCCCTTTTGATAAGCAGCATGCTTTTTTTTTTGAGGTAGTGGACCCTGATTAATAGTTTTTACTATTAAAATAAGCTTGAAAGAACAAAGCTTTTTAGCTTGTTAGGCTGTTAGAATCGGTATCTATGACTTGTATTCATTGTTGATATGCTTTAACCAAGAGAACCAATATAAAGTATAATTTAAAAAGAGAATAATAAGAGATTCATTTGACTCTCAGCTTAACTGGTTCATTCAGTGTAATTAGAGAATTAGTTGCTAGATGAAATGATTTTTAGGAGAACTAAAAATTAAAAGTAAACTGTACAGTTTTGTTGAGCTTAATGCTGTGTCTTCTTTGCAATAGATTATGAAGGTTTTAAAAATAAATATCTTTGCAATAGATTGTGAAGGTTTTAAAAATAAATATCTGCAAATATAAACATATTTTCTATAGACTAAAGTAGTGTGATATGTTAATTTTTTTTAATAGGTCCCGGGATTCTTCTGCATTTCCAGTCAAACGACTTTGGCATTTCCTTGTTAAACAAGAGGTCCTTCAAGAGACATTTATTAGATATATTTTCACTAAGAAAAGAAAGCAGAGTGAGGTATTTTGAGAAAAATATTTTCTATTGTAATTTTTCTTTAGTTTTCTTTAACATTTCTAAGGAAATCAGTGCTTGATTTATTCTGAAATTTTCTTTCTGGTTGGGTAATAGTCAAAGTTCACTAAACTACCGTGAACTACTTTTAAGATAAAACCTTATAATTTTCATTTCATAGCAATGAAACAACATAGGTACTTTGATAAATTACATATATTCAAGTGAAAGTTGGTACTTTACAGTATTTGTCATTAGGTTTTTACACATAATAAACATTGTGATGGATGGCTTGAGGAATTTAATATATAAGCTTACTCTATAATATTCTCCAAATATGTACTTAAAATATAAAATAGCCCTTTAAAAGCATTTTCTTTACTTAGCACTTAGAAATGAACAGAATGATGATTTGAAGCAACAAATTCAGGATACTTTTGTGAGAGAATAAACTACAGAAATAGCAAATACAAGATGAAGGAAGATTGCTCTTACAAAGCAAGACAGAGGTTCTGCATTGCATGGTTATTTTTAAGCTAATACAATTAGTAATGTAATAGCAGACATGGTTCAAGAAGAATTAGCAGTTTGGGAGATTGGCAAGTGACCTCTTCCTTATAAAAGTGGGACCTTTTATATGAGCATTTCAGTCTGTTTGGCTATTTAGTGAGGTAATTAGTGAGGGAATGAGCAGTTTGAAGAGTATTCAGAGTTGAGCGTCTGATGTAATTAAAGATTTGGCAAACATGGCCGGGCACGGTGGCTCACACCTGTAATCCCAGCACTTTGGGAGGCCGAGGCGGGCAGATCACCTGAAGTCAGGAGTTCATGACCAGCCTGACCAACATGGAGAAACCCCATCTCTACTAAAAATACAAAAGATTAGCCGGGCGTGGTGGCGCATGTCTGTAATCCCAGCTGCTCGGGAGGTTGAGGTAAGAGAATTGCTTGAACCCGAGAGGCAGAGGTTGCAGTAAGCCAAGATTGTGCCATTGCACTCCAGCCTGGGCAACAAGAGCGAAACTCTGTCTCAAAAAAAATAAAGATTTGGCAAACACAATCAATGAGAAGAGAAGAAATGAATTATATTTCGCTTAGAAAAGTGAAAACAGAGAGAGTCCATACGGCTCAATTTCCCGAGATAAAGTATAAAATTGCTTCTCAGTTTTTCCTCATGCCCAGGGCAGTGGAACCTACCATACTTGTTCTTTTTCCCACTCACCCACTTACCTGAATGGTAATTGTGGTCAGCCCTTATGAACAGTCATTTGTTTTCTCTATGGATTTAAAAATTATATACTTAAATGAGGAAGTAGAAGAATGAACTGTAGAGACCTTTTGAGTCCTAGTTATAAGCTTTTTCATAACAAAAGACCCTTATGGCATTGAAATTATTGATGTGACTTTGTTAGGGAAATCAGAGGCAAATTATTTGCCTCTGTCATTTAAACCACTGTGTATAGCATTTCCTATAGTGATGCTGAGTCCAAATTCCATAAACTAAAATATAGGAATCTAAGATAGTGATTTAAAATAAAAGATTTTAGCCAGGCATAGTGGCTCACACCTGTAATCCTAGCACTAGGTGGGGGATCTCCTGAGCTCAGGGGTTTGAGACCAGCTTGGCAACATGGTGAAACCCCGTCTCTACAAAAGATACAAAACAATTATCCAGGTGTGATGGTGTATGCTTGTAATCCCAGCTACTTGCAGGGCTGAGGCAGGAGGATTGCTTGAGCCCAGGAGGTGGAGGTTGTAGTGAGCTGAGATCACACACCACTGCACTCCATCCTGGGTAACAAAGTGAGACCCTGTCTTAATCAATAAGATTTCTGGTCAATTAGGGGCTCTGTTATTCACAGAAAACCAGTTCATTGAGTGATCAATTTTCTGAGTGTTTTGTTCTTCAAATTATTAAAATTAATGATTTATCACAAGTATGTTTTAAGTATTGGTAAGGTTGATAGCAGCTTGACTGGTTGACTTGTCAGAGTGTAGAGTGCTGTGGGAAGCCAGGTGTCTGGGTTTCTTGGACCCTCCCATTCTCGTCTTGCCCTTCCCCACGAGTTTGCTTCTTCCTTAACTAATTCTCCCCCTCTCCGCCCCTTAGTCTCCCTTCCATTATGCCCCTCAGTCTCTGTGTGTTCTATTTTTCTTCCAGCAGTGGGTCCCCATGAACAGGGAAGTAGGACAGAGATAAACGGAATGTTTCTTAAAGTGCTATATAAGCATCAGTTGGCTCCAAGGAAGGGAAGTACATGGCTGGGAGTTAGGATGGAAGAATTTTTATCATGTACCCTTTTAATTTTAAAACATTGAATGGAATTACTGTCTTGTCCAGTACTGTCCCATAGAACTTTCTGTGATGATGGAAATCTGTATCTGCATAGTCCAACATAGTAGTCACCAGCCACATGTGGTTACTGAGTACTTGAAATGTGGCTAGCATGATTGAGAAACTGAATTTTAATTTTAATTGATCTAAATTTAAATAGTTACATATGGTTAGTGATTGCTGTTTTGAATAGCTCAGATCTGAAAAAAAAGGTGTTTTATTAAGAAAAAAATTATGAATAAAACATTAAGGCTGTTAGGACAAAATAAAAACTCGTCGTTAGGCTCAGAAATATGCAAAACTTACTAAAACTCTACCCAATCCAGTAAGAGTGCTTACATCTTTAAAATTGTCAAATAGGATTTTGGTAATCACTAAATTTGGCAAATTCAGAAAATTGACCAATAAAATTGGCAGGCTAATCCTAAAAATGCTGGGTGCATTTAAAAAAAATCCCTGAGAAATGCTGAAGTTATATATTTATAAGAATAAGATCTTTTATTCACTGAAGATATTACAGGAAAATATTTCACAAAACAAGTTTTTGGGAAACAGATTGGTGAATTCAGCTAGTTAAGACAAATAGATTCTTCAGCAGTTTGGCCTTCACTGAGTTAGCTGTGCCACACATTGACCATTCCTTGGAAGTTTTCTTGGATGCATCTTTATCAGCTGCAGCAGCCATAGGGGAGTCCCTGGAGGCATGGGCAGAAAATTTGAATGGCCCTTCGTGATGAAAGGAAGGCAGTCACCTGAAAAGGTATGAGGAAGAGTTTGTTTCTCTGATCAAACCTTCAGAGTTTCCACAGCAGAGCAGAAATATAACTTCTGATTGCAGCCATCCTTAGGACCCTGCATCAACCCGGGAGCAAATTACTGAGTTATTTCTTTTTCCGTGCCTGATTTTATTAAACATTTATTTACTTAGAGAAAAATCATCATATTCCTTATAAGAGTGAAATAATTATCAATATTTTGAATCTATGTTTAGAAATAAATATTTTAATTTGTATTTTAAATCAACCCCTATAGGGCAGGAATTTATGTAGCATCTTCTGCATCTGCTTATACAAATGGGCTTTAATTTTATAGATTACCAGTTATGTAACTTAGATTTCTTAAAACTGTATACAGATAACTAATTTTTATTTTGAAATAGCTTTTATGTTCTTGTGTTTATGTAATAGTCACATTAATTTTGCTCTTTTGGCTTTGTGTTGTGTTTATTTGATGACTGTTTTATTCGGTTTAATTTTTTCTTGATTTTGCAAATTCATTTTTATCATCTTTAAGTGGTGGAGTGGCCATTTCAGCTTGAAATATTTCACTGTCTTTATAATTTCATTCCATGCATGTGTTTTGTGTTTGTGACGGTGTGGTGGTATTTAGTCTATAGAAGAACATGTGGAGCAGGTCAACCAAAACTGCATAGCAGAAGATTGCCACATCAAGGTAGTATTCCAAGATCTTGTATTTAGCTCATTCTTTAAAGTTCAAGGAGCTAACGCCTCATCTCTGATACTAACCATGACCTGCCCAACTGGCTAACTACTCAGAGAACTCATAGTACTCCCATACCACTTCAGTGGCACAGGGGAGGAGATGCTTCACTGTATCTGGCTTGCTCTGTCTTGCCCTTGGTTCTTCTCTTTCTTGCTCCCTGTCCCATCTTCACTTGTCACTTTTTCTGTTTTAAGCATGGCTGTTTCATCTTCTTGATTCTGCCTTTTCTTTCCTTCCCATCACCAACCCTAAGCCATTGCATCTTCCTCTCATCAGTCTCTTTTATTCCTTTCGAAGTATCCCTCTTTACAACTTTTCCTTATTTCTGTCTCACCACCCTTACTTCAAAGGGTGGTTTCTTTGCGGTTTTCTATGGCTTTTTACTCCACTCTGTGCCTCTTAATGTATACACATTCTTATTGCAGAATATTTATGCACTTTTGGAAGAGCTAAGAGAGACATACTACTGTATAAATTACTAATAAAAATATATTAGCCATGTTTTATAATTAATCAGTATCTTACCATCACAGTGGAAATTGGGGTGATTACAGGACATCAGAGAATTTAAGCAAATTTTCCAAAGCTAGTTTTCAACACATTAAAGTTACTCTTACCCTTTTTTCTTGCTGCTGCTGCTGCTGCTGCTGCTACATTTTCTTCTTATCCTACATTTAAATCTTATGGGATGTGCATAACTCTAAATAGAGCTGTGCTGCAGCAACTAAAACTGCTGATGAATGTTTTCTAGGTTGAAGCTGATCTGGGCTATCCAGGTGGAAAGGCGAAAGTCATCCATAAGGAATCTGATATGATCATGGCATTTTCTGTTAATAAGGTAAAAGCTCTCATCATTATACACAGTGTATTTCTCCTTAGTGAAATTGCTTAAATCATCGATTCTGCCTTTGCTTTATAGGCAAATTGTAATGAAATTGTTTTGGCTTCAACACATGATGTTCAAGAACTTGATGTTACTTCTCTACTGGCCTGTCAGTCATACATATGGATCGGAGAAGAATATGACAGAGAATCCAAAAGGTTTGTCTCATAGTCACTTTTACATATAGTTTTCTGTAAGAAGTACCCACCAAATGGTTATGCACATGATTTGAATTATTTCAAAAGGTATACGTGTATCTCCTTCATTTGGGTAGGTGACAAATATAATTGGTTTAGCTGCCAGTGAAAGTCTTTGTCTACATTAACTGAATGAATTACACTTCCATTAAACCCTACACTATTGATAATATTTCAATAAGGATAATCCCTAACACTTGGCTTCATGATATTCAGTAAATTAATCTGATCTGGATAATTAAAACAGTAGACACAAATATGTTAATTACACTGAGTCACATTTACCGAGTAATTTTGCAGTGTTTCTTCTTATCACCTGATAAGCATACCTTTTCTTAAACATAAAAATGTAGACGGCTTTACTTTTCATTGAAGCTATGGACACTGCACCAAGAGTGTTTTGCCATTCTTACCTATTTTGAGGTTTCTTCTTTGTGGTTTGCCTTCCCTCCTGCTTTTCTCCAGACTCTTAGAAATTGTTCATGCTTGAGGATGGTGCCATGATAGTTTCTCTCCTCATTTTGTTGAATTCTTTTTTTTGTTAGTATGTGATATAACTAGGATTTAATATCACATTTCAGAGTAGATATAACCATGTACTATGATACAATCCATCCCAACAATTACTTTCACATTTTATATGTCTTACTCCAAGAAATCTTTAAACTCAAATTTCTTTAAACGTGTTAATTTGATACTGAGCTATCTGTACTTGAAGAGAACATAATATTTTTCCATAGATAACAACAAACTTTTGTTTCAACTTGTGCAGCAATAAAGTTGTCCCCAAACAACATTAGACTAAATTTACATTTTGCCAAAAGGGAAAAAAGTTAACCAGTATTAACATTGGCGATTAGGACTTGTACCTAAGTTTTTCTCATGGCTACTTAGTTTTTAAAATAAAGATTGTCCTATGGGTACATAAGAAGATTTTTAGTTGGAATTTGTGTTAAGAGAAAAGGGAATGTTCACAGTAACACATGAATGTTTTTCACAGTTCAGATGATGTTGATTATCGTGGTTCCACTACAACTCTTTATCAACCCAGTGCAACATCCTATTCAGCAAGTCAGGTGCATCCACCTTCATCTCTGCCATGGCTGGGCACTGGACAGACTAGCACTGGAGCTAGTGTGGTATGTTATTTACTTATAGGTATCATTTCTGGATTTGGACTCTGAAAAATCAGTTGGAATCTCTTTGACATAGGAATGATCCTAAATTTCAGGGACAAACACCAGTAGATAGGCCATGATAATGACAGCTGACATTTATTGTGGCTTTTTTATTTGGTGACAGGGTCTGGCTCTGTCGCGCAGGCTGGAGTGCAGTGGTGCAATTTCGGCTCACTGCAGCCTTGACCTCCTGGGCTCAATTGATCCTTCCATCTCAACCTCCCAAGTAGCTGGGACTACAGGTGCATGCCAGCGTGCCTGGCTAATTTTTGTATTTTTTGTAGGGATGGGGTTTCACCACGCTGCCCAGGCTGTTCTCGAACTCCTGGGCTCAAGTGATCTACCCGCTTCAGCCTCCCAAGGTGCTAGGATTACAGGCATGAGCCACCACACTGGCCTCATATGACTTTCTTAGTGTCAGATACATGCTTTTTCTCACAACAATCCTAGGTGGTAGGTGCTATTATTACCCTCCATTATCATTTTACAGATGAATAAACAGATACAAAATGGTAAAGCAAAGTTAAAGGGGAATTCATGTCTACTTCTAAGTGCTTGAAAGCATGTCAGTAACATTCTTGTCACTGTAGCTGGAGGGGTCCCATTCTTATGTTCTGCTCTGAAGCATCTGGAGGTGCTCCTGAATATCCTCAGGGAGGGGCACTTGAAGAAGAGTTCCTTTATTATGAGATGAAGCTCCTTGGTAACCTCACAGGCCAGGGCTATACCAGCAAGTGACTGTGCTTCCTCACCCTCTTCAGACAAGTGTTCTATGTAGTGGTTCAGAACATCCATAACAGGCTTTATCTCAGTAATAAGCAAGGTGTAAGAGAATAAATGTCAGAATTTATCCTGAAGCATATCCTTCCTCATCTTTTCTGCATACACAAAATAAAATTTTTAAAATTTTCTTTTAAAGCTTATGAAAAGGAATCTACATAATGTTAAGAGAATGACTTCACACCCAGTCCATCAATACTGTAAGTATTTATGACCTAATAATTGTAAGTGTCCTCATTTGGAGGTTGATTTATAGAATAGAAAATATTGGAACTCTTTAATTTCTTATTTCCTGCTTTTTCTCTTGTGTTTCAGATCTTACAGGTGCTCAGGACGGCAGTGTACGAATGTTTGAATGGACGCGGCCTCAGCAACTTGTCTGCTTTCGTCAAGCTGGCAATGCAAGAGTTACTAGATTATATTTTAATTCACAAGGCAACAAGGTTAGTTTCTGGGGGCTACTGCTGAATTCATCTGAAAATAGTTGTGGATATTTAGGAGTAAGTGATAAAAGTGCATCGAAAAATGAATTCAGTGACCCTGGATTTAAACTGAGTAGACAGTTTGTTGGAGTCTATTCATACACTCTCTTTTCTTCCAATAGAAGCAAAAATCTACAAAATTTAGTATGGATTAATCATCTATTTAAAGATACTAAATATACTGTGAGAGTAAAAAAACTGCCTGTGTTGAGTGTGTTGGTGATTCCTGTAAGCACAGTAAAGTTCTTGAGAGAAACCTAGTTTCTTACTAAATTTCATCAGTAAGAGGTTAGAGGAAAACAGTGAAACAGGTAAGCAGTTAAGAAGTAATGGAAGGGCCAGTCACAGTGGTTCACACCTGTAATTACAACACTTTAGGAGCCCAAGGCAGGAGGATTGCTTGAACTCCAGCATTTGAGACAACCTGAACAACAAAGGGAGACCACATCCCTACAAAAATTTTTTTAAAAAGCCCAGGCATGTGCCTCTAGTCCTAGCTACTCAGAAGGTTGAGGCTGGAGGATCCCTTGAACCCAGGAGTTTGAGGTTATAGTAAGTTATAATTGCACTACTGCACTCCAGCCTGGGTAACAGAATGAGACCCTGTCTCTAAAAAAATTTAAAAAAAAAGTGACAGGGAATTTTTTAGCACTTGGACTTTTTGGGAATGACAGCAACAGAAACATAGTTAGAGGCAGAATGTTTATTTAGTAGGGCCTTAGTGAATCTTCCTTCCATGTTTTTACCTTTGCTGTGGATGCTAAGAACATGTGTTTAGTAGTTATACTGTTCTTACAGTGTGGTGTTGCGGATGGAGAGGGTTTTCTGAGTATCTGGCAAGTTAACCAAACTGCATCAAATCCTAAACCTTATATGGTAAGTATCACTAAATGTTCCCAGGGCGCATATACACAACACTTTGTTCATGAAGTGTCTGTTTCAGACAGTGAATCTCATTGGTGGTCCTATTGGGAAAAGGATGATTTTTTTCAGCAATCCCAGCCTGACAGCAGCACCCATCCTTACCCTAGTTTTAGACTGAAATGACCTGAAAAACAAAAAGCCTTGCTTTTCACCTTGAAGTACAGTTTATATTTTAAAAATTTTGGGGGCTTTCCCTGTGTGTGGTACAACTTGGGTTTTTTTTCATTATTATTATACTTTCATCCATTTTGAAAACTCTATCTTCTTAATATACACATGATAAAATTCTGTCATTAAGAATCAGGTTCTGCCGGGCACGGTGGCTCACGCCTGTAATCCCAGCACTTTGGGAGGCCGAGGCGGGCAGATCACAAGGTCAGGAGTTCGAGACCAGCCTGACCAACCTGGTGAAACCCCCTCTCTACTAAAAATACAAAAATTAGCCAGGCATGGTGACACGTGCATGAAGTCCCAGCTACTCGGGAGGCTGAGGCAGGAGAATCGCTTGAACCCAGGAGGCGGAGGTTGCAGTGAGCTGAGATTGTGCCACTGCGCTCTAGCTTGGGCAACAGAGTGAGACTTCGTCTCAGAAAAAAAAAGAATCAGGTTCCAAACATCTGTTCCAATTTGTTCCAGAATTGTGCTTACCAGATTATAAAATAACCAATCCCAATGAGCCACCTTAATCCAAATTGGATTACAAAATAGTTGGTGATGAAGATAAGTAGATCTTTACCTGATGGAGATATGGTGGGGGAAAGGAACATGGGGGAGGGTGGAAGGTGATGCTGTCCTGTGTGAAACTTCAGGCTTCACATATATGGAGGGAGGTTCAGAACGCCTTGAACCTCCTGGGACCAGATAGATTACCCAAATACTTTTTAAAATTTTTCTAAACTATACATATGTTCTTAATTATGTGTATAAGATAATTCTCTTAAATTAGGACACTATAGACTGTACCTTGTCTATGCAGAAATGGAAGTAATCTTGAATTTATACTTTTGTCTTCAGTCAGATCTGTACCACTATAATTCCAGACAGAAAAACATGCATTATATTTTAAAATACCTTGACATCCTAAGACTAGTTGGGTCTGTAAGCATTTCCTTTGTGACTGTTAAAGTTTATTACATGTATTTGAGATCATTAGCACTAAAATTGACGGGTCTTAGGTAGGTTCATGTACTTTGATGTCCTATTCTTACATAATCTGAAAAACATGACCTTTAATTCTGTTTTTACCAACTCCAGTTATTAAAAATTATTGGACAGTAGCCAAATAATATACACATGACAGTTAAGCCTCATACTATCACTTATTCTTTTATCCTAGACCGAGTTTTTAAAAACTATTTTTAGCTCATGCATATAGTATGTTATTAGCAGACATGTATGTTGGTACTGTATCAAATTTTATCCAATGGTAAAATAACATCAGTTGCACTTTGTTTTTCGTAGAGTTGGCAGTGCCACAGTAAAGCCACAAGTGACTTTGCATTTATTACCTCTTCAAGTCTAGTTGCCACATCTGGACACTCCAATGACAATAGGTAGGTTGACAGAAAAGCAAAGTAAGAAATATAAAAACGTTAGAAATCCATACCTTTAGCAAGAATACTTTTCTATTAGTAGGGTTTTTCCACTCTAGGCATTAAAAAAAAAAACTTTGTTACATAATTCTTATTTCAGAGTGTTTTTTCTTACCAAAAAGAGAAAAGCAAAAATGAAAGTTATTCCTAATATATGTAATTTTTATTTTAAAGCTATTCAGTCTTTTTTAAACTACTACTGTTAACACTGTTAGTTTCTCTAGGACTAACAGGCATCTGATATTGTCTCCATCATTCTCAACATTTTTATTTTATTGCAGTAGGTTTGGGGGAATAGGTAGTGTTTGGTTACATGGATAAGTTCTTTAGTGGTGATTGCTGAGATTTTGGTGCACCCATCACCTGAGCAGTGTACACTGTACCCAGTGTGTAGTCTTTTATTCTTCACCCTCCTCCCACCCCTCCCAAGCCCCCAGAGTCCATTATATATCATTCTGATCCTTTGCATCCTCATAGCTTAGCTCCCACTTACAAGTGAGAACATACGACATATGATTTTCTACTCCTGAGTTACTTCACTTAGAATAATGGCCTCTAACTCCATCTGGGTTGCTGCAAAATGTGATTATCTCATTCCTTTTTATGAAGTATTCCATGGTGTATATGTACCACATTTTCTTTATCCATTTGTTGGTTGATGGACATTTAGGTTGGTTCCATAGTTTTGCAATTGTGAATTGTGCTGCTCTAAACAGGCATGTGCAAGTGTCTTTTTCATATAATGACTTCTTTTCCTCTGGGTAGATACCCAGTAGTGGGATTGCTGGATTGAATGGTAGTTCTGCTTATAGTTCTTTAAGGAATCTCCGTATACTGTTTTTCATGGTGGTTTTACTAGTTTACATTCCCACCAGCAGTGAGGTGTCCCCTTTTCACCACCTCCATGCCAGCGTCTATTGTTTTTTGGTTTTTTAATTATGGCCATTCTTGCAGGAATAAGGTGGTATCGTATTGGAGTTTTAATTTGCATTTTCCTGGTAATTAGTGGTTTTGAGCATTTTTTCCTGTTTGTTGGCCATTTGTATTTTGAGAATTATCTGTTCATGTCCTTTGCTCGCTTTTGATGGGATTGTTTTTTCTTGTTAAGTTCCTTGTAGATTCTAGATATAAGTCCCTTGTCAGATATATACATTGTATTTTCTCCCACTCTGCAGGTTGCCTTTTTACTCTTGCTGTGCAGAAGTGTTTTAGTTTAATTAGGTCCCATTTATTTATTTTTGTTGCATTTGCCTTTGGGTTCTTGGTCATGAATTCTTTAAGTCAATGTCTAGAGTAGTTTTTTTTGATGTTATCTTCTAGAATTTTTATGGTTTCAAGTGTTAGATTTAAGTTTGACCCATCTTGAGTTAATTTTTGTATAAGGTGAGAGATGAGGATTCAGGGACTAACAGGTATTTGACACTGTCCCCATCATTCTCAACATTTATTTTGACCTCACATGGTTTTCATTAGCAACACATGCCCATGAATAACATCTTGTTTCCCTGCAGTGGCTACCACCTGGGGATATAAAAGCATTCCTTATACTCAGGAAGTCATATCAGTTTCCTGGAGTGGCAATGGAAAGGAGATGGGGTAGAGGATGCAGAGACGGGCAGGACCATGTGAGATGGAACTGTGTAGTTTGACCCTACCCCCATCCTAGTTGGGAATCACTACTCTCTATAGGTGTGAGTGAACAAAAAAGATAAGAATGAATAAGCAAAATATTTGACTGAAAGACAGGTTGTCCCTGATGACGACTTATAACAATCATTTATGATGTATTTTTGTTATTGTGTTTCTTTAAAAGAAATGTTTGCCTCTGGGACACATTAATATCACCCGGAAACAGCCTCATTCATGGTGAGTTAAGGTCTATGATTTTTAAAAATATACCATGAAGGAATAATACACCATGAAGGAATGCTTTCTTGGTTTTAATTAGTGAATCCAGTGAGTGTTTATTGACAGGTTGAAAATGGAGAAATATTTAGAATGAATGACTAAAAATTTGGAAAGTTAATTAGCATATCTGGCTTCCTTGCTGAGTTAAAGATATATGGTCTCAGAAATCCAAAATAGTCTTTATATTCTATTCAGAAAATATGGTATGGATAGTGGTACTACTAACAAGGCTATTTAAGAAATTAGTTGCAAAGTATTCATTGAGCTTAATAGAAAATAACATATTTTAAAGAATTAAACCTCATCATAAAATACTTTTTGTCTTTTTTTCCTTTTTGTGGAGATCAAGGTCATGCTGTATTGCTCAGGCAGGTCTCAAGCTCCTAGGGTCAAGCTATCCTCCCACCTCTACCTCCCTAAGTACTGGGATTACAAGCATGAGCCACCACACCTGGCCCTAACCATAAAATAAAACAAAGGTTAACCTTATTATAATGACTAGAAATGTAAACAGTGCCATTTAAATATTATTCCTTTTAAGACAATACTTGCCAAATTAGTGTCCTAACTCTGTCTTCCACATAGTACCACCCAAAAAGTGCTCCATGCTCAAGTAAGTTTGGTTAAATGAAGTAGATTGTCAGAAAGACAGAAAGATTCTCAGTCTTTTAATACACTGATATGCATTTTGAAATATGTAGTTAATTCTCAATTTTATTGCAGAATTCTGCAAACAGTGGTTAACATTGCTTACAGATTTTCTGCATGTTAATTTGAATCTTTAATCATATTAAAATGCAAATACTCCTGGGAAGGATAATGAACTTCTTAACTTGTAACTGAAAACATTCACACATTTTCTCATAGTGTCGTTGTTTCAATTACTTACCTGAAAAGAACTTTTTGTACGGTACAGCACTTGGCTGGGTTAATACTCACCAACTTTGAGAAGGTTGGTCTCTGCTCTTCTGTATACTTTTTATGAGGCAGTATCACTTAGGGCTTAAGGTTTAAACTTTCTTTTTCTCTCTGTGTTCATTTCATATTGAGATTATGGATAAAAAGTTTGTTCTGACATTGCTTAACATTTTTCTTTAATCATGTGATTACAGAAATTCAATGACTTACAAAACAATAAATGTACCTTAGAATGAAAAATGCATCAGTAAGGTCTGTATTTAAATGTGGATGTAGACATCATAATTACCAAGACAAGAAATTGTTTTGAGAAATTCTCTGATGTTTTTCTTCTTCAGGTTTCACGTGCCACGATCATGGTGCCACGGTACTGCAGTATGCACCCAAACAGCAACTCCTAATCTCGGGGGGTAGGAAAGGACACGTCTGCATTTTTGACATCAGGCAAAGGCAGCTCATTCACACGTTCCAGGCCCATGACTCAGCTATTAAGGCTCTGGCCTTGGATCCCTATGAGGAATATTTTACCACAGGTTCAGCAGAAGGTAACATAAAGGTGAGTCAGTACAAGAGGTTGGAATGTGCTAAAGACTGATTGGAAAGAGAAAAAACAAAAACTCCACATTCTTTGAAATAAAGCTTCACTTTATTTCACTTGGGCTACTGCATGGAGATACTGCATATCTCAACACTCTGCCGCCTCCCCATGCTCCTGTATGGTTCTTTCTAAACTGTTATGGTCAATGAGATTATCAAACTCATTGGACTCAGGCCATTAGAAAGCTTTAAAGCATTCTATTTTGAGTAAAGTGTATGAGTTTAATGCATGAAATTTTTTGATGACATTAGTTTGGCTCCTTAGAAGCTTCTCCCCTCTCCCTCAGTACTCTTGTGTGTGGTGGAGGTGACGTTTCCAGTAAGTGAGCTAGTGCAGATGCTCCTTGACTTTATGGTGGGATTATGTCCCAACAAACCCATTATAAGTTAAAAATATTGTTAAAGTTGAAAAACATACTTTCAACTTAATATTTTCAACTTACTATGAGTTTATTGAGACTAACCTCAGGATAAGCCAAGGAGCGTGCTGAATGCGTATTGCTTTCACACTGTCATAAAGTCAAAAAGTCTTGTCAAACCATCGTAAGTAGGGGACTGTCTGTACCACACTACTTTTACATAGCCTTAGGACCTAGCTCAGCATGAGGAACACATTTAACTGAATTAACTCAAATAGTTAATTGAATTAGAGATGGGCTACATATGGTTAATATGAAGCCACAAGAGGATGTGAAGGAAAATATGGAAGGAGGACAGTAAATGAATCGTGGGAGTGGTGTTATCATTTCCCACTTAGATAAGCTCTTAGGAAAGAGGCAGTGGGTGGGAAGGTTGGGCTTTAGTGAGATCACTTGGGCCAAGGGAGCAGAAGGGCCATGTTTTTGCTTTTGGTCTTTTCGTAATATATTTTTAACTCCTTTTGTTTTGCACTAGGTTTGGAGATTGACAGGCCATGGCCTAATTCATTCATTTAAAAGTGAACATGCTAAGCAGTCCATATTTCGAAACATTGGGGCTGGAGTCATGCAGATTGACATCATCCAGGGCAATCGGCTCTTCTCCTGTGGTGCAGATGGCACGCTGAAAACCAGGGTTTTGCCCAATGCTTTTAACATCCCTAACAGAATTCTTGACATTCTATAAAGATTGGGGTTTTATTTTTATATACATTTCAGTTAAAAGGCACACTACAGTCATCACTAGGCAATTCTGCTTTCTAAGCAGTTGTATTGAAAACAGAGAATCTCTGTGTAGAATTTGAATATGACCCAAGCTGAGTATTATCTAAACAGGTTGGTGGAATGAATGCGCATGTACCTTATTATGCTGACATACTAAAAAAAATAAAACCTAGTATTGTATGAAGGATAGCTATTCTTTACAGCATTTAGCAAACCTGATTCAGAAAACATTTGAGATTAGCAAATTAGTAACTTGAAATAATGAAAAGGACGTTTATACCAAATTAAGGAAGAAAATGTTGCTGATTTGGGTTTTTCTTCCTGTTCTTACCACTGACTGAAGCATGCCTGCAGTCTCCTCCTCTGTTGAATGAAGGATAATCATAAGGTGTTTGTTAGGAGCGCTAGACCACCTGGAAAACTTTCTTAGCTGTGGAGCAGTGCGCAGTGACCAGTTCTCTGCTGTGAGAGGCCGTTTCCATTCTTTCCTGCTGAATATTTTTCCTGTTAGTGTTTATACTGAGCTAGTACTGTAACTTGCAAATGAGTGCAAATTTAAATGCAATGTTTTACTCACAATTTGCACATTCACATTTTTTGGACTGCTAGTTTTTCTATTTAAATATTTGCCTTCATGTTAGGAATGTACTATGTGAACATGACATATTTGTAGTTAACCAAACACACCTTCTTAGTCCAGTTTAGTACTTTTTCTTTTCGTGTATTCAAGGTTAAACACCCAAACATTTAAGGATATGTTGAAACTACACCAATAGAGCATTTCATATCATAATTAAAATGAATGTTAGGCTTCTTGTGGCCAGTTAATAGTTGATGAGATTGGTGACATTATTTATTGCCACAGCCTATTGTATAAACTATGCAGAGTTAAATATTTGCTTGTAAAATATTAGCCAATGTTGTCATTATTTTGATGTATTTCCTTGGTTATGACCAAAAATATGTTGAGATACTGAAACTAATGTCTGTGTGTTTAAATGTTTACCAGCAAATTGTCTTATCATGTTAATGAGAATGTTCAATGCCTGTGTGGTAAATAGTAAATACAATGGCATAAAAGTAACTTTCTCTGAAGATGTGATGTTCAGGCTGTGAAATATATATGTAAAAGAAAAATAAATGTTATTTGTTAGAGTTTTTAGTTTGATACTGTTTTTGACCATTGAGATTTTTAATTTGATAAAATGTTTAACTGTTAGAGAATTTGCAAGCTATTTGGCAGTCTATTCATTCATAAGTAAGTATTTACTGAATACCTTCTATACCAAAAGCCATTCTAGGAAATGGGATACAGTGGAGAGCCAGACAGAGAAAGCACACAATGTTGAGATTTAGCGGGGCAAGAGCTAACCTCACTATACCTTCTCCAGACAGATTTGAAGTTTATTGAATGAAGTACTAACCTCGTACCCAAAACTCAAATCTGAGTCTTGGCTATTTGCTTGCTCCTAAGTAAGTAAGGGAAGTCAGAATATGCCCACTGATAAGAAGAGCCAGGAAAATAAGCTTGTGAGTGACATCTCAATGCCTAAAGCAAAACTGATTCAAAGGAGCTTTCAGAAAAAAGGGAAGAGAACTTTCTCTGTCAGGTAAAAGCAGTAAGAGACTCTAGATTCACCTTCTAGCTTGAAACAACTAAAAGAAAGAAGACGACAAAATATATAAACAATGGTTCTCAAGACATTAAGCATCAGGTAGGGAGGGACAGTGATTCCTGAGAGGTGAGCATTTTAATTGTCCCAACTTACCACCTCAAGAAAGTTTCCAGGCCACAGGCAGGGAGAGAACCCAGGCAGAGCCTAATGGTTTCTCCAAGTTGCCAAGATGATAGAACTGCGAGTCTGGGGAATATAATGAGGATAGAGTTCGCAGGCCAAAGGCCACAGAGGGGCACAGGGAGAGGTACACAGAAGGTCTGTATTAGTCCATTCTCACACTGCTATAAGGACATACCTGAGACTAGGTAATTTATAAAGGAAAGAGATTTAATGGACTCATAGTTCCACGTGGCTGGGGAGGCCTCACAATCATGGCAGGAGGAAAAGGAGGACCAAAGGCACATCTTAACATGGCAGCAGGCAAGAAAGCGTGTGCAGGGAAACTGCCCTTCATAAAATCATCAGATCTCCTGAGACTTATTCACTATCACAAGAACAGAATGGGAAAAACCTGCCCTCATGATTCAGTTACCTCCCACTGGGTCCCTCACACAACACTTGGGGACTATGGGAGCTACAATTCAAGATGAAATTGGGTGGGGACACAGTCAAACCACATCAAGATCTTCCTCAATATTTTGCTGAGAAAGGAATCAGTGTATGTGTATGAGCAAATTGCTGGCACCCAGAACAATAGCCATCGAAAGGGATTAGAGGTAACAATCTAATCACACAAAGCTAGGAATTCAGCAGGAGGCCCCCCTTATCTGTGGCTTTGCTTTCTGTGGTTTCAGTTACCTGTGGTTAGTCATGGTCTGAAAATAGGTGAGGACAGTACAATAAGAAATTGAGAGAGGGAGAGACTATATTCACATAGGTTTTTATTACTGTATATTAATTGTTCTATTATTGTTGATCTTTTACTGTGCCTAATTTATAAGTTACACTTTTTGAGACAGAGTCTCACTGAGTCGCCCAGGCTGGAGTGCAGTGGTGCGATCTCAGCTCACTGCAACCTTTGCCTCCCGGGTTCAAATGATTCTCATACCTCAGCCTCCCAAGTAGCTGGAACCACAGGCATGTGCCACCATGCCCGGCTAATTTTTGTGTTTTTAGTAGAGATGGGGTTTCACCATGTTGGCCAGGCTGGTCTTGAACTCCTGACCTCAAGTGATCTGCCTGCCTCAGCCTCTCAAAGTGCTGGGATTACAGGTATGAGCCACCATGCCTGGCCTAAACTTTATCATATGTGTATATATAGAGAGGAAAACACATATATAGGGCTTAGTACCATCTGCAGTTTCAAGCATCCATCCACTGGAGTCTTGGAACATCTCCCTTGTAGATAAGGTGGGGGGACTACTGTAATTCATATTCTCACCAACCAGCTGGAAAACCTCATAATTCATGGGGCATTAGGTAGTACTCTCAAGGATTTTGCTGCAGTAGCAGGACAAAATTAGTCCTAGGATAAACACTATCATGGTCCTGCCTAAGAAAGCTAAAAAGGAAATGACCAAAAGCCAAATAGCTAAATTTTATCTGAAAACATAGCTCCAGAGTATTTGTAGGAATACAAAAATATCCAACACTCAACAAGGTAAAATTCACAATGTTTGACATTAAAAAAAATGCATGAAAAGTAGGTAAATACAAACCATAATGAGAGGGAAAACATACATCAAAACAGATACAGAAATAACACAGGTGATAAAATTAATAGCATAACTATTTCATATGTCCAAGAAGCTAGAGAAAAAATTCAATGTTAGGAAGAGATGTGGAAGACACACAGATTCAAATCAAACTTACAGAAATGAAAAGTATAATGTTTGAGATAAAAAAATACACTAGATGGGATTCACAGCAGATTAGACATTGCAGAGTGAAAAATTAGTGAATATGAAGGCACAATAGAAACTATCCAAAAGGAAACACTTTTAAAAAACATTGGAACCAAATAACACCAGTGAGCTCTGGGACAACTTTGAGCATCCTAATATATGTGTAATTGGAGTCCGTGAGGGAGGAGGGTAAAGGAAAAATATAATTAAAATAATGGCCAAATATTTTCCAGTTTTGATTCAACCACAGATCCAAGAGCTTTAATGAAACTCAAGCACAGGAAACAAGGAAAGTAGAGCCATACTCATCATAATCAAATTGCTTAAAATCAATGATAAGAGAAAAATGTTAGGATCACAAAGAGAAAATAGACACATTGCATACACAAGAACAAAGATAAGGATGACAGCAGATTTATTTCAGGAACAATGCAAACCAGAAGAGTGGAGTGACATCTTTAGAAGTTTTGGAAGCAAAAAAGCTGTCAATCTAGAATTCTTTGACCAGTGAAAATACCTTTCAAAAATGAAGTTTACATAAAGACATGAAAAGGGTAAAAGAATTCATCGCCAGCAAATCTGCACTATAAGAAATATCAAAGGAATATAAAGAAAGTTTCTGAATCAGAAGGCAAAATGATACCAGATGGAAATACGGATCTATTCAAAGGAATAAAGAGTACCAGCAATTATAACTACATAAGTAAATTACATAAAGACTTTTCCTCATTGTTTAAATCTCTCCTAGACAATTGTTTAAAGCATAAGTAAGGCCAGTCATGGTGGTTCATGCCTGTAATCCCAGCAATTTGGAAGGCCGAGGTGGGGCGGATCATCTGAGGTCAGGAGTTCAAGACCAGCCTGGCCAACATGGTAAAACCCTGTCTCTACTAAAAATACAAAAATTAGCCAGGCATGGTGGTGGGCATCTGTAATCCCACCTACTCAGGAGCCTGAGGTGAAGAATTGCTTAAATGTATGACAACAGCAGCACAAAGGCCAGGAGAGAACTAGAAGTATACTGTTGTAAACTTTTTACACTATATGTGAAGTGATATATCACTTAAAGTTAGATAAAAATCTACAGTATAATTAGTTTGGGGAGTGACATCAGCAATATAGCAGGATGGGACTTTCCAATGCTCACCCCCTCACAGAAACACCAATTTAAAGGACTATCCATGCATGAGAATACACTCACAAGAGCTGAGGAAACCAAATGAGAGATTACAGCACCTGAATGTTGCACAGAAATCAGAAAAGATGCTGTGAAGAGGATAGGAAAGAGTTTTACATGACCCATCCGTGCCACCCTCCCTCCACCCCTGGGTAGTATGACGTGGGGAGAGATACCTTCTGCATGGGGGATAGAGAGGGAGGTGAGCACCAGAATGGTGCCTCGGACCCCAACACCAGGCCTGCCCCAGTAAAACCCAGTGCTAGACCCCTATTGCCCAGATTTCAGGCCAGTTCCCGCAGACTGAGCCTCTAAGCCCATCTAAGCACCAGGCAGGATCCTGCAGCCCCAGGCCCCTCACTGGACTTCGTCTCTGGGCCCATACAATTTCTAAGCTCACCTGCAGCAGCCCCAGGCTCTGGACTGGTTCCAATGCCAGGCCAGACACCATAGTCAGGCTCCAGGATGGCCCCAAGGACTCAGTCCTCAGACTCATCCAGCAACAGGCAGACCCTAATGGATATAGGCTCCAGACAAGATCCCATGGAGCTGCCTGCAGGCCCGCCTTGGTGCCAGTGGACTTATTCTCTCAGGCCTACCCCAGGGCTGGGCTGTCCCCAGTGGCTCCATGCTCCAGATTGTTCCCAGGGCTGGGCTGGCCTCTATAGCCCTGGGCTTCATGCTCCCTCCAGTGTTGGTCCGGTCCCTGCAGCCCTAGTCATCAAGGGGACACCCATGGACCCAAGCTCCAGGCCTGCCCTAGCACCAGTTTAGCACTTGCAGCCTCAGGCTTCAGACCATTCTCAGGCTCCAGGCCTGTCCCACTGCCAGGATGGCCCCAGTGACCTGAGGCTCCAGACTGCCTCAACACCTGGCTGGCTGGCACCAGCAGCCTCAGGCTCCAGGCTGGCCCTGTAACCCCAGACTCCAGACCGGCCTTTGTAGACCTAGTTTCCAGGTCCTCCTCAGCCTCAGGCCAGCATTCATGGACCCAGCCTCCAGCCAGTCCTTGCAGACTAGGGACCCAGTCTGCCCCAGTGCCAGGCTGGGCCTTCACAACCCCAGATTTCAGGCTAGCACATGCAGACCCATCTTGTAGGCCTGCTCCAGCACTAGATTGGCAGCCATTGACCCCAGTACCAGGACGGCCCTGGCAGTCCTGAGCTCCAGAGCAGCTCAGTGCATGCTGGCCCATATAACCCCAGGTTTCAGGCCCACCCCAGCACCAGGTAGATACCCCTATCCTCAGGCACCAGATTGGCACCTGCTGCCTCAGGAATCAGTCTGTGTTAGCTCCAGGTTGGCCTTTGCAGTCCCAGACTCCAGGCTGGCATCCATAGACCCAGCCTCCAGGTTTTCCAAGCACAAAGCTGGCCCCCATGGTCCCAGGCTCTATGCCTAGGCCCTAGGTCTAGGCCCTAGCACTAGGTCAGCACCCACAAACCCCAGTCCCAAGCTGGCATGTGTGGACACAGGCTCTAGGCCTATCCGGTGCCAGTCCAGTTTTTACAAACCCACGCTCCAGCAGACCCAAGGTTCAGACCTGTCCTAGTAGACGCAGTACCAGGCTAGCCCCTGCAGACTCAGGACCCAGACCTAGCCCTACAGACTCAGATTCAAGGTCTCTCCCAGTGGACTTGTATGCCAGGATCATCCCATTGCCTGGCTAGACCCTGCAGATTCAAAGTCAAAGGCTGTATGTACCCCAGCACTAGATCAGCTCCCATGGACCTAATCAACAGGTCCACTCCAGTGAATCTGGGTTCATAGACCTAGGCACCAGGCCCGCCTGCCCAAGAACACAAGAAGCAAGCCTGCCCATGGGCCATAGCAGATAGTGGCCAGAATCTCTAGACAGGTTGACTGATGAAGTCCTTGCCCAACCAAAGCAAGCCTGCAAAGACTCGAATCAGTCCCTTTCTGACATGAATGCATGGCCACGTGAATCAAGAACAATCAGGGACACATGACACCACCAAAAGAACAAAATAAAGCACCAGCAACTGACCCTAAAGAAATGAAGACTTACTATTCAGCAACTACACTCTTGGATATTTACTCAAAAGTCAGTTTGTTGAAGAGATGTTTGCAGTTATCTTTATTGTAGCACTGTTTACTATAGTCATCTTAAGAAATCAACCTAAGGGTCCATCGACAAATGAATAAAGAAAATGAGGTATATATACAAATGAAATATTATTCAATCTTTATAAGGAAGGAGATACTATCATTCATGATAACATGGATGGGTTTGGAGAACATTATGCTAAGTGAGATAAGCCAGGGATCTCTGGGCACTGGGGGAAGGAGAACATGGCAATTGTGAGGCAATGAACTCAGGGCTGTCCTGTTAGAGCAGAAAGGAAAACCAGACCAAACTCAGCTGATGCTCACCCATGGAAGGAACATTTAAACCAACCCTACCCAGAGGGGAATCGCTGATCCCAGCAGTCTGAACCTGAGTACCTATAAACCTTGCCACTGAGGGCAACAGTGCTCTGTGTCTCCAGGTAAACTTGAAAGGCAGTCTAGGCCATAAGGACTGCAACTCTTAGGCAAGTCCTAGTGCTGAATTACACCAAGACAGACAGTGGACTTGGAGAGGACACATGAGACATCAGCTGGAGCAGTCAAGTGAGTGCTGGCGTCACCTCTTCCCTAACCCCAAGCTACACAGCTCGTGGTCCCAGGAGAGACCTCTTCCTTCCACTTCGGGAGAGAGGGAAGAGTGGGGAGGACCGTATCTTACTACATCTAAAATACCAGCCCAGCAAGAGCACAATAGGATACCATTCAGAGTCGTGAGGCCCCTATCCCAGGCCCTAGCTCTCAGATGACATTTCTAGACACACACTAGGCCAAAATGGAACCCATTGTCTTGACAGAATACAGTCCTGGCAGGATTCATCAGCTGCTAACTGGAGAGCCCTTGGGCCCTGAATTACTAGGAGTGATACCCAACTATTACATCGAGGGCCTTGGGTAAGCCTCTGAGACCTGCTGGCTTCAGATGAGACTTAGCACATTCCCAGTTGTGGTGGCAACAGGGAAAAACTCCTTCAGCTTCAGAAAAGCAGAGGGAAAAGTGTCTTGCATCTTAGGTACCAACAGTGCCACAGGGGGGTAGAGCACCAAGAGGGCTCTTGGGGTCCCTCAATTCCAAAATATGACTCTTAGATGGCATTTCAGGACCTGCCATGGGCCAGAGGGGAGCCCATTGTCCTGAAGGGCGAGTCTTAGGCCAGACAGCGTTCACAACAAGCTGATTTAAGAAAACCTGTGCTTTAAAGGAACATCAGCAGTAGTCTGGTAGTACTCCTCATGGCTTGGGGTGGCAGTGGCTGTGGGGTGAGGCTCCTCTCCCTTTGGAAAGGGGAGGGAAAAGTGAGAAGGACTGCATCATGTAGTTTGAGTGTCAGCTCAGCTGCAATATAATAGAACACCAAGTAGACTTCTAAGGTTTTTTAACTCTAGTCTCTGACTCCCAGATGGTACTTCTGGACCCACCTAGGGCTTGGGCAGTGTCCCTGCCCAGAAGGGAAGGACGAAGATCTGACTGACTTTGGCACCTGGTGATTATAGAGCCCAAGGGCCTTGAGTGAACATAGGCAGTAGTCAGGGAGTGGTTGCAACCGGCCTTGGAGGATACCCAGTGCTGTGCTGGCTTCAGGTCTGACGCAGTGCAGTCATAGTGGTGGTGGCCACAGAGGTGCTTGTGTCACACCACCCTCGGCTTTAGCTGGCTCAGAACAGAGACGGAGACTCTGTATGTTTGGGAGAAAGTTAAGGGAAGAGAACAAGAGTCTCTGCCCAGAAAACTAGATAATTCTGGATCTTATCCAAGACCATCAAGGCGGTTCCTCTACAAGTCTTCAAGAATGACAGTGTTACTGGGCTTTGGTTACCCCCTAAGGCAGATACAGCTTAGATCACAATACCAAAGTCCTTTCAAGTATCTAGAAAGTCTTCCCAAGAAGGACAGCTACAAATAACCCCAGACAGTGAAGACTACAATAAGTCCCTAACCCTTCAATGCCCAGACACTAAAGAACATTTACTGCATCAGTACTATCCAGGAAAACATGACCTCACCAAATAAACTCAGTAAACCACCAGAGAATAATCCTAAAGATACAGAGATGTGACCTTTCAGACAGAGAATTCAAAATAGCTGTGTTGAGGAAATTCAAAGAAATTCAATATAACACAGAAAGAATTCAGAATTCTATCAGATAAATGTAACTAAGATTGAAATAATTAAAAAGAATTAAGCAGAAATTCTGGAGCTGAAACATATAATTGGCATACTGAGGAATTCCAAGTCCTTTAATAGCAGAATTGATCAAGCAGAAGAAAGAATTAATGAGCTTGAAGACCGGCTATTTGAAAATACACAGTCAGAGGAGACAAAAGGAAAAAGAATAAAAAACAATAAACCACACCTACAGGATCTAGAAAACAGCCTCGAAAGGGCAGATCTAAGACTCATTGGCCTTAAAGAAGAGGTAGAGAAAGAAATAGGGGTAGAAAGTTTATTCAAATGGATAACAGAAAACTTCCCAAACCTAGAGAAATATATCAATATCCAAGTGCAAGAAAGTTATTAAACATGAAACAGATTTAACCCAAAGAAGACTGCATCAAGGCACTTAATAATCAAAGTCCCAAAGGTCAAGGATAAAGATCCTAAAAGCACCAAGAGAAAGTAAATAAATAACATACAATGAAGCTCCAATAACTCTGCCAGCTGACTTTTCAGTGGAAACCTTACAGGCCTTACAGGAGGGAGTGGCATGATATATTTAAAGTGCTGAAAAAAAAAAAACTTTTACCCTAGAGTAGTATATCCAGCAAAAATATCCTCCAAACAAGAAGGAGAAATAAGGACTTTCCCAGATAAACCTGATGGATTTAATCAATGCCAGACCTGTCCTACAAGAAATGCTAAAGGGAGTACTGCAAACCAGAAAGAAAATAAAATATCAATGAACAATAAATAATCACCTGAAGGTATAAAACTCACTGGTAATAATAAGTATACTGAGAAATACAGAATAACACTGTAAGTGTACTGTGTAAACTTCTGTTATCCTAAGTAGAAAGACTAAATGATGAACCAACCAAAAATAATAACTACAACAACTTTTCAAGACAGTTAAGATTTATAAGATATAAATAGAAACAACAAAAATTTAAAAAGCAGGGGGATAAAGTTAAGGCATAGACTTTTATTAGTGTTCTTTTTGCTTGTTTATGCAAATAGTGCTAAGTTGCTATCAGGTTAAAATAATGGGTTATAAGATAGTATTTGAAATCATCATGGTAACCTCAAATCAAAAAACATACAATGGATATACAAAAAGAAAAAGCAAGAAACTAAATTATGTCACCAGAGAAAATCACCTTTACTAGAAGATAGGAAGAAAAAAAATGAAGAGAAGATTACAAAAGAACCAGAAAACAAACAATAAAATGGCAAGAGTACGTTATTACTTATCAATAACAACACTGAATGTAAATGGACTAAACTCTCCAATCAAAAAACACAGACTGGCTGAATGGATGAAAAAACAAGACCCATTGATCTGTTGCCTATAAGAAACACACTTCACCTGTAAAGACACACATAGACTGAAACCAAAGGGATGGAAAAAGATATTCCACGCCAATGGAAACCAAAAGAGAGCAGGAGTAGCTACACTTACATTAGACAAAATAGATTTCAAGAAAAAAAACTATAATAAGAGACAAAGAAGGTCACTATGTAATGATAACGGGGTCAATTTAGCAAGAAGACATAACAATTTTAAATATATATGCACCCAACACTGGAGCACCCAGATATATAAAGGAAATATTCCTAGAGCTAAAGAAAGAGATTGGCTTCAATACAGTAATAGCTGGAGATTTTAACACCCCACTTTCAGTATTGGACAGATCTTCTGGACAGAAAATCAATAAAGAAACACCATACTTAATCTGCACTATAGAACAAATGGATCTAATAGATATTTATAGAATGTTTCATCCAGTGGCTGCAGAGTACACATTCTTTTCCTCAACACATGGATCATTCTGAAGGATAGACCGTATGTTAGGTAACAAAACAAGTCTTAAAACATTAAAAAAAACTGCAATCATATCAAGCATCTTCTCTGACCACAATAGAATATAACTTAACAACAAGAGGAATTTTGGAAACTATGCAAACACATGGAAATTAAACAATATGCTCCTGAATGACCAGTGTGTCAATGAAGAAATTAAGAAGGAGAATGAAAATTTCTTGAAACAAATGACAATCAAAACACAACATACAAAAACCTATGGGATACAGCAACTAAAAAAGGTAAGTTTATAGCTATAAGTGCCTACATCTGAAAAGAGGAAAAACTTCAAATAAACAATCTAATGATACTTTTTTTTTTTTTTTTTTTTGAGAAAGAGTCTCACTTTGTCACCCATGCTGGAGTGCAGTGGTGCCATCTTGGCTCACTGAAATCTCCACCTCCCAGGTTCAAATGATTCTCCTGCCTCAGCCTCCTGAGAAGATGGGATTACAGATGTGTGCCACCATGCCTGGCTAATTTTTGTATTTTTAGTAGAAATGGGGTTTTGCCACATTGGCCAGGCTGGTCTCGAATTCCTGACCTCAAGTGATCCACCCTTCTTGGCCTCCCAAAGTGCTGGGATTACAGGCGTGAGCCACCATGCCTGGCTTACAATACATCTTAAAGAGCTAGAAAAACAAGAGCAAACCAAACCCAAAATTAACAGAAGAAAAGAAATAATAAAGATCAGAGCAGAAATAAATGAAATTGAATACATAAATACATAAAAGATCAATGAAACAAAAAGTTCATTTTTTGAAAAGTTAAACAAAATTAACAAAACTTTAGTCAGACTAAGAAAAAAAGAGAGGGGCTGGGCGCAGTGGCTCACACCTATAATCCCAGCACTTTGGGAGGCCAAGGCAGGCAGATCACGAGGTCAGGAGTTTGAGACCAGCCTGGCCAATATGGTGAAACACTGTCTCTACTAAAAATACAAAAATTAGCTGGGCATGGTGGTGCATGCCTGTAATCCCAGCTACTTGGGAGGCTGAGGCAGGAGAATTACTTGAACTGGGACCCGGGAGGCAGAGGTTGTGGTGAGCCAAGATCACGCCATTGCACTCCAGCCTGGGCAACAAAAGTGAAACTCTGTCTCAGAAAACAAAACAAAACAAAACAAAAAAAGATTCAAATAAAATCAGAAATTAAAAAAAAAAAGGATATCACAACTGCTACTACAGAAAGCCAAAAGATAATTAGTGACTATTATTAACAAGTATATGCCAATCAACTGGAAAATCTAGAAGAAATGGACAAATTCCAGATACATAAAACCTACCAAGATTAAATTAGGAAAATCTAAAACCTGGATGGACTAATAACAAGTAACGAGATCAAAGCCATAATGAAAATTCTCTCAGTAAAGAAAACCTAGGACCCAATGGCTTCACTGTTGAATTCTACCAAAATACCAATCCTCCTCAAACTATTCTGGAAAATAGAGGACGAGACAATACTTTCAAACTCATTCTATGAGGCCAGTATTACCCTGATACTAAAACCAGACAAAGACAAAACACCGCCAAAAAGCAAAACTACAGGTCAAAATCTCTGATAAACTTTGATGCAAAAATCCTCAACAAAGTATTAGCAAACTGAATTCAATGACACATTAAAAAGATCATTCATCATGACCAAGCGAGATTTATCCCAGAAGATGCAAGGATAATTTAACATATGCAAATAAATCAATGTGACACATCACATGAACAGAATGAAGGACAAAATCCATATGATCATTTCAATTGATGCTGAAAAAGCATTTGACAAAATTCAACATCCTTTCATGATGAAAACCCTAAAAAAACTGAGTGCAGAAGAACATACCCCAAACATAATAAAATCCATATACCACAGACACACACACACACACACACAATATCATACTGAATACAGAAAAACTGAAGCTTTTCTTCTAAAATCTGGAGTTTGACAATGATGACCACTGTCACCCCTGTTATTCACCATACTACTGAAAGTCCTAGTTAGAGCAATCAGACAAGAGAAATATATAAAGGGCATCCAAATTGGAAAGAAAGAATTCAAATTATCCCTATTTGCTGATGATATAATCTTGTATTTGAAAAAACATCTCCAAGACTCCACCAAAAAGCTATTAGAACTGATAAATTAAGTTTCAGGATACAAAATCAACATACAAAAATCAGTAGCATTTCCATATGCCAATAGCAAACAATCTGAAAAAGAAATTAAAAAGTAGTCCCATTTACATTGGCCACATATAAAATCAAATACCTAGGAATTAGCCAAAGAAGTGAAAGATCTCTATAATGAAAACTCTAAAACACTGATGAAATTACAGAAGACACCAAAAAATGGAAAAATATTCCATGTTCATGGATTGGGAGAATAAACTTTGCTAAAATGTCCATACAACCCAAAGCAATTTACAGATTCAATACAATGCCTATCAAAATACCAATGACATTCTTTATAGACATAGATAAAACAATCCTAAAATGTATATGGAACCACAAAAAGAATACCACAGCTATCTTAAGCAAAAACTGGAGGACACATTACCTAACTTCAAATTAGACTACAGAGTTATAGTAGTAACCAAAACAGCATGGTACTAGTATAAAAACAGACATGTAGACCAATGGAAGAGAACAGAGAACCCAAAAACAAATACACACACCTATAGTGAACTCATTTTTGACAAAGGTGGCAAGAACATACATTGGAGAAAGATAGTCTATTCAATAAATGGTGCTGGGAAAACTGGAAATCTATATGCAAAGGAATGATACTAGACCCCTATCTCTCGCCATATACAAAACTCAAATTAAAATGGATTAAAGACTTAAATTTAGGGATCTCAAACTATGAAACTATTGCATGAAAACATTGGGGGAAACTCTCCAGGACATTGGTCTGGGCGAATATTTCTTGAGCAATACCCAACAAGCACAGGCAACCAAAACAAACATGGACAAAAGGGATCACATCAAGTTAAAAAGCTTCTGCACAGCAAAGGAAATAATCAACAAAGTGAAGAGATAACCTACAGAATGGTAGAAAATATTTGTAAACTATCCCCTCAACAAGGGATTAATAACCAGAATATATAAGAAGCTCAAACAACTCTACAGGAAAAAAATCCAATAATCCAATCAAAAAATGAGCAAAAGATTTGAATGGACATTTCTCAGAAGAATACCTACAAATGGCAAACAGGCATATGAAAAGATGCTCAACATCATGGATCATCAGAGAAATGCACATGAAAACTACAATGAGATACCATCTCATCCCAGTTAAAATGGCTTATATTCAAAGACAAGCAATAACAAATGCTGTTGAGGATGTGGAAAAAGGAAACCATTGTATGCTGTTGGTGGGAATGTAAATTAGTACAACCAGTATGCAGAACAGTTTGGAGGTTCCTCAAAAAACTAAAAATTGAGCTATCATATGACCCAGCAATCCCACTGCCGGCTATATACCCAAAAGAAATGAAATCAGTATATCAAAGAGATATCTGCACTCCTATATTTGTTGCAGTACTGTTTACAGTAGCTAAGATTTGGGAGCAACCTAAATGTCCATCAAAAGATGAATGAATAAAGAAAATGTGGTACATATACACAATAGAGTACTATTCAGCCATAAAATAGAATAAGATCTCATCATTTGCGGCAACATGGATGAAACTGGAGATTATGTTAAGTGAAACAAGACAGGCACAAAAAGACAAACGTCACTTGTTCTCACTTATTTGTGGGATCTAAAAATCAAAACAATGGAACTCATGACATAGAGAGTAGAAGGATGGGTACCAGAGGCTGGAAAGGGTATTGGTGGTCTTGGGGGAAGTGGGGATGATTAATGGGTACAAAAAACAAAGAATAAGACCTACTATTTGATAGCACGACAGGCTGACTATAGTCAATAATAATGTAATTGTATATTTTAAAATAACTTAAATGATGTAATCGGATTGTTTGTAACTCAAAGGAAAAATGCCTGAGGGGATGAATTATATAATCTCATTCTCCATGAGGGGCTTATTTCACATTGCATGCCTGTATCAAAGCATCTCATATACCCCATAAATATATACATCTACTAAGTACCCACAAAAAATTTTTTAAATAATAAAAAAAGAAAGACTGTCAGAATACTTTAATATGGTAATAGTGGTGTGTAAATCACTTATATCTTTAGAATAGAGGTTAAAACACAAAACTATTAATAACAGTTACAATTATTTGTTCAGGAATACACAATATAAAAAGATATAAGTTGTGACACCCAAAACATAAAATGTGAGGAGGGAGAGTAAAGTGTGGAGTTTTTGTATGCAATCAAAGTATCAGCTTAAAGTAGCTGTTATATGATGCTTTATGCATGCTTCTTGGTAACTATAAAGCAAAAACATAGTAGATACATAAAAGATAAAAAGAAAAAACATAATAGGTACATAAAAGATAAAAAGAAATCAAAGTATACCACTACAGAAAATCATCTAATTACAAGGAAGACAGCAA
The DNA here is from genome assembly GCF_000001405.40 of Homo sapiens. Classification (NCBI taxonomy): domain Eukaryota; kingdom Metazoa; phylum Chordata; class Mammalia; order Primates; family Hominidae; genus Homo; species Homo sapiens. The sequence goes on along the minus strand of NC_000015.10, from coordinate 51,433,618 downwards.
GAGAAGAAAAAGATACAGACAAAAAACCTACAAAGCAACCAGAAAATAATCAGCAAATTGGCAGTAGTCTTTATCAATAATTACATTGAATATAAATGGATTAATCAAAAGATCAAGTGGCTGAATGGATTCTTTTAAAAAAGACTCAACTATGTGCTGCCTACAAGAGACTAACTTCACCTTTGAAGACACATATCAACTGAAAGTGAAGGGATGGAAAAATATATTCCAGGCCACTGGAGACCCAAAAAGATAAGTATACTTAGATAATTAGGCTTTCTGTTAAAACTGCAATAAGAGACAAAGAAGATTATATGATAAAGGGGTCAGTTCATCAAGAGGATATCACAAATGTAAATACATACGCATCCAACATCAGAGCACCTGAACACATAAAGCAAATGTTGATAGATTTGAAGATATACACTGCAATACAATATAGTAGGAGATTTCAGTACTCCACTTTCAGCAATAAACAGACCATCCAGACAGAAAACCAGTAAGAAAACATTAGACTTAAATTATGCTTTAGACCAAATGGCCTTAACAGACTTAAAGAGAACATTCCATTTAATAGCAGAATACACATTGAAGTGCACACAGAACATTCTCCAGGATAGGTCATGGGTTAGGCCACAAAACAAGTCTTCACAAGTTTAAAATTAAAATTATAATAAATATCTTTTCTAACCCCAATGGTATGAAACTGAAAATCAGTAATAGAAGGAATTTCAGAAGCTTTACAAATACAATAAAATTAAACAACATACTCCTAAACAATCCATGGGCCAAAGAAGATATTAAAAGGAAAATGTTAAAATATCTTGAGGCAAACAGAAATGAAAACACAACATACTAAAATTTATGCAAAGCAGGAAAAGCAGTTCCAACAGGAAAGTTCATAGAATGATTCATATGCTGAGGAGAAAAATGTATATTCTGTAGCTGTTAAATGAAATGTTCTGTAAATATCTATTAGGTCCATTTGTTCTATAGGGCAGATCAAATACGATGTTTCTTTGATTTTCTGTCTGAAAGATCTTTCCAATGCTGAAAGTGAGATGTCGAAGGCTCTAACTATTATTGTGTTGGAGCTTACTTCTCTCCTTATCTCTAACATTTGCTGTATTTATCTGGGTGCTCCAGTGTTGGTGCAGGTATATTTATTTTTGAGATGGAATCTCATTCTGTTGTCCAGGCTGGAGTGCAGTGGCACGATCTTGGCTCACTGCAACCTCTGCCTCCTGGGTTCAAGCAATTCTCCTGCCTCAGCCTCCAGAGTAGCTGGGATTACAGGTGCCCACCACCACGCCTGGCTAATTTTTGTATTTTTAGCAGAGATGGGGTTTCACCACGTCGGCCAGGCTGGTCTCAAACTCCTGACCTCCAGTGATCTGCCCACATCAGCCTCCCGAAGTGCTGAGATTACAGGTGTGAGCCACTGCACCCAGCTGCATGTATGTTTTAAATTGTTATATCCTCTTGCTGAATTGACCCCTTTTTCATTTTGGGTTTTTTTTTGGATACAGTGTCTCACTCTGTCACCTAGGCCGGAGTACAGTGGTATGATCACAGCTCACTATGGCCTCAACCTCCCAGGCTCAGGTGATTCTCCCATCTCAGCCTCCCAAGTAGCTAGGACTACAGGCGTTTGTATAGATAGGGTTTCACCATATGTCCCAGGCTGGTCTCAAACTCCTGGACTCAAGTGATCCACCTCCCAAAGTGCTAGGATTACAGGAATGAGCCACTCCACCCAGCCAACCCCTTTATAATTATAGAGTGAGCTTGTCTCTTTTTATAGTTTTTGTCTTGAAAACTATTTTGTCTAAGTATAGCTACTCCTGCTCTTTTGTGGTTTCCATTGGCATGGAATGTCTTTTTCCATTCCTCAATTTTCAGCCTGTGTGTGTCTTTATAGGTGAAGTGTTTTTCTTATAGGCAACAGGTCATTGGGTCTTTTTTTTTTTTAAATCTATTTGGCCTATATCTTTTGATTGGAGAGTTTAGTCCATTTATATGCAATGTTATTATTGATAAGGACTTACTCCTGCCATTTTGTTATTTGGTTTCTGGTTATTTTCCTTCTTTCCTGTCATCCTTTTAGTGAAGGTGATTTTCTCTGATGGGATGTTTTAATTTCTTGCTTTTTATTTTTTGTGTATCTGTTGTATGTTTTTTGATTTGAGGTTATCATGAGGCTTGCAAATAATATTTTATATAACCCATTTTTTAAACTGGTAATAATATAACCCTGATTGCATAATCAAACTCAATCAAAATCAAAAGAAGCAAAAAGAAAACTGTATACCTTAACTTTGTCCCCACTCTTTTCAACTTTTTGTTTCTACTTATATCTTATTATACTATCTATGTCTTGAAAAGTTGACGTTATTTTTTATTGGTTTATCTTTTCATATTTCTATTCAGGATACAAATACTTTATATACCATAATTATAGTATTATAATAGTCTGTTTTTCTGTGTACTTATTAACACTGCATTTTTTTTTTACCTTTGGATGATTTCTTATTGCTCATTAACATCCTCTTCTAATTGAAGTACTCCCTTTAGCATTTCTTGTAGGACATACCTGGTTTTGATGAAATCCTCTGGCTTTTATCTGGGAAAGTCTTTATTTCTCCATGTTTGGAGGACAGTTTCACCAGATATACTAGAGTAAAAGATTTTCCTTTGGCACTTTAAATATGTCATGCCACTCTCTCCTGGCCTGTAAGGTTTCCACTGAGAAGTCAGATATAGTGGAGCTCCATTGCATGTTGTTTTTTTTCTCTTGATGCTTTTGGGATCCTGTCTTTATCCTTGACCTTCGGGAGTTTGATTAAATGCCCTGAGGTAGTCTTCTTTGCGTTAAAACTTAATGTTCTATAATCTTCTATAAATCTGCTTGAGTATTGGTATATTTCTCTAGGTTTGGGAAGTCACTTATTATCCCTTTGAATAAGCTTTCTACCATAATCTCTCTACCTCCTCTTTAAGGCCAACAACTCAGATCTGGCCAGCTTGCAGCTATTTTCTAGATTTTGTAGGCACGCTTCATTGTTTTTCACTCTTTGTCTCCTTTGTGTATTTTCAAATAGCTTGTCTTCAAGCTCACTAATTCTTCTGCTGGATCAATTCTGTTGAGAGACTCTGGGCCAGGCATGGTGGCTCACACCTGTAATCCCAGCACTTTGGGAGGCCAAGGCACATGGATCCCTTGAGCCCAAAAGTTTGAAGCCAGCCTGGGCAACATGGCAAAACCCCATCTCTACTGAAAACACAAAAACTAGCCTGGTGTGGTGGCATATGCCTGTAACCCCAGCCAGGAGGCTGAGGCACAAGAATCACTTGAACCTGGGAGGCAGAGGTTGCAGTGAGTCGAGATCGTGCCACTGCACTTCAGCCTGGGTGACAGAGTGAGGCACAATGTCAAAAAACAAACAAACAAAAAAACACTGATACATTCTTCAGTACGTCAATTACATTTTCAACTCCAGAATTTCTGCTTTTTAATTATTTCAATCTGTTATACATGATAGAATTCTGAATTTCTTCTGTGTTAAATTCTGCCAAGTTTCCTCAACACAGCTATTCTGAATTATTCGTTTGAAAGGTCACATATTGGTTTCTCGAGGATTGGTCTCTGGTGCCTTAGCTTATTTGGCAAGGTCATGTGTTCCTGGATAGTCTTGATGTTTGTGGATGTTTGTTGGTGTCTAGGCATTGAAGAGTTAGGTATTAATGTAGTTTGGCTGTGTCCCCACCCAAATGTCACTTTGAATTCTAGCTCCCACAATTCCCATGGGTCATGGGAGGGACCTGGTAGGAGGTAACTGAATCATGGGGCTTGGTCTTACCCATACTGTTCTCATGATAGTGAATAAATCTGACGAGATCTTATGGTTTTATAAAGTGGAGTTCCCCTGCACATGCTCTCTTTCTTGCTGCCATGTAAGATGTGCATTTGGTCTGCCTCCGCATTTCACCATGATTGTGAGGCCTCCCCAGCCATGCAGAACTTTGAGTCCATTCAACCTCTTTTTCTTTATAAATTACCCAGTCTCAAATATGTCTACTAGCAGCATGAGAATGGACTAAGAGAGTAAGTTGGTGCCAGTTTTGAACCCCAAAAATCAGATAGGTCTGTTAATTTAGAAAGTTTATTTTGCCAAAGTGGAGGACAGGCACCCATGACCACTTCAGGAGCTCCGGACGATACATGCCCAAGGTGGTCAGAGCACAGCTTGGCTTCATACATTTTAGGAAGACATGAGACATCATGAGACATCAACCAACAAATGTAAGATAAACACTGGTTCAGTCCAGAAAGGCAGGACAACTGAAGCAAAAGCGGGACCACTCGAAGCAAGGAGGGGGCTTCCAGGTCACAGGTAGGTAAGAGACAAAAGGTTGCATTCTTTTGAGTTTCTGATTAGCCTCTCCAAAGGAGGCAAACAGATATGCATCTATCTCACTGAGCAGAGGGGTGACTGAATAGAATGGAAGGCAGGTTTGCCCTAAGCAGTTCCAGCTTGACTTTTTTCTTTAGCTTAGTGACTTGGGGGACTGAAGATTTATTTTTCTTTCACATGATAGAGTGAGATGCCGCTGTAAAGATACCTGGAAAGCTGGGCGAGGTGGCTCACGCCTGTAATCCCAGCACTTTGGGAGGCTGAGGCAGGTGGATCACAAGGTCAGGAGATCGAGACCATCCTGGCTAACACGGTGAAACCCCATCTCTACTAAAAAAAATACAAAAAAATTAGCCAGGGGTGGTGGTGGGCACCTGTAATCCCAGCTAATCGGGAGGGTGAGGCAGGAGAATGGTGTGAACCCAGGAGGCGGAGCTTGCAGTGAGCTGAGATCATGCCACTGCACTCCAGTCTGGGTGACAAAGCAAGACTCTGTCTCAAAAAAAAAAAAAAAAAAAAAAAGATACCTGGAAATATGGAAGTGACTTTGGAACGGGGTAACAGGCAGAAGTTCTATTCAAAGTCACCCCTCTGCTCACTGAGATAAATGCTTATCTGATTGCCTCTTTTGGAAAGGCTAATCAGAAACTCAAAAGAATGCAACCATTTGTCTCTTATCTACCTGTGACCCGGAAGCCCTCTCCTTGCTTCAAGTTATCCCGCTTTTGCTTTGAGTTGTCCTGCCTTTCTGGACTGAACCAATGTTCATTTTACATATACTGATTGATGTCTCATGTCTCCCTAAAATATATAAAACCAAGCTGTGCTCTGACCACCTTGGGCACATGTCATCAGGACCTCCTGAGGCTGCATCATGGGTGTGCATCCTTGACCTTGGCAAAATAAACTTTCTAAATTGTCTAAGACCCGTCTCAGATTTTTGGGGTTTACATTTTGGTAACCACAGAGGGATTCTGAGTGGAGGTGTCCCTGGCCTTTGACAAATCTATCGGTACCTGGTACCAGCATGAGCTAACTTTATGGCTCAAACCAATAGGATAATTTGCTGAGGTCTGGGAGCACCACCTCCAGAGAATCCCTGATTTCCCCAAATCTGGTTGAGATCTAAGGTTTATTTTGCTGTACAACTCCTTTTTTTTTTTAATTTTACTTTTAAAAAATTTTACTTTTAAAAAAAAGAATTTTACTTCCAAAAAGGAAGGCAAGTTTTCCTGCTTCCATGATGATGGAAGGCAGGTAACTCCTTTATGGAGTTTGAGCTCAGTTCCAGCAGGGAAGATGAATTTTTTTCCTGCTTCTAGGATGGTAGAGAGCAGTCTTCAGCCTGAGACCCATCCCTAGGCAAGTAGCTGAATTGGGGTTTTGTCTTGGCTAAAGTTCAATAGCTAAGGTTCTGTCTTTTTTCCACCATGGTTGCTTGGGTTTTTTTCCTAAATCAAGCCCTTTCTGGTTTGATACTTGGTACTTCTGAAATAGCAGCAATTTGTCCTAGCTGAAATATGGTAATGAGATTAAAAAGACTTTTTTTTTTTAAAAGGAGCTCAATGGACAAAGTCAGCTTAATTAAAAGCTAACACATCCAGGATATGTGTGTGTGTGTGTGTGTGTGTGTGTGTGTGTGTGTGTGTGTATTTAAAAGGCCTTCATGTTTTTTTATTCTCTCCTAGGGCCTTGTCCTTGTTTTGAGCAAAAGTTTTTTTCTTCTAGTTGACTGAATTCTGTTTTCTCCATATACTTCTGCTGTCTCTTCTTTCTCTTGCACCCTCTGCTGCATGAGGGAACTAAAATAATTTATAATAGCCTGGGGTTCCTTAAAGAAAATGGAGAAGGTACCAGACTCCCTTTCGGGGAGGAACCTGTTTTTCTTTATGGAACCCCAAGATTGTGAATAGACAAGTTCATCTCAGCTTTTAAGCTGCTTTTGTATTGTGTTACCTGATTAACTAAAGTAATTATTGCAACAGAGGCTATACTTGGGTTTTTAAATTAGAGTGTAATATAGACACTTAGAAATGCCTTTGTTTAAAAAATTTTAAGTGCATTGTAACATCATGTGATCTAGCCTCATAACGATTCTCCCTTTTTGGAAACCCACGATTCAGTGTGGGTTCTGCCTAAAGTTTAGAGATATAGTTAAAAGATAGGTAGTCCCTGGCCGGGCGTGGTGGCTCACGCCTGTAATCCCAGCACTTTGGGAGGCCGAGGCAGGCAGATCACGAGAGGTCAGGAGAGCAAGACCATCCTGGCTAACACAGTGAAACCCCGTCTCTACTAAAAAATAGAAAAAAATAGCTGGGCGTGGTGGCAGGTACCTGTAGTCTCAGCTACTTGGGAGGCTGAGGCAGGAGAATGGCATGAACCTGGGAGGCAGCGCTTGCAGTAAGCCGAGATCGCGCCACTGCACTCCACCTGGGTGACTCAGCGCGACTCCGTCTCAAAAAAAAAAAAAAAAAAAAAAAAAAAAAAAAAAAAAAAAAAAAAAAAAGATAGGTAATCCCTGTCTAAATATAATTGGTCTCCTTTTACAATCATATGATAGATTTTTATAATTTTATGTTTGATTTGACATCCATCTTTAATCTCCCTCTAGCACACCAGTTTTTCTCTCTGTACCTTATGATGTAAATTTTGCTATTTGATTTTCACCTTGTTTCCTTTAATATGCAAATTTAAGGCTATTTACCTGACAACTGCCTAGGGTTGTGAAAGAGGTTATGAAGAATCTGAAAGTCTAAGATAGAGGGAAAAAGGTTTTTATGAATCTATAAATTGTACTTTTATCGGCATTCCTAATACATCTATGTATTTAAGTGTTGTGTACACAATGTTTCACTACTGAAAATATATAGAAGAGCTCTAATTGGCTTTAAAAAATAAAAGTGCCTAAATCAAATACTTTATCTTAAAGGAAAAACTGGTCAAATCCTTTTTCAAATTTACATGACTTAAGTAAAATCTTAATAAGCTAGCTTTAAAATTATTGATCAATATCGGAAATGTCTTAAGAATTGCCAGCAGATGTATTTGTTTACATTTATTAATCAAGCAGTTTCATACTTATCCTTGCCAAATATTATAAGGTATCAACATTTGGCATAAGGGTTACAAAACTATCAACAGCCCCAAACAGAATGATCTTTGCTTGTGTAATTTTTAATAAGACATTAATATTGGTTTAATGAAAATAGCTACATCTTGAATTTAGTAAAATTATCTTAACTTCTAATCCTGTGGCCTTAGGCAGTCGAGTACACAGGCAGTAAGGTGGTTTGCCTTGGGAAAGGACTGTTATCCTTTTTGTATCAAGCTAAACTATAAACTAAGCCCTTCTCAAAGTTAGTTTGGCCTATATCCAGGAATGAACAATGACAGCTTGAGGTTAGAAGCAAGACAGTCATTTAGGGCAGATCTTTTTCACTGTCTCAGTTATAATTTTGCAATGACAGTTTCATAGCTTTATTTATAAAAACTGCATAGTCATCATTTAATCTAAGTAAATGATTAAAATAATTAGGTAAATGTATGGGATAAATACTTGTAGATAAACTTGTTATAGTTTAGAATCTAAGGTTATATTAAATAACATATTTCATTATTTGAGTATTTTCCTACACAAATATATTGTAGAAAAACATTCTTACTAAAAAAAGTGTCCTTTTAAAAAGGCAAATAATTTTTGTCTAATTCAAAGCTGATTTAAAGGTTATATATGAAACAAGTTAAAAGGAACCAGGAAATATGAAAGATGTAAAGAAAATTATAAAAGTAAAGAGTTTTGGTGGGTAAGAAAGCTTAAAGATCGATAATTTTATGTAAGAACAAAATATTGTATGGTAAATTTAGTCCCAGAATAAAATGACTGGTTAAGAAAGAAGATTGTTCAGGACAAACCAGAAAGTCTAACCATGTCATGAATGGTCTATGTAAATCACAATAAGAGGATTTATTTAAAAAAACCAAAAACTTATAAGATCAAGTTGTTTTTCATTAAAAAAAAGTATAATGGTCATTCTAGAGATTGGGCCTGATGTAAAAAAAATTTAGTTGAGGTTATTACATCTGTGTATCTTTCTGTACATGCTTTTAAAGTCCTTGTTACAGTGAGTTACAGGGCTTTGACCCCTGGGTCTAAAAAGGACATCAAGTCCTGCCAAATCTTAAACACTGACAGCAATTAAATCCTCACCTTCAGGCCCCACAGAGGATGTCAATCAAAACAAACTGCATTCCTATGGTGACGTCAATCAAAATAAACAGCATTCCTAAGACACAGGGCCAGAAATTAAAGCTATTCAACTCAAGGCCCAGGGGCATCATGGAAGAAGTGGGCACAGAAGATTGTAAGGGCCAATTTTGAAAGATAACTTCAGTTTCTCTATTATATAGAAATCATTAATGTCAAAGGCACTCTGATGCAAGACCAGTGTATGGGCCCCTGTGTCAGATTAACAAGGTTTTCTTGAAGCATTAACCAACTTCTTAATAAAGGATATAAATGTTATAAAAGGCTTATGGAAGTTGTTTCTTATGGTCAAGATTAAAATTTTATAGGTAGTTTATAAAATTTTGAAAAACAAATTTAATTGGCTGCATGCTGTTTTTATTAGGGCTTATTGTTTGGAAAATTAAGTCTCCTCCAAAAAAAATGAAGGTTTTTGCCTTTTAAAAAAAACCCTTGAGTTATTACTTTGGTTAAATGAATGATCCTATTTTGTGATAACAAGAGTTTTAAACCTTTGATAGTTGAAAACTTTCCAAGATCAAATTATAAATTATGTCTTTTTCTGGCCTAATTAATCCTTTAAGATATTAGGTTCCCAAAAGTCCTAAAATGACATAGTTTGGCTTATTTGGTATAAAATTGTACAGGAAACATTGTCAAATATGAAATGGTGTTTGGTTTTCTTTGAGCTGTATTTGTATAGTTATGTTATTGGTATGTGTTCCAAAATTACGGGAAACTCCTATAATTCTGATATAATACAGTATACATTATCAGTAATAATTATGTTAAATTATTGTGTGCCATAGAGGTAACAAATTTTCTTGTCAATTGTGTGTTTGACTATGGCTGCCCTAAATCTTTTTGTCATCCATGGACAACTGTCATCTTGTTTTAGTCCTCTTTGGGAGGTGGTTTTATAATCAGCTATAAAATTCTAACAGGTACTCTGAAATGCAGGTTTCTGATAACTTTGGAGATTGTGACATCAGAATAGAGGCAAAAACTTTCAGGACTCATGGAGAGCTGAAATGTTCATGAATATCAAGCAGTACAGGAATTAACTGCATGAACTAAACTAATACAAGTCTAAAAGTAGTAATCTTTTTAACTTTTTGCTTAAAACGTTGTTGATCCTTTGTTTTTCTGAGTCAAGAAAACTTTTCTTCTAAGCTATTTACAGCTTTTAGTAATTAAAGTATACCCCTATAAACAAAATTTGGAGCATATTTGTTTCTCTCTACCTGATTTCTACAATATTTGAAAACCATGTGTGAGTATTCTTAAGACAATACCATTATTCACATAAGTGCAATAACAATCGGTTTTCATTTGTAACAGGACACAATTGGAGAAAGTGGTTATTACCAAGGCTGTGACTGGAATGGTGTGCTTTCCTTGAAGGAATCAAACTTGACTTACAATTCCAATGAAGGTCCCTTGGAAAAACTGGCCTCATATCTTTATCTACACAGTCCCTGTACAGGGTTCCTGACTGTGGTAAGTAAAAAATGTCACTATTTGACAGGCCCAGGGGCTCCAAGTTTATCAAGAAACTTGAAGAGGAGAGGAGTTCACCCAACTTATAAGTACTTCATGGTACAAATCTATGGCTGCGCTGGGCTTTAAAAAAAAGTCTTGTCTGAGATTCCTACCATGGAACAAGGTTCCATCAAAGCCAATTTAAAAGCCTATGTAAAAAATAATTATTCTTGGGGAGGAGCCAAGATGGCCGAATAGGAACAGCTCCGGTCTACAGCTCCCAGCGTGAGCGACGCAGAAGACGGGTGATTTCTGCATTTCCATCTGAGGTACCGGGTTCATCTCACTAGGGAGTGCCAGACAGTGGGCGCAGGCCAGTGTGTGTGCGCACCGTGCGCGAGCCGAAGCAGGGCGAGGCATTGCCTCACCTGGGAAGCGCAAGGGGTCAGGGAGTTCCCTTTCCGAGTCAAAGAAAGGGGTGACGGACGCACCTGGAAAATCGGGTCACTCCCACCCGAATATTGCGCTTTTCAGACCGGCTTAAGAAACGGCGCACCACGAGACTATATCCCACACCTGGCTCAGAGGGTCCTACGCCCACGGAATCGCGCTGATTGCTAGCACAGCAGTCTGAGATCAAACTGCAAGGCGGCAACGAGGCTGGGGGAGGGGCGCCCGCCATTGCCCAGGCTTGCTTAGGTAAACAAAGCAGCCGGGAAGCTCGAACTGGGTGGAGCCCACCACAGCTCAAGGAGGCCTGCCTGCCTCTGTAGGCTCCACCTCTGGGGGCAGGGCACAGACAAACAAAAAGACAGCAGTAACCTCTGCAGACTTAAGTGTCCCTGTCTGACAGCTTTGAAGAGAGCAGTGGTTCTCCCAGCAAGCAGCTGGAGATCTGAGAACGGGCAGACTGCCTCCTCAAGTGGGTCCCTGACCCCTGACCCCCGAGCAGCCTAACTGGGAGGCACCACCCAGCAGGGGCACACTGACACCTCACACAGCAGGGTATTCCAACAGACCTGCAGCTGAGGGTCCTGTCTGTTAGAAGGAAAACTAACAACCAGAAAGGACATCTACACCGAAAACCCATCTGTACATCACCATCATCAAAGACCAAAAGTAGATAAAACCACAAAGATGGGGAAAAAACAGAACAGAAAAACTGGAAACTCTAAAACGCAGAGCGCCTCTCCTCCTCCAAAGGAACGCAGTTCCTCACCAGCAACAGAACAAAGCTGGATGGAGAATGATTTTGACGAGCTGAGAGAAGAAGGCTTCAGACGATCAAATTACTCTGAGCTACGGGAGGACATTCAAACCAAAGGCAAAGAAGTTGAAAACTTTGAAAAAAATTTAGAAGAATGTATAACTAGAATAACCAATACAGAGAAGTGCTTAAAGGAGCTGATGGAGCTGAAAACCAAGGCTCGAGAACTACGTGAAGAATGCAGAAGCCTCAGGAGCTGATGCGATCAACTGGAAGAAAGGGTATCAGCAATGGAAGATGAAATGAATGAAATGAAGCGAGAAGGGAAGTTTAGAGAAAAAAGAATAAAAAGAAATGAGCAAAGCCTCCAAGAAATATGGGACTATGTGAAAAGACCAAATCTACGTCTGATTGGTGTACCTGAAAGTGATGGGGAGAATGGAACCAAGTTGGAAAACACTCTGCAGGATATTATCCAGGAGAACTTCCCCAATCTAGCAAGGCAGGCCAACGTTCAGATTCAGGAAATACAGAGAACGCCACAAAGATACTCCTCGAGAAGAGCAACTCCAAGACACATAATTGTCAGATTCACCAAAGTTGAAATGAAGGAAAAAATGTTAAGGGCAGCCAGAGAGAAAGGTCGGGTTACCCTCAAAGGAAAGCCCATCAGACTAACAGCGGATCTCTCGGCAGAAACCCTACAAGCCAGAAGAGAGTGGGGGCCAATATTCAACATTCTTAAAGAAAAGAATTTTCAACCCAGAATTTCATATCCAGCCAAACTAAGCTTCATAAGTGAAGGAGAAATAAAATACTTTACAGATAAGCAAATGCTGAGAGATTTTGTCACCACCAGGCCTGCCCTAAAAGAGCTCCTGAAGGAAGCGCTAAACATGGAAAGGAACAACCGGTACCAGCCGCTGCAAAATCATGCCAAAATGTAAAGACCATCGAGACTAGGAAGAAACTGCATCAACTAATGAGCAAAATCACCAGCTAACATCATAATGACAGGATCAAATTCACACATAACAATCTTAACTTTAAATATAAATGGACTAAATTCTGCAATTAAAAGACACAGACTGGCAAGTTGGATAAAGAGTCAAGACCCATCAGTGTGCTGTATTCAGGAAACCCATCTCACGTGCAGAGACACACATAGGCTCAAAATAAAAGGATGGAGGAAGATCTACCAAGCCAATGGAAAACAAAAAAAGGCAGGGGTTGCAATCCTAGTCTCTGATAAAACAGACTTTAAACCAACAAAGATCAAAAGAGACAAAGAAGGCCATTACATAATGGTAAAGGGATCAATTCAACAAGAGGAGCTAACTATCCTAAATATTTATGCACCCAATACAGGAGCACCCAGATTCATAAAGCAAGTCCTCAGTGACCTACAAAGAGACTTAGACTCCCACACATTAATAATGGGAGACTTTAACACCCCACTGTCAACATTAGACAGATCAACGAGACAGAAAGTCAACAAGGATACCCAGGAATTGAACTCAGCTCTGCACCAAGCAGACCTAATAGACATCTACAGAACTCTCCACCCCAAATCAACAGAATATACATTTTTTTCAGCACCACACCACACCTATTCCAAAATTGACCACATAGTTGGAAGTAAAGCTCTCCTCAGCAAATGTAAAAGAACAGAAATTATAACAACCTATCTCTCAGACCACAGTGCAATCAAACTAGAACTCAGGATTAAGAATCTCACTCAAAGCCGCTCAACTACATGGAAACTGAACAACCTGCTCCTGAATGACTACTGGGTACATAACGAAATGAAGGCAGAAATAAAGATGTTCTTTGAAACCAACGAGAACAAAGACACCACATACCAGAATCTCTGGGACGCATTCAAAGCAGTGTGTAGAGGGAAATTTATAGCACTAAATGCCTACAAGAGAAAGCAGGAAAGATCCAAAATTGACACCCTAACATCACAGTTAAAAGAACTAGAAAAGCAAGAGCAAACACATTCCAAAGCTAGCAGAAGGCAAGAAATAACTAAAATCAGAGCAGAACTGAAGGAAATAGAGACACAAAAAACCCTTCAAAAAATCAATGAATCCAGGAGCTGGTTTTTTGAAAGGATCAACAAAATTGATAGACCGCTAGCAAGACTAATAAAGAAAAAAAGAGAGAAGAATCAAATAGACACAATAAAAAATGATAAAGGGGATATCACCACCGATCCCACAGAAATACAAACTACCATCAGAGAATACTATAAACACCTCTACGCAAATAAACTAGAAAATCTAGAAGAAATGGATACATTCCTCGACACATACACTCTCCCAAGACTAAACCAGGAAGAAGTTGAATCTCTGAATAGACCAATAACAGGCTCTGAAATTGTGGCAATAATCAATAGTTTACCAACCAAAAAGAGTCCAGGACCAGATGGATTCACAGCCGAATTCTACCAGAGGTACAAGGAGGAACTGGTACCATTCCTTCTGAAACTATTCCAATCAATAGAAAAAGAGGGAATCCTCCCTAACTCATTTTATGAGGCCAGCATCATTCTGATACCAAAGCCGGGCAGATACACAACCAAAAAAGAGAATTTTAGACCAATATCCTTGATGAACATTGATGCAAAAATCCTCAATAAAATACTGGCAAACCGAATCCAGCAGCACATCAAAAAGCTTATCCACCATGATCAAGTGGGCTTCATCCCTGGGATGCAAGGCTGGTTCAATATACGCAAATCAATAAATGTAATCCAGCATATAAACAGAGCCAAAGACAAAAACCACATGATTATCTCAATAGATGCAGAAAAAGCCTTTGACAAAATTCAACAACCCTTCATGCTAAAAACTCTCAATAAATTAGGTATTGATGGAACGTATTTCAAAATAATAAGAGCTATCTATGACAAACCCACAGCCAATATCATACTGAATGGGCAAAAACTGGAAGCATTCCCTTTGAAAACTGACACAAGACAGGGATGCCCTCTCTCACCACTCCTCTTCAACATAGTGTTGGAAGTTCTGGCCAGGGCAATCAGGCAGGAGAAGGAAATAAAGGGTATTCAATTAGGAAAAGAGGAAGTCAAATTGTCCCTGTTTGCAGACGACATGATTGTTTATCTAGAAAACCCCATCGTCTCAGCCCAAAATCTCCTTAAGCTGATAAGCAACTTCAGCAAAGTCTCAGGATACAAAATCAATGTACAAAAATCACAAGCATTCTTATACACCAACAACAGACAAACAGAGAGCCAAATCATGAGTGAACTCCCATTCACAATTGCTTCAAAGAGAATAAAATACCTAGGAATCCAACTTACAAGGGATGTGAAGGACCTCTTCAAGGAGAACTACAAACCACTGCTCAAGGAAATAAAAGAGGACACAAACAAATGGAAGAACATTCCATGCTCATGGGTAGGAAGAATCAATATCGTGAAAATGGCCATACTGCCCAAGGTAATTTACAGATTCAATGCCATCCCCATCAAGCTACCAATGACTTTCTTCACAGAATTGGAAAAAACTACTTTAAAGTTCATATGGAACCAAAAAAGAGCCCGCATCGCCAAGTCAATCCTAAGCCAAAAGAACAAAGCTGGAGGCATCACACTACCTGACTTCAAACTATACTACAAGGCTACAGTAACCAAAACAGCATGGTACTGGTACCAAAACAGAGATATAGATCAATGGAACAGAACAGAGCCCTCAGAAATAATGCCGCATAACTACAACTATCTGATCTTTGACAAACCTGAGAAAAACAAGCAATGGGGAAAGGATTCCCTATTTAATAAATGGTGCTGGGAAAACTGGCTAGCCATATGTAGAAAGCTGAAACTGGATCCCTTCCTTACACCTTATACAAAAATCAATTCAAGATGGATTAAAGATTTAAACGTTAGACCTAAAACCATAAAAACCCTATAAGAAAACCTAGGCATTACCATTCAGGACATAGGCGTGGGCAAGGACTTCATGTCCAAAACACCAAAAGCAATGGCAACAAAAGCCAAAATTGACAAATGGGATCTAATTAAACTCAACAGCTTCTGCACAGCAAAAGAAACTACCATCAGAGTGAACAGGCAACCTACAACATGGGAGAAAATTTTCGCAACCTACTCATCTGACAAAGGGCTAATATCCAGAATCTACAATGAACTCAAACAAATTTACAAGAAAAAAACAAACAACCCCATCAAAAAGTGGGCGAAGGACATGAACAGACACTTCTCAAAAGAAGACATTTATGCAGCCAAAAAACACATGAAAAAATGCTCATCATCACTGGCCATCAGAGAAATGCAAATCAAAACCGCTATGAGATATCATCTCACACCAGTTAGAATGGCAATCATTAAAAAGTCAGGAAACAACAGGTGCTGGAGAGGATGTGGAGAAATAGGAACACTTTTACACTGTTGGTGGGACTGTAAACTAGTTCAACCATTGTGGAAGTCAGTGTGGCGATTCCTCAGGGATCTAGAACTAGAAATACCATTTGACCCAGCCATCCCATTACTGGGTATATACCCAAAGGACTATAAATCATGCTGCTATAAAGACACATGCACACGTATGTTTATTGCGGCACTATTCACAATAGCAAAGACTTGGAACCAACCCAAATGTCCAACAATGATAGACTGGATTAAGAAAATGTGGCACATATACACCATGGAATACTATGCAGCCATAAAAAATGATGAGTTCATGTCCTTTGTAGGGACATGGATGAAATTGGAAACCATCATTCTCAGTAAACTATCGCAAGAACAAAAAACCAAACACCGCATATTCTCACTCATAGGTGGGAATTGAACAATGAGATCACATGGACACAGGAAGGGGAATATATCACACTCTGGGGACTGTGGTGGGGTCGGGGGAGGGGGGAGGGATAGCATTGGGAGATATACCTAATGCTAGATGACACGTTAGTGGGTGCAGCGCACCAGCATGGCACATGTATACATATGTAACTAACCTGCACAATGTGCACATGTACCCTAAAACTTAGAGTATAATAAAAAAAAAATTAAAACAACAACAACAACAACAACAACAAAAACAAAACAAAACAAAACAAAAAAGCATCTAAAATCAGCACCAAAAAAAAAAAATAATTATTCTTGCTGTACTGTATACAAATAATCAGGTCAAGTATAATAAAGCAAATAGATACTACCATGATTTACCTTTAGTAAAACTGGGAAACTGAAGGGAGGAAAAATTATGTTTCAAAAACTATAGTACACCTGTTAGAATCTGGTCTTGCCTAACTATTTTTGATTTTTATTATTTTCTAGAGTTTGAACCAAGTTCTATTTTTTGTGGGCTACAAGTCTTCAAAATAATGTTTTCAATTATTTTTCCTTCTTTTTTCCCCATTTTTCCTAATTTAGAGTCACTGAAAACTAAGCTGTCCTTTCTTAAAGCCCTGTGAACTGAAGCCAGACAAACTTCAGAAGAAAATAACAGCAATCTATTTACATACATAAGCCACTTTCATACCTGACTACTGATGTATGGACTTGAGAGTAATGTGGCCTATATTGATTTTTCAGGATTGTTCTTTTGTTGTTTTTCTCCCTTCCTCCCCCTATTTTCTCTTCACAGGACACGAGACTTCATAACCTGCTAAAAATGAGCTTTCCTAATAACTCGGGACTTACCCATCTAGGAATACACCATCCTCGACATGAGAGATCAGATGAAATCTTAGACCAGAGAGAGACTCATTTTATTCTAAAACACTTTCTCCAAAAGATTTTAAAAAGGGGAGAAAATGTGAATAGAAAATACGCTGGGCCCCCGAAATCACTAAGCTAAAGGGAAAAGTCAAGCTGTAACTGCTTAGGGCAAACCTGCCTTCCATTCTATTCAGTCACCCCTCTGCTCACTGAGACAGATGCATATCTGTTTGCCTCCTTTGGAGAGGCTAATCAGAAACTCAAAAGGATGCAACCTTTTGTCTCTTATCTACCTGTGACCTGGAAGCCCCTCCTTGCTTCGAGTTGTCTTGTTTTTGCTTCGAGTTGTCCTGCCTTTCTGGGCCAAACCAGTGTTTATCTTACATATTTTGGTTGTGTCTCATGTCTTCCTAAAATGTGTAAAATCAAGCTATGCTCCAACCACCTTGGGCACATATCATCTGGAGCTCCTGAAACTGTCAAATGGGTGCATGTCCTCGACTTTGGCAAAATAAAATTTCTAAAATAACTGAGACCTATCTCAAATTTTGGGGGTTCACAAAAGCCACAGGGCTGGAGCTGCCTTAGGCCATGGGAGCCCACCTCTTGCATCAGTGTGACCTGGATGTGAGACATGGATTCAAAGGAGATCATTTTGGAGCTTTAAGAATTGACTGCCCTGCTGGATTTTAGACTTGCATGGGGCCTGTGGGCACTTTACTTTGGCCAATTTCTCCCTTTTGGAATGGGTGTATTTACCCAATCCCTGTACCCCCATTGTATCTAGGAAGTAACTAATTTGCTTTTGATTTTATAGGCTCAGAGGAAGAAGGGACTTGCCTTGTCTCAGATGAGACTTTGGACTGTGGACTTTTGAGTTAATGCTGAATTAAGACCTTGGGGGACTTAGAAAGGTTTTGAAATGTAAGGACATGAGATTTGGGAGGGGCCAGGGGTGGAATGATATGGTTTGGCTGTGTCCTCACCCAAATTTCATCTTGAATTATAGCTCCCATAATTCCCACATGTCATGGAAGGACCTAGTAGGAGGTAATTGAATCATAGGGGTGGGTCTTTCCCATGCTATTCTCATGACAGTGAATAAGTCTCATGAGATCTGATGGTTTTAAAGGGGGAGTTCCCTGCACACCTCTTATGCCTGCCGCCATGTAAGATGTGCCTTTGCCATGTAAGATGTGCCATGTCTCCTTTGTCTTCTGCCATGATTGTGAGGCCTCTGCAGTCATGTGGAACTGTGAGTCCATTAAATCTCTTTCCTTTAAGAATTACCCAGTCTTGGATATGTCTTTATTAGCAGTGTGAGAACAGACTAATACAGGTATTTATTATGGTTGTTGTTTGTTCATACCTGTCCTTCTTGGGGAGGCTTTCCAGGTATTCAAAGGGACTTAGGTGTTGTGATTTATGTCTTTGGTCACTGCAGCTGTATCTGCATTAGGAGGTACTCCATGCCCAACAATACTGTGGCTTGTGCAGAATCAAAGATACTACCTTGGTGGACCTGGATGAGATCCAGAATTCTCTGTATTAGCAGGCAGAGAATCTTGTTCTCTTCCTTTACTTTCTCCCAAACAAATGGAGTCACTATCTCTATGCTGTGCTGCCTGGAGCTGGGGGAGGGAGTGACATAAGCACCCTTATGGCCACCACCACTGGGACTGCACTGGGTGAGCCCTGAAGCCAGCACAGCACTGAGTTTCATCCAAGGCCCACTGTAATGACTATGTGGTTACCACTTATGTTTGCTCAAAGCTCTATAATCAGCAAGTGGCAATGCCAGCCAGGCTTGTGTTCTTTGCTTTAGGGCAGTGAGTTCCCTCCATCCCTGGATGGGTCCAGAAGTGCTGTCTGGCAGCCAGGGCCTGAAGTCAGATACTTTAGGAATCTACCTGGTGCTCTGTTCTACTGTGGCTGAGCTGGCACTCAAGCCAAAAGACAAGCCTTCTCACTCTTCTCTCCCTTTTCCACAAGAAGAGTCTCTTCCCATCGCCACCACTGCTACAGGCCAATGAGGAGTACTGCCAGGCTACTGCCAATGTCCACTCAAGGCCCAAGGGCTCTTCAGTCAGCTTGTGGTAAATGCTGCCAGACCTGAGACTCACGCTTCAGAGCAGTGGGCTCCCCTCTGGCCCAGGACAGGTCCAGAAATACCGTCTGTGAGTGAAGGCCTGGAATCAGGGACCCCAAACCCCCTTGGCACCCACTTGGTGCTCCACCCCACTATGACCCACCTGTTAGCTAAGCTGCAAGACGAAGTCCTCTTTATTCTTCCCTCTGCTTTTTTTTAAACAAGAAGTCTTTCCCCACAGCCACCACAGCTGGGAATGTGCTGGGTCTCACCTGAAGCCAGTAAGTCTCAGAGGTTCACCCAAGGCCCACGACATGTACTACCTGGCGACCACTGCTGATTATTCAGGGCCCAAAGGCCCCTTTACTCAGCAAGTGATAAATCCTGCCAAGACTGGGTCCTTCCCTTTAAGACAGTGGGTTCCTTTCTGACCCAGAGTATGTCCAGAATTGTTGCCTGGGAACTAGGCTCTAGAATGAGTGTCTTAGGACACTGCCCAGTGCCCTAGTCTACTGTGGCTGAACTGGTTTCCAAGTTTCAAGATAAAGTCCTCTCTACTCGTCCCTCTCCTCACCTCAACTGGAAGGAAAGTCTCTTTCTGAGCTGTGAGCTGTGTGGCCTGAGCCTGGGGGAGAGGTGGTCCAGGCACCCCCTTGGCTGCCCCGGCTGGTATCTCACCAGATTGTATGCCCCCCAAGTCCACGGGCTCCAAGTGCACAGCACTAGAACTCACCTAGGAGTTGTAGTCCTTGTGGCCTAGACTGCTTCTCAAGGTTAGTTGGAACCCAAGTCACCTTAGCCTGCAGCGGCGAGGCTTGCGGAACTCAATTTCTGGCCACTGGAAGGGATGACTCCCCTCTGGCTAGGGCTCATCTAAATGTTCTCTCTATGGGGTTAGTTGATTTCTGCCTGGTGTTGCTTTCCACTGTGACAGGGCAGCACTGAGTTCAAATGCAAAGTCCCACAATTACTGTCCTCTCCCTCCCCCAAGGACAGATTCTCTCTGTGCATGGGGCCACTGTGGCATTGGCAATGCAAGACTGTCTTTCAGACCCTCTCTAGTGCCTCTTTCAGTGGTAAGTTAAAACCAGGTACTGTGATTGCTCACCTGATTTTTTGGCTTCTTAAGGTGTTTTTTGTGTAGATAGTAGTTAGATTTGATGTTCCTGTGGGGAGGATGATTGCTGGAGGCTTCTTTCACCATCTTGCTCCACCTCCTTCCAAAAAATTAGTTTTTAAAAAGGCTCTGAAAAAACATACACATTATAAACCCTAAAGTAAAATAACACAGAAATAACAATTACACAAATTATAACTAAAAATCCAAGAAAGGAAATAAAGTGAAATTTTAGAACACAGTCAATTCAAAAGTCAGCAGAAAAAGAAAAAAGGGAACAAAGAACAGATAAAGCAATAACAAGGTGGTAGATTTAAACCAACCATATCAATAAATGCATATCCATTGCATGAAATGTAAATGGTCTAAACTAAGGAGTTGGGAAGAAAAAAAAATGTAAATTGTCCAGACCGAGAGTCTTCAAACCTTTTCTTAAAGGGGCCAATCATAAATATTTTAAGCTCATAGACGGTAAAGTTTCTGTTGCAACTATATCACTTTATTATTATGACATAAAAGCAGCCATGGACGATACACAAATAGATGTAGCTGCATTTTAATAAAACATTAGTACAAAAAAAAGGCAGCCCACCAGGCTGTAGTTTACTAATCCCTGGTCTAAATATCTCAATTAAAAGGCAGAAGTTGTTAGGTAAAAAAAGAAAAAAAACACAAAGCTTAACTATATGCTGCCTACAAAAAAACCCACTTTACTATGACACCCATAGATTAATAGTAGGAAGGAAAAAGATATCCTATGCTAACATGAACCAAAAGAAAGCTGGAGTGCATATGTTAGTATTAGCAAAAGTATATTCCAGAGCACAAGTTGGGGGATAGAGAGAGAGAGATGGCAAGGGTGAAAATAGAAATACAGATCCATCTTTTACCAAAGGGATCAGCTTGCCAACCTCACATTACCTTGTCAGACTCCTAAGGACAAGAGAGACCAAAAGACAAAAAAACAGAAAAGGACTTGCTGAGTCTCCTCCTATGTGGATGTCTTTAACCCTTATCACTACAATAGAAAGGTCAGAGGGAGCCAAAAAGCATAGAGGAATCGTAGGTATTCTTAGAGGCAAGTAAGAGTGGTTGCTAAAAGCATGAACTCTAGTGTCAGACTGCCTGAATTTGAATCCCAACTTCACCACTTACAAACTGAGCGACAGTGGGTGAGCTTCTTAATTTTTCAATCTGGAAAATTGATTTAAAAAAGACTATACCTTATAGGCTTCCCATGAGAATTGTACGAGTTAACACACTTGAAGCATTTAGCATGGTGCCTGGCACATGGTCAGCACTCAATAACATGAACAACATTGATGTTGCCACCACCATAGTATTTCTTTCCTAGCTTCTTTGGAGAAAGTAAAGTAAAAACTATTGTACCCTATGTGTGCAGCTATCTTTAAGTTGGCACAGTGGCTCCCATATTCTAGCAATGGCCAAAACAATGTTCTTAATGGAAAGTACAATTTGAGGTAGCATGATTATCCCAGGGGGTGGCAGACTATGTCCTTCAGGTTAGATCTGGCCCACTACCTGTTTTTGTATGGTCTGCAAACTAAAAATAGTTTTTACTGTGTAAATATTTTTTAAAAGTCAAAGATGCTTGTCAAAAGTTTGAGAACAAAAGAAAAAGTCAAATAAACAGAATTTTGTGAGATGTAAAAATTATATAAAATTCAAATTTCAGTGTCCATAAAGTTTTAATAGAGCCATGCTCATTTATTTACATGTTATAGTTTTCAACTACAATGGCAGAGGTGAGTAGTTCCAACAGTGACCGTGTGGCCCACAAAGCTTAAAATATTTGTTATCAGGTCTTCTATAGAAAAAGTTTGCCAACAAACTTGATTTAACCCATCTTTGAATTTCCCCTTTACTTCCAAATGCCCACAAAGTCTACACAAACTGCAACTTGGAAGTGGCCAACACAGACATCTTATCCCATATGTCAGAGCCCCAGTCTGTCTCTGTTCATGTTCTAACCTTGGCATAGCAGGTCTTCTTTTGTTGGGAGTTTAATCTTCTTTGGAGGTTGGTAACTCTGATCTTTAAGTACAGGGTCTGATCCTGAGATTTTTCTCCCCTTCTGCAGGAGACAAGAGTCTCTTTATAAGCTGGAGGTGTAAGGAGCGGGTTAGGAGGCCCTTAGCTTTCTCACTCAGTTTTCTATTGGTGATTAGTCACGCTCAGCTTTTTATCTGTTTTCAGTGGGCCAATCAAGCTTAGCAGTAGCCACCTGATTTTATTATCCTTTCAGTCCCTATTTCGCCCAAATCTCAAACATCTGACACATCACATCAGCTAATGCCTTCCTTTCTACCGCTATACCATGCCAGTTGATCACCAATGAAAGTTTGAGCAATTAGACCAATTCCTTGTCCCAGGTGATATTTGTGCTTTATCTATTACCAACCTGGGGTCCTCAATGAAGGAAGGATGGTGAGTGATCCAGCACCAAAGCCCCATTTCAGTGGCTTCTTTCTGGGATCATACCTGGTTAGGATTGCCAGATTCAGTAAATATAAATGCAAGGCTCCCAGTTAAATTTGAATTTTAAATAAACAAATACATTTTTTAGTATATTTCATGCAATATCTGGGACATATTTTTACTATAATTTTTCTGTCAATTTGAAATTAAAATGTAGCTTGGAATCCTGTATTTTATGTGGCAATTCTACAACAGGTTGGGTTCCCTGGGAAGCAAACTCTGAGATGGAGTTTAGTCAGCATGATGTCATTAAGAAGAGCCCTTAGGATCAACACCTGTGGAAAGGAGGTGCCAGAAGCAGGAAGGACAGAGAAAGTCAATCTACAGGCACGGTGACAGACTTGGCTGAACCATGGGGTACTCTGGCACTAGAATTGCTCTTTAGAGTAATTCCAAGGTGGGCTGAGATGTCTAGGCCTTTACACTCTCACACCGATCAGTCATTGGATGATGAGGCGCTTCCTTGGGCAAAGCGGCTCTCTGCAGCTCTGACCATTTCTGTAGGGGCTGACAGCTGAAGGCTATATGTTGACAGCACTTCCAGCACCAAAAGCAAAATGTCTTTTCTGAAGTAGAATCCAAGTTGTGAGTGCATCGCAGTGTTCACTGCATTTGTAGAGAGGATTTAAACGTCACGTAGAGGGAAGGGGTGATATCTAAGGACTTTTCCACTTGGGCATGATTGAGTGAAATCACGTGTGCAGATTGCCCAGGAGACACCACAGCATAGAGATGATGAGCACCAAGTGGCAGCTACTTTGATGTTTCTAAAGCACTGGGCCAGGAAGGGCTGTCCAGTGGTGGTAATCTTGAGAGTAACAAGTAGTGCTGGACTTGGGCGTGTGTATCTGCTCCAGAAGGTGAGGCTGGGCATTACCGAGTGATGGAACTTCTCTGCAAGATGAGGCTGGGTTTGGCATATTTCTCTAGACATAGCTTTTTAAAAAGGAGTGCCCTAAAAAGCATTCAAAGTTAATTTTTCCACTTTCCAGTTATAAGAACCAAATCCAATCTTTGGAAGCGGTGGGATGAGGTGGAAAACATAAAGTCAGGAACAGTGTTTCCTCTTGACTCTGGCACTGAAGCTGCACGTGGGGTGAATTAGTCATGAATCTCCTCTGGTCTCACTTTCCTAGACTTTAAAATGACAGTGGGATCGAGTGTTCTGTAGGGGTCCCATCCAGTGTTGACCTTTTCTCATCCTGCAATTGTGGATGTGGCCTCTGGGCAAGCGGCTTGGGACATTGACAATGCCATGTTGCTAGACACAAGAATCTGATTTTAGAAGTAGTTTAAACCACTTCTTTATTAAAGCTTAACTCAGTTGTTGAGCTGGATCATAGCAGAGTGTTTGGAGGAAACAGTAGCGGGACTGAAAGACAAATTTCATCCTTATTTAAAACCTTTACAGTGAATAGATAGAAGATTAGGGATCTTAAAATCACATGCATGGTCTGAATGGTCCACTTAAAGGGGTGAGACTATTATTTTCTCCTTGGACTTTTTCACTTTGTAATATTTCAATTACAAAAGTCCAGTAACAGGCACTTCTAGGGAAGGTTAGAAAGAAGCTCTATAGGTCAAGGTAACAGGTACTTGAACCATTTTTTCATTATTTGGGGAGTTTTATGTAAATATGTTGTATAACTAAGGGACCATTTTTTTTGGCGTTGTGACAGCGTTACCTGATCTACCAGGTCCTTGGTCTCAGCCCATGGAAACTATTCACATGGTGTCCCTAACCATTTCTGCAGCCCTAGATAAGCCATAAGAACAACAGGGTCTTTATAGCAGCCCCTGTTGTTCTTATGGCCTTATCTAGGGCTGCAGAAATGGTTAGGGACACCATGTGAATAAGCACACGTATGTTTATTGTGGCACTATTCACAATAGCAAAGACTTGGAACCAACCCAAATGTCCAACAATGATAGACTGGATTAAGAAAATGTGGCACATATACACCATGGAATACTATGCAGCCATAAAAAAGGATGAGTTCATGTCCTTTGTAGGGACATGGATGAAGCTGGAAACCATCATTCTGAGCAAACTATCGCAAGGACAGAAAACCAAATACCGCATGTTCTCACTCATAGGTGGGAATTGAACAATGAGAACACTTGGACACAGGGTGGGGAACACCACACACCAGGGCCTGTCATGGGATGGTGGGGTGGACGGATAGCATTAGGAGATATACCTAATGTAAATGACGAGTTGGTGGGTGCAGCACACCAACATGGCACATGTATACATACGTAACCTGCACGTTGTGCACATGTACACTAGAACTTAAAGTATAAAAAAAGAAAAGAAAAAAAGAACAGGGTCACTCTGGCTCCCTGCAGGGAGGAACAATAAAAGTAACAATTATAATTTGCCAAAAACTGTATAATTATCAGAGCATTTCACATAGAAAAACCAAAGGAAGTAAATACTATTACTTTTTTTTAGACATGTTTTATAGATGAAAGAGGCTCTGAGGGATTAAGAGACTTGCCCAAATTCACATAAATCCAGTTTTAAATTTTTGTTCTTTCAATTTTTAGCCTCAAATATTATGTCCTCAATTGCCTTGCCCATGCTGATGAATTGGCAAAGCTTGATTGCATTTATGTCTACGTATAACCCAGTTCTAGTACTAGATTTCCATCGCTCATGTTTTCTTATAGAGAAGAGACAGTCCATATCAACAATTTTTCAGTACTGTATTCAGAAGGAGCTAGCAAATTGAGTTTCCACAGAGGAGCAACTAATATAATTCTACCACAATATTGTTTTGGATTTTTTCTTTTAAATGTTACGTATACATTAACAAGAGGTAAAAATAACAACACACTTGTTTCAACATGTGATTGTGCTCAGCAATGATTATTTTATTTGACTTGTTAAATTACAACCAAAAAGACATTCATCGTTATTCATTTGTTGTTCAGGATCTGTGCAGGTTGGAAATTATGGCTCTTAATGCTGTGAAACACAGGGCCACAGCATCTGGATGAAAACGCAAAGCCCTA
This sequence comes from Homo sapiens, assembly GCF_000001405.40. Classification (NCBI taxonomy): domain Eukaryota; kingdom Metazoa; phylum Chordata; class Mammalia; order Primates; family Hominidae; genus Homo; species Homo sapiens. The sequence continues at coordinate 51,407,838 of NC_000015.10, read as the reverse complement.
TCACTCATTTCTCCTTCACTTGCCATCAGATGATCATAGCCAAAACGTCCTCTGTGTGGTTGGAAGATGACACCTCACTCATCAAGAATTGTACTGTTTCATTTGACTTTTCACCTTGTGACTGTTAAGATGCCTAAGATCAGAACTCCTCATCTTAAAACTTCCACCCCAGAACTTTTTCTGTCATAGCACCTGTGCTTAACGATACTTGGAGACCAGAACCACCTACTTGGCTTCAGGAGGACACCTTATCAGCTGAAAGAAAATGCCTTGAAATAGAGTGTGGCCTAGCTTTGAGGTTGGGAGGGATGGTTTTGTTTACTTTCCAGTGGGAAGCTATCTACTTTAGATTAAAGAAGAATTAGAGAATTATCTGGTTTGATTCTGACATCAGAAGTGCAGATATTTGGAAAGTGTTTTAGAGCAACTTTGGTTATAAATGAGAGGGTAAACTCCTAAAACAGTATCTTGACTTAAAAACATTCAGTTGTATACTCTATTTTAGCAGTGAGCCCAAAACTTCTTTAAAAAATCAAGTAATGTTTACAAGAAAGAATAAAATCTTAATCCTTTTCACTTTTAAAGACAATCAGATAAGATTACCCACTGCGATTAAACACTGATCAAACTCAGTTGTCCTTACGTTAGCATTACTCTGTCATAGCAAAAAAAAAAGAAAAAAGAAAAAAAGTCCCGGTGTAAGCTTCTCCAGTGGTGAGCATGATCCCTTACTCACAAGTAAGGGAGCCCAGATAGCTCAGATATCAAGACTGAGGTTTCTGAAACATTTTTCTAAAAGGAATATGTGCTAATTAACAACCTCTTTTGGTTGCTACCTTATATACAATTAGTATTGTATGTACTATTATTATGAAACTATATTCCTAACCTGGTCTCCTGTATTCAGCAACAGCAACATATATATTTAAATACTTTAAAAGGACACCAGCACTTATTAGACATATTGATCTTGAACATGAGACTCTTTGTTAGAGAACGTGAATCTGAAAAGAGTATTTTTAAAAGCTAAGGTGACATGGTACAACCAATCTAATGAAAAGTAGGTGAAGTTTCAAATAGCCATCATATTGAGAACACAACAAACAAGTCATTGACAGCTGCCTGGGGACTTTCAGGGGAGCAGGGAGATTTGAATATTTAAATCTGTATATCCCCTAAGTTTTATTTTCTTATATTTTATTTTTTAGAGATGGGATCTCTCTAGGCTGGTCCTGAGATCCTGGCCTCAAGTGATCCTCCCATCCCTGCCTCCAAAGTAGCTGGGATTGCAGTTATGTGCCACCATGCCCAGTTCAACCCTAAGTTTTAAAATACTGCTGTTAATAATATATTGAACTCAGGGCCATTGAGAATGAATTTGGTCCCAAAGAGAAAGTTTCAGAATACACACAAATTGGGACAAGTTGCTGAAAAATCTTTACATAAGATTTGCCCTGGTTCCCCTTCCTGGCTGCAGAGCCCCAGGAACTTTTCCAGCTTCCTCTCTATTCGCAGTGGCCCTTCCCGGGGCCGCAGCGCTGGGCTGAAAGATGTTTAAAGAAGTGAGTTGGCAGAAAATATGCATATTTAAGAGCATTTAGGAGCAAGTTCAACTGGATTCTCTCCTGGCATCCAAGGGGACCAGATCACATCCTTTAAAACTATGTTAGAGAAAGAACTGTCCCCTAACCAGCCTTTGTGGAGGGCCACTTCATCTTACGCCGTTATCAGCCTTCCCCTCTACTCAAAACGCAAGTCACATCCTATGCGGCTTCTTAGTTTAGAACAAAACAAAACAGGCTCTGGTTCTGATTTTTTCAAGAATCAGGCTCACTTTATATTCTTTATCAGGAGTCAGCAATCTTTTTCCATAAAGGGGTAGCTGGTCAATATTTTAGGCACTGTGGGGCCATATGCTCTTTGTTGCAATGACTCGACTCTGCTGTTGCAGAGCAAAAGCAATGTCAGGCCGTACTGCATAAACAAATGAGTGTGGCTGTGCTCAGTAAAACCTTATTTAAAAAAACAGGCAATGGACTGGCTCTGGCCCAGTTCTACATAATAGCCACAAATGGAGCCTCTCTTCTGAACACTGCAAAGTGCTTCCCATGGTTCCAGCCAGATTAACGTCTACTTACACAGCATTTAGTACTTTGATAGTGGATCCACAGGAGAAGCATAAGAAGTCAGAGTGATCTGAGGATTCAGTGTTCATGATCCACAGCTACAAATCAACATGATCAGAAACTGGGGGGAACCTGGAAGATCATGATTCTGTTTTATTAAGAAACCTGGGCCAGGCACACATGCCTGTAATCCAGCATTTTGGGAGGCCAAGGCAGGAGGATCACTTGAGCCCCAGGAGTTCAAGACCAGCCTGGGAAACATAGCAAGACTCTCTCTCTATTTAAAATAAGAAAAGAAAAAAAATAGCTTATTGAAAAAAAAAAAAAAAAAAAAACCTGAACATGTAGCTGTCCCTGGCTTTTGCTAATCTCAGAGCTGCCCAATCAGCAGCTGAGGGTAATGGTTATTCTGTGGTGGCAGGTGCAGATGCAAAGAAAAGCAATAAATTATGGATAATGTGATACTTTAGATGTCTTAAAGAGTCAATGCATTTTTTCAAAGAACAAGATATAAGTCAGCACTGAGGGATTCACTACTCAAGCCACTGGACTTATCAACTCAAAGGTAAATTTGGTCAGCATGTGGCTAAAAAAGCTAAACGACAGAAGCAGATACATAAAAGTTGTGAGAAGAGCAGCCACCAAGAATCACCAAATTACCTACAGGTACAGAAAATCTCCCCAATCATCTTAGCCAATTCAGATTACCAATGGGGAAACTAAGGCCCAAGGAGAAAGAGGTAACTTGCAGAGCCAGCTGTGGGGAGATCACCAAATCTCAGCCATTTCAACTTCCAATCTGTTGCTATTTCACTAAGCGGGGCTCACTGACCATATAAACACTTTTGAGGTTATTTTCTAAATATCTGGCTGACGTTAAAAAAACAAGTTTCCTGTTGGGGGAGAACTGGTCCCAGAAAACCCCTGAAATTTGCTGAAGGGAGCCGAATGCAGCACATCACTGATTTAAGGTAGTTGACAAAAACTGCACAGGATAAAGCATTAAATGGCCATCTTCCCATGAATATAAATGCTGATCTCTCATGTTGTATGCTAACATGGCAAGAACAGACTGGGAAGTTCTTAAATCAAAGTTTGCATTGATCTGTTTCCCTCCTAACAAATCAAAGGCAAATGTGACCCTCATATCTTTGGTGTCTGTGACATAGAGGATTCCTCGGGCAATGAAGGCGTTGCCAGCCTTGGATTTAGGGTACGTGGTATTGACGTGTTGCACCACTGAGAATGTCCTCTCATCCAGTTGTGCTACAAGAATGCTCGAGCCGTCCACACTTGACGCATAGATAATCCAAAGGCCCTTTTCATCTACAGCTAGATTGAAGTAAGTTTTGGAATTTGCAAAAAGGTATTTTCGATCAAAATACAAGGCATTTTCAAGCTTCAGAGTTTGGGATGTTTCCTGGCCAAATTCAAATCTGAAATATGCAAACAAAGAAAAGTAGACATGAATCACCGTTTCTGTGGACAGGTGGTTTATTAGGCTCCTCTATTAAACTGAGTTAGTGGGTCTGGGGTGAGGGCTGGGATTTTGCATTCCTTACAAGCTCCCAGGTAATGCCTGCTCTGCTGGTCCTTGGGCAATGCTGTGAGCAGTGAGGCTGTAAGAGACAATGACTGGCTGTGCTAGCAGAGGCAACAGGGAGACAGTGGTGTGGTGTCAGAATAATCACCAAAGTCAGAATGAATTTGCATCTGAGTGACCACTTACTAGCCATGTGACCCCCACTTCACTAATGCCCAGATGTTTGTTGACCTCCTGAAATGCCCCCTCAAAGATTCTTAGAGCTGCAAGGGGGCTGTAAAAGAGGATCTAGTCCAATCTTTTCATTTTATAAGCAAAAAATGAGAAGCAACTGGCCCATGAAGACAAGTAAGAGGCAGAGCCAGAGGTTGAACTTAGGGTTTCTAACTCTAAGTGTGGGGGTTATTCCTTTACTCCCTGCTGAAATTTTAAAAAAAGAGTTTCACAGCCTGCTAAGTTAAGAAGAAAGTCAGCAGGTGAGAAGGGCTGTTGCAAAGTCATGACTGTGAAAACCATTTTCTTGTGAAGTAAGTGGCTGGATACATTAAACTATGGCATGGAATCTCATGCCCCTTAGCTCCTGGAGGCTGTATGATTTGACAGATTCCAACTCTAGGCTGTATTGTAAAAGTGAATTATAATTCAAAAGGTACGTAACTCCAGGAATGAAAATTCAGGAACATTAGGCTAAAAGAAAACACCAGAGGGTGCCACTGAGCAGCAGAAGAAACATGAACTGTGTGCATCTGTGGATATGCATTTGAGCATAACAGACTTGAAGTCTATCAAGAAACCGTGAAGAAACTAGAGAATAGTGAGGCTTGGGAAGGTCCCTGCACATCTCAGTACACAGGAGTTCTCCTTCCTCTGAATACCTGGGGTTTACTGCTGCCATTTGGCCCCGTCTAGTCCTGGCACCTCACAGCTGCATTCCTTGGTGAGACCCATCTCTCCCAGCAATTACAGGGTCGAATTCAGCTCTGCTTCTCCGTCAGGTCCCAGTCCGTGGCGCGGCATAGAGCAGTACAGCCTCCTAACCACTGCATCCAAACTTAGCTTCCTTAGAAGATACACCTCCTTGAAGAGGCCAGTTCTCACTATGGGGGTTATCCACCGCAGAACTGCCCCCCACGCCACCTCCGTGTGGCAATAGCCCTATATAACATGGCAGCAGGGAACCACAAGATTCAGTGAGAAGCATCGGAGGAAAGAGTGTGTCTTGAGAGGGGGACTACTGAGCAGGTGGTAGGTCAGTTGTCTTTTTCTACTAGCACAAGACTGCCCAAATGGGGTGGCCAGGGAGGTGTAGAGATGATGATGGGGGTGTCATGTAGATGGGAGTGAGAGGCAAAGGAGGGGATGCTTCCTGCCGCGGCTGACGCCAGTGTCCGATGTGTCTGATCATATCGCATATTACACTAGGAAACTCGCCCCATTCTAACCTGAGCATTCAAATGCCAAAGGTTGTTAAAGCTGGACCTCACTAAGGGTAGGAGAAGGATGAGGGAGAGGGAAGGGACCCAGTCCTCCCTCAAAGTCACTGTCTCTTGTTTTGAATGAGTAGGACTGTGGCATTCATAATACTGGGTTTACTGTTTCAGATAGTGGAAGAGCTAGAAGGACTCAGAGGCTGTAGTCCATCTTTTTGTTTTTAGTTGAGGACAGGGAGACACAGGAAGTGCTGTCTCTTGTCCAAGGCCATAGAGGAGGCACAAGAGTTGGAGCCAGAAACCAGGTGTCCTGGCTTTCGGTTCATTGCTCTCTTGATTTGCCCAAGATGACCTGCTTCTGCCTCCAAAGGCCAGAGCTTGATTTCCTCTTCTTGAACCCTAAAGACAGAACTTCAGCAATTCTTGTGGGGAAGGCTCAGCGGCTGCCTTGGGCAGTGTCTACCCAGGTGACCCTCCTCCCTTCCCTATGGGAGAGCAGAGGGCGGCCTGGGAGGACTCCATCAGGATGACAGACGGATCTGAAGGCAGAGACGCTTGACTAGGGGTTCATTCCCCAGTCTTCAATGATCTCAGCTGTGACACGAAATTCCCCACACCCAAAGTTTTCCAAAACAAAACTTTATCAGGGAGCAGCAGCACGTTCCACCAGGGGGAGCTATGAGTTCGGGCTGCTTCTCTCTCAGAGGATGGGGAAGCTGCGGCCGTCACCACTCCAGGTCTACTTCTCCCTGGCTCTGACCTTCCTCGGGCTGTCCAGACCAGCAACAAATGCAGACCCCAGGCAGGGGCTGGGCCATGGGGCTCACTAACATATCCTGTGATTCATTCAGTCGACAAACCCTGA